>NC_000012.12:61210128-62460128 GCF_000001405.40 Homo sapiens
CACCTTAGATAAGGCTTTATATAAAAGCCTTTAGGTACATAGAAAGGACACTTAAGCAAAATCTAATTCTCATCAGGTTCATGTTTTTAAAAACAATTAAATGTTCAAAGAATCAGAACCTATTACTGAGATGAAAACACTGAAGTTTTTTTTTTGCCTCAATATAAACTAGACTTCATTTAAGCAAGTATTCTTAACAGTAAGCTCTCTAGGATCCTGAACTTCCTCTGCCTAATTCTGCCTCTAACCCAGTGTATGAGTCCCGTAGTCCTGTTTCTTCCCCTTCTAACTGTGAATTCAACTGATAGAAACTTTCTGACCTGATCTGTTTCTGGTTCTAACTACCACAGCAGCTTGACAAGTTGTCCAGTATGAGTGAAAAATACATTTCTACTGTTCGGACTTGCTCATTAAATCCCACTGCTGCAATTCCCAAAATATGAGAGAAATATAACATGACAAAAATTAAAAGAGAATCAGAACAATTCCTGGAATGTGTATCTTTAAAGTTTAGCAGAATCTGTTTCCAGTGTCCCTCATTTGTAGGGAAAATTCCTTATCTGTTTGATATTGTTTTGATTCAAAATTTATTTTTAGCCTAAGATTTCAAGTAGAATTTTCTTGAAGAACATTTTGAGAGTTATATAGTCTGCCTCAAGTATAACGTTTTGTTGCCTTCACATACCTATGTCAAGTAGTATGAATACAAAATTCTAAATGTCACTTTTTTTTCCTTTGTTGCTCTATAAGAATGATTTTATTATACCATTCAGGTATATGTAGAGAAAGTTGAAGAGCAATCCAAATTCTTTTCTTTTTTGTATAACATCCCTTTTAATTCCATAGATTATTGTGGAATTCCTTTTTCTATACCTGCAGAATTTGAAAATCCTTGCTGAAACATTTATTTTCATATGGATTTATTTAGTATAGGTTTTTAGAAACATGATTCAGGTTCTATATTTTCATATGATGCTTTTTATTTTTTGTTTTTGTTGCTGTTTTATATCAGTAATGGTTTCTACTGTTATTTCTTAATTATCATTTCTTCTTAATTTATTCCTAGTCTGTTCTTCATGTCAGTCATCTTTTCTTTCACTGTAAACATTACTTTATTCTTTTATCTAAATTTGTAGACAATTTTTCCATATATCTCTTACTACTGCAATATGATTTTCTGTGCCATTTAAACTTCTACCTCATGCTGACATTGTGATTTTAATCGGTACCTTATTCTTTGTTTTATTTGAAATTTTTTTCTGATTTCAAAATATTTAATATTTTGTATGTGCACTTTAATCTCATTTAAGCAATATCTTTAGTTTTGTTCAGAACACAAATCTAAAACTTTTTTTTTTTTTTTAGGAATTTAGATCAAATGAATATTTTTTCAATTCCCTAAAGTTGTTCCCATGTTCTGGGTATTATGGTATTTTCTAAGACATTATAATTTTTCCCGCTGTTTGTACATTTCTAAACAGAGATGTATTGACTCAACCTATATATCCTATATGTCCTTGATCCAAGTTGTTGTGGAGCTGGTTTCTGTAAGACCTTGTTGTAGATTCCTTCCTGATTTTTTAAAAGTAGAATTTTTGAGTTGTGAGGGTGCTTTACTTATTTATAGAGTTGTTTTTATATATTTTAATAAAATAGACTGGTAGGACAGAGTGTGGCAGATTAAGAAAGAAAGATGGATGAATACTTTTTCAAAGTTAGAGATTTTATCTATCTCTCTGACATAAACATGGAACAAGCATCAGTGGGAAAAATATCCACCTTCCATCCCTAGATTACAGCATTGGGGCATATCTGGCAGCTGGAGGAAAAAGGTACGTTATTGGAAAATATTATTCTTTCTGAGTGATGACCCTATTGGATTGTATATGACACTGCAAAAATAGGTTTTTGTTTGTTTACTTTTGCTTCAGACTTCAACCTGGAAGTGATGTTTTGCCAACAAGTACATCCTCCTCTCCTCATTGCTTTGTGTTTGGGGTAGGGATGAGGGAGCTAGTGTCAGAAACAGAAAGTAGGAATGAGTATGAGCAAAAATGAACTTCCAGGGAACCAAACTAAATAAATGATTGACACTTAAAACCAAAATAATGAACAAAGTCAAATTCATTTCAAGGCTGCCAATAACTACAAAGTTAGGAGGTTGCCTGCAATGAAAATGGTACAAGTTTGAGAACAAGCAAGAGAGAAGTAGGTTTAAGAGAATATGTGTGAAGAAGGGGAATACAGTTAGTCAAAAAGGAATGAGAAAGACCCAAGTTACTTCATAAAGGATATTTTTATATTGCTTTATATAAACCAGACAGAAGAAGAGTCAGAGAAAGTTGGCCTGATTTTAAGGGCAAGGAGAAGAATGGAGTAACAGAATACGATATGCCAGCATTTTAGCAGTTAGTTTTCCTTGAAAACACAAAATATTAGCACACCTACAGCGTGAATCACCTGGTGCCACAGTTTAAATTCAAGTTTACATATGGAGGCAAAATTTTACTTATACATTAGGTAAAGAAAGGCTAGGTGACTTGATTGAAGTCTCTTCAATAATTAAATACTATTAATGAAAATATTAATCAACTTTGCTATAAGTTAATGTTACTCATTAGTTTCTATTATTTCCCTGATAAATCCAGTGTTAATTGTGATTACACTGAGACCTTATTTCTCACAAAGCAAATCAAAATTAAATTAATATTTATTTTTCCCTATCAGTGGTTACGTCTTTTTTCCTGAACAATAGGCTGAGCTTTTATAACACATGATAAAATTTTCTAAATAAAATGTTTTTCACAGAACTTAAGAAATCAGAAAGGCAAAATATAAATTTAGTTGTTTAAGTGTAGTATTGGTATTATTTCCCCATTTGGGATGAAGTACATTAATAATCCCCATCATTATTATTCATACGACTTTATTCCAATTGTCTCTGAAAATTCCTAGGTTAAGTAGATTAAAAGCATAGAATTAGTTCACTAAAGTCCATTCTAAAGAATTTACTTTTACAACTACAGAGAGAGGAAATTAATGCCAAGGACAAAATTTCATAAGACATTGGCCCAGAAGGAAGAAAACATTTAAAAAATGGAACACATACAGTTGTTTGTTTAAGCAACAGGGTAACCCTCAAATGGTCAAGATTATTTTAGTCTATGATCACAACCTATCAATTTTGGAATAATGAAGTGTAGCAAAGGTCAAATTTGTAAAAGATGGGCTGAGAGGAGTGATGAAGCTGTAATAATCCTATCATCCTCCCTCGACTTTAGTTTTATTTTATTGAGCTTAACAATATGAGGTGAAAGGGTAACTGCATTCTTTTTGCTGACACCCATGTAGCTGCGGTCCCCCGAGTATGGCTTTACATTTAAGACCTACAGTAATTGCATTAGTAAAGAAAGTGTATTGTCCAAGCTATCATTGCCTTCTCGTATACATGGCAGACATAAGCTAGAATGGTTAGGAACTACTCCTTTAACTCTTCCTGACTTTTTATGTTATTTTTTTTTTTTTTTGCCTGTACCTTTATACCTAACTAAATATTTCATTTCCTTCCTTATAACCTGTCTATCTTGGTCCGTTCGGGCTGCTATAACAAAATAACATAGCCTAGGCCGCTTATAAACAATAGAAATTTTTGTCTCACAGTTCTGCAACCTGAGAAGTCCAAGATCATAGCACCTGCTGATTCAGTGTCTGATAAGGTCCCAGTTCCTGGATCCTAGCCAGGTGTCTCCTCTCTGTATTTTCACATGGCAGAAGGGGCAAAGGGATTTCTCTGAAATAAAAAATATTAGCTTATCCAGGTGCAGTGTCTCAAGCCTATAATTTCAGCTACTCAGGAGGCCAAGGCAGGATAATCACTTGAGGCCAGTTTGAGACCAGCCTGGGCAACATAGCAAGACCCTCTCTCTTATTTATTTTTTTTTAAATCAGCTGAGTGTGGTTTTGCCTGCCTGTAATCCCAGTTACTCGGGAGGCTGAGAAAGGAGGATGCTTGAACCTAGGTGTTCAAAGCTGAAGTGAGCTATGATTGAGCCACTGCACTCCAGCCTGGGCAACAGAGTGAGACCTCATCTCTTAAAAAAAATCCATTTTTATATAGACCTGTTTTATATTTAGTAACCACAGGCAAACCCCCTATATTCGAACCAGCTTACTTGTCCATTAAATGCCTACATTTTTCAAAGCAACTAGCTGAAAGGATACACATCTCTCAATAAAGCACATCAATGCTAGAAAAAAATTACTATTGGCAGATAAGAATGATTGTGCTTATAATAAAAATGATAGCACTGTGACTGTCTTGTTGATCATAATAAAGAAATCATTAAATCATCCTACCTATGCCAAATAACCTATATTATCCTGTTTACATATGTACTTCTGTTAAGAAAGTAAAAGTACTTAGTCCTATTTTAAAATAATGAGTCTCAATTAGTAATTAGCAAACGAAAAAGGAGAATAAATAATACATTAGAGGCATTAGATAGAGCACTAAAAGACAAAATAAATCACTTCCTAGAAAATTTTGATTGCATTGTTTGTTTACAGAAAATGGTCAAGGCAGGGCACAGTGGCTCATGCCTCTAATTCCAGCACTTTGGGACGCTGAGGCAGGCAGATCACTTGAGCTCAGGAGCTCCAGATCAGCCTGTCCAACATAGTGAAACCCCGTCTCTACTGAAAATACAAAAATTAGCTGGGCGTGGTGGCACACTCCTGTAATCTCAGCTATTCGGGAGGCTGAGGCAGGAGAATCGCTTGAACCTGGGAGACAGAGCCCGCGGTGAGCCGAGATCACGCCACTGCACTCCAGCCCGGTCAACAGAGTAAGACTCTGTCTCAAATGAAAAAAAAAAGAAGAAGAAGAGTAAAGAATCTTAAATGTATTTCTAATGCTAGAGTACTTGAATTTATAATACTCAGCACGTGACCATACCTGTCAAGTGAGGATAAAACTAATGTCACCTCTATAGTTTGATTAGAGGAATTTAAAGAAGGTCCTGACCTTACATCCTTTCTCAGTTAGATCAAAATACCTGAATCTCAATCAGAATTGATGGATTTCTTATTTTTTACTATGTTTGTCATCTAGAACCCATACTGAAAGACACATACATATGTATAAATGCAGTGTTCTACTGAAGTGAAAATATCTTCCCCCTCCATTTACTAAATCAATTTTAGTTTTCTCCCTAACACATTTTACTGCTTCACATTAAATTACGTTAACCTTTGCAACTGCTAAACAAAGAGAAGTGTAGAGATTTACTGTGTCTTTTACGCTACTGTAGCCCTGGCACTTAGAACAGTATCTGGCACATAGTATATGCTGAATATATGTTTGTTATTGAATAAATGCTTATTACAGATAAATACACTTTAAAGGGTAGTTTGAAGTAATCTTTGAGGTGTGAGATTACCAGAACAACTCTAAGCTTTTTCTCTGATTTTTGGTTCTTAAGTGTGTCAGTAAGCCTGCTTGTACCACATAGGACAAAAACATAACCATCACTTCTGCCTTAACCAAATAACTGATTAATGCTCACTTATAGTTCAACAGTTGCTGATGTCAGAGAAAGGTTGGGGAGTTGAGGGTGTTATTGGGAAAAGGGAGGTATTAGTCAAACGGTACAAAATTTCAGTTAGATAGAAGAAGAGACAGAACAAGTGATCTATTGAACAGCATGGTAACTTGAGTTAATAATGATGTATTACATACTTCAAAATTGCTAAAAGAGTAGATTTTAAATGTTCTTACCACAAAGAAATGGCAAATATGTAAGGTGATATATATGTTCATTAGCCTGATTTCATTATTCCATAATGTATACATGTATCATAATATCACATTGTACTCAAGTATAAAATTATTATTTGTCAATTAAAAATAAATACAATAAGAATAACACGTGAATGATCATCTACTTTTCAAACTCAACCAGTCTAGAACTAATTCAATTATTTGAAACACCTCCTTCTCCTCTGTCAAATTTACATCTATTTCTCCACTTTCCATATCAAAATTTTAGAGTAATACGGAAGACTTTCCACCTTTTTGTTTGAATATAAGTCCTCAATTCCTGTCAACTAGGTCTTCATCATATTTCCTTTTTCTGTGCTGAGTTTTTGGCCACCATCCTGAATCGAGAGCCATTTTTTTTCTCAAAATTTCCATAGTTAGCCAACTGGCATCTCTGTCCCAAATATCACTACCTTTGAAATTAAAAGATCAATATCACTTTCATACATCATAATCATTCACACACAATTTCTCCCTCCGTCTGGCAGTGAAGTCTTCCCAAAAATCTGCCCCAGTCAGTCTTTTCCAGTTTCACATTCCATTACTCCCACATGATCCAGAAAGTGTTCCAACAATTCCTCAAACATGCCATTACTTTTTCCACCTGTTTATCTTTATTCGTAACATTTATTTTTCCTCCTCACATGCCTACTGACATTCTACCCATTCTCTGAGATCCACTCAAAGGTCCCTTTTTTCAGTGATGCCCTGTATGATTTTCTAAGCGTAACATAATCACTGATTTCCTTTAGCACCTCCAAGTCCTTTCATTACAGCCCATTTCACACATGCTTTTGAATTGTCGTTATTTACACTATCTTGCCTCTCCTACTGAACTATTAGCTATCTATGAACAGTATAGTGTAATATCTTTCATAGTTGCCCCCCAAATACATTGTACTTCACAGGATGTCAACATATGTTTGTCAAATAAGTGAATAATTGCTATAAAATTGACTTATTTTCTCAAAAGATATAACAGAAAACTAAAGAATCAAATAGGTGTGTGAAGACAAAAAGAGAAAGAAGAGAAAAAAGATAGACACTAGAAATTATATGAACCTAAATAAGTTGCTTACCCTTTCTGAATGCAGATTATCTTTATGTAAAGAAAAAAGTTGGCCTAGATGACTGCTAAGGTGCTCCTTGTGCTAACATTCTATAATTTCATGATTCACTAGAGACTATCACAACTCAATGCAAGCAATAACACATGCCTCTGGCTCCCAGCTGCACTGTCCACTTTTTTCAGTCCTCTCCAGCTATGATCCTATGACAGAAAGTCAAAGTGATGAAGTGGTTTAATTCAGCATGCAAATTACTGCAGCTCTGAGCCTAAAAGAAATCATGCTGTGGGCAGGTAAAGAAAATTGGAAAGCTGATCCACAACTCTACAATGTGTTGGTTTGGAGTAAATAATTTTCTTATATGTTAGATGCATAATCTTCAGTATCTGAAGTAAGGAAAAATAATAGGTTAAGAAATTATTTTAATATGTATGTATATATTACATAAATATATTCATATTCCCTTATGTTTTTATTATTGCTTACTATATGCCTTTAAAACTAACAACATATAATAGTTTTATTCCCAGTCTTCACATACACTTTTAAAAGTAATTGGCATGTGTCATTTTATATGAAAACTTAGATTCATTATATTCAAGGGAAACACCGAGTTTGTGGGGTGGTGCATTGTGACTCTATTCCCACAAGACTCCAATTATTCATCATTCAAAGCATAACAGAATTCCTTAGTAAATAGGCTGGAATAAATCCCCAAACTGCCTTGAGTTTCTTATGAAAACATTTTGAAACCTTTAATGCTGGATATATCAATATATCACAAAACAAAACTCAATGGGCTTAACCATTTTATCCCAGCAGCTCTAACCTTCATTTTTCTACATTTTCTTGCAGAGACACATATTTCGAATGTTTTTCTACTTCTGGTTTATGCTTTTTCATGTCAGAAAACATTACCTTTTATCGTTCACTCAGCTGTGTAAACCAGGTATCAATATTTATCCTTGACTCTTCCTTCTTCCTTAATTCATGCTCACAATGAATTGATATATCTTACCAATTGTACTTTGTAAACATCTCAAGTTCATCTATATTTCTCTTTCTTCTGCTTTTATTTCAGGTTGATATCACCTCTTGCCTAGAACAGTGTACACCAAGCTTTTATTGATCATGCATATATATCAGTAAGAAACATTCAGCAACAATTTCCAAAATGTGTATATTTATTTTGTTTCTAAATTATGCAAGAAACTCTGGGCAACCATATACTTGACAATCAGAAAACAGTGCAACAGAAAGTACAAAACAAGAAGTTACAAATAAATAGAAAGTTCAAATACTGTCTTTCTACACAGGTGGTATTGGTCTTGTTTATCCCTAGGTGGCATATGCTTTACTTGGAGAACGTCTATCCCAAGTTCCATTAACAGTCCCCCTGCCTGGTTAAAAGCTTTGAGTCTTAACTTCCATAATGCAATATTTTTAACATGCAGTGCTTTCACATCCTTCCCCAATTAAAGCACTTATATGTCTTCCTGTTTTTTCTAAGAATGAGATACAAACTCTTTAAGATGCTTCACAAAGCCCCTTTATGACCTGGCTATTTTCTTATTATCCAGTTTTATTTCTTGTTATTCCTGTCCCACTCTTCTCCTGCCTCCCACAAATATGCACCTTGTCTATGCTGAAGTGTTTTCAGAATCAAATCCAGGTGACCATGCTTTTTCTCCTCACTAAGACTTTGTCTATCCATTTAATTCTGCTTAGAATATTTTCTCCTTTCTCCTACCCACTGTATCTGATTAAGTCCTACTTATCCTTCATATGTCATTTTAGATATAATTTCATCTGGAAAATGCCTCTCCTATAATCTACCCTGGTGCATAAAATTCATCCTTATGCTATTCCATGCCAGTGAATTTTAATTGTCAGTTTGTCTTTTACATTGGCTTAGTGATTATTACACAGTGGGGTAATCTAAATCACTTAGAAACTTTCTTTAAGTCCAATTTTTTCAACCTCATCCATAGATATTTTCATTCTATGCATCCAGGATAGAGCCCAGGAATGTGCGCTTTTAAAGCACCAGGGTGATTCTTATGCACATGTTTGCACTAGAATGGATGCTTATTCACTGCTATATTTTCAGCATCTTTTAGGAATCTTGGCACATAATAGGTGCTTAATAAATATTTTTTGAATAAATAAGTGAGAGGGATATGATTGAAAAGATAACTGATTTTTAAGGCAGAGGTAACAGAATAAGCAAGAAAATGAATGCATAAAATCTCAAAATTTGCTGGGATACCTTTAAATATAATTTTTGTCTTTCTCACTTTCTAAAATGCAAGTCTTCAGTGACAGAGAGGTAGCATACTTAAAATGAATGGGCCAGCTTGATGTTGTCCTCCTATCTGTGCAGCAACTAGTGGAGAAGCTTCTGACAGGTAAAAATTGTCTTTCATATGGGTTTTGGTAAATGAAAAAGGAATTGGTTGGGTTAGAGATTGTGGTTGGGTAGCAGAGAGGAAGAGGAAAAGCTGAAGCCAAAGTACACAGGTTTGTAGATTGTATTAAATAGTTCGGACTTCATTCTAAAGATGCCATCCTGGTCCCTAAGGAATACTGACTTAACTCAGAATGCTGACTAGACCAAAACATGGAATATTAACATATATCATACCTTTAAAAGCTGAGGATCCCTTTCTGCCACCTGACTCTACCATGCGGAGAGCCATATGCTTTATGATCAGTTGCTCCTCCCTGCCCACTCTCACTTAGAGTTTGCAGAGGCTCTGTTCACTGGCAAATATTACCACCACTGCAGACCAGAAGCAAAGACAAACCTGACTCCTCAGCCAAGTTGCTGCCTAAATCTTCCAAATCTCCACTGAATTCTGTTAGGTCCACGTGGCCACTATGTTCTAGGATTTTATGCTGATTATTCTCTTGGTGGCATTTTCCTGAAGTCAAACTCACTCTTCTCTCATCCTTCCTAAGGTGCATATTGGTTGGTTTGTTCTTTGCTACTTTGTTTTAGTTTTAGTTTTTCATTACCCTTTTGTTCTTGGAATTTGAGAACAAAAATAGTGCTCTCCTCATCCCTAAATTTGTATTAAAATAAAAAAGTCCCAATATTAGGTCTATAAGAGCAAGTTTGGAGAATATGGGTCTTAACTGGAGATCCTAATATTAGGTTTATAAGAGCAAGTTTGGAGAATATGGAGCTTAGATATTCAGGCAAGAGAGCTTGCTAACATTTCACCTCAGAATTAACCATACACCTTCGAATCACACATTGAGCTTGACAACCGCATGTTTCTGACCAAGGACCTGTTCCCTGAAACTTACTACACAGAGGAACAAAGGAGACCATGGCACATCTTCTGTGCACAGAGGAAAATCCCTCAAACAAGAGGTCTGGAGGGTCTGCCCAAGCCACGCATGCCCGGCTCATTTCCAACCTCAGCACTCAGTGAAGTCAGTCCACTACCTAGGAAGGAGTAAATAAGATGGGTAGAGAGACCAGAATTGTTATTTTGAAAAATGACTCTCTCTATGGGAACGTGAGTCAGGAATAAGTCATCTGCCCACAGACCATAACCATTTCAGTAAGCATTACTTCACTTCTTCACTTTTAGTGTAAACTCTCTTTCCCCAATTCCTTTCTCAACTATAATGTATTTATTTTCTCAAACCCATCTGCAGATATATCATGAGTTGGAATCCACGCTCTCAATCAATGTCCCTAATGCCATTTCTAATTTTTTTACTCCCTCAGCTTCTGGTGAAAATCTCTACCTTTCAGAGGCTTTTATCCCTTGTGTCTATCACCATCTAACTAGTACTTCTCATTGTTATGTCTTTTTTTTTTTTGCGGCACTTTTTATTTATTTATTTTTGTTTCTTTTTTATATTTTATTATTATTATACTTTAAGTTTTAGGGTACATGTGCACAATGTGCTGGTTAGTTACATATGTATACATGTGCCATGCTGCTGTGCTGCACCCATTAACTCGTCATTTAGCATTAGGTATATCTCCTAATGCTATCCCTCCCCCACCCCTCACCCCACAACAGTCCTCAGAGTGTGATGTTCCCCTTCCTGTGTCCATGTGTTCTCATTGTTCAATTCCCATCTATGAGTGAGAACATGTGGTGTTTGGTTTTTTGTCCTCACAATAGTTTACTGAGAATGATGATTTCCAATTTCATCCATGTCCCTACAAAGGACATGAACTCATCATTTTTTATGGCTGCATAGTATTCCATGGTGTATATGTGCCACATTTTCTTAATCCAGTCTATCATTGTTGGACATTTGGCTTGGTTCCAAGTCTTTGCTATTGTGAATAGTGCCACAATAAATATATGTGTGCATGTGTCTTTGTAGCAGCATGATTTATAGACCTTTGGGTATATACCCAGTATTGGGATGGCTGGGTCAAATGGTATTTCTAGTTCTAGATCCCTGAGGAATCGCCACACCGACTTCCACAATGGTTGAACTAGTTTAACGTCCCACCAACAGTGTAAAAGTGTTCCTGTTTCTCCACATCCTCTCCAGCACCTGTTGTTTCCTGACTTTTTAATGATTGCCATTCTAACTGGTGTGAGATGGTATCTCATTGTGGTTTTGATTTGCATTTCTCTGATGGCCAGTGATGGTGAGCATTTTTTCATGTGTCTTTTGGCTGCATAAATGTCTTCTTTTGAGAAGTGTCTGTTCATATACTTTGCCCACTTTTCGATGGGGTTGTTTGTTTTTTTCTTGTACATTTGTTTGAGTTCATTGTAGATTCTGGATATTAGCCCTTTGTCAGATGAGTAGGTTGCAAAAATTTTCTCCCATTCTGTAGGTTGTCTGTTCACTCTGATGGTAGTTTCTTTTGCTGTGCAGAAGCTCTTTAGTTTAATTAGATCCCATTTGTCACTTTTGGCTTTTGTTGCCATTGCTTTGGTGTTCTAGACATGAAGTCCTTGCCCATGCCTATGTCCTGAATGGTAATGCCTAGGTTTTCTTCTAGGGCTTTTATGGTTTTAGGTCTAACGTTTAAGTCTTTAATCCATCTTGAATTAATTTTTGTATAAGGTGTAAGGAAGGGATCCAGTTTCAGCTTTCTACACATGGCTAGCCAGTTTTCCAGGCACCATTTATTAAATAGGGAATCCTTTCCCCATCGCTTGTTTTTCTCAGGTTTGTCAAAGATCACATAGTTGTAGATACGCAGCATTATTTCTGAGGGCTCTGTTCTGTTCCATTGATCTATATCTCTGTTTTGGTACCAGTACCATGCTGTTTTGGTGACTGTAGCCTTGTAGTATAGTTTGAAGTCAGGTAGTGTGATGCCTCCAGCTTTGTTCTTTTGGCTTAGGATTGACTTGGCGATGCGGGCTCTTTTTTGGTTCCATATGAACTTGAAAGTAGTTTTTTCCAATTCTGTGAAGAAAGTCATTGGTAGCTTGTTGGGGATGGCATTGAATCTATAAATTACCTTGGGCAGTATGGCCATTTTCACGATATTGATTCTTCCTACCCATGAGCATGGAATGTTCTTCCATTTGTTTGTATCCTCTTTTATTTCATTGAGCAGTGGTTTGTAGTTCTCCTTGAAGAGGTCCTTCACGTCCCTTCTAAGTTGGATTCCTAAGTATTTTATTTTCTTTGAAGCAATTGTGAATGGGAGTTCACTCATGATTTGGGTCTCTGTCTGTTATTGGTGTATAAGAATGCTTGTGATTTTTGTACATTGATTTTGTATCCTGAGACTTTGCTGAAGTTGCTTATCAGCTTAAGGAGATTTTGGGTTGAGACAATGGGGTTTTCTAGATATACAATCATGTCGTCTGCAAACAGGGACAATTTGACTTCCTCTTTTCCTAATTGAATACCCTTTATTTCCTTCTCCTGACTAATTGCCCTGGCCAGAACTTCCAACACTATGTTGAGTAGGAGTGGTGAGAGAGGGCATCCCTGTCTTGTGCCAGTTTTCAAAGGGAATGCTTCCAGTTTTTGCCCATTCAGTATGATATTGGCTGTGGGTGTGTCATAGATGGCTCCTATTATTTTGAGATATGTTTCATCAATACCTAATTTATTGAGAGTTTTTAGCATGAAGGGTTGTTGAATTTTGTCAAAGGCCTTTTCGGCATCTATTGAGATAATCATGTGGTTTTTGTCTTTGATTCTATTTATATGCTGGATTACATTTATTGATTTGCGTATATTGAACCAGCCTTGCATCCCAGGGATGAAGCCCACTTGATCATGGTGGATAAGCTTTTTGATGTGCTGCTGGATTCGATTTGCCAGTATTTTATTGAGGATTTTTGCATCAATGTTCATCAAGGATATTGGTCTAAAATTGTCTTTTTTGGTTGTGTCTCTGCCCGGCTTTGGTATCAGGATGATGCTGGCCTCCTAAAATGAGTTAGGGAGGATGCCCTCTTTTTCTATTGATTGGAATGGTTTCAGAAGGAATGGTACCAGTTCCTCCTTGTACCTCTGGTAGAATTCAGCTGTGAATCCATCTGGTCCTGGACTCTTTTTGGTTGGCAAGCTATTGATGATTGCCTCAATTTCAGATCCTGTTATTGGTCTATTCAGAGATTCAACTTCTTCCTTGTTTAGTCTTTGGAGAGTGTATGTGTCGAGGAACTTATCCATTTCTTCTAGATTTTCTAGTTTATTTGCGTAGAGGTGTTTGTAGTATTCTCTGATGGTAGTTTGTATTTCTGTGGGATCAGTGGTGATATCCCCTTTATCATTTTTTATTGTGTCTATTCGATTCTTCTCTCTTTTTTTATTAGTCTTGCTAGCGGTCTATCGATTTTGTTGATCCTTTCAAAAAACCAGCTCCTGGATTCATTAATTGTTTGAAGGGTTTTTTGTGTCTCTGTTTCCTTCAGTTCTGCTCTGATTTTAGTTATTTCTTGCCTTCTGCTAGCTTTTGAATGTGTTTGCTCTTGCTTTTCTAGTTCTTTTAATTGTGATGTTAGGGTGTCAATTTTGCATCTTTCCTGCTTTCTCTTGTAGGCATTTAGTGCAATAAATTTCCCTCTACACACTGCTTTGAATGTGTCCCAGAGATTCTGGTATGTTGTGTCTTTGTTCTCATTAGTTTGAAAGAGCATCTTTATTTCTGCCTTCATTTCGTTATGTACCCAGTAGTCATTCAGGAGCAGGTTGTTCAGTTTCCATGTACTTGAGTGGTTTTGAGTGAGTTTCTTAATCCTGAGTTCTAGTTTGATTGCACTGTGGTCTGAGAGACAGTTTGTTATGATTTCTGTTCTTTCACATTTGCTGAGGAGAGCTTTCCTTCCAACTATGTGGTCAATTTTGGAATAGGTGTGGTGTGGTGCTGAAAAAAATGTATATTCTGTTGATTTGAGGTGGAGAGTTCTGTAGGTTTCTATTAGGTCCACTTGGTGCAGAGCTGAGTTCACTTCCTGGGTATCCTTGTTAACTTTCTGTCTTGTTGATCTGTCTAATGTTGACAGTTGGGTGTTAAAGTCTCCCATTATTATTGTGTGGGAGTCTAAGTCTCTTTGTAGGTCATTTTGCTATTTGCGTTTGGCTCTCAGTGTGTTCTCCCCACTTACTCTTGATGAAATGTTATGTACTGAGTAATTCATTGAATAATTTCTGCACTGCACCTAAACCATTTACATCCTTAGGCACATCACACATACACATACAGTTTCATCTCTAAAATTATGAATTGAGGCATGCCCCTCTGAAAATCCTTCCTTTACATACCTATGTTGCTTAGCCTCATTGGATCTTCCCCCACATTTATCATCTCTAAATTTAAAAATCCATGAGGCCCTCCAGCCTTAAATCCTTCTCCATTTCAGTTTAGAGGTAATGTTATATTATTTCAGACAGACAGTATCCTAAAGATATCTTAAACTTTCTTTACCTACTGTCCTCAGGCCATATCCACTGACAAAAATTCCAAACCCTGGATAAGCCCTTCTCTTCCCTCTCCTATACCTGTGTTCAAATTGATGAGTGCAGTTAAGCACATCACACAATTGGAGAAAAGTTCTGTAATAAATCCACTGATAAGAATTTTTTCCTGGTCCTCTACATTGGCTGGCAGTTAACAGGACTAGGTTTTTAAAATTAATTTACGTGTCAACTATCCAAAAGTTGAATAATTTCTTACCAAGTCAAGCCTCTAAAAATTAACCTCTCTCTTTCTGTGTGTATGTGTGTTTGTGTGTGTGTGTGTGTACTCATGCATGTAGCAGAGAAACAGAATTATGTATACTTCATTTTTTATTCTTAAAATTAGTCATCAAAAGGTGGCTTATTTCAGTTGCAAGCAAACTCATCGATGGAGACAGACTGTGTTTCTCAGATAGATACTGCCAGTTAGTAATTCTGCTTAAAATGGGCTCAGAATAACATGTCTGAAATATTGAATATGTGTTTACAAATAAATAGCAACAGGACTTCTTTCTGAAGTCTATATATCACTTAAAATGAAGAAAAAGTTTTTAAAGGTCCAAGCATGATAATAGTTTATCCTATTTCGTTATTGGTATTTAATTCTTATATTTTAATAAATAATTTCTTCCACTCAGATACATTTGTTTACCTAGTTTATATTTTAAGGATGCAATTAGACATAAACATCTAATTTATTTATCTTGTAAACTCAAAATTCCCTCATTAGTGCAATCTCAGAATTTATCTATACTATGGAAAAAAAATGGAATGAAAATCCGTGTTAGAATCATTATATCAGGAAACAATGAGTCAAGTTCTTTAAGTTCCATTTTATATTTAGTAGAGTCTTCTAGATGATATTTTAACACTAAGCACTGGCCATGTTATAAAATAGTAATTGACTGTGTTATATGAGAGCCAAAAACATTCTCCTATTTTTTGGAAAATAATAGAAATCAGAGGTTGGATACAATTTCTAAAATAAGATGTAAAGTAATGACAGACTTGCAGCCAACAAAGTTTAATCAATTATATAATCATTAAAAAGAAGACTCAATAATTAGTCATATTATTTACCTGCACCATTGCCTTAAAGAAGTCACTTCAACTCTGAGCCTCAGACATTCATTAAAATGGTGATAATTATACCACTTTATAAAATTATTATAAGAATTAAATTAGTTAATATATATGAATGCATCCCTTTTGTAAAGCCTAAAGCTCTACAGAACACTGAGTTTTATTATTACCACACAAAAATAATTTAAATAAAATAAATATTTTCTGTATGTGAACATATAAAGGTATGTGTATATAACTTGTTGATTCATAACAGAAAAATCATTGGTGTTAGTATGATTCCGGGAATTGTATTTTTTCAGACAATAAATTCCAATTTTCTCAGGAAACCGAAGTTGACAGAAGAAAATATATGTCAAAAGCTTCTATTTGGGGGCCTAATTGAAATATTTGTTTTTTGGAACCCAAACAATTATGGGTCTATATCAATTTGGAGAATTATAAAAAAAAATGATACAAGACAAATTAACCCCCAGGTTGTATCTAGCTATTTCCAAATAATACAATCTCAAGTAATGTTTCCTATTATTTTTGATATTGGAGTGGAAGTAAGGAACGACAGCTTGTGCTTTCCTCAGAATCTGTTAACAGGAATCAATTTCTTTCAACCAGCTTTAATGATCTACTCAACCAGAAAAATATCATCAATAAAATTTATGTTGTTATGTTTTCTGGCAATAAAAGAGAGCTAAGAAATTACTATTTATCTCATTGCTATATAGATAATATTAGATAGTACATGTGAAAACCTATGAAAACTACAGAACAATTATTGAAAGCCAAAATAAATAGAAAGTTACATGAAAATAAGGTACATAGAAAATAAAACAATATATCAAGATAAATTAAGGATTACAAAACTTTAGTGGACATTATAATTTTCTTTCTTTAAAAAAAAATTTTGCTTTACTCAAAGAGACAATGATTCAGTAGATCAAAGGTACAGTGCAGAAGGTTGGCTAAGGTGTATTTCTTTCTCTAGCACCTCAAATGATTCCAGTGAAATTGGTTCCTGGACCCTGGATAATGTTTAGAAATACCACTCTGGATCATAAATTTGTTAACTATTAACTCTTAAAAGAGTCATAACTTAACTCTTCCTTATCTCTCTGGTATGTGCAAACAAGCACACACACACATACATATATGATGTAGATATGTTTTTCCTTCAATTTTATATGTACATCTTTTCTCTGTGTATCAAGTTAATGGTATAGAATAAAATAACTAAATGACACATAGCACAAAGTATTATGCAAGTAAGATTTTTATTTTCTTTTATAATTTTATTATATCAATAATTGTTAAATATATAGCTCTGATTACATGTAATGTAATAATGACCACGATTGTAAATAACTTCTTTAGAAAATAACAGCATATGGCCGGGCACCGTGGCTCACGCCTGTAACCCAGCACTTTGGGAGGCCGAGGCAGGCGGATCATGAGGTCAGGAGATCAAGACTATCATGGCTAACACGATGGAACCCCGTCTCTACTAAAAATACAAAAAATTAGTGGCGCGTGGTGGCGGGCACCTGTAGTCCCAGCTACTTGGGAGGCTGAGGCAGGAGAACGGCGTGAACCCGGGGGCAGAGTTTGCAGTGAGCCGAGATCACACCACTGCAGTCCAGCCTGAGTGACAGTGCGAGACTCCGTCTCAAAAAAAAAAAAACAACATATGATGAGGTAGTATTTTAATATGACATTTTTTACAATACAATCATCTATCATCAATATAGTCAACATTTTATCAAGTGCAAAATAAATTTTCAGAATATTTAATTTCGCTTATTGCAAACATTTATGGATATAATTACATATATTTATAAAAATATAACAATTAAATATAGACTTTATTATCTCTTTTTATTTGTTAAGCACCTTTAACGTAATTAGTACTTACAAGAAACAACTAATACTACTGATTTTTATATTTTCACCACCTACTATGTATGAACCAGAACTTATATTTCTTTTTAATCACCATTTTGAGGCATAATTTACATGGATTTAAATTCACCAAGTTTAAGGAAACAATTATATGTGTTTTGACAAATGTGTATTATCATGTAATCATCACAATCAAGATATAGAGCATTTCCATCAGCCATAAAAATATGTATCATGCCTCTTGTAAAATTATTTTCCCATAATCTGGTTTAGCAACTGTCAATCTGAAATTGGTCCCTATAGCTTTGCCTCCTCTAGAATTCCATATGAATAGAATCATCCTTAGCAAACAAATGCAGAAACAGAAAACCAAATACCCCAGGTTCTTACTTATAAGTGGGAGCTAAATAATGAGAACATATGGACACATAGAGGGGAGCAACAGACACTGGGGCCTACTTGGGGATCGAGGTTGGGAGAAGGAGGAGATCAGAAAAAATAACTATTTACTACTAGGCTTAGTACCGGGGGATGAAATAAAATGTACAACAAACCCCCGTGACACGGGCTTACCTATATAACAAACCTGCACATGTATCCCAACCTAAAATAAAGTAAAATAAAATAAAAATAAAATAGAAAAAAGCTTAAAGAAAAAAAAAGAATTCCACATAAATAGAATCATACAGTCCATAGGTGACTGTGCCTGGCTTCTTTCACTTATACTGCTTCTAAGATTCATCTATGTTGTGGCATGCATTAGTAGTTTGTTCTTGAGTATTATTCCTTTGTATGGGCATCCCTATATTCCTTTATAAATTTACATGTTAATTGACATTCACTTGTTGATTGGCATCATCCATTCACTTGTTTATTGGTTGCCAGTTTTAATTTGTTATAAGTAAAGCTGCTATAATTACTGAAGTACAGTTCTTTGTAAGAATTTTTCTTTTTTTCCCTTTATGGAAATACTTAGAGAATTACTAGTCTTGGCATAGATATATGTCTAACTGTTCTGCTCAGCTGAACCCTCAGCTGCAGTTGACGCAAAAGTGGCTGCAGGGTAGTTCCCACAAGGGACTACACCAAAGTATCCAGAGATGGAACCAGTTAGGATTCCAAAGAAAGAAGCACTAAATGCTATGATAATCAATTCAACGTATTTATTAGGAGAAATTACATGCAGAGGGCTACAGCATACTCACAACACACTGCAAGAAAGGTGTCCTACCCAGATATATCCATTGCAAGGGGAATGGGTGAGAGTTTATATGAGGGTTTAAATAATTTGGCTCAGGGCTGGGGCTAGTTTTTACATGCAAAATCCTAACAATTATCAGTGCCTGAGAATGTTCAATAACTTCAGCTTGGTTTCAAGAGTGCAAGAAATAAACATTTTAAAATTGTATCAAGTCCAAATTGTCAATTTTTCTCTTATCGTTAATGCTTATTGTATTGTACATAAGAAATTATTCCCTAGCTTAATATTTTTCTGATACTAATTTACATTCTATTTTGATTTGATTGTTTTATTTGTGGAAACGACAAGGTTTATATATTCTTTATTCAACTGTTTCATCACAAATTGTGGAAAAAACTATACATTTTTTTCCAGTGCATTGCCTGGGAATTCCTATTGCTTAAAATCAGTTGACCATATATGTGTTCAGTTTCTTTCTTGATTTTCTATTCACTTTTGATCAATATGTACATCTTACATGGATAAACTTGATTATAGTATTTTTAACATTTTTATTTTTATAATTTTGTGGGTAAATAGTAAATGTATATATATGTGAAGTATGTGAAATGTTTTGATAATTACAAGAAATACAAAATAAGCACATCATGAATAATGGGGTAACCATTTCCTGAAGCATTTAACCTTTAAGTTACAAGCGATCCAATTACGTTATTTCAAAATATACAATTAAGTTATTATTGAGTATAGTCACCTTACTGAGCTATCAATAGTAGGTGTTATTCATTCTTTCTATTTTTTTGTACCTACTAACCATTTCCACCACTACCTCCACCTCATTATCCCTTTCACCCCTCTGCTGTCCTTCTACTCTCTATGTTTATTAATTCAATTGTTTTGATTTTTGGATCCCGCTACTAATTGAGAACATGTAATATTTGTCTTTCTGTGCCTGGCTTATTAAGCTCAGCATGGTGATCTCCAGTTCCATTCATGTAGCTGTGAATAATTTGATCTCATCCATTTTCGTGGCTGAATAGTACTCCATTGTGTATATGTACCACATTTTCTTTATCTATTAATCTTTTGATGGACACTTGGGTTGCTTTCAAATCACAGCTATTATTAACAGTGCTGCAACAAACATAGGAGTGCAGATATCTCATTGACGTACTGATTTCCTTCCTTTTGGGTGTATACCCAGCAGTGGGATTGAAGCATCATATGGTTGCTCTATTGTGAGTTTTCTGAGAAACTTCCAAACTGTTCTTCACAGTGGTTGTGCTCATTTTTATTCCCACCAACAGTGTACATGGGTTCCCTTTTCTCCACATCCTAGCCAGCATTTGTTATTGACTGTCTTTTGGATATAAACCTTTTTAACTGGGGTGAGATCATATCTCATTTTAGTTTTGATCAGCATTTCTCTGATTATCAATGATGTTGAGCAACTTTCATATGGCTTTTTGCCATTTGTATGTCTTCTTTTGAGAAATTTCTATGCAAACATTTTGCCCATTTTCGATAGGATTATTGGATTTTTTCCTGTAGAGTTGTTTGAGCTCCCTATATATTCTGATTATTAATCCCTTGTCAGATGGGTAGTTTGCAAATATTTTCTCTCATTCTTTAGGTTGTCTCTTCACTTTGTTAATTGTTTCCTGTGCTGCTCAGAAGCTTTTTAACTTGATGTGATCCCATTTGTTCATTATTGTGTTGGCTGCTTGTGCTTGTGGGGTATTGTTCAAGAAATCTTTTCCCAGACCAATGTCCTGGAGATTTTCCCCAAAGTAGTTTGAGGAAACTCTCTTGCAGTTTGAGGTCTTAGGTTTAAGTCTTTAACTCGTTTATGCTGAGGTTGAAGTTTTCTGAATTTGGCCATGAAATTCATATATATTTCCTAGAAAAATTCAAGGGACAAGAATTTGAAGAGAAAAAAAATATTATGTTCCATTGTTGAGTTATGTGGTGTTCCAAAAATGGAACGCTAGGCAAAATCACTGCTACCTTGTACATAACATATAATTTTTTTTTTTGTCTCATGACACCTGCTACTCAGTGTGATATTCAACAGAACACTTCAAATGTAAAGCAACATTACATTTTTCACATCGAAAAGTGGTGTTCTTATGACATTCAGCACATCGCGTTTGCTTTCCCTGTTTGACTATCATGTGATTTATGCCATCATAATGTGAGTCAATGTTATGCTTCTGAGAAGGTCTTCCTTTTTGGCCAGGTTCTGGAGGATGACCATGGGTCTGCAGATAATGACATACCACACGCCAACGACACTCCAGAAAATCCACTGGCTTCTCATCACGTTTTATGCAATTACCAAGCATTTTGTAAGACCAATTTGAAACAGAACAAGAGAGCTCGAATACCAGTTCTTTCCATGGATTGCTGCCTGATACTTATCGAAGTTTTTATCAGCTCTGTCTATGCCTCCCATGAACCAGTTATACACTTTGTTCATGTTTGGCTGCAGAACTTGGGTCTTCTTTTTCTGTTTCCAGGAATAGTAACTGACAAGACACAGGTGATCGATACCAGCACCAGATGAGGCAAAAGTGACAACACTGTTATCATTCCATCTGCAGGCAATATTGCCTTTGCCATCAATTAGATAATCAAATGTGCCTCTTTCTTTTTTCTTTAGCACTATATCCTATTCCAGTGGAGCTTTGTCAGTGCTATCATTTCTCACTGTACCTGTTGCCTGATGTCCCATTGAACTGACCTTATCAAGAAGTGCAATACTGGTAAAAAAGTTATCGAATATAAAATGGTATTGTCCAGGGTGTGCCTCTATAAGTGCCTCTCTAAACTGAAGGGTGAATGATGCACCGACACCGTATTCCTCATGTTTAGTATTTGGTTTTTACCCTGATATGGCTAAAACCAGCAAATGCAGCCCAGACATGTGGCACCACACCAAAACTTACAGCCAAATTGAATGGGCTTTCCCCCAATAAATTGTTCACACCTGTGACGACCAAAATAAGGAAACGTGGATTCATCAAAGCTGAAATATGTTTCATTTGGAACAAATTTCATACATCTCTCATTGAGTTTGCTTATGAGAGGTTGTAACTTGGAAAACTTGTCCATTGGATCCAAATTTGCATTGTCAGCAACATCCAAATTAGAAAATATAGTTTCAAAGCGGTCACATCTCATGGCAGCACTCACCAGTATATTATGCGCATCTGTTCTTTGTTTACAAAACATACGCCTTCTAGGAGCTGAGACATAGGCACTCAGAAAAATAATTCCCAGAAAACATTTGAATTTGGAGCTAGTCAAGCCAAGATGTACACCCTTACTTCCAGCATATAAGTTGGAGAACTTGACAATGAATTCAAAGAACTTTTCATCAAGAAAAAGTTCAAGAAGTTCTGTGGGAGTTCTCATTTTGCTAAAGAAACCTTTTGGTGGTTCTGTAACTCTACCTGCTAGGGGGTGTGTGTTAGATCAGCGTTTTGCCATTTGAAAACAACTTTTGTCACTTTCCTCCTCCTCGATGGTGGAGGTTGCTGCACAGTGGAGGTAGATGGAACTTCGCCAGGAGAGTCATCATTATGTGCATATGAGGGATCATCTGAGTCAGATTCAGCATCCGAGCCATCTTGAATAAGTTATGCAGTTGCAAACAACAAAGAACCTGGCAGATTATTTATTATTACACCTTCTTCATCTTCTGAGTCCTCATCAGAAACAGGTGTTGTAGCATTTTCAGGTGGTTGTATCACTCTAGCACTTGCTTCTATGATGTCATCTGTCTCTAAAAGGTCAGTTATTTCATGTAAACTTAGAGTTTGAGGCATCTTGGGACTAAAACGGAAAAACAAAGTATTATTAGTCCCAGTGGTAGTCATTTTGCCTAGTGTTCCAAAAATGGAACATGCAAAATCTCAAACCCATAACTAATGCAACAATAATAATTTCGGTATTTTCTTTTTACAGCACAATAGCATAACTAGTAGAGAAGTAATAAAAAAATACTATGTAAGAGGTAATGCAGTAAAGTTTTACGTACCTGTCTTTGGATACTTCCTCAAAAATGTTTCCAAAAACTCACATCACTTTTTGTCAAGCTCCCAGCATGCCAGTGTCTTCAGCAGTGACTAACTCTGTGCACCATGTGATAACATGTACCCTCAGGAGGCAGACATATGTGAAAAATCAGACTGGCGATGATCTTGAGCAGTAGGATATAAATCACTCCCACATGCTTAGTGTTCCAATAATGGAACAATAGGCATAAATGTTAACCTATTTTGATTTGATTTTGGTATATGGCTAGAGACAGGGGTCTAGTTTCATTCTTCTGCATATGCATATCCAGTTATCTCAGCATTTATTGAAGAAACTGTCTTTTCCTCCGTGTATGTTCTTGGCACCTTTATCAAAAATGAGTTCATTGTATTAGTCAGGGTTCTCTTAGAGGAACGGAACTAATAAGATACACACACACACACACACACACACACACATATGAGTTTATTAAGTATTAACTTACACCATCACAGGGTTCCACAATAGGCTGTCTGCAAGTGGAGGAGCAAGGAGAGTCACTCCAAGTTACAAAACTGAAGAACTTGGAGTCCAATGTCCGAGGGCAGGAAGCATCCAGCACTGGAGAAAGATGAAGACGGGGAGGCTAGGCCCATCTCTCCTTTTCAGGTTTTTCTGTCGGCTTTATATTTGTTGGAAGCTGATTAGATTGTGCCCACCAGATTAAGGGTGGATCTGCCTTCCCCAAACCACTGACTCAAATATTAATCTATTTTGGCAACACCCACACAGACACACCCAGGATTAAAACTTGGTATCCCTCAATCCAATCAAGTTGACACTCAGTATTAACTATCACACTGAAGGTCTGTAGATTTGTTTCTGGGTTCTCTATTCTGTTCCATTGGTCTATATCTCTGTTTTTATGCCAGTATCATGCTTTTTTGGTTACTATAGCTCTGTTGTATAATTTGAAGTCAGGTAATGTGATTCCTCCAGTTTTGTTCTTTTCACTTAGGATAGCTTTGGCTATTCTGAGTCTTTTGTGATTCCATATAAATTTTAGACTAGTTTGTTTTTTCTCTCTGAAGAATGTCATTGGTGTTTTGGTAGGGATTGCCTTGAATCTATAGATTGCTTGGGTAGTATGGACATCTTAACAATCCATGAACATGGAACAGTTTTTTCATTTTTTTGGTGTCCTCTTCAATTTTTTCCATCAGTGTTTCATAGTTTTCATTCTAGATCTTTCACTTCTTTGGTTAATTTGTAGGTATTTAATTTTATGTGTGGCTATTGTATGTGACACTAGTTTTAAACTTATTTTTCACATTGTTCACTGTTGCCATATAGAAATGCTTCTGAATTTTGTATTCTGAAATGTTACTGATTTGTTTATCAATTCTAATAGTTTTTTGGTGGAGTCTTTAGGTTTTCCCAACTATAAGATCATGTCATCTGCAAACAATGATAGTTTAATTTCTTCCTTTCCAATTTGGATACCCTTTATTTCTTTCTCTTGTCTGATTGCTCTGGCTAGGAGTTCCAGTAATATGTTCAATAACAATGGTGACAGGGCATCCCTGTTATGTTCCAGATCTTAGATAAAAGGCTTTCAGTTCTCCCCCATTTATTATGATACTAGGTAGGGGTCTGTCATGTATGGCTTTTATTGTGTTGAGCTATGTTCCTTTTATACACAGTTTTTGGGAGTTTTTGTTATATAAGGATGTTGAATTTTATCAAATAATTTTCATCATCATTGAAATAACCATATGGTTTTATCCTTTATTGTTGATGTGATGTATTACATATATGGATTTGAGTGTATGGACCTATTCTTGCACCACAGGGATAAATCCCATTTGGTCATGATAAATTATCTTTCTAAAGTGCTGCTGAATTTTGTTTGCTAGTATTGTGTTGAGAATTTTTTCATCGATATTTATCAGAGATATTGGCCTGTAGTGTTGTTTTTCATTTTTTTAATGTATCTTTGTCTGGTTTTTGTATCAGGGTAATACTGGCCCTGTAAAATTAGTTTGGAAGTATTTCCTTCTCCTATCTTTTTGGAATAGTTTGAGTAAGATTAGTGTTAGTTCTTCTTTAAATGTTTGATAGAATTCAGCAGTGAAGCTACCAGGTCCCAGGCTTTCCATTACTGGAAGATTATTATGGCTTCAACCTAATTACTTGTTTTTGTTCTGCTCAGGTTTTTTATTTCTTCCTGGTTCAATCTTGGTAGGTGGCATGTATCTAGGAGTTCATTTTTTCTAATTTTTAGAATTTGTTGGAAGATGGTTGCTCACAATAACCACTAATAATCCTTTGAATTTCTACAGTATCAGTTGTAATGTCTCATTTTTTTCATTTCTGATTTATTTTTTATTATACTTTAAGTTTTAGGGTACATGTGCACAACGTGCAGGTTAGTTACATATGTATACATGTGCCATGTTGGTGTGCTGCACCCATTAACTCGTCATTTAACATTAGGTATATCTCTTAATGCTATCCCTCCCCCCTCCACCCACCCCACAACAGGCCCCGGTGTGTGACGTTCCCCTTCCTGTGTCCATGTGTTCTCATTGTTCAATTCCCACCTATGAGTGAGAACATGCGGTGTTTGGTTTTTTGTCCTTGCGATAGTTTGCTGAGAATGACGTTTTATTTAGTTAGATCTTCTCTATTTTTTTTTCTGGCTAAACTTTGTCAATTTTAAGTTTTCAGAAAAACAACTTTTTGTTTCATTGATCTTTTATATTATTTTCTTTATTTCAATTTTATTTCTTCTCTGGTCTTTACTATTGCTTTTCTTCCACCAATTTTGGGGTTCACTTGCTCTTGCTTTTCTAATTCTTTAAGATACTCATCAGATTTTTTATTTGAAGTCTATGCTCTTATTTTACATGGCACTTACAGCTATAAACTCCCTTCTTTGTGCTGCTTTTGCTGTATCCCATAAGTTTTGGTATGTTGTATTTATACTATTAATGTTTGTTTCAAGAAATTTTTCAATTTTTTTCTTAATTTCTTTCTTGACCCACTGATTATTCAAGAGCATATTGTTTGATTTCCATGTATTTGTATTGTTTCCAAAATTTCTCTTGTTATTAATTTCTACTCTTATTCTTTGTAGTCAGAGAAGATGCTTGATATTATTTCAATTTTTTAATGTTTTAAGACTTGCTTTTTGGCCTAACATATGGTCTATCCTTGAGAATGATTCATGTGCTGAAGAAAAGAATATGTATTCCTTGGCTTTTATATAAAATATTCTGTAAATATCTATTAGATCTATTAGGTCGATAGTGCAGATTAAGTCTGATGTTTCTTTGTTCATTTTCTGTCTGAATGATCTGCCCAATGCTGAATGTGGGGTGTTGAAGTCTCCAGCTTTTATTGTATCGGGATGTATCTCTGTCTTCAGTACTAACAATATTTCTTTATATATCTAGGTACTCCAGTGTTGGGTGAATATATATTTAAAATTGTTATATCCTCTGACTGAATTGACCCTTTTATCATTGCATAGTGATCTTTGTGTCTTCTTATGGTTTTTGTCTTGAAATCTATTTTGTCTGATACAAGTATTGCAACTCCTGCTCTTTTTTTGGTTTCCATTGGCATGGAATATCTTTTTCCATTCCTCTATTTTCAGTCTATGTGTGCCTTTATAGGTGAAGTGTGTTTCTTATAGACAACAGACGAATAGAGCTTGTTTTTTCACGCGTTCAGCCTGTCTACGTCTTTTAATTGGACAGTTTAGTCAATTTACACTTAATGTAATTTTTGATAAGTAAGGAATTACTCTTGCCATTTTGTTGCCTGTTTTCTGGTTGTTTTGTGGTCTTCTCCTCGTTTCTTTCCTTCCTCACTTCCTCTAGTGAAGGTGATTTTCTCTGGTAATATGATTTAATTTCTTGTTTTTATTTTTTGTGTATTCATTACATGTTTTTTGGTTTGAGGTTACCAGGAGGCTTGTAGACACCATCTCATAACCCATTCTTTTTTTTTATTATTATACTTTAAGTTTTAGGGTACATGTGCACAACGTGCAGGTTTGTTACATATGTATACATGTGCCATGCTGGTGTGCTGCACCCATTAACTCGTCATTTAGCACGAGGTATATCTCCTAATGCTATCTCTCCCCCCTCCCCCCACCCCACAAGAGTCCCTGGTGTGTGATGTGTCCATGGGTTATAATTGTTCAATTCCCACCTATGAGTGAGAACATGTGGTGGTTTTTTGTCCTTGTGATAGTTTGCTGAGAATGATGGTTTCCAGCTTCATCCATGTCCCTACAAAGGACATGAACTCATCCTTTTTTATGGCTGCATAGTATTCCATAGTGTATATGTGCCACATTTTCTTAATCCAGTCTATCAATCATTGTTGGACATTTGGGTTGGTTCCAAGTCTTTGCTATTGTGAATAGTGCTGCAATAAACCCACTCTTTTTAACTCAATAACAACTAAGCACTATTTGCATAAACAAACAAGTAAAAAGGAAACTAATAAAAACTTTACACCTTAATTTTATCCCATGCTTTCTAACTCTTATTATTTCGATTTATATCGTATTGCATTGACTATGTCTTTAACATTGTAGCTATTATTTTTTATTGGTTCATTGTTTAGTCTTTCTACTTAGAACAAGAGTAGTTTACACACCACAGTTACAGGGTTATAATATTCTATGTTTTTCTGTGTCCTTGTTATTGCCAGTGAGTTTTGTACACTCAGGTGATTATTCATTGCTCATTAATGTATTTTTTTTCTTTCTGATTGAAGTACTACCATTAGCATTTCTTGTAGGGTGGGTCTGGTGTTGATGAAATCCCTCAACTTTTGTTTGTTTTGGAAAGTCCTTATTTCTCATTTATGTTTGAAGGGTATTCTCACTAGATATACTATACTAAGGTAAAAGTGTTTTCAGTGCTTTAAATATAATCATGACACTCTCTCCTGGGCTGTAAGGTTTCCACTGTAAAGTCTGCTTCTACACATATTGGAACACCATTTTATGTTATTTGTTTCAAAATCTCTTGCTGCTTTTATGATCCTTTCTTTATCCTTGATTTCTAGGAATTTGATTATTAAATGTCTTGAGGTAGTCTTTTTTGTGTTGGTCCGTTTGGTGTTCTAAAGCTTTCTTGTACTTGGATATTGCTATCTTTTTCTAGGTTTGGAAAGTTCTCTGTTATTATCCCTTTGAATAAACTTTCTACCCATCTTCCTCTACCTCCTCTTTAAGGCCAATAACACTTAGAGTTGACCTTTTGAGGCTATTTCCTAGATCCTGTAGGCATGCTTCATTGTTTCTTTTTTTTCCGTCTTCTCTGACGGAAAAAATATTTTCAAATAGCCTTGCATGAAGCTCACTAATTCTTTATTTTGCTTGATCCATTCTACTACTAAAGGACCTTGCATGAAACTCACTAATTCTTTCTTTTGCTTGATCCATTCTACTACTAAAGGACATCGAAGCATTCTTCATAATGCCAATTGCATTTTTCAGCTCCAGAATTTCTGCTTAATTCTTTTCAATTATTTCAATCTCTTTGTTAAATGTATCTAATAGAATTATGAATTCCTTCTCTCTGTTAACTTGAATTTCTTTGAGTTTCCTCAGTACAGCTATTTTGAATTCTCTTCCATAAAGGTTATAGATCTCTGTTTTTCCCAGATTGGTTCTTAGTGCCTTATTTAGTTTAGTTTATATAGTGAGGTCATGTTTTTCAGTATGATATTGATGCTAATAGATGTTCTTCAGTGCTGGGTCAATGAAAGGTTAGGTATTTATTGTAGTCTTCACTGTCTGAGCATATTTGTAGCCAGTGGAAAGGCTTTCCAGATATTTGAAAAACTTGGATGTGATCTAAGCTGTATCTGCTTTAGAGGACACCCCAAGCCCAGTTACACTGTGGTTCTTGCAGACTTGTAGAAGTACTGCCTCGATAGTCTTGGACAAGACCCCAGATAATTATCTGGATTATCAGGCAGAGACCCTTATTCTCTTTCTTTACTTTCTCCAAACACACAGAGTCTTTCTCTCTCATTTTCTCTCTCTCTCTCTCTCTCTCTCTCTCTCTCTGTGTGTGTTCTAAGCCACCTAAAGCTGGGGATGGAGTGACAGAAACCCTTTCTGTGGTCACCATCACTATGACTGTGCTGGGTGAGACCTGAAGGCGTATGTCCTTCTCTTCAGGGCACTGAGGTTTCCCAAGCCCCTGGGGGGTCCAGAAGTGCTGCCTGGGAGTCAGGGACCACAGTCAAAAACCTTAGAAGTCTACCTGGTGTTCTATTGTGCTGCAGTTGAGCTGGCACTCAAACCACAAGATCCTTTCTACTCTTCTCTCCTCTTTCCAAAGGCAGAAGAACCTCACTTCATACCCACCACCAACCCTGGCCACAAGGAGTACTGCCAGACCACTTCTGATGTTCCCTTAAGACCCAAGGTCCCTTAAGTCAGCTTGCCATGAATGCCGCCTAACCTGGGACTCACCTTTCAAGGCAGTGGGCTCCCCTCTTGCCCAGGGTAGGTTCAGAAATGCCAACCAAGAGTCAAGTCCTGGAATTGGGGATCCGAGGAGCTTGATTGGTGCTCTATCATCTCTCTGTGGCTATGCTAGTAGCTGAAGCCATCAAGCCTCAGAGGCTCACCCAAGGCCCTCAGTGTAGTACCTGGGTGTCACTGCTGGCTATTCAGGGCTCAAGGGCTCTTTAGTTAGCAGGTGATGCATGCTGCCAGAATTGGATCTTTTCCTTCAAGTAAGCGGGTTCCCTTCTGACCCAGGGTGTGTCTAGAAATCTTGTCTGGAAGCTAGAGCTGGAATGGAGGCCTCACGACTCTGACTGGTGCCCTATCCTGCTGTGGCTGAGCTGGTATCCAAGATAAAATACAAAGTCCTCCCCAATCTTTCCCCCGCTCCCTTCAAGTGGAAGCATGGGGTCTTATTATATTTTTTTTGTCAGCAAACTATGCAGCCTGGGATTAGGAGAGGGCTGATGCCAGCACTTGGCTGCCCCAGCTGGTGTTTCAGTGTGTCATGTGCACCCCTAGTCCACTGTCTCTAAGCCTAGTTCAGCACCAGGAGTTGTGGTCCTTATGCCCTAGACTGTCTTTCAAGTTTACTTGGAGACTCAGAATCCTGTAGCCATCCGTGGCAAGGTTTGCATGCATTCAAGTTTGGACTGCTGGGATCATCAATTCTCTTCTCTTTAGGGCTGGTTTAAATGATCCTTCCATCTGTGAGCCAGCATCAGCTGAATTGGTCTGGTTTTCCTTTCTGCTCTAACGGGACATCACTGAGTTCATTGCCTCACAATAGCTGTGTTTTCCTTCCCCCAGCACCCAGAGATGCTCTGGGCAACACACCACCAGGGATGGAGGTGGGCAGGGGGTGTGTGGCATCAGCGATTCAGAACTTTTTTTTTCTTTTTTCTTTTTTTAATCTCTTCAGTGCCTCTTTCCACAATATGAAGTTAAAACCAGGTACTATGAGTGCTCACCTGATTTTTGGGTCTTACGAAGGCTTTTTGTTTGTTTTGGTTTGTTTGTTATGTTTTCTGTGTAGTTGTCGAATTGGTGTCCTTGCTGGGGGGACTATCCATGGAGCTTTCTATTTCACTGTCTTGCTCTATAGTAGATTTTGCTCCTCTATAGTGGATTTTTAGTAAGTCTTAAAGCCAGGTTTTGTCAGCCCTCCAATTTGGCCCTTAAATTCCCACAATTAGGAATTTGCTTTTAAAATTGCTTTTAAATTTCCATGACTGGTCTATAAATTAAATGCAATTAATTAGTTAATTTAATTCAATCTTCTTCATAAACATAGTGTATCTATCCACTTAGTTATCATATCTCTCAGCAATATTTTTACAGTTTTAATTATATAAGAAGTGTACAAGTTTTGTTATATTTATCACTGAGTATTTCATATTTTATGCTACTACTAATGCTCTAGTTTATTAAATTCCAATTTCTGATTTTGTATTGCCAGTATGGGAAATGCAGTTAGGTTTTTTTGACCTTGTCTCCTACAACTCTGCTAAACTAATTGATTAGTTCTTGAATCTTTTTTGTTAACTCTTTCGTATTTTCTATATAGGTAATTTGTCATCAAAAAATTTTTAATTTTTTCATTCTAGTGTGTACACATATATTTATTCTTATTACTTTCTTGTATTATCTAGCTCTTACAGTACAATGTTTAATAGAAGTAGTTGGTAAAGACATCCTTGTCTTGTTTTTTTTAGGAGGAACACATTCATTCTTTCACCACAAGTTTATCTGTAGACTTTGCAAATGCGCTTGTCAAATTAAGACAGATCACTCCTATTCCTAGTATACTGAGATATTTTGCCATCTTTTTTCTACAGATAATTTAAAAATTGTCTCTTAATCTCTGGATTCCCAATTTGGTTTTGTTATTCTGTGTTAGTTCTAGTTCTCTGATAATCAAATGCTTTTTCCTTATCTCTGGATTTATTTTTTGTTCTGTTAATGTAGGACCTTACACTGATTTTTTCAATGTTAAGGCAACTTTATTTTCTGTGATATACCTCACTTGGTCATGATATATTAGCTTTTATGTATTCCTAAAAGTTTCTTAGAAATTTTTGTGTTTATGCTCCAAGGATTTTTGATTATATTTTTTATCATATATGTCTATGGTTTATTGCTAGGTAATGCTGGACTGTTAGGATATATTTAGAAAATTGCCCTTCTTTTATCTTGAGGAGAGTTTTAATAGAATCAGTATTATTTACTGAATAAATTGTGAGAATAAATTGTGTAGAAGGAGGCTAACATTCAGCACAGTTCTGAGAATGTTGATCAGATAAATATGGAGTTCTTGAGGAAAGGTTTTCAGTGGAATAGTTCCACCTGAGTCAGAAATGGATAGGCACTGGAACTCCAGCCATGTTCCACCATTGGCTGAAAGCAGCCTGGGGGTGTGCAGGCTGGAGGCTACCAGCCAACTATAGGCCCCCAATGCCAGCAAATTCTCATGTAGGATATCTGAGCTGCATACCTCCATGGTGCTACATATACTTTGGCATAGTTTACTTATGTTTATTTTCTTTGGTTCTCATTTTGATTTTTAGAAATTTCAGACTTTTTTTTGCCTCTCCACAACACCCCCCCTTTTCGGGACCCCAATAGATGTATGTTAGAATGTTCGGTATTGTTTTAACAGGCCACTGTCTCACAGATTACTAATGCCCCATTTATCTGTCTTTTTCACTCTCTGTAATTTATTTTGAAAACCTTTATGCCTATGTCTTCAAGTCCAGTGATTTTCCTTTAATATCTGATCTACATTTAATTTCATCCAGCATGTCTGTTTATAGGTGGCGTGTGTGAACACAGATATTTGCTGCAATAAAGTGCAATGGAAATTTACACATACAAATATATAAAATTCCATTTCATAAATACACACAAAAAAACATACATACACATATGTATGTATGTGTGTATGTACATGAGTGTGTATATATATATATATATATGGAATGGACTCTATTATATATGTTTATTATTTTAAATATATGTACATAATATATATTATATATATATGTAAAATATGTGATATATATATGTGTGTATATATATATATAGAGAGAGAGAGATAGATCATTATGTTAAGTGAAATAAGGCAAACACGTAAAGACAAATGTTGCATGTTCTTACTTATCTGCAGTTTCTAAAAATCAAAACAATTGAACCCAAGGACATAGAGAGTAGAAAGATGGTTACCAGAGGCTAGGAAGGGTAGTTGAGGGCTGGGGTAGAGGTGGGAATGTCAAAATGTATATTAAATAATTATTTTTAATTGCAATAATTTTTAGTAAAAATCTAAATTAAAAATTCTTTAATTTTGAAGCTACTTATACTACTAGTCAGCCTTTAATTTCAAATAAGAGAGATTTTACAGTGATTTATGACTATCATCCTGGTTTTAATTTATGTCTTGGTACTTGAAATAAGCTATTTAATTTTGATGCCCTAACAATAACTGATAAAGCCAGAGGACACAGATGCATTTCCTGGAAAACACAATATTCAACAATTGAGGTGGGCTTGTCAGGTCACATGTTATGAATATTTCATCATTATGCTAGTAAACATAAAAATAAACATTTATTCCTGGAATAAAAGCTTTATTCTTGTTAGAGGCTGCTGTGACACCATTCCTTCCCTGGGTTTTTAATGTCTACACAGTGGAGTTGTGTTAATTGAATCTTTCTTGTCATTTGTGTAAATGATACATAAAGGAGAGAAAGAACTGTCTTCTTCCCATACATAAGAGCATTCCCTAAGTAGTAATTTATTTATTTTATTTAATCGTTATGTATTTCTTGGCTTCATAGTCTCAAATACCAATGTTTTAATATCTGTTTCACCTATAAATGAAATCTAAGTCTTATGTGACAATAATGAAATACAGTATGTGCCATTACATTCACCAGTCAAAATAAATAACAATGTACAACTTTGATATTTTAGACTAAAATTAATACAGATAAGAGTTGAAACTAAATTACCCAAAAGAGCAATAAAATTCTGATGCCATAGGATCTTAAATTATATGCATAGAATATAATCAAAAGAAGACTGAACAATGTATATACCTAATGGACCTAATGAATCTGTATTTATTCTGGATTTTTTGCAATATGCTATTATTTTCATATATATAAATTAAGTCCATATATAATTCTGATTTTTATTATAAATTCACAGATTATGTCTTGGCATAGTTAATATTTCATATTTGTAATTGACAAGTTAAAATGATGACGTGATGATGATCGTGATGGCTATATCAATAAGAATAACACCTCTCATTTATTAAGTGATCACTGTGACCTAGACCTTTAGTTTTACACTTAAGTTTTCTGTTATTTATTTAAGTCAAGCTTTGCATGTCTCAAAAATACTCTGCATTAAAAGTACCTATATGATGTTTAGTTTAATACCAGTGTCTAGATCCCTCTAATCAAATATTTTGCTCCATTGTATGGGAACTGACTATAGTTATTTATTAAAATGTTTTCTCCTTAAGAAGTAGTTTTAATATATACAAAATGTAACAAACTTTTACTTTAAACTGTGCTGCTTCCAAATATGATTTTATTGGAGATATCATTTTTGGCAATATTTGTGGTTTTAATGTAGTGAATGTGATAATATACAGAAAACCTGGTCCTCTGTAGTTATATTATCTAGAGTTGTTTTGTTTGAATTTTATATACAATATTAATAAAACCACAGTTGGAATATGAAAAAAGTAATATTAACATGCTTAAAAATATAAAGATGTTGAGATTTAATTTGTGCATGCATTAAAAATTAGAAATGTGAGACGTAAACCACAAAAAAAACAGAGGGTAGTCAAAATATAAGCTATCAAAAATAAAGAGTTACGAAACATTTAGAAGAAATACAATTATTTGTACATTTTATATTAAAGATTCATATTTTTATATTAAAGATTCATATCAGGAGGAAAATCAAGCCCCATTCAAATAGTGAGAGATGAATTCCTGTATTTCTTTTAACATTTTCAATTTGCTTTGAAATAGACACACAAACTTTAAGTTAAGTTTACAGCACGAATTTAAAACTCATAAGTAAAATAAAAGAAAAATGATCATGCATTCTGCATCATACACTTTTCAAAGGCTGAAACTAGTGATCACTCTGCAGGGAACAGTTACTGAATTTCATAATTCTCTGATGACATCATTATCAAATAATGTGCAATTAACCAGGAAGCACAACAATAAGTTATTTTGCAACCATTAATCAAAGTAAAATTTAATTTTACATAAATGTCTCTTTCAAGATAGCATAATGAAATGAACATTAGTTGCTAAAATAACACAAAGCTATCTCCCAAGCACGTATCATTTCAAACCTGTTACTCAAGTTATCCCCATCCTCATTAATAAACACTGACTTGCAATTTTATATAGCATCTATAATACAAATTTTTAAAAAATAAACCAACACCAGTGTCTGTCTAATGTTATTTGCATATTATAAATTTTGATGTTTCTTCTTGATATTATCTTCCAAGCAAGATGGTATTGTAAATACAGGGCTCTAATGATGTCCCTTTCAATTTTTAATTAAAATATTCAATCAAATGGAAAAATTGTGCAGTTTTTCTAAATATATGGAATTGAAGCTCACAAGAGGTTGCACAGGAAAAAGAGTCTACAGTCATTAGCATATTAATAGAATTGAGAACAAGGAAGTGGATAAATGAAAAGATATGAATTGTTTCAGAGATGTCAAGCAAGATAAGTGTCTACTGGATTTTGCAACAATAATATTACAGGTGACATTGCAAACACAGTAAAGGGGTAAGTGCAAAAGAGAAAGAAGGAGTGTTTGTTAGAGTGGAGTATTTTGGCTGCAAAGGAGAAGAGAGCTTATGCAGTAGCAGGAATAAGATGGGGGATCAGTGGAATAAATTTATTTTTAGCTTTTTTTTTTTGAGGACAAGGAAATCTTGAACATGTTTGAATGCTGAGGAGAAAGTTGAAGCAAAATAAAAGCAGAGAAACTTTTGATGGAAATCCCTGAATAAACATAAAGAGGAGGTAAAAATTGGGGGTATGAATACAGAAATTGCCATTAGAAAGGAGGAAGGACAAAATAGTATGACTACTTTTGGGCTAGAGAACATAACCTCAAAATATTTCTTAAAATATTTAGAAGTACCAGGAAAATTAGTAGAAATCTGATAGTAGAATACTGTAAAATATTTCTATCAGTCCTGAAGCAATCAAATAGATGAAATAAATTAAATACCAAGCAAATCTGAAAACAGAATAAATAAATGCTGCCTAAGGAAAAATAACTGCATTCTCTCCTTTAACTCTTCTGTTCACAGCATCATAGTGTTTTGTTAATCTCTGATTGCTCTGTTTTCTAAAAAGCAGAAAGGGATAATGAACCCTCTTGATTTAGCCTGTCACTGGATGGTCTCATCTATTCTCATGGCTTTAAATATTATCTACGTGACTATAGTCTGAAAATTTTGTATTCAACTCCAACTTTTTTCTGAGCTTAATTAAGACTTCATACACAATTTTTGTCTCAGGACTTAGATATCTCATTTTTACATAGTTTCGATGAAGTATTATCTTTCCCACATGTCCTTTTTCTCCACCAACCTTTTTTTTTTTTTCATTAACATCTCCACATTCTATCCAGGTACATAAGTCAGAAACCTGGAAGACATCTTTTGTCAATTCCTGCACTCCTTCCATATTTACCCTATCAATCACTTAATACCCATGCCCATGATTGTACTTTAAATATAAAGTTGACCCTTGAACAACATGAGTTTGAACTGCACAGGTCCACTTACACAGAGTTTTTTCAACAATTATCTTAATTCTTTGGATATTTGCAACAATATGAAAAAACTCACAGATGAATCATGCAGCTTATGAATATAGAAAAAATTAAGGAAAAGTTACTTATTTCAGTAATGCATAAAATACCTGTAGATACTAGTCTATTTTATCATTTACTACCATAAAATATGCAAAAATCTATTATAAAATTAAAATTTATCAAAACTTATCCACACAAACACAGACACTACAAGAAACCATTCACAGTCCAAAGAAATGTAAACAAATATAAAGATGCAGTAGTAAATCATAGTATATAAAATTAATTGTAGTACATACTGTACTACTATAATAATTTTATAGCCTTTTCCTGTTGCTATTACGGTGCACATGAGTGTTACATAATGCTACATTTTTTGTTGAATAAATTGCTTGATATATACTATAGATTGAGGCTTTCTGCAGCAATTGTCCACCATTTCAAGATAAGTGAATAAATGCATTCATTCAGTTTATCTGTAATTTACTCAGTGTAAGGACTATTACAAGAAAAAAAAATTGAAGCCATCACTGCAGTGATGCCAGCAGGCACAAAAGCCTTACACTTAGTGCTTTTATTTATTTTACCTCATATTGAAAATACAGCTTTTATGTGGGTGCAGGAGTGCTATAAAGACATACCTATAGGCTCTAATGTGACTCTGGAAAAAAGTGAAGTTATTACTTGACAACTCAAAGTAAAAGGAAGGTGAAGGATCTAAAGCTGGAGAATTTAATGCAAGCAAGGGATGGTTTGATAATTTTAGAAAGAGGTTTAACTTAAAAAATGCCATGATAATAGAAGAAATAGCTTTTGCTAATCAAAAAGCAGCAGATAAGTTCCCAGACACCATTCAAAAAAGTATTGAGGAGAAAGGATATCTGCCTAAACACGTTTTTTTCCCTTGGGTTTTTCTTTTTCTTTTTCTTTTTTTTTTTGTAATGAAGAGGAAAGCACCTTATTCTGAGGGGGAAAAATGCCATAAAGGACATGTATTAGTAAAGAGGATAAATGGGCACCATGATTTAAGGCAGGAAGGGATAGGCTAGCCCTACTGTTTTGTGAGAATGCAATTGGGTTATGATCAGAACTGCCCTTATCTATAAAGCTGCTAACCTCTTAACCTTGAAAGAAAAAGATAAGCACCAGCTACCAGTCTTTTGTTTATACAGCAAGAGGCCTGAACAATGAGAAAAGAACCCTTTTCCTTGATTGGTCCTGTTGATGCTTTGTCCCTGAAATCAGGAAGTATCTTGCCAGTAAGAGACTACTTTTAAAAGTTCTTTCAATTTTGGACAATGCCTCTGGCCAGTCTGAACCCCATGAGTTCAACAGCAAGGCATCACAGTAGTCTACTTGTCCCCAAACACAATGTCTATATTTCAGCCTCCAGATGAGGAGGGTCATAGAATCATTAAGGCTCATTACACATGGTATTCTAAGAGAATAATTGGAAATTCAATGAAAGGAAACTCCAGTAGAGGGAAAATCATGAAAACATTAATCTGGAAGGATTAAACCGTGGAAGATTCCATCATTGTTATAGAAAAATCCACCAAAGCCATCCAGCCTGAAACGGTAAATTTCTGCTGGAGAAAACTGTGTCCAAATGTTGTGCTTGTCTTCACAGAATTAACAACAACACTAATCAAGGAAAGAGATTGTGGATATGGCAAGAAAAAAAAAAGAGAAAGAAAGAGAGAGATTGTGGATATGGCCAAAAAAAAAAAAATTAGTAGGGGTGGGTGAAAGGTTTCAAGATGTGAATACTGGAGTAATTCAAGAGCTCTTAAACACCATGCCAGGGGAATTAACAGAAGACAATTTGATAGTGAGTGCTTCTGAACCAGTGCCAGATGACGAAGAAGAAGATGTAGAAGAAACAGTGCCAGAAAACAAATTGACATTAGACAGTCTGGCAGAAGGGTTCCGATTATTTGACTGTTTTTGACTTCTTTTATGACTGGGACCCTTCCATGATAAGAGCACTGAAAAGAAGACAAAAAGTGGGGAGGGGGGGAAGCATTAGTACCACATGGAAACAATTTTAGAGAAATAAAAAAGCAAGAAAGTCAGACACACATTGTGATGTATGTTTTGTGCCTGCTCCCCCCTTCTACCTCCATCTCTTACACCTCTGCCACCCGAGACAGCAAGACCAACCCCTCCTCTTCCTTCTCCTCCACAGCCTACTCAACATGAAAACAATGAGGATGAACATGTTTATGATGATTCACTTCCACTTAAAGAATAGTAAATATGTTGTCTTTTTCTTATAATTTTTAAATAATATTTTTTCTCTAGCTTACTTTATTGTAAGAATACACTATATACTATGTATAACATACAAAATAAGTGTTACTTGACTGTTTATGCTACCAGTAGGCTTCTCGTCAACAGTAGGCTATTAGTTAACTTTTGGGAGAGTCAAAAATTATACATAGATTTTCAACTGTGCAGGGAGTTAGCAGAGTTTAATCTCTGCATTGTTCAAGGGTCAACTGCACTGTCTTAAAGCTTCTATTTCTCATTATTTTGACTGGCACTTTCTCAAGCCACTGTCATCTCTCGGCTAGATTAATATAATTTCCTCCTTGTTCATTGGTTCCATTTTGCCATATTCTAATCCATTCTCCATGTAGCAAGCAGCCTAAGGGATCTTTTGATAATGAAAATCTCTTTATGCCCCACTGAATAAACTCCATCAAGGTAATGTATTTCTATTGCATTTATAATAATAAAGTTCAAATGACTTAACATATTCTATAGATCCTGCTATGACCACAAATTTATATCATAGCACTATTATCATCCACTTGATTTGCTTTACACATGAACCTATAGGCCCTTTGAGGACAGAATTTATTTTTGTTTTATTAACTTTTATATGTATGCAATATCCAGCAGAGTATCTGGAGTATAGTGATAATAATAAATATTGAATAACTGAGTAAGTGAATAGTAGCTTTTTCTTAGAATGAGATCTCTTCCAAGTAGCTGGAAACAGAAGTCAGCTTCAAGGCAAGCTATTCTGTCATAAGAGTCCATCACAAGGCCTTGGGCATCAGGACAAACTAACTGGTTGTTTATTTTTTCAAAATTGCTTATTGATGTAATTTATGTTAGGGTTCTCTACAGGGACAGAATTAATAGGAGATATATATAGTAGAGTTTATTAAGTATTAACTCACATGTTCACAAGGTCCCACAATAGGCTGTCTGCAAGCTCAGGAGCCAGAAAAGCCAGTCTGAGTACCAAAACTGAAGAACTTGGAGTCCAATGTTCGAGGGTAGGAGGCATTTAGCATAGGAAGAAGATGTAGGCTGGGAGGGTAGGCCAGTCTAGTCTTCACATCTTTCTGCCTGCTTTATATTCTAGCCTTGCTGATTAGATGGTGCCCTCTCAGATTAATGGTGGATATGCCTTTACAAGCCCACTGACTCAAAAGTTAATCTCCTTTGGCCACACCCTCACAGATACACCTAGGATCAACACGTTGCATCTTTCAATCCAATCAAGTTGACACTCAGTATTCACCATCACAATTCCACCCCTTGTCAACGTGAACCCATACACATCTCCTGAGATCACACATAATCTTCAGATAAAGACAATAATAAGGTCATAATACACCTAACATAATACAACTATTTTTCGTACAACCGAAAATACACATCAACCCCAAACCCAAATGCTATTTGATAAAATTAATACTTAAATGCTGATATGAAGTCAATAAATCTTATGTCACATAATAAAGGAAAAAGGAAATGAAGATATTTTCTTAGTACAACTGTGTACATGCACAAACATGTGTTTAACAAAAGGAGGAGGAAATATTCATGACAACTATAGTCCTCATTTCTGCAGCTGGTCACATGATTGTAGCTGGTATTGATGACTACCCTCTTCTACTACTCGTTTGGTGTTCTGTTGCCTTCAGCAAGCGCCTCAGCAGGTTGTGGTTTTTATCTGGGTGGAGTGACACAAACCTTCATTCCTGAAGGGTCTGGGTCATTTGCAATCCTTCCTGGATTGGGTTGTTGTAGCTTCCCATTGACCTTAATCACAAGGCATGGTAATTCTAAGAGACACATTTATGGATCTCCTGTGTTCCATGCACACAGTTTTTTACCTCCATTGTGGAGGAGTAGAGTGATTTAATCTTGATAGTCTGAGTCAGTCACCTGAGCCAACACTGTAACTCCCTTCTTAGCCTGTTGACTTAAAGGTAGGAAGAGCCCCAAAGTGTCCAGTTGGCAATCTTAACTTCCAGTTTAATGGAATTGGTGTGTCTCCTGGTAGCAGGATCTCTAGAACTAAGATTTTAGTTCTCTGGAACTAAGATCTCTAGGCCAGCAGAATGTAATATCCAGGGAACAGAAAACAAAAATTTTGCTAGTGGATCACTAGCGGTGATTGTGAGTGGTGCCACTTCCACTTCCACCCCTTGACTCCTGGACCTGTGAATCCTGGCTATGGGAGAAACAGCACCATATATTGGATGCTGATTCAGAGCATACACGGCCATCTGGAGAACTTTGCCCCAGCCCTACAAAGTATTGTCACCTAGTTGGCCTTGTAATTGTGACTTCAAAAGGCCATTTCACTGTTCTATCAATCCAGCTGCTTCAGGATGACGAGGAACATGGTAAGACCAGCGAATTCCAGGAGCATGAGTCCACTGACACACTTCTTTAGCAGCAAAGTGAGTGCCTTGGTGAGAGCCAATGCTGTGTGGAATACCATGACTGTGGATAAGGCATTCCATGAGTCCATAGATGGCAGTCTTGGCAGAAGCATTGTGTGGAGGATAGGCAAACCCCTGTCCAGAATAAGCATCTACTGCAGTGAGAACAAAGCTCTTCCCTTTCCATGATGAAAGAGATCCAATATAACCAGCCTGCCACCAGGTAGCTGGCTGATCACCCCAAGGAATGGTGCCATATCAAGGGCTCAGTGTTGGTCTCTGCTGCTGGCAATTGGGCACTCAGTAGTGGCCGTAGCAAGGTCAGCCTTGGTGAGTGGAAGCCCATGTTTCTGAGCCCATGCATAACTTCCACCCCCACCACCACGGCCACCTTATTCATGGGCTCATTGGGCGATGACAGGGTGACTGAAGAGGCTGAGTGGTGTCCACAGAATGGGTCATCCTATCCACTTGATTATCAAAATCCTCCTCTGCTGAGGTTACCCTTTGGTGAGCACTCAAATGGGATACAAATATCTTCACAGTTTTTGACCACTCAGAGAGGTCCATCCACATACCTCTTCCCCAAATTTCTTTGTCACCAATTTTCCAATTATTCTTTTTCCAAGTCCCTGACCATGCAGCCAAATCATTGGCTACAGTCCATGAATCAGTATATAATCGCACATCTGGCCATTTCTCCTTCCATGCAAAGTGCACAACCAGGTGCACTGCTTGAAGCTCCTCCCAATGGGAAAGATTCCCTTCACCACTGTCCTTCAGGGATGTCCTAGAAAGGGGCTGTAGTGCTGTAGCTGTCCACTTTTGGGTGGTGCCTGCATATCATGCAGCATCATCTGTGAACTAGCCCCTAGTCTTCTCTTCCTCTGTCAACTGATCATTTGGATCTCCCTATGAGGCCATCAATGCAGGCTGGGGAAGAGAAGGTAGGGTGGCAGGAGTGGAGACCATGGACATTTGAGCCACATCCTCATGTAACTTACTTGTGCCTTCAGGACCTGCTTGAGCCCAATCACATATATACTACTTCCATTTGATAATGGAATGCTGCTGTGCATGACCCACTTTATGGATAGATGGGTCAGAAAGCACCCAGTTTATGATAGGCAGTTCAGGTTGTATGGTGACTTGATAACCCATAGTCAAACGTTCCCAGTAACAGGTCAAGAGCTGTCTCTCAAAAGGAGAGTAGTTATCTGCAGAAGATGGCAGGACCTTGCTCCAAAATCCTAGAGGCCTCCACTGTGATTCACATATGGGGGCCTGCCAAAGGCTCCAAACAACATCCCTATCTGCCACTGACACCTCAAGTACCATTAGATCTTCTGGATCCTATGGCCCAAGTAGCAGAGCAGCATGCACAGCAGCCTGGACCTGTTGCAGAACCTTCTTTTGTTCTGGACCCCGTTCAAAATTGGCAGCCTTTTGGGTCACTTGATAAATGGGCCGGATTAAAAAACCCAAATGAGAAGTGTGTTGCCTCCAAATTCCAAATAGGCCGATTAGGCATTGTGCCTCTTTCTTGGTTGTAGGAGGGGCCAAAGGCAGCAACTTATTCTTCAGCTAGGAAGGAATACCTCGACAGGCCCCACACCACTGGACATCTAGACATTTTACTGAGGTAGAAGTTCCCTGAATTTTAGTCAGATTCATTTTGCATCCTCTGGCACACAAATGTCTCACCAATAAATCCAGTATGTTTGCTACTTCTTGCTTACTGGATTGAATCAGCATAATATCATCAATGTAATGGACCAGTGTGATATATTGTGGAAGCGAACAGCAATCAAGTTCTCTCCAAATAAGATTATGATGCAAAACCGGAGAGTTGATATACCCCTGAGTTAGGACAGTAAAGGTATATTGCTGGCTTTGGCAGCTGAAGGCAAATTGCTTCTGGTGGGCCTATGGACAGGAATGGAGAAAAAGGTATTTACCGAGTAAATGGCTGCATACCAGGTACCAGGAGATGTGTTAATTTGCTCAACGTAATGAAACTACATCTGGTACAGCAGCTGCAATTGCGGTCACGACTTGGTTAAGCTTATGATAATCCATTGTCATTCTCCAAGATGCATCTTTCTTCTGCACAGGCCAAATGGGAGAGTTGAACAGGGATGTGGTAGGAATCACCACCCCTGCATCTTTCAAGTCCTTGATGGTAGTATTAATCTCTGCAATCTCTCCAGGGATGCCATATTGTTTTTGATTTATTATTTTTCTAGGTAGAGGAGGCTCTAATGGCTTCCATTTGGCCTTTCCCACCATAATAATAGCCCTCACCCTACCAGTCAGGCAGCCAAAGTGGGGGTCCTGCCAGCTGCTAAGTATGTCTATGCCAATTATGCATTGTGGCACTGGGGAAATGACCACAGGATGAGTCCGGGGACCCACTGGACCCTCTGTAAGTCAGACCTGAGCTAAAACTCAATTACTTACATGACCTCTATAAGCTCCTACTTTAACTGGAGGACCACAATGATGTTTTAGGTCCCCTGGAATCAACATTAATTGAATGCCAATGAAGAAAGAGTGAACATTCATTGTTGAAGTGAGAAAAGTGTGTATTTGGGTTTCACTTGAAACAAAGGCAGGACTTTCAGAACAGCAGTGTAAAGAGATTGGCATATTATTTATCAGGCAAAACAATAACTTAAGGAATTACGATTATAATAAAAACAATAATTAAATTTCTAGAAATTGTCCTATGAAGAAACAGCAAATAAAGGAACATTTACAAAAAAAAAAAAAATCCTAAATCTTAGTACGAAAGAGAAGAATCTGTAGTATTTCAGCCACAATCCACTTACTTCTCACCACAACACAGCCCTGTCTTATTGAAATTACTCAAAGCATTCCCCTCCTGGAAGGTAGAGAAAATGTAGTTTACTTCTTCTCTAAGCTGTGAGCCTAGAACTAAGCTTTTACTCTGGAAAAAGCAGGTCACCAGTGTTTCTCATCTCTCCAGTCCTGTGTCCTCTAAGTTCTATTTCACATAGATACCACTAGGAGGGTAGTATCTTCATATGTGAAGATGTATGAAAGGCTGAGAATAAGAACCTCAAGCCCCTTCCCCAGCTTGCTTACAGAGTAGGAGGTCTACCCTGGAAGAGACAAGCCCAGAAGACCAGGGACTGCCACTCCCTCCCAAGATGACTAATAGAATGAGGATGCCACGTCAAAAGAAATGAGTCTACACCCCCAGTTCAGGTGTAGGAATGCAAAGATTCTGCCCAGAGAGAAGGCAAGACATTTAAATAAAGAGATGCACAGCTCCGCTAGAAGGGACTGACTTTATTTGAAACAAAGTGGAAAACGCCTTGCCTCAGTGTGTTATTTAAAGCAAGGACAAGAAGAATACAGTATGAAACTAAAGAGCAAAGCAGCTACTAGTTTAATAGAACTAGGGAAACAGCCAAGAAAAGTCTTCCTGAGATTATCATCAACTCTCGGAGTTGAGAAGGCTGTGTGTATATGCTAGGCTACAACCACTCAGAAGCAACCAGAGCAGAATGTGGGCATACTTGCAAGCATTCTCCAAGCTGTACACAAATCAGTCAACAAAAAATGGCAGCCTCACTGGCACGAGGAATTAAAACATAACAGACAAAACACTGCTGAGCAATAAGCTACTCTGACATGGGGAACTCCTAAGAATTCAGGTTTAAAATTAAAAGTCACACTCATCTCTGAGAGTCAGGAAGACTGATTGTATACCTAAGCTGTCGTTATAGAGGGAACTTCCAACCTATTAATCCTGGTTAAATGTGGGAAAAAAATACGCACACTTCCTGAACTGTGATAGTGGTCTCTAATCTAGACTCATATCCAACAGTAATGGGTAAAAATTTAACTGATTAAATACCTTAAACATAACTTTTTATCAATGAGTGGCTTATTCTGACATGAAAGCAATCCCTAGATAATAGCAAGAATGAAAGATACAATTAAAAATTAGCAGAAACATCAGATGCTGCATAATGGAGTGGCAAATGGATTTCGCAAAATTATTTTATTCAAGTATCGATACAAAAATAAATGACTAAGCAAAGAGCAATATTTGGGAGACAGTATTCATATTCAGAGTTACTCCTAACCACAAGGGAGCAAAGCTGTACTGTAATAAGTCATGGACAATAATTCAAATCCATAGAAAGAAATGAAAAAGAAAGGGTTAATAAAAAGGTTAACATAATCAACTATATGTATATATACACACACACACATATATATACACATATATACACACACACATATATATACATATATACATATACATGCTCTCTTTTCTTCTCTCAGCTTCTATAAGAGATACAAGATTACATAAAGTAAAAATTATAACAGTTTTGAAGAGGTTTAACGTATATAGATACTATCTATATCAGTAATAACTTGTAGCTCAATAAGAGGGAGAAAGAATAGCAGTACGTAGAAGTAAAATTTGTATATTTTAATGGAGCTATGTCAATATTACTCTAAAAGAAAATTTGATAATTTTTTTATATTGTAAGTCTCAGAGCAACCACTAAGGAATGATTTCAATATATAGTGAAAAAAGCATTAAAATAATTAAAATGTTACACTAGGAAATATTCCCTAAATATAAAAAGACAATAAAGGGGAAATACAGAGAAAAATATGCAACTTATTGAAAACAAAAATGGCAAATGTTTAATAATAATAAATGTAAATGGCTTAAGCAAACTATTCAGAAGGTGGAGATTATCAGGTTGGATTAAATAAGAATATGATGCAATAAAAGGAGATATATATATAAGCTGTAAAATTATAAATAGTTTAGAGAGAAAAGGATTGAAAAAGATATACCATAAGAGAGCTATACTGTCTACACTATAAGAAAAAAAAACAGATCTTCAAATTTTTTAAATGTTACTGAAGACATTTCATAATGATAAAATAATTAATTAATTGGGAAGACTTAACAATTTATAAAAATGCATGCCTCTTAAAATGGAGACAAAACGCCATACACTAAATTTAGAAAACTGAAAGGAAAACATCCAATTTAAAAATAACAGTTAAAAATCTTTAGTGCCCCATTTTCAATAAAGGATAAAACAACTAGCAAAAAAGATCAACAAGCAAAAAGAAGACCTGAACAAAACCCTAAACAAGCTAGACTTAACAGATATCTTTAGAGTATTTTACGTAAAAACAGCAAAAAACACATATTTTTTCAAATACGCATTGAACATTCTCCAGAATAGACCATATGCTAAACCATAATACAAGCCTTAATATATCTAAAAGGAAATTAATCATACAGATAATGTTTCTGGGTCACAAAAGAAGTAAATTTGACATCAGTAACAGATGAAAATTTAGGTGTTTATGATATGTGAAAAATTAAACAATATGCCATAATTAACCAATGAGAGAAAGGAGAAATCTCAAGTAAAATTAGAAAATACTTTGAGATGCATAAAAACAAAAACCACAACATACCAAAACTTACAGAAGAAAGCAAAAGAAGTATTCAGAGAGAAATTTATAGCTGTAAATGCCTAAATTTTTAAAGAAAAAAAAGCCTCAACTAAATAACCAAAACTCCACTTACAGAAACTAGAAAAAATAAGAGCATGCTAAACCCAAAGTAAGCAAAGCACGTAGAAGAAGGATATAACAAAGACTAGAAGGTCATTACACAAAATAGAGAATAGAAATATGGGGGTATTCAAAAAGTTTACAAAAAAACACATAATATAAAAATTATGCATGTGGAAGCAGCTTTAGAATTGGATAATAGGCAGAAAGTAAGAGAGCAGGATAGAAAAAGCCTAGATTGCCATGAATAGAGTGTTAAAGGTAATTCTGGTGAGGGTATACATACACACACACACATATATATACGCACACACACATATGTATGGTTTCAGGCATCCACTGGGTGTCTTTGAACATATTTCGCATGGGTAAAGAGGTACTACTATATGCAGCTACATTAGTCAAGATTGTGCAGTATTTTCATATAATTATACACATAGAATTGGCATTTCAAACATTTACCCTTACATTTAAGTTCAACTATTTTCTACAAGAGTGATGAAACAATTCAATAGTGAAAATCATTATGAGAGAATCCTATGAACAATTGTATGCCAGTAAATTAGACAACTAAGATGAAGTGAACAACTTCCTAGAAAGACTCAAATTACTAAAATACATAAAAGATAAAATTGAAAATCTGAATAGATTTATAACAAAAAGATTGAAATAGTAATACAAGAACTACACCAAAACAGATGTCCAGGACCAGATGGCTTCAGTGGTAAATTCTACCAAAAACTTAAAGAGAAATAGATGTCAATCCATTATAAACTCCTTCAAAAAATAGGAAGAAATCCTTCTCCACTTGCCAAAAGTAACCAAAACATCACAAGAATATGTGACTATAAGCTAATATATCTTACAAATACAGATCCAAAAATGACCCCAAAATACTAGCAAACTCAATTTAGCAACATATAAAAAGATTATATGCCATAACAAAATAAACTTTATTCTAGGAATACACCTAAGATTACTTTTAATGTGAAAATCCCTTATGAATTAATGAAGGGTATTATTGCAGGAGTGGGTTTTTTAATAAAAGGCTGAGATTACCCTCTGCCCCCCACCTTTTGCCTTCTCTTTGCTCTTCTACCATAGGGTGATGCAGCAAGAAGAACCTTACCAAATAACAGTTCCTCAGTTTTAGACTTCACAGCCTCGAAAACCATGAGCCAATACATTTCTATTCATTATACATTATGTCATCAGTTATATTCTTTTATAGCAGCACGAAGCAGACCAAGACAGAAAATTGGTACCAGAGAAATGAGATGTTGCTAGAACAAATACCTAAAAATGTGGAAGCAGCTTTGTAACTGGGTAATCGGCAGAAGGTAAGAGAGCAGGATAGAAAAGGCCTAGATTGCCATGAATAGAGTGTTAAGGGTGATTCTGGTGAGGATATATATATATATCTCCAGTAATCTTAATTTTTATCATATCAAGTTTTTGAAAAGTTCTAAGCAGTGAATTATTTTATATCTTATACATCAAAAAATCCAGAAAGAAAATAACAAATATTTTTAAATAACTGCAACTCATTATTTAGAAAATGAGTATTTTAACTAGAATATTCTATAATGCCCTAAATATTTTTCTCAAAAAGTCTTCTTTTGCTAATTCTAACATTAACTTAATCAATTCTATTGCCCTTATCTTTCCCCTAAAATGCTTTATATATGCAATTATTGTAGTTTGTATTAGTGTTTGATTTCTCTTTTTCTTTTTCCAAGTTTTGATTTCCCTTTTTTTGTTCAGTTTGTTTTGCCTATTGCTCTTTTTAAGAATATTATAATCTGGTAAATATTAGTTACAGTACCTTTCAAATTATTTTAGCATCATTCCAAAGTCAGAAAATTAAAATATTTTACCACTCCATCAACTCACAAATCAGCTAAATATATACATATCCTGGAACAAAATGGACTTATAAATCTACTGTCAGTGTATTCACTGTGTGTTTCTCAATACTTATAACTGTTTTATATCATACTTTTTCTTTGCATTTTATCATCCACCTGTGTGGAAGAATTAAAAGCAGGGCATTGATTGTATAAATAGATGGCAGAAATAGGAAGTGGAGATTAGGTACTAACATAGCTCAGGATAGAGACTCAAGTAAAAAAAAAAAAAGTAGTCTAAAGGTTTTCTTGACTATTTGAATCCATAAGAAAGAATGTGCCTCAATTTTATATCCCAATATGACTCCATCTGATGAAACTAAATTTATGTGTATAATTTTTGTGCGTGCAACACTTTCTTGTTTCTGCACATAAATAAGCTATCCTCAAATTATAAAATTTCATGCCTGAGGTGCCCTCACACAGACAATCACAGAATATTTGCCCCTCCACTGTTTATGCTCACAAAGCTAAAAATCAACTGAAAAACAGGACAGCCCGCCTTTTCCTCTGATATAATACTTGTCAATCATGAAATTGTCGTGGTTTACAATTCTGCTTGGTCAGTAACTCCTGACAGATTAAAATGAAACTATGAAAGTGAAAAATAGTATATTGATTTTGACTTGAAAGTGTTTAAACTCACACCCATTAATACCATGTAATTTCTATACAAATGACATTTTAGATCTCAGAGTAGGCTCTTTGTTCTTGTTCTATTTAATTCCCAAAAAGTCACTCTTTCTTCTCACATTCCCTATATCTTAACCCAAAATGCTTTTGCCACTATTCTTTCCATTATCAATTTTTAGAGCAATGGCATTTTAAGTGCTCTGATATATAGTGCAAGAGAAATTGCTTTGAATTAAAATACCTGCAAATTTCATATCTATGATAAATTCAAAGGAAAAAAGTGGCCCATTATCAGGAGGTTATTTCCACATGTCCATAAATTAATAGCTCTGTGTTCCTATCACAATAAAACTGCACTTAAAGTGGCCCTCTAAATTGCATTTTACCCTTAAAGACAGATATCAAATAAATTAAAAAGGTACATTTATAGGAAGTGTATACCTCTTTAGGTATTAACTGGTTAGATATTTAACATTTAAATCACAGAGCTATTTTAGGCCTCAGTATCATAGCATTCAACTCTCACCTGTGTTCTAAGAACAAACACATAATAATTAAACTTTATATAGTCATGACTAGGACTACAAGATTGACATCCAATCAAACATGCCAGCTGTAGTCCCTCAAGTTAGGGCCCACTAGACTTAAGCACCATCAACATTTCTAAACAATTAATGAAATTGTCAGCAATTCAGGACATTGATAAGTGTTCAGTCATTAAATTATTATAAATGGTTATAGCTACATGTTGTACTGTGTTAACATTTTTACGAACTTCTTCTTGAACCAATTACATCAATTTACAACACAAACTGCCTAACAATTATACATTTTGAAATATCACATGAATTATTCTGCCTTTATTTTTTCCAATTTAGTGTTTACATTATATGTTGATTTCCCACCTACTTATATAAAAAATGTGAGAAGGAACATGCATTACAAAATAATTGTAAAATTATAAAGATTTGACAATCATCCATATGACAATATAAATTTGAATATTAGCAAGTGTTCAAAATAGAGCCAATATATGTGACAAAAATTGTCTTTAGAAATCAGTAGGGAAGAAATAAATTATTCTATAACATTGTTGATTGTTAGGAGAAAGAACAACATATAACACATTAAATTACATAAATCAAGAACTAAATGTAAAGCATATTTTAATTAAGTCAATCTTTACCAAAGGTACGTATCTGAGGACAAACGAAAGAATTCAAATCATAAACTCACAATGCCCTCTATCCTACAAGTCTCTCTAAACACAAAAACAGCAAATGTTTTTAAATTCCAAATATCCAAATATTCACTGTCTCTTACGTGGGAGATAGTCTTCTAGAATATATGTGCAAAAGAATTTATAAATTTTAAAAGGACTATTTTTATATAATATTTTAAAATTTTATATTTAAGTTAAACAAGTGTAAAAGGCAAAACACAAAGATGATATGCCAATAATTAGTATACGAGAGGTGAAGGGCTGATGCCCTTAACATATAAAGTGCTCCTACAAGCCAGTTTCAAAATGTGGGTAGTCCCTCAAAAAAAATCCAGAAAAGATGTAATAGACAAACATAAAATAACTACAAATGACTAATAAGTATATTAAAAAATAGAAACTCCCAAGAGTAAAAGTTTAATCAAGGAAATGTGCAGAAAAACACAAAGGTACATATTTTTTTCCTTTGAAATTGGCAAATATAAACGTATATAGCAGCAAATGCATACACACAGATACACATGCCTACATGCAGACACACACACACAAGACATTTCTTATGTATGGTATAAAGATATAAGTCCATTATTCACTAGCACAATCTTTCTGAAAGACAAATTTCTCCATTTAAGCCATTCTATTTTGGTGATGCATTCTAAAGTGATAATAATAGATGAAACTACAAGAAGGTTCATTGTAGTATGTTTATGAGAATTTAAAATGTACTCACAATATATTTGGAAAACTGAAGTTTTGATCAGTTTGTAAAATATAATTCTATTTTTGAAAACAATGTCTATATGCATAAACTTAAATAGAAAATTGGGAATAAAGATGTTGACGTGGTGGTGGATATATTTTCATGTGGTATTATGGTTGACAAGTTATTTACGCTTGTCTCATATTTTTAGAAGTTTTTAGCATAAACATTTCTTATTTTGTAAATAGGCTAAGCTTCAAACTTTAAATGGTGATATCCCTTTATATAAGGATGTTTATTGTTTGAAATCTGGTTCCAAGTTATAAAAAAGGATACTGGGAGATAGAGATAGAGAAACAGTGTGTGTCCATGTGTGTTTTATTTTCACTGGCTTTGTCTTACTATTCTAACAATAGGACAATCATTTAAAGAAAATCCTTAGTTTCCCATAGTGTTTCCTTCTATTTAGTGTAAAACACTGAATTATCTATTTATGAATAAATAAGTTTACATCACATTTAAAATCCAAATGTTAAAGCAAAACATGGTTATGTGTTCTGAATAAGATTCTCTGAGTCATGGATATTTTAAAATTCCAAACCAACTATCATTTCCATAGAAATTGTCCATACTGCAGCTAAAGCGTGTTAAGAGTGTAATTTATAACACTAAGTGCTCTCATCAAAAAGCTAGAAAGGGCTGGGCATGGTGGCTCATACCAATAATCCTAGCACTTTGGGAGGCCGAGGTGGGTGGATCATTTAAAGTCAGGAGTTTGAGACCAGCCTGACCAACATGGTAAAACCCTGTCTCCCTGTCTCTACTAAAAATACCAAAAAATTAGCCAGGTGTGGTGGCGCATGCCTGTAGTCCCAGCTACTTGGGAGGCTGAGGCAAGAGAATCACTTGAACCTGGGAGGCAGAGGTTGCAGTGAGCCGAGATCACGCCACTGTACTCCAGCCTTGGTGACAGAGCGAGACTCTATCTCAAAAAAAAGGGGGGTGGTACAAAGATCTCAAATTGACATTCTAATATCACAGCTAAAAGAACAAGAGAATCAAGAGCAAACAAGTCCCAAAGTTAGCAGAAGACACGACATAACTAAGATCAGAGTAGAACTGAAAGAGATATAAACACAAAAACCTTCCAAAAAATCAATGAATTCAGGAGCTGTTTTTTGGGAAAAAATAATAAAATATATAGACTACTAGCTAGACTAATAGGAAAAGAGAGAAGAATCAAATAGACACAATAAAAAATAAAAAACAGAATGTCACCACTGACCCCACAGAAATACAAACAACCATCAGAGAATACTATAAACACCTCTATGCACATACACTAGAAAATCTAGAAGAAATGGATAAAGTCCTGAACACATATATCCTCCCAAGACTGGACTAGGAGAAGCTGAATCCCTATAGAATGATAATGAATTCTGAAATTGAGGCAGTAATAAAGAGCCTACCAACCAAAAAAAAAAAGTCCAGGACCAGATGGATTTATAGCTGAATTCTACCAGAAATACAACGAGGAGCTGATATCATTTTTTCTGAAACTATTCCAAACCACCGAAAAGGAGGGACGCCTCTGTAACTCATTTTATGAGGCCAGTGTTATCCTGATACAAAAGCCTGGCAGAGATACTACAAAAGAAAACTTCAGGCCACTATCCCTGATGAACATTGATGCAATAATCCCCAGTAAAAAACTAGCCAACTAAATCCAGTAGCATATCAAAAAGCTTACCCACCACAATCAAGTCAGCTTCATCCCTGTGATACAAGGCAGGTTCAATACACACACATAATAATCAATAAGCATAATTCATCACATAAACAGAACTGAAAACAAAAACCACATGATTATCTCAATAGATGCAAAAAGGCCTTCCATAAAATTAAGCATCCCTTCATGTTAAAAAACTCCCAATAAACTAGGTACTGAAGGAACATAATTCAAAATAATAAGAGCCACATATGACAAACCCACAGTCAATATCACAGTGAATGGGTAAAAGCTGGAAGCATTCCCCTTGAAAACTGGCACAAAACAAGGATGCCATCTCTCACTACTCTTATTCAACATAGTTCTGACCAGGGCAATCAGGCAAGAGAAACAAATAAAGGGTATTCAAATAGGAAAAGAGAAAGTAAAAATGTCTTTGTTTGCAGATGATATGATCCTATATCTAGAAAACCCCATAGTCTCAGCCCAAAAGCTTCTTAAGCTGAGAAGCAACTACAGCAACATCGCAGGATACAAAATCAATGCGCAAAAGTCACAGGGAGTTCCATACACCAACAACAGACAAGCACAGAGCCAAACCATGAATGAAATCCTATTCACAACTGCTACTAAGAGAATAAAATACCTAGAAATACAGCTAACAAGGGAAGTGAAGGACCTCATCAAGGAGAACTACAAACCACTTCTCAAGGAAATCAAAGAAGACATAACAAATGATAAAACATTCCATGCTCATGGATGGGAAGAATTAATATCATGAAAATGGCCAAAGGAAATTATAGATTCAATGCTATTTCCATTTAACTACCATTGACATTCTTCTTCACAAAATTAGAAAAAAAAATTTAACTCATATGGAACCAAAAAAAGCTTGTATAACTAAAAAGCAAAAGAACAAAGCTGGTGGCATCATGCTACCCAACTTCCAACTATACTATAAGGCTACAGTAACCAAAACAGCATGGTACTGGTAGAAAAACAGAAACATAGACCAATGAAACAGAATAGAGAACTCAGAAAGAAGACTACATTTTTGCAACCATCTGATATTTGACAAACCTGACAAGAAACAAGCAATAAAGAAAGGATTCCTGATATGGTTTGGCTTGTGTCTCCACCAAAATTTCTTCTTGTATCTCCCATAATTCCCACGTGTTTTGGGAGGGACCTGGTGGGAGATGATTGAATCGTGGGGGCAGGACTTTCCCATGCTATTCTCTTTGATAGTGAAGGGTCTTACAAGACCCGCTGGTTTTAAAAACAGGAGTCTCCCTGCACAAGCTCTTATTTGCCCACTGACATCCATGTAAGATGTGACTTGCTCCTCCTTGCCTTCCACCATGATTATGAGGTCTCCCAAGCCATGTGGAACTGTAAGCCCAATTAAACTTCTTTCTTTTGTAAATTGCCCAGTCTCAGGTATGTCTTTATCAGCAGCATAAAAACAGACTAATATAGTAAATTGGTACCAGGAGTGGGGTTCTCATGAAAAGATACCCAAAAATGTTGAAGTGACTTTGGAACTGGGTAACAGGCAGAGGTTAGAACAGTTTGGAGGGCTCAGAAGAAGACAGGAAAATGTGGGAAAGTTTGGAACTTTCTAGAGACTTGTTGAATGGGCTTTGACCAAAATGCTGATAGCAATATGGACAATAAGGTCCAGGCTGAGGTGGTCTCAGATGGAAATTAGGAACTTGTTGGGAACTGGAGCAAAGGTGACTCTTGTTATGTTTTAACAAAGAGACTGGTGGCGTTTTTCCCCTGTCCTAGAGATTTGTGGAACTTTGTACTTGAGAGAGATGGTTTAGGGTATCTGCCAGAAGAAATTTCTAAGAAGCAGCAAAGCATTCAAAAGGTGATTTGGGTGCTGTTAAAGGAATTCAGTTTTATAAGGGAAGCAGACCATAAAAGTTCAGAAAATTTGCAGCCTGACAATGCCATAGAAAAGAAAAAATTGTTTACTGAGGGAGAAATCCAAGCCAGCTGCAGAAATTTGCATAAGTAACAAGGAGCCAAATGTTAATCCCCAAGAAAGTGGGGAAAATGTCCCCAAGGCATGTCAGAGTCTTCGCCACAGGGCCTCCTAACACAGGCCCAGAGGCTGAGGAGAAAAAAGTGGTTTAGTGGGCTGGGTTCAGGGTCCCTGTGCTGTGTGCAGCCTAGGGACTTGGTGCCCTGCATCCCAGCCACTCCAGTTATGGCTGAAAGGGGCCAACATAGAGCTCGAGCCATGGCTTCAGAGGGTGCAAACTGCAAGCCTTGGCAGCTTCCAAGTCGTATTGAGCCTGCCAGTGTGCAGAAGTCAAGAATTGGGGTTTTGGAACCTCTGTCTAGATTTCAGAAGATGTATGGAAATGCCTGGATGCCCAGGAAAAAGTTTGCTGCAGGGGTGGGGCCCTCATGGAGAACCTCTGCTAGGGCAGTGCAGAAGTGAAAAGTGGGGTTGGAAGCCCCACACAGAATCCCTACTGGGACACCACATAGTGGAGCTGTGAGGAGAGGGCCACCATCCTCCAGACCCCAGAATGAGAGCTCCACCAACGGTTTGCACCATGCACCTGGAAAAGCTGCAGACACTCAGTGCCAGCCCATGAAGGCAGCCAGGAGGGAGGCTGTACCTTGCAAAGTCACAGGGGCAGAGCTGCCCAAGACCATGGAAACCACCTCTTGCATCAGCATTACCTGGATGTGAAACATGGAGCCAAAGGAGATCATCTCAGAGCTTTAAGATTTTACTGCCCTGCTGGTTTTCAGACTGGCCTGACGCCTGTAGCCCCTTCATTTTGGTCAATTTCTCCCATTTGGAATGGCTGTATTTATCCAATGCCTGTACCCCCATTGTATCTAGGAAGTAACTAGGTTGCTTTTGATTTTATAGGCTCATAGGTGGTAGGGACTTGTCTTGTCTCAGATAAGACTTTGGAATGTGGACTTTTGAGGTAATGCTGAAATGAGTTGAGACTTTCAAGGACTATTGGGAAGGCATGATTGATTATGAAGTGTGAAGATACGAGATTTTGTAGGGGCCATGGGTGGAATCACATAGTTTAGCTCTGTCTCTCCACCCAAATCTCATCTTGTATCTCCCATAACTTCCACATGTTGTGGGAGAGAACTGGTGGGAGATGATTGAATCATGGGGGTAGGTATTTCCTGTGCTGTTCTTGTGATAGTAAATGGGTCTCAAGAGATCTGATGGTTTTAAAAACAGGAGCCTCCCTGCACAAGCTCTCTTTTTGGCTGCTGCCATCCATGTAAGACGTGACTTGCTCCTCCTTGCCTTTCACCATGATTGTGACATCTCCCCAGCCATGTGGAACTGCAAGCTCAATTAAACCTCTTTCTTTTGTAAATTGCCAGTCTCAGGTATATCTTTATCAGCAGCATGAAAACAAACTACTACAATTTTAAATGACACTGGGAGAACAGTCTAGCCATATGCATAAAATTGAAACTGGACTCGTTTTTTAAACCTTGTACAAAAATTAACTCAGGATGAATTAAAGGCTTAAATGCAAAACCCAAAACTATAAAAACCCAAGAAAAAAATCTAGGTAATACTGTGTAGGACATATGCATGGGCAAAGATTTCATGATGAAGACAGCAAAAGCAACTGCAGCAAAACAATTTCAACAAAAACAAAAATTGACAAATATCAAGAAAAAACAGAGAGATAGAAATGTTTTTACAATGTTGGAGGGAATTTAAATTAATTCAACCGTTGTGGAAGACACTGTGGCGATTCCTCAGAGACCTAGAACCAGAAATACCATTTGATCCAGCAATCCCATTACTGAGTATATATCCAAAGGAATATAAATTGTTCTGTTAAAGATACATGTACACAAGTGTTATTGCAGCACTATTCACAGTAGCAAAGATATGGAATTAACCTAGATGCCCATCAATGATAGACTGAACAAAGAATATGTGGTTCATATATATCATGGAATACTATGCAGTATAAAAAAGAATGAGATCATGTCCTTTGCAGGGACGTGGATGGAGGTGGAAGCCATTATCCTCAGCAAACTAACACAGGAACAGAAAGCCAGACACCACATGTTCTGACTTCTAAGTAGGAGCTGAACAATGAGAACACATGGACACAGGAAGGGGAACAACACACTCTGGGGCCGGTCAGGGGTATAGGGAGGAAATGTAGCTAATGCATATTGGACTTAATACTTAGGTGATAGGTTGATGGGTGGAACAAACCATCATGGCACACATTTTCATACGCAATAAACCCGCACATCCTGCACATGTACCCCAGAACTTAAAATAAAATAAAGTTTTTTAAAAAAGGAAATTGTCCAAACACTACATTTAATTTTCAATTCACATAACACTGACAATCATGAATTGCTATGTCTGCTAATGCAATCACATAATAGAATCCAGGTCTATCTTATAATCAAAGAGTATATTGTTAAAAGAGTGATTTCTAAGTGAGATTTAACATTCTCAATAATTTATTCTGGTGACAGTAAAATGCTTGAGAACAACCTAGGCTGCAAATCTGTAGCGTTATGTATTTACCCTGCTTTATTTTATCTCACAAATTCTGTAGCCTTTCTGCTGACCTTGTGATATAAGGCCTTTGAATTACTATGACTAATTGTGAGGAATATGCACAAGTGCTGAGGGGAAATGTAAAACAAGTCCCCTCACCAGATGATTCATACACATAATTAATCAAGTCACAGCTGACATTGATCCAAAGGCACAAGTCAGCAGAGATAGTCATTAAAAGATCCAGTGTCATCTTAGATGTTGGAGAGAATACTGTAATTTCATAGAGGATTCCAAGATAAACTCCAAGCTGCAGAGACTGAGAAAATCATCTAGTGTACCACAATGGGCTTGTGATTTGCACAAGACTTAATGATATCCACACTTATAGTCTTGACAGATACTGCACCTGTGAAAGGTACAAGGTTAATGTTAACAGCTGAGCTGAGAAAACACATCTGATCAATGGGAGAGTAGACAGTATAGTATATATTATTTATCTTGCTCTAGACCACAGTTTCTCTAATATCCTGGATAAATAATTTTTCCAGAAATAAATATTCAAGCCTCTTAATTTAAATATTCTTCACATTCAAATGTGTCAGTTCACAAATGAAGATTCATTTCTGTTTTTTTATTTCATTTTTTAAAATAAAAAAGATTGAAGCTTTATTGAAATAAAATAAAGAACAAGGAACAATAGTTTGAAAACCAAAAGTTTCTTTTGAAATCTGTGGCATAATATGTGATTATATTCACTTTATAACAAGCTAAATGGCATGACTGAGTGGAAGTGACAAAATATTATGAAGAAGTATCCTTTGATATTTATAAAGTTAATAACCATCCCTCCTCAATTTTAAACAATGCAGGATGATAATTTTATTTCAGAAATAATAGGAGGCAGAAAAATAGAGAAATAATTTCCACTTCAGCAACCTGAAGAGAAATCACACAACTTAACTTAGGAGCAGAAAACCAGTTTGGAAGAAGTGATATTCAAAGGTGTGGTAAAAGGATATTTAAATATGTTAGCCCTATGTTGTCCCTTCATATTCTTTGTTTTTGCTATTTATTTATTTATTTATTTATTTATTTTTGAGATGGAGTGTTGTTGCTCTGTCACCCAGATAGGGGCGCAGTGGCACGATCTCGGCTCACTGCAACCTCTGCCTCCAGGGTTTAAGTAATTCCCCTGCCTCACCCTCCCGAGTAGCTGGGATTACAGGCACGTGCCACCACGCCTGACTCATTTTTGTATTTTTAGTAGAGACAGGGTTTCACCACCTTTGCCAGGCTGGTTTCAAACTCCTGACCCCAGGTGATCCACCCACCTCGGTCTCCCAAAGTCCTGGGATTACAGGCGTGACCCACTGCGCCCAGTCCCTTCATATTCTTTATACGCACTGCATAATGCTTGTTCTCCTGTGGATCTGCCTAAGACAGTGGCTTTCTTTGGAGCAGGTTATAAATACTGTCTCACTGCTCTATACTTTACTGGGGTTGTGTGTAATTGTGTGAAGCTTAAAAATATATTAGTAGCATGACCCCACATCCCTATGAGCTCAACATGAAAGAAAGTCATGAACATATAAAGTTTCCATTTTATTTAAGGGTCACAAAGGACAAAAAGGAGCAAGACAAAGCCCCTTGGCATAAAAGATGATCTAAAAAACATTTCACAGAACTGAGTGTGACTGTTAGGAAGAAAGAACATTACCTCTCTACCTCTTCTGTACTACCTATTAGCACTTGTGAAAGTAACTTCTTTTCTCATTCACTTTAAGACATACTGAAACTAAAAGGTGGGTGGAACATTAATCAAATGAGGTCAGAGATTCTTGTAGTCCCCCAAGTGTCCCAAACCTATTATCATTATTTTCAAATAGAAGTTAAGTAGTATTGGTATCTCAAGAAAAATTGCTCTAGTGGAATAAAAGTAAATGAGAACAGGAAAAATGCAGCTTCACTTCTTCTGCCTAAAGAGAGGATGTCAACTGAGTGACTGGAATTAAATGTCCAATTTCTCCTAACCCATAGGCTATAGGCAGTCCTTTTTATATAATCACTTCTAACCCCAATATTATGAGATGCCTGATGCTAAAACGTGAATCAGAGAAATGGTTACATTTTAAACAGTTTTGTGGTATTTCCTTCCTGAGGTATCCTGCACTTAGCAGATTTTCTTAGGTACCTTTAAGTACACACTGTAAGTTTTCCTCTGGCTTCTAACCCTTATAGACACTTTGAGTGAGGTGTTTTTTACCCATAAAACAAGGCAGACCAAAAGAGAACTTAACAGGAGGCCCACTTTTCCAACATGAGTTCCAAAGGGAAGAGTTTAAACACATAGTGGTTTCACATAAGGTGCGCCTTATGCAGACAGATTATGGCTAGATTCTAAGGCTGAGGAGAAGACTGAGATGGAGAAGTAATGGATCGGTGCTTCTCAGTCATATCAGAAGTGTCCTCTCTGTAAAACAGATATTTTGTAATGTCCCTTTTACCATAACCAGCTCAAGCCCACCTCCTCGCAACTCGGAGGTTGCAAACACGAGAAGCAAAGTGTGCTGAAAGAAAAGCAGTTTTATTAATCAAATGCTAGCAGTTGGGGAATGCCCAGGCTCATGCCTTTAAAAGACCATACCAACCTTCTGAGCTGAGTGAAGGGGATTAGGAAGGAAAAAAGTGTGGGAAATATGTGGGGTAGTGAAAAACTTGGGACAGGTGTGCATGTTTTGTTTAACTGACCATCTCGAGTAATCACCTGTCCAGAGGTCCAATTTGTACCACCCTGACTTCAGCCTGGTAGGGAGTGATGGGTTAACTCTTCGTTACTCCCCATGAGTGGGAGAATTCTGAGCTGGGGTTCTCGGCCTCATTTGTTACAAAATTGGCCCCTGGAATTTCTAAGTAAGCTTAGATAAGCATGTGCTGTGCACGATGTGCCTAGTGGGAAAGGGAGAGAATAAAGAATCTTCTACATACAGAGATTAGGAAGGAAAGGAAAAAAAAAAGTGTTAAAGTGCGTATCAAGGCTGGGATACTCGGTTACATTACTACCTAAAATTAAATCCATTGATAATATAACCAACATACACATGTAACTTCAAAAAGTCAATATAAACCCCAAATCTAATAACAAGAAGACAGGAATATTTATAACAAAATCATATGTATTCCAATGTGTAAATATTTGAACATAACTACTAGAAGATATGATGCATCAGTCTGACGTTTCACCTGCTTATATTTAACAAGTTTGGCTATAAGTGAATTTAGATCATTAGTCTGCCCTTAAAATAAGTACAAGACAATGAAACTAGCAAGGATAGACAGTAGAATAAACATTAGTGGTAAGTAATACAACGTACATATTTGTATGTAAAAGAAAAGGAGAAATATATTTAAATTGTCAAAGGAAAACATACCAATGTCAATTAAGCTGTTCAAGCGGAGAAAATGAAAAAGTAGAATATTTTCACATATGTGCTGTCTTCTGTGCAGTGACAAAATAATTTCTTGTGTTATGACATACGAAGAAATAAATACGAAGCTTAGAAAGTCTGTCTTTTATCAATCATATTGCCTACCTTGAAATCAAACCATGCATTTGGTCTCTAGTAGTTAAGACTTTAGATATTATAATCTTCAATAAGTAAAATACAGAATGAATTCATTTAAAAATACAAATATTAGTGCCAGTGTCTAGAGAGAAGAATTTCTGTAGAAGTGAGGATAATCTCAGAAAACTTCAAAATAGTTTCAAAAAGTAATTTTCATTACATGTATTATTTAATTCTAATTTTTGAAAATATTTAGAATATCACTAGTATAAAATATTTTAAACAGTTTCAACTTAGAATTGTAATAACATCTTTTAATAAACATTTTAAAACTATGCAATTTGGTATTATGGACTATTTTAATGACAACTTTTCTTAATGAAATTTAGTGACAACTTTCAATTTCTTGTATATCCCTGCTAACTGAATTATGTTTGTTTCTGAATCTGTTAAAATTGAGTCTCAAATCTCCATTAATAACCATTTGCATTATTGTTACATTCGTAGTACCTGTAGGGATGCACTTAAATCATTTTCAACTAACTACAGTAAATCTCCACTCAATGTTGCTGATAGGTTCTTGGAAACTGTGACTTTAAGAGAAATGACATAAAATGAAATCAATCTTACTGCAGCCTAATTGATAGAAACAAGAGTTAAGTTCCTACAGCATATTTTTGGTCACAAAAACATCACTAAGCTTCTAAATAACGACCCAAAACTCTTCTAATATTAAACACTGAGATAAATGTGATCTATATATACATTAAAGAAACATTAATAAAACAGGTAAGATAATTATTTACCATTTATTCCAGTTCAGTGTCTTGGGTGTCCAGAGCCTATCTCAGCAGTTCAGTATGCAAGGCAGGAACCAGAACTGGATGGGACACCGTTCCATCACAGGGTGTGCTCATTCACTCATCTACACTCACTCAGACTGTGACAATGTCATCATACTAGTTAATCTAATGCACACATGTCTGAATTGTGAGAGGGAAACAGACTCGCAAGAAAAAGTCCAAGCAGATGTGAGAATTGTACAAACTCCACACAGAGAGTAGCCCCAGCTGAGAATCGATGTTTTATTCTCATCAGCCTTATAATGAAATAACTTTATTCGAGGACCTGCTGTATGCAGTTGCACGTGATATGAACCACTGAATATTGATAAAGATTCTCTGATTCACCAAAATTTAGTCACGCTTCTCAACCTTCTCCTAGGTGCATATCATACTTCTTTGTAAAATTCTATTTTAGCAAAGAACTCTGCTAAATTAGTTTAGCAAGAACCCCCACTCTTGCTATTGCATCACCCTTGATGCCTGATCAAGTTCCTCATCCTTCACCATCTCTCAGGTGATGTGTTATCAGACTGGCCTGTCTTCAGCAAGAATCCTGTTAGGTCAGTTTAGCCAGAATCCCCCTTACTTCTGATGCTTCCTCTTAGTAATTTTCTAACCTCTGATCCCCACCATGTTCCTTGGCTATAAATTCCTACTTGCCCATGTTGTATTTGGACTTGAGCCCAACCTCTCTCTTCCACTGCAAAATCCTGTTGTTCTGGTTCCCACATCTGTCTCAACAGTCTTAAATAAAGTCTTCCTCCTCATGTTTTAACAAGCATTATTGGTTATTATATTTTCTTTAATAATATAAAAGAAGTTGGACATAAAGTTTAATTGAACCTGAAACTTTCAGTAATTTGATTAGATTTTATTTTGACATAGAGTTTTTTCTCTCTTTTTTTCCAGCTTACTCTTTATAGAAATGTTGACAGGTATGTTCCATGTTCATGTCAAATGTAGAAATCATACAATCCTGTGTTGTTGGTTTATTTATATCACTAAATATAAAAATATGTGGAATTATACATCACAGCTTTCTAATAAGATCCAATTTGCAGCAATTTATTTTTTTAAGTCATTGGAAATACATTTTAAGCCTATTATCTAACTCTTTAAATGGTGGAAAATAACATTCTCAGCAAGAAAGTGCTATTTATAACTGGGTAAATTTGTTTATAAATCCCATAATTCTCTGTATTTTAATGAGATTTATCTCTTTTTTGCAGCTTAAGTGCATCAATAAGCTTTTAAAATAGGTTAGGCTGGTGGGTCATGCCTGTAATCCTAGCACTTTGGGAGGCCAAGGAGGGCGGATCACCTGAGGTCAGAAGTTCGAGACCAGCCTGGTCAACGTGGGGAAACCCTGCCTCTACTAAAAATACAAAAATTAGCCAGGCATGGTGGCACATGACTGTAAACCCAGCTACTTGAGAGGCTGAGGCAGGAAAATCGCTGCAACCTGGGAGGTGGAGGTTGCAGTGAGCTGAGATCCCACCACTGCACTACTGCCTGGGTGACAGAGCGAGACTCAGTTTCAAATAATAATAATAATAATTTAAAAACATATATACTTATCTAAAGGATATGACATATTGTGCAATATTTCAATCTCAAGATACAAATTTCATTAATTTTAAATGTGTCACAAAATATTCAATAGCAAGCAAACTCTTTTTAACCAGTTTTCCTTGCAAAGCTTTTTCTTCCATGGAATAAGATATTTAAACTCTTCTCTATTTTTACTGTACTCTTTAGGAAATAACTTATTGAGGAGTTCCACTTAATTGTCTTAATAAAACCTACTGAAAAATGTTTAATGCTTGTTGTTATATTTCACTGTTTCATTTGATTTATTTCAACAATCATACTGGACCAATTCTAATAACCCTAGCAAGATAAATTTTTCCAGTACTGTGTGAATTATAACATTTCTAAAGTATTTGTACTTTTTGTAAGAAATAATAATGCTGTTACTTTTTACAGGGAGTTTTTATGAGCATTCCAGTGATTTATTGTATTCTTGTTTTCAACATTTTGCTCAAATTTTTGAAATATGGACCTTTACCTGCTTTATCAATATAATTCTTTATCAAATATTTACTTAATATTTATGTTTTACTTTCAAACATACACTATGATTAAAATAGTGATAACTGTGAAAAGCTAAAAATTAATTGTAAATATTAAAAATATCAACACTTCCTCTGAATATCTGACTATTTGAAATATGAGCTAGAAATAAGTATAACATGTCTTGCAGGACTTCTGTCATCCTAGTCCTTGCTTATTAAATGCCAGTTGTACCTTTAGTCGTGTGAAAAACAAAAGTCCCAACACATTTTCATACCATTTGACAAGTGGTAGTACAAGCATTTTGAGACTCACTGAGCTACATAGCTGATAGAATGCTAGATTGATAGAATAATACAACTGTAGCTGAGTGATAGGGAGCAAATAGAGAAATCTGATGTTTCAAAGATTACGTTGACCAGGGGAGGACCACCATTCCTTTTATCAGGAATATCCTTTCATAGTCATTTACAGATTAAAATTCTCCCTTGGATTCAGAAAACATCATTTTCCCCAAATTAAAGGGTCTAGAGAACTCGTGTCTATAGATAACCTCAATAATTATGCATTTAGGTTTCATGTTCCATTATTTTCATAGATATATTCAGATATTTTTCTTACCTAGTCAAAATAATATTATATACTTATTTATTCTAGAATAACTTATTATTTTAACAGATAAACAGGAAAGGAATGACGTGTTAAGGAACGCTATTAAACTAGAAGTAAGAAAATGAGAAAATCATTTCCCATGGGAAAGAGAAAAATTTGAATCTATGGATTGGTTAAATATATAGAAAAGAATGAAGAGGGAGAAAAATAAAGAACTCAAGAAAGAAAAAAGAGAAAAAATTCAATCAAATACTTTTAGTGAAAAAGGGGGGAGAGAAAGAACAAGCCCATCAAAAGAAATTAAGATGTTAAAGAAGATATGGAGTAGGCAATCAAAAATATCCAAGAAAAAATAGCAGCATGATACAAATAGACAAATATAATTGAACTTGTAGAGGGTAAGAAGAGCTTAGCCTGTGGAGTCAAACAACACAAATAAACAGTACAAGCAGTACATGCACTATTACAGTTGACCCTTAAACAACACAGATTTGAACTGTGTGGGTCCAGTTACATGCAAATTTTCTTCTACGTCTGTCATCCCTGAAACAGCAAGAACAACCCTTTCATTTTCTCCGTCTCCTCAGCCTGTTCAGTATAAAGGTGATGAGGAGGAAGACCTTTAAAATATCCACTTCCACTTAATGAATAGTTAATAGATTGTCTCCTTGTTTTGATTTTCTTAATAACATTTAATTTTCTGTAGTTCACCTTTTGGTAAAAAAATACAGTATACATATAACATGAAAACTATATATTATAAATCAGCTGTTCATGTTACTGCTAAGGCTTCTAGTCAACAGTAGGCTATTAGTAGTTAAGTTTTGGGGAGGTCAAAAGTTGTAAGTGTATTTTTGACTCTGTAGGGATCAGCGCTACTAACTCCTATATTGCTCAAAGGTCAACTGTACTAATCAGCCATAAAATGTGAGGTTCAATTTTCTAATCTGGAAAATGGGCGTAATAGTAACTACGTCATAAATTTACTGAGGGGTAGTTTTGCTAATACCTAAAAAATGCTTAGCACTATGTATGGCTCACAGGTGCTTAGGACAAGTAAATTCACTACATACAGAAATTAACATAGGATTTGTTAACAATCTCTACTTATTCCACCCAAAAACAAGATCTCTTGATCTATGTTTTGATCTGGATCAAACAGACACATTAACAAAGATAATAAAATCACTATAATTAGGATAATTCAAAGGTTTGGCATTTACATTACCCTTAGCAAACTAAGTCAGGAACAGGAAACCAAATATCATCTGTTCTCACTTATAAGTGAGAGCTAAATGATGAGAACATATGGACACATGGGGGCAACAACATACACTGGGTTCTGTCAGAGGTCAAGGAGTGGGAGGAGGGAGAGGATCAGGAAGAACAGCTAGTGGAAGCTGGACTTAATACCTGGGTGCTGGGATGATCTGGCAGCAAACCACCATGGCACATGTTTGTCTATGTAACAAATCTGCACATCCTGCACATGTACCCCTGAACTTAAAATAAAAGGTGGAAAGAAAAAGGTATGGCATCCATCAAGATAACACTGTAATATAAATTACCTCAAGTATAATGGAAGACATGATTTAGTTACTTTCATAGCTAAGTAACTAGGCTTAAATTTCCTAAAAGCATACTACCGCTGTGTTTGAAGAAAATGATCATATCTCGAAGAAAACGTTAATTCTTAAAGTGTATTTTACTGATATCTTTCATTTCCCAGCAATTACCTACCCCTGTAATATCCATTACCTGTGTTAAGACATTCTTGATTAACCCTCCAGGGGATCTATAACTGCTCAAAAAGCCAACAAAAGCTGAAAGAAGAATTGAATAAACAAACTCAATTTTGAAAGATTTAGCAATACCATTTAATAATAATGCAGAGAAAAATAACGTGTAAATTTAAAAATCACTCAGTTGTTATAGATGTTTATCTTGATATAGGTAAGTATATCTAACTGTATCTTTCTGTGTGTGTGTGTGTGTGTGTGTGTGTGTGTGTTTGCTTATAACTACTTTAATATGATGGTCTCACATTCTATGGTGCTAAAATTCAACAAGGCTGATTCTATAGAGAATACTCTATTACAGCATGAACATTTTGTTTCAGGATTTCCTCTCAATAGGGAAAATTATTGAGTAATTATCTCAAGACATTATTACTTGTTTAAGAGAGAGAGAGAGACAGACAGACAGAAGTGGGGCAAAAATCTATTCTAGAAATGACAGCAGAAGCCAGAAACAACTATTGAAGCTAGAAATAAAATGTCATGACTTAAAAACACAGCCAGTCATGAACTCGGGGCAAAGAAAAAGTGCAGAGCAAAGGCAATTTTATTTCTTTAGAGAATGCTGATGGTGTGAAACTCTAAAGCATATGTCTAAGATTTCTTTTACGTAATTATTACACTCTAACTTAGCTTTAGTAAATATTGCCTTAAATATATTCAATAAAATTTACAGAAATTTTTGGAATTCTTATGAAATGAAGGCATTATGTGCTTTCAATGATCTCAAAGTCCTAAATGAATATGAAGAGCAAACTCTGTTGAGAACTGGGTAATAGTTTCCTTGGTATTAAAAATTTATTTAGTTACACATCTTGCCATTTATTCAATCCCTTGATGTATTAAATTGATAAGATTGTCAGACAGATGAAACAGTTTGAGAAACAGGGTACTTTTATATTGAGTTTTGGAATATGAAATTAGGTGTAGTTTTCTACTGGTTCATATTCTAGTAATGACTTATTTGAATAACTGACACCCAGTATTACCATCAACATGGTCATGGTCATGGAAAACTATCATGATTTAAGCTGGAATTAAAATTTGATTTCTTATATAATTTTATGTAATAAGCATAGTGACTAAGAGCAAAGGCTCTGGGACTAGACTCTCTCGACTACATGTCAACTTCATCACTCATTAGCAACTTTCTATACTCTCATTTTATCAGTCTTTTCACCTGTAGAAAATGAACCATAATGGTAACTGTGCCATGGAGATTTTGTGGAAATCAAATGAGTAATATAGGTTTAGAAGTTGCCTGGCATTCAGTAAGTGCTCAATCAGTGTTAGTAATTATTAAATTTTAATTGATTTCTATATAGTACATGCTTTATATTATCAAATAATTATGTAATGCTAAAATTATTAATTTAGTGTCATGACCTTCACCAATTTAAAAATACATCTTTCTTTACTGCTAAAATCTGAAAATAGAATTGAATTCTACAATTATATACATTTAAAACTCCGTGGTGAATTTTCACTTTGGCCCCACAATTTCAAAGAGAAAATTAGCCATTTTTTTCCCAACGAAATCCCATCTAACATGCATATCAAGATGCCATCTGTTGACTTTAAACGTTTTGTAAATACTCAGAGGAGAGAGAAGCATGTTCACTGTTCTGCTTTTATCAGAAATCTTCAAGAAAGCACTGCTTTGTAATAGTAAATGTTTTCATTGAACTTTTGATAGATTTTTTCCTTTGGTTTGACTTCGCTTCATAAATAGTTGCTTGGCTGCCTCAGTTACATAGTAGTGAAATGTAGTAAAAAAAAGACTTCTCCCTATAGGCTCATTTAAAAGCAATTAAACCCTTATTTCTGGATTAAACATTTCAATTTTTCTTTTCAAAAATAAAGTATTAGGTGTTTTCTTCAAAATACGAAGGTGGTGTATCAATATAGTTATAAACAGTTTTTACAATTTGCCTTGCCTGCATTTTAATTTAAGTACTGGTTTCAGCACTTGTTACCATAAAATATAAATGGTAAAATAATGATAATAAGAGCTATTATGACACACCCACAGCCAATATCATACTGAATGGGCAAAAGCTGGAAGCATTCCCTTCGAAAACCAGCACAAGACAAGCATGCCCTCTCTTACCACTCCTATTCATCATAGTATTGGAAGTTCTGGCCAGGGAGATCAGGCAAGAAAAAGAACTAAAGTTATTCAAATAGGAAGAGAGAAAGTCAAATTATCTCTGTTTGCAGATGACATGACTGCATATTTAGAACACACCATAATCTCAGCCCAAAAACTCCTTGAGCTGATAAGCAACTTCAGCAAAGTCTCAGGATACAAAATCCATGTGTAAAAATCACAAGCATTCCTATACACCAATAATAGACAAACAGAGAGCCGAGTCATGAGCAAACTCACATTCATAATTGCTAAAAAGAGAATAAAATATGTAGGAATATGATTTACAAGGGATGTGAAGGACCTCTTTAAGGAGAACTACAAACCACTGCTCAAGGAAATAAGACAGGACACAAACAAATGGAAAAACATTCCATGCTCATGGATAGGAAGAACCAATATCATGAAAATGGCCATACTGCCCAAAGTAATTTATAGATTCAGTGCTATTCCCATCAAGCTACCATTGACTTTCTTCAAAGAATTAGAAAAAATTACTTTAAATTTCATATGGAACCAAAAAAGAGCACGCATAGCCAAGACAATCCTAAGCAAAAAAGAACAAAGCTGGAGGCATCACACTACCTGATTTCAAAGTATGCTACAAGACTACAGCAGCAAAAACAGCATGGTACTGGTACCAAAACAGATATATAGACCAATGGAACAGAACAGAGGCCTCAGAAATAACATCACTCATCTACAACCATCTGATCTTTGAAAAGCCTGACAGAAGCAAGCAATGGGGAAAGGACTCCCTATTTAATAATGGTGTTGGGAAAACTGGCTAGCCATATGCAGAAAACTGAAACTGGACCCCTTCCTTACACCTTATACAAAAATTAACTCAAGATGGATTAAAGATTTAAATGGAAGACCTAAAACCATAAAAACCCTAGAAAACAACCCAGGCAATACCATTCAGGACATAGGCATGGGAAAGACTTCATGACTAAAACACCAAAAGTAAGGGCAACGAAAGTCAAAAATGACAAATGGGATCTAATTAAACTAAAGAGCTTCTGTACAGCAAAAAAAAAAAAAAAAAAAAAACACTATCATCAGAGTGAATAGGCAACCTACAGAATGGGAGGAGATTTTTTGCAATCTACCCATTTGACAAAGGGCTCATATCCAGAATCTACAGGGAACTTAAACAAATTTACAAGAAAAAAACAAAAAACCCCATCAAAAATCAGGTGAAGGATATGAACAGACACTTTTCCAAAGAAGACATTTATGTGGCCAAGAAACAGATCTCATCATCAATGGTCATTAGAGAAATGCAAATCAAAACCACAATGAGCTACCATCTCATGCCAGTTAGAATGGTGAACATTAAAAAGTCAGGAAACAACAGATGCTGGAGAGGATGTGGAGAAATAGGAACGCTTTTACACTGTTGGTGGAAGTATAAATTAGTTCAACCACTGTGGAAGACAGTGTAGCAATTCCTCAAGGATCTAGAACTAGAAGTATCATTTTACCCAGCAATCCCATTACTGTGTATATACCCAAAGGATTATAAATCATTCCACTAAAGACACAAGCACACGTATGCTTATTGTGACACTATTCACAATAGCAAAGACTTGGAACCAACTGAAATGCTCATCAATGATATACTAAATAAAGAAAATGTGGGCACATGTACACCATGGAACACCATGCAGCCATAAAAAAGGATGAGTTCATGTCCTTTACAGGGACATGGATGAAGCTGGAAACCATCATTCTTAGCAAACTAACACAGGAACAGAAAACCAAACACCGCATGTATTCACTCATAAGTAGGAGTTGAACAATGAGAACATATGGGCACAGGGAGGGGAACATCACACACAGGGGCCTGTGGGGGGTGGGGACCTAGGGGAGGGATGACAATAGGAGAAATACCTAATGTAGATGACAGGTTGATGGGTGCAGCAAACCACCATGGCACAAGAATACCTATGTAACAAACCTGCACGTTCTGCACATGTATCCCAGAACTTAAAGTATAATAATAAAAAAATTAAAAATGAATAATGATGGAATCTACAAATCTTTACTATTTAGTTTTTTTGTTTCATTTTGTTTTGTTTTGTTTGGTTTGGTGGCAAAAATAACAACCCACCTGGAAAAAGATTAGGCCAAGAGAGGAATTAATTGGAAGGCTTATGGAAGGAAACTCAAAGATGCAAGTCTTGTAGTCCTTATCTTTAAATATTTTATGTGTCTGCTTGATTCCCTGCTACTGAACATTTGTTTCTTCTACAAAAGCAGGTCCTTCACTATACTCCACAGTGTCAGCAACCAGGGAAATAAAGACAACCTCCTTGTCTGATCTCAGGTTCAATAATCTCTGCAAAAACTCCAACTGGTTCCACTTGGGTCATATTTCTTGCATCCCCTTTCCCTACTGAATCTCAGTGGCCAGAGCAAAGGGGTTTATGTGAGATAACTCCTTCTAATTGACTCATGATATAAAATATTAACTCTCAGAAGATGGTGTATACTACTGTCCTGAGCAACTAAAGATTACACATCCAAAATACTACCTCTGAATATTAAGTTAAGAAACTTACATGAAGCACTTGGCATGGTGCCTGGCATGGGGCAAAAAATGTTAAGTCAATTTCTTTTGTACACATTCTATAACTCAAAGGGCACATAGAAATTACACAGAGGAAACTATACATTTTGAAGCCACTCTAAGGCTGTAGCATTGGGTGTGACATAGAATAAGAAGGAGAGAGTAATGATATAAAAGGCTGAGAGCTTTGAAGGAGACAGGATCCATGATGAATTTATATGGAGGATTTGAATAATACGTTTTATGGTATCTGGATTTCTCTCATTTTTTCACAAATTCCTCAATGTTTATATGAATTTTGTTATATTTTATTTAAAATGACATTTAAGTTGAATTTATTTTGGTGGCAATTGATAGAAAACAAACAATTTTAAGTGAATTTATTTACTTGGATAACTAAGAATAGAAATATGGTACCTTCAACCTTCAAGATAGGCCTGATTCAGCACCTGCCATAAAAATCTCAGGGATCGTTTTTGCATTGCCTATCTGTTTTTGTAATGTCAGCTTGGTCTTTGGGGTCCATATAATGGTTGTCTTCCCACCATAACTCTTTTGGCTGCCCAAAGCACCTCCCCTAAATGTATGAAAATAGCTACAATAATTTTTAATTTCACATACAATCATTACTTTATTTAGTGGAAGATTTTCTTTGGATTGCTCCAACATATGTTCACCTTTAGAAGTGAAAAATCTTAGCCTCACACTATGGAAAAGTAGTACTTACTCATCAACTGTTCATGTTTTTGTCCGTATGTTTTCTGTGTATTTCCCAGCCTCCTCTAAAATTGGATAGAGGTCATGAGATTACTTCTGCCTAATGGAGTATAAACAACAATGGTATGTCACTGCTAGATTGAGGCTATCAGTGCAACTGTGTTTCCAGCAAGACTCTCATTCCCTTCTTGACAACCTTCAATTTATATGTTTAGGTGGCGGCTTTGCAAGAGGTTGGTATGTTGAACCTCAAAGTCACGGGTTGAAGGGGACATGGATTTTCCTACAATGGACATCATGAGGGAGAAATAAAATTGTGCTTATTTAACCACTGAGATTTGGAGGTTTAATAGTTATTACTACATAATCTACCTATTCTTACTAATACACCCACAAAACCACTTGTTTGCAAAAAGAGTGACAATAAAAATTAACAAGGACTCTTATCTCTGTCACTTAAAATCATAATTATAAGTTATTTCTCTGACTCCTTACCTATTTAGACTTTAGTTCGATGCTTAGAAATAAATAGAAGAGAATGGTGACAAAGAAATAAAAGAGCTTCCAGCAGTAGAATAGTATATTCAAGAAATACCATCACTGGGTTCTAAATGGATTTATCAGGAGTCAAGAACCAATGACCACCTTCAGAAGTCATGTGCCACCACATCTAATGTATCTCTAACAACTGTCAGTTAAAAATCTATTCTCATTAAGGCTATGAAATTTTAATATATTTGAATGGGAAGATTTATTGTGTATAATGATAATACAAAACATTATAATTTATAGCAAAGGATCTGTAACCCATTCAGAAATAAAAATGTTCAATGCATAGTTATTCATAATAGCTCAGATAATTTATCTTATAAAATATATTTGATAAGTTAACAAACTATAAAACTTGGTTTTGTATAATGTATCAAGTGATAAGATATTAAGCTAGATATTCTCTACTCATGGATTCCATGCCTAGATACTTGTTGCTCAGGTCTTACCTGAGAGAAGCAGAATATACAGTAAAGCTAATAGAATGTCTGGGTTCAAATACAGACATACAGTTGATGTGATTGAATGACTCAATTCCTGTGAACCTTGGTTTAGTCATCTGTGGAGTCAGCATACAGTGTATTGTACCAACCAACCAACCAAGACATTTTTGTAAGTGAGCCAACATTACTAATAATAATTGTGTCAAGATAATGAGCATAGCCATATATCACTTTTTGTGTGATGTACCATGCACAACATCTCTGCTACCCATACAAAATGTGATGTATGGTTCTCCTTTTCATTTATAAAATTAAAATTTTTTTAACAGTGAATGCCACAAAGAATTGTTGTACAGAAAACAAATGAGAGAATGAGTTTAAGAGAAGTAATATGGTTAGACATAGGGTTTGGACTTCAGAAGGCCCTTTATCGCAAACACAAGAGTACAAAATGCTAATCCTTCTGCTCCTTGGACTCTGGCATCATTCCTGGCATGAAGCAACCCAGAAACGAAAACATCCACTTTCCTGACAGTCTTTAGCCATCATGGAATCATTCCCCTTTATCTAGCCCTGTGCCTAGGAAAGAAAAGGCACCTGCTTCTCTGATCTGTGAAGATTTGTGGGCTGTATCGTTGCTCAGATGGAGAAAGTACTCTGGTGTAAGAGTACAGGAAGAATTAAAGCAGTAAAAGAGCTTAAGTAAAATTAAAAAAAGCGGTAATTGGCTTTCAGATTGCTTGAATGCAATAGATACTTATAATAAAACTAAATATTTCCTAGTTGAATTAAGCATTTATTTTCTTTTTTGAGGAAATTTGTCTTTATTTATTTATTATTGTTATTATTATTTATCTTACTTTAAGTTCTGGGTTACATGTGCAGAATGTACAGTTTTGTTACATAGGTATACATGTGCCCTGGTGGTTTGCTGCACCAATCAACCTTTTCTTGGTTCTCTTCATGTTGCTTTGCATGGATGCAGGAATATTTATGAGTAAGTACATTTGCAAAAGTTGCACGAAGCAGCTAAAGATATTTTACTTCATTTACATTCACTTTATTTTACATTTTTGATAAAAAATACTATGAATATTACTTTGAATATGATTACACTTTACTTTTTATTATTGTATGACATGTGAAAATTCTGATTATAACATAGTAATCTTTAAAATAAACATAAAAATATATAAAATGGAATGCTTGAGAACTTGTGAATTGTGTATATCATTAATATTTATTTAAGTGTCTTCTTATTTTCAGAACACCTGCACTCTGACATTTTTTGAGCTTTAAGTCATATTAAAGTCATAGATTAGGCAGAGCTAAAAGGACGCAGCATGTTTGGTGGAGTAAAAACCCTGAGAAATCTGTCTCCTCATCTAGCCAAAAATTACACTGGCATAATATCTCTGATGCAACCACTTTTGAACTCTTTTGAGTCTATAGAAAGCTTGTAACTTTTAGGAGAATTTGTAATTAATTTATGTCTTAGCATGGAAATAGCTGTCTATCATTCACCACTTGCTCACATAGCATGTAGCCTGTCATTCTTGGAGCATTTTGCACACAGTTTGTGGGAGTCAGAGTGGGCAATGGGGACCCCATCTTCCAAATACCAACAACCAGCATTCTGATTACTGATTCTGATTGCCAAAATGCTCACATGAGTGTGGGAAATCATTATTGTAAACTTCTCCTGCTGTGGGTGGTGTCTTTCTGGGAATTTAAAGGAACAGAATAATTTTTCTTCTTTCATTTTTCTCTTCTTCCTCTTTTGAGAGCCAGAAATTTAAGAATAAAAACAATCAAAAGCAACTATATAAAGAATTTGAAAAGTCACTGTGTGTGTCTAGGGAACAGCCCAGACTCAGAAAGACCTAAGAAGACATTAAGTTACACTATAGGCTGATACATGGCACAGAAACATCCTGCAACAATTTTTAAATTAAACAATGACAAATAAACAAAACCATCATTTAAAAAACCTAAGGAAGATGGAGAACTAGATCACTACAGTTAGTCTGTTATAAAATTAAAATATCTAGTTTTCAGCAAAATGCATATACACACAGGGTGCACAAAAAACCAAAAGTATGACACATTCAAAAGAAAAATAAATAAATATACAGAAACTGCCTCTGAGAAAGACCAAATGGGCCTACTAGACAATGGCTTTAAAACGAGTATCTTAAAGATATTTGAAGATATCAAATAAGTCATAGGTAAAGTCAAGAAAATGATGTCTAAGCAAAGTGGAAATATCAATAAAGGGAAAATAATAAAAAGGAACCAAAAGGAAATTGTGGAGCTGAAAAGTACAGTAACTAAAATAAAAAATTTACTTGGAGGATTTAAAAACAGACTGTAACAGACAGATAAATGAATTAGTTACTTTAAGATACAACAGTTGAAATTAGTCAGTCTGGGAAACAGAAAAAAAAAAGATTGGAGGGAAGAGAACAGAGCCTAAAGAACCTATGGAACACCATCAAACTGACCAGAGTATACACTGTGGGAGTCTCAGAAAAAGAAGAGAAAGAGCAGATTGTTTGAAAAATATCAGCTGGAAACTTCTCAAATTTGATTAAAAACATGAATATAAATATTCAAGAAGCTCAAAGAACTCCAAGCAGGATAATGCAAAGACACTCACATAAGAGCACATTAAAATGAATCTGTTGAAACCCCAAAACAGAGAGAATATTGAAAGCAGAAAGAAAGAAATGAACTGTCATATGCAACATATTTTCAATAAGACTATGAGAAGATTTTTCATCAGAAACCTTGAAAGCTAGAAGACAGTGGATAGTTATATTCAAAGTGCTAAAGGGGAAAAAAAAGCAAAAACAAAAAAACCTGTCAACCAATAATTCTATGTCCAGCAAAATTATTCTTCACAATTAAAGGAGAAATTAAGATATTTCAAGATAAAGAAAATGTGAGGCATGCCAGGCATGGTGACTTACACCAGTAATCCTAGCACTTTGGGAGGCTGAGGCAGGCAGACTGCCTGAGCTCAGGAGTTCGAGACCAGCCTGGACAATGTACCAACACCTTGTCTCTACTAAAAATACAAAAAATTAGCCAGGTGTGGTGGTACAAAACTGTAATCTCAGCTACTCGGGAGGCTAAGGCGCGAGAAGTGCTTAAACCCAGGAGACAGAGGTTGCAGTGAGACGAGATATCTCCACTGCATTTCAGCCTGGGTGACAGAACAAGACTCTGTCTCAAAAAAAAAAAAGAAAGAAAGAAAAGAAAACGTGAGGGAATTCATTACCACTAGACCTACTTTGTGAGAAATGCTAAAGGAAGTTTATGAGGGCAAAATGAAAGGACACTGGACAGTAATTTGAAACTGTGTGAAGAATTAAGATCCCTGGTAAAGATAAACACATGGAAAATTATAAAAACTAGTTCAATTTGCTGGGCGCAGTGGGTCACGCCTGTTATCCCAGCACTTTGGGAGGCCAAGGCAGGTGGATCACGAGGTCAGGAGTTCAAGACCAGCCTGGCCAACATAGTGAAACCCCATCTCTACCAAAAACACAAAAATTATCTGGGTGTGGTGGCACACACTGGATCATGAGGTCAGGAGTTCAAGACCAGCCTGACCAACATAGTGAAACCCCTGTCTACCAAAAACACAAAAATTAGCTGGGTGTGGTGGCACACACCTGTAGTCCCAGCTACTCAGTAGGCTGAGGAGGGAGAATCTCTTGAACCCAAGAGGCAGACGTTGCAGTGAGCTGAGACCATGCCATTGCACTCCAGCCTGGGTGACAGAGTGAGACTCTGTCTCAAAACAAAACCTAGTTCAATTGTAACTTTAGTTTGTAACTACACTTTTTGTCTTCTACATGATTTAAAAGACTAATGCATTAAAATAATTACTAATTATTTTACTAATAATTATGCATTTGTACACACAATGTACCAAGATGTAATTTTGTGACATCAACAACTAAAAGAAGTGGGAGATAGGGTTGTATGGGAGCAGAGGTTTTTATGTTATTTATGTTAAGCCAGTATAAATTCAAATTATGGTGTTATAACTTTATTATTTTAAATGTGGTCCCTATAGTAACCACAAAGAGAAGCACAAAATATACACAAAAGGAAATAAGAAGGGAACTAAAATGCCTCTCTCCAAAACTCTAACAAGTACAAAAGAAGACAGTAATGCAAGATTTGAAGGACAGGATAAAGCCACAAGGGATATAGAAAAAAATAGATGACAGAAGTTCCTCTTATCAGTAATTACTCTAAATATGAATGAATTACATTCTCTAACTACAAGCAGAGATTGGCAGAATAGATTCTCAAAAGAGGACATAATCCAAGTATATGCTGTCTGTAAGACACATTCAATCTAAACTCATAACTTGAATATGAAAAGATGAAAAATATGATATTCCCTGTAATTAATAGCTAAAAGAAAAAAGGAATGGCCATACTAAAATCAGACAAAATGGATATTAAAACAAAGAAAAAGTTGTAAGAGATAGAAAAAACACTCTGGAAAGTGAGTAAAGTCTCTTAGAGATGCGGAAACTGAGATATAGAAACTTGGAGCTGATGATGCTAGTGGATCAACAATTCTGGGGTCTGGAGGATGCTGGCCCTTTTCTCAAAGCTCCATTAGGCAGTGCCCCAGTGGGGACTTTGTGTGCAGGTTCCAACCCTACATCTTTCCTCTGCACTGCCCTCGTAGAAGTTCTCCATGAGGGCTCCAACCCTGCAGCCAACTTCTGCCTGGGCATCCAGGTATTTTCATATATCCTCTGAAATCTAAGCAGAGGTTCCCCAGCATCAGCTCTTAACCCTCTGTGCACCCACAGTCTTAACATCACATGGAAGCTGCCAAGGCTTAAGGCCTGCACCCTCTGGAGCAATGGCCTGTTATGTATCCCAGGTCCTTTTAGCTACAGCTGGAGCTTGAGTCTGGAACATAGGAAGCAGTGTTTTGAGGTGGCACAGTGCAGCAGGGCCCTGGTCCCAGCCCACAAAACCATTATTTCCTCCTGGGCTTCCAGGCATGTGAAGGTAGGGACTGCCACAAAAGTCTCTGAAATGCTTTCAAGACATGTTTTTTCATTGTCTTGGCTATGAATATTTGGCTCCTTTTTTCTTAGCAAATTCTATAGCTGGTTTAAATTTCTCCTCAGAAAATGGATTTTTCTTTTTTTTTTTTTTTTTTTTTTTTTTGAGATGGAGTTTCACTCTTGTTCCCCAGGCTAGAGTGCAATGGCACAATCTCGGCTCACCACAACCTCTGCCTCCCAGGTTCAAGCGATTCCCCTGCCTCAGCCTCCCGAGTAGCTGGAATTACAGGCATGTGCTACCATACCCAGCTATTTTTTTGTATTTTTAGTAGAGATGGGATTTCTCCATGTTGGTCAGGCTGGTCTCTAACTCCTGACCTCAGGTAATCCACCTGCCTCAGCCTCCCAAAGTGCTGAAATTATAGCCATAAGCCACTGTGCCCCGTCTGGATTTTTCTTTTTTACCACATGGTCAGGCCTGCAAATTTTCTAAACTTTTACATTCTGCTTCCCTTTGAAATATAAGTTCTGGCCGGGTTGTATTTTTGCTCATGCATATGTGCATACACAGTTAGAAGCAGCCAGGTCACAACTTGAATGCTTTACTGCTTAGAAATTTTTTCCGCCAGATAGCCTAAATCATCACTGTCAAGTTCAAAGTTCTACAGATCTCTAGGGCAGGAACACAATGTCTCCTACCTCTTTGCTAACTCATAACAAAAGTGACTTTTGCTTCAGTTCTCAATAAGTTCCTCTTCTCCATCTGAGACCACCTCAGTCTGAACTTTACTGTCCATATCAGTATCTGCATTTTGGTTACAAACATTCAACAATTCTCTAGGAAGTTTCAAACTTTCTCTCATCTTCCTGTCATCAGAGCCCTCCAAACTGTTCCAACCTCTGCCTGTTACCTAGTTTCAAAGTCACTTCCACATTTTCAGGTATCTATAGCAATGCCTCACTTTTAGGTAACAATTTTCTATATTAGTTTGTTCTCACATTGCTATAGAGAACTACATGAGTCTGGGTAATTTATAAAGTAAAGAGGTTTAATTGACTCACAGTTCCTCAGGCTGTACAGGAAGCATGGCTGGGGAGGCCTTGAGAAACTTACAATCATGCCAGAAGGCAAAGGGAAAGTAGGCATGTCTTACATTACCAGAGAAGGAGGAAGAGAGAGTAGGGAGATGGTGATACACACTTTTAGGCAACCATACTTTATGAGAACTCACTCAGTATCATGAGAACAGTAAGGAGGAAGTCTGCCCTATGATCCAATCACCTCCCACTAGGCACCTCCTCCAATATTGGGTGTTACAATTCAACATGAGATTTGGGTAGGGACAAAAATGCAAACCATATCGCTAATAAAATTAAGGCAGAAATCAAGAAGTTTTTTGAAACTAATGAGAATAAAGATACAGCATACCAGATTTTCTGGGACACAGGTAAGCTAGTGTTCAGAGGGAAATTTATAGCACTAAACACTAACACCAGAAAGTTAGAAAGATCTCAATTTAACAACCCAACATCAAAACTAAAAGTGCTAGAGAACCAACTAAAAGTGCTAGAGAACCAAAGCTAGCAGAAGACAGGAAATAGCCAAAATTAGAGTTGAACTGAGGGAGACTGAGACACAATAAACCATTGAAAAGATCAACAAATTCAGGAGTTTGTTTTTAGAAAAAAGTAATAAGACAGATAGACCACTAGATAGACTAAGAAAGAAGAAAAGAGAGAAGAGCCAAATAAACACAATTAGAAATGTCTAAGGGGATATTACCACTGACTCCACAGAAATAAAAATAACCATCAGAGATGACTATGAGCACCTCTATTCATAAACTAGAAAATCAAGATGAAATGAATTAATTCCTAGACACATACACCCTCCTAATACTAAACTAAGAAGAAATTAAATCCAAGAATATACCAACAACACACTTGGATCAGTAACAAAAAGTCTACCGATAAAATAAAAGCCCAAGACCAGATGGATTCACAGCTGAATTCTCCCAGATTTTCAAAAACAGCTCATACCATTCCCACTGAAACTATTTCAAAAATTGAGGATGTGGGACTCCTCCACTATTCATTCTATGAGTCTGGCATCATTCTAATACTAAAACCTGGGAGAGACACAACAACAACTACAACAACAAAACATCAGGACAATATCCTTGATAAACTTTAATGCAAAAATCCTCAACAAAACACTGGCAAACTGAATCCAGCAGTACATCAAAAAGCTAGTCTACTACGATTAACAAGGCCTTATCCCTGGGATGCCAGGTTGGTTCAACATATGCAAATCAAGAAATGTGATTCATCACATAAACAGAACTAAAGACAAAAAGCACATGGTTATCTCAATAAATGCAGAAAAAGCTTCTCATAACACTGAACATCCCTTCATGTTAAAAACTTTCAATAAACTGGGGACTAAAGGAACATACCTCAAAATAATAAGAGCCATATATGACAAAACTACAGCCAACATCATAGTGAATGGGCAAAAGCTGGAAGCTTCCCCTCGAAAACAAGACAAGGATGCCCTCTCTCACCAATTATCTTCAACATAGTATTGAAAGTTCTGGCCAGAGCAATCAGGCAAGAGAAAGAAATAAAGGCATCCAAATAGGAAGAGCAGAAGTCAAATTATCTCAGTTTGCAGATGATATGATTCCATATTTAGAAAATTCCATAATCCCTGCTCAAACATTTCTTGATGTGATAACCAACGTCAGCAAATTTTTAGGATACAAAGTCAATATACAAAAATCAGTAGCATTTCTATACATGAACAACAGCCAAGCCAACAGGCAATTCAGTAATGCAATCCCATTCACATTTGTCGGAAAAAGAATAAAATACCTAAGAATACAGCTGATCAGAGAGGTAAAAAATCTCTACAATAAGAATTTCAAACAAATCAGAGATGACATAATCAAATGAAAAAATGTTCCATGTTCATGGATAGGAAAAATCATTATTATTAAAATGGCCATACTGCCCAAAGCAATGTATGGATTCAATACTATTCCTAATAAATTATGAACAACATTCTTCAGCTTTTACAATAATAAACAAAAGCCATTTTAAAATACATATAGAGCCAAAAAAGGTCTTGTATAGAAAAACAATCCTAAATCCTAAATCCAAAAAGAACAAAGCTGGAGGCATCATGTTACCCAACATCAAACACAGGGCTATAATAACCAAAACAGCATGTACTGGTAGAAAAACAGACATAGCCAATAGAAGTCAATAGAGAGTTTAGAAATACTGCTGCATGGTTATAACCATCTGATCTTTGACAAAGCTGACAAAAACAAGCAGTGTGGAAGAGACCCCTCTGCCATTCAATAAATGGTGCTGGGATAGCTGACTATCCATATGCAGAAGCTTGAAACTGGACCCCTTCTTTATATCATATACAAAAATCAACTTGAGATGGCATAAAGACTTAAATGTACAACCCAAAACTATAAAAACCCTGGAAAATAACTTAGGCAATACCATTCTGCACAGAGGAATAGGCAAAGATTTCATGATGAAGATGCCAAAAACAATTGTGACAAAAGCAAAAATTGACAAATGGGATCTATTTTATATAAAGAGCTTCTGCTCAGCAAAAGAAACTATCAACAGAGTAAACAGACATACTACAGGGTGGCAGAAAATTTTGCAAACTATGCATCTGACAAAGGTCTAATATCCCGCATCTATAAGAAAAGTTAACAAATTTACAAGATAAAGCAAACAACCCCATTAAAAAGTGGACAAAAGACAAAAACAGACACTTTTCAAAACAAAGTATACATGCAGCCAACAAACATATGAAAATAAGCTCAATATGACTAATCATTAGAAAAATGCAAACCAAAACCACAATGAAATACCATCTCACACCAGACTAGCTATTACTCCAAAGTCAAAAAATAACAGATGTTGCTGAGGTTGCAAAGAAAAAGGAACACTTAGACATTGTTGGTGGTGTTAGTTCGACCAATGTGAAAGACAGTCTGACAATTCCTCAAAGAGCTAAAAACAGAACTACTATTTGACCCAGCAATCCTATTACTGGGTTTATAACCAAAGGAATATAAATCACTGTAACATAAAGACACATGCACATGTATGCTTATTGCAGCCCCATTCACAAAAGCAAAGACATGGAATCAACCTAAATGCCCATTAATGGTAGACTGGAAAAAGAAAATGTGGTACATAAACACTATGGAATACTATGCAGCCATAAAAGAGTGAGATCATTTCTTTTACAAGAACATAAATGGAGCTGGGTGCCAATATCTTTAGTAAACTAACACTGGAACAGAAAATCAAATACTGCATGTTCTCACCTATAAGTATGAGCCAAATGATGCGAACACATGGACACTTACAGACACTGGGGCCTACGTGATGGTGGAGGGTGAGAGGTGATAGAAGTAGAAAAAATAACTATCAGGAATAGACTTAGTACCCAGGTGATGAAATAATCTGTACAACAAACCCCTTTGACAGGAGTTAACCTGTGTAACAAACCTGAATGTGTACCCCCAAACCTAAAATACAAGTGTAAACAAGTAACGACTACATTTTTTCAAAAAAACTAAATGGGACCATTGCCGCCTCTTTAGTATTGTTATAAACAGAAATTGTGATAGTGTTTGTAGGCTCATGGCAGAAAGTAGGTCTTCAATTTAATATTAGTAAAACTTGAAAACAATAGGCTTACTTATATATTTTGGTTTTGACATGAAGATGTTTGTCAAGAAAGAAAAGTAATTTTTAACATTTTGCAAGGTAATTTATAACTTCTAGATATTTGAACATTCAAATATTTATTGTGTTAATCTAAGCCTGATAATGTTGGATGGATGGGTGGGAGTGTTGTTTAAATCACTCTGATATTTCATAGTAGGGTAAGAAATGTTAGCTGTTACAACAAAAATGATATTAAACAAGACCAGTGGTTCTCAACATTCACTGCAAATGAAAGCCAGTGGGGAGATTTAAAAAGATAGAAATGTTTGGGCCTCACTTTCCTTTCCTGTCTGGATTATGATTTCATTGATTTAACATCGTTCTGGGATTTGGTATTTCATTTTAATTCAAATTGAAATTTGAATCTAGAGTTATGAATTACTGGGCTAGAGAATAGTGGTTCTCAGACACTAGCATTCCTCAGAGTAACCTGGAAGGCTTATTAAGACACATATTGCTGGGCCTCACCTAAAGAGTTTTTAATTCACTAGGTCTTGAGTGGGCCCAAGAAGCCACATTTTCTAAGATATTTTTAGGTATGCTAATGCTGCTAGTCCAGGGATTAGACTATGAAGACCATAGGACTAATAATAGTTCTTAAAATTTTAGAAATCATAGGCTATTTCAAGAATAATAATAGATGCTATTAACATTCCCAACCCCCTAAAAGTGTACGTGTGTATATATATGTGTGTGTGTGCATATATGTATATATGTATATGTATATATACACACATGCATATACATATAAATTATATATACAATGTGTATATATATAATTTATATATATAAATTCAAAATATTGCATACACTTTCAGAGATTTCACAAATTCACTGAAACACCTCCATTGAACTTTTAAGAGTTCAAACATTTGAGGCTACAACTCTTGAACTAAATAATTTCTGATATTGTCATCTCTTTAGCTCAAAAATCCAATGTCATCATTTTCCTTTGAGAAATAATTTTATTGCAAATAAAAAATTAAAGCATTATACTACCATTGAAGAATTTATACAGAAAAACAATGAAATTGTTTAAATACACAAAACATGATTTGAAATCTTAGATTAAGAATTAATCAAAGATGGCTGAATAGGAACAGCTCCAGTCTACAGCTCCCAGCATGAGCGATGCAGAAGACGGGTGATTTCTGCATTTCCATCGGAGGTACCGGGTTCATCTCACTAGGGAGTGCCAGACAGTGGGCACAGGTCAGTGGGTGCAGCGCACCATGCGTGAGCCAAAGCAGGGTGAGGCATTGCCTCACTCGGGAAGCACAAGGGGTCAGGGAGTTCCCTTTCCTAGTCAAAGAAAGTGGTGACAGACGGCATCTGGAAAATTGGGTCACTCCCACATGAATACTGAGCTTTTCTGACGGGCTTAAAAAACGGCACACCAGGAGATTATATCCCGCACCTGGCTCGGAGGGTCCTACGCCCACGGAGTCTCACTGATTGCTAGCACAGCAGTCTGAGATCAAACTGCAAGGCGGCACCGAGGCTGGGGGAGGGGCGCCCGCCATTGCGCAGGCTTGCTTAGGTAAACAAAGCAGCTGGGAAGCTCCAACTGGGTGGAGCCCACCACAGCTCAAGGAGGCCTGCATGCCTCTGTAGGCTCCACCTCTGGGGGCAGGGCACAGACAAACAAAAAGACAGCAGCAACCTCTGCAGACTTAAATGTCCCTGTCTGACAGCTTCGAAGAGAGCAGTGGTTCTCCCAGCATGCAGCTGGAGATCTGAGAACAGGCAGACTGCCTCCTCAAGTGGGTCCCTGACACCTGACCTCCGGGCAGCCTAACTGGGAGGCACCACCCAGCAGGGGCAGACTGACACTTCACACGGCCGGGTACTCCTCTGAGACAAAACTTCCAGAGGAACGATCAGACAGCAGCATTTACGGTTCATGAAAAACCGCTGTTCTGAAAACACCGCTGCTGATACCCAGGCAAACAGGGTCTGGAGTGGACCTCTAGCAAACTCCAACAGACCTGCAGCTGAGGGTCCTGTCTGTTAGAAGAAAAACTAACAGAAAGGAAATCCACACCAAAAACCCATCTGTACATCACCATCATCAAAGACCAAAAGTAGATAAAACCACAAAGATGGGGAAAAAACAGAGCAGAAAACAGGAAACTCTAAAAAGCAGAGCGCCTCTCCTCCTCCAAAGGAACACAGTTCCTCACCAGCAATGGAACAAAGTTGGACAGAGAATGACTTTGAAGAGCTGAGAGAAGAAGGCTTCAGACGATCAAACTACGAGCTACAGGACGGAACTCAAACCAAAGGCAAAGAAGTTAAAAACTTTGAAAAAAATTTAGATGAATGTATAACTAGAATAACCAATACAGAGTAGTGCTTAAAGGAGCTGATGGAGCTGAAAGCCAAGGCTCGAGAACTATGTGAAGAATGCAGAAGCCTCAGGAGCTGATGTGATCAACTGGAAGAAAGGGTATCAGCAATGGAAGATGAAATGAATGAAATGAAGCGAGAAGGAAAGTTTAGAGAAAAAAGAATAAAAAGAAGTGAACAAAGCCTCCAAGAAATATGGGACTATGTGAAAAGACCAAATCTACGTCTGATTGGTGTACCTGAAAGTGATGGGGAGAATGGAACCAAGTTGGAAACAGTCTGCAGGATATTACCCAGGACAACTTCCCCAATCTAGCAAGGCAGGCCAACATTCACATTCAGGAAATACAGAGAACACGACAAAGATACTCCTCGAGAAGAGCAACTCCAAGACACATAATTGTCAGATTCACCAAAGTTGAAATGAAGGAAAAAATGTTAAGGGCAGCTAGAGAGAAAGGTCGGGTTACCCACAAAGGGAAGCCCATCAGACTAACAGCAGATCTCTCGGCAGAAACTCTACAAGCCAGAAGAGAGTGGGGGCCAATATTCAACATTCTTAAAGAAAAGAATTTTCAACCCAGAATTTCATATCCAGCCAAACTCAGCTTCATAAGTGAAGGAGAAATAAAATACTTTACAGACAAGCAAATGCTGAGAGATTTTGTCACCACCAGGCCTGCCCTAAAAGAGCTCCTGAAGGAAGCACTGAACATGGAAAGGAACAACCAGTACCAGCCGCTGCAAAATCATGCCAAAATGTAAAGACCATCGAGACTAGGAAGAAACTGCATCAACTAAGGAGCAAAATAACCAGCTAACATCATAATGACAGGATCAAATTCACACATAACAATATTAACCTTAAATGTAAATGGACTAAATGCTCCAATTAAAAGACACAGACTGGCAAATTGGATAAAGAGTCAAGACCCGTCAGTGTGCTGTATTCAGGAAACCCATCTCACATGCAGAGACACACATAGGCTCAAAATAAAAGGATGGAGGAAGATCTACCAAGAAAATGGAAAACAAAAAAAGGCAGGGGTTGCAATCCTAGTCTCTGATAAAACAGACTTTAAACCAACAAAGATCAAAAGAGACAAAGAAGGCCATTACATAATGGTAAAGGGATCAATTCAACAAGAAGAGTTAACTATCCTAAATATATATGCACCCAATACAGGAGCACACAGATTCATAAAACAAGTCCTGAGTGACCTACAAAGAGACTTAGATTCCCACACATTAATAATGGGAGACTTTAACACCCCACTGTCAACATTAGACAGATCAACAAGACAGAAAGTTAACAAGGATACCCAGGAATTGAACTCAGCTCTGCACCAAGCGGACGTAATAGACATCTACAGAACTCTCCACCTCAAATCAACAGAATATACATTTTTTTCAGCACCACACCTATTCCAAAATTGACCACATATTTGGAAGTAAAGCACTCCTCAGCAAATGTAAAAGAACAGAAATTACAACAAACTGTCTCTCAGACCACAGTGCAATCAAACTAGAACTCAGGATTCAGAAACTTACTCAAAACCGCTCAACTACATGGAAACTGAACAACCTGCTCCTGAATGACAACTGGGTACATAACGAAATGAAGGCAGAAATAAAGATGTCCTTTGAAACCCACGAGAACAAAGACACAACATACCAGAATCTCTGGGACACATTCAAAGCAGTGTGTAGAGGGAAATTTATTGCACTAAATGCCCACAAGAGAAAGTAGGAAAGATCCAAAATTGACACCCTAATATCACAATTAAAAGAACTAGAAAAGCAAGAGCAAACACATTCAAAAGCTAGCAGAAGGCAAGCAATAACTAAGATCAGAGCAGAACTGAAGGAAATAGGGACACAAAAAAACCCTTCAAAAAATTAATGAATCCAGGAGCTGGTTTTTTGAAAGGATCAACAAAATTGATAGACCACTAGCAAGACTAATAAAGAAAAAAAGAGAGAAGAATCAAATAGACGCAATAAAAAATGATAAAGGGGATATCACCACCGATCCCACAGAAATACAAACTACCATCAGAGATTACTACAAACAACTCTACTCAAATAAACTAGATAATCTAGAAGAAATGGATAAATTCCTCGACACATACACCCTCCCAAAACTAAACCAGGAATAAGTTGAATCTCTGAATAGACCAATAACAGGAACTGAAGTTGTGGCAATAATCAATAGCTTACCAACAAAAAAAGAGTTCAGGACCAGATGGATTCACAGCCAAATTCTACCAGAGGTATAAGGAGGAACTGGTACCATTCCTTCTGAAACTATTCCAATCAATAGAAAAAGAGGGAATCCTCCCTAACTCATTTTATGAGGCCAACATCATCCTGATACCAAAGCTGGGCAAAGACACAACGAAAAAAGAGAATTTTAGACCAATATCCTTGATGAACATTGATGCAAAAATCCTCAATAAAATACTGGCAAACCGAATCCAGCAGCACATCAAAAAGCTTATCCACCATGATCAAGTGGGTTTCATCCCTGGGATGCAAGGCTGGTCAATATACGCAAATCAATAAATGTAATCCAGCATAATAAATAGAACCAAAGACAAAAACCACATGATTATCTCAATAGATGCAGAAAAGGCCTGTGACAAAATTCAACAACTCTTCATGCTAAAAACTCTCAATAAATTAGGTATTGATGGGACATATCTCAAAATAATAAGAGCTATCTATGACAAACCCACAACCAATATCATACTGAATGGGCAAAAACTGGAAGCATTCCCTTTGAAAACTGGCACAAGACAGGGATGCCCTCTCTCACCACTCCTATTCAACATAGTGTTGGAAGTTCTGTCCAGGGCAATTAGGCAGGAGAAGGAAATAAAGGGTATTCAATTAGGAAAAGAGGAAGTCAAATTGTCCCTGTTTGTAGACGACATGATTGTATATCTACAAAACCCCATTGTCTCAGCACAAAATCTCCTTAAGCTGATAAGCAACTTCAGCAAAGTCTCAGGATACAAAATCAATGTAGAAAAATCACAAGCATTCTTATACACCAATAACAGACAAACAGAGAGCCAAATCATGAGTGAACTCCCATTCACAATTGCTTCAAAGAGAATAAAATACCTAGGAATCCAACTTACAAGGGACGTGAAGGACCTCTTCAAGGAGAACTGCAAACCACTGCTCAACGAAATAAAAGAGGATACAAACAAATGGAAGAACATTCCATGCTCATGGGTAGGAAGAAACAATATCATGAAAATGGCCATACTGCCCAAGGTAATTTATAGATTCAATGCCATCCCCATCAAGCTACCAATGACTTTCTTCACAGAATTGGAAAAAACTACTTTCAAGTTCATATGGAACCAAAAAAGAGCACGCATTGCCAAGTCAATCCTAAGCCAAAAGAAGAAAGCTGGAGGCATCACACTACCTGACTTCAAACTATACAAGGCTACAGTAACCAAAACAGCATGGTAGTGGTACCAAAACAGACATATAGACCAATGGAACAGAACAGAGCCCTCAGAAATAACACCGCATATCTACAACTATTTGATCTTTGACAAACCTGAGAAAAACAAACAATGGGGAAAGGATTCCCTATTTAATAAATGGTGCTGGGAAAACTGGCTAGCCATATGTAAAAAGCTGAAACTGGATCCATTCCTTTCACCTTATACGAAAATTAATTCAAGATGGATTAAAGACTTAAACGTTAGACCTAAAACCATAAAAACCCTAGAAGAAAACCTAGGCATTACCATTCAGGACATAGGCATGGGCAAGGGCTTCATGTCTAAAATACCAAAAGCAATGGCAACAAATGCCAAAATTGACAAATGGGATCTAATTAAACTAAAGAGCTTCTGCACAGCAAAAGAAGCTACCATCAGAGTGAACAGGCAACCCACAAAATGGGAGAACATTTTCACAACCTACTCATCTGACAAAGGGCTAATATCCAGAATCTACAATGAACTCAAACAAATTTACAAGAAAAAAACAAACAACCCCATCAAAAAGTGGGCAAAGGATATGAACAGACACTTCTCAAACGAAAACATTTATGCAGCCAAAAACCTCATGAAAAAATGCTCATCATCACTGGCCATCAGAGAAATGCAAATCAGAACCACAATGAGATATCATCTCACACCAGTTAGAATGGCAATCATTAAAAAGTCAGGAAACAACAGGTGCTGGAGAGGAAGTGGAGAAATAGGAACACTTTTACACTGTTGGTGGGACTGTAAACTAGTTCAACCATTGTGGAAGTCAGTGTGGCAATTCTTCAGGGATCTAGAACTAGAAATACCATTTGACCCAGCCATCCCATTACTGGGTATATACCCAAAGGACTATAAATCATGCTGCTATAAAGACACATGCACAGATATGTTTATCGCGGCACCATTCACAATAGCAAAGACTTGGAACCCACCCAAATGTCCAACAATGATAGACTGGATTAAGAAAATGTGGCACATATATACCATAGAATACTATGCAGCCATAAAAAAGGATGAGTTCATGTCCTTTGTAGGGACATGGATGAAATTGGAAATCATCATTCTCAGTAAACTATTGCAAGAACAAAAAACCAAACACCGCATATTCTCACTCATAGGTGGGAATTGGACAATAAGAACACGTGGACACAGGAAGGGGAACATCACACTCTGGGGACTGTTGTGGGGTGTGGGGAGGGGGAGGGATAGCACTGGGAGATATACCTAATGCTAGATGACGAGTTAATGGGTGCAGCACACCAGCATGGCACATGTATACATATGTAACTAACCTGCACATTGTGCACATGTACCCTAAAACTTAAAGTATAATAAAAAAAATAAATAAATAAAGAATTTACCTTGCTTTCATGTAACTTTTTTCTTATTTTTTACATTTATATTTTTTCTATTTTAGCGTAGGAAATAGGGTTCATCTTAAGTAATTTTTTACAATTATTTTTAGCTTTTCTTTAATAAAAGACTAAATATTTTATTGACATACAATAATCAATTCCACACTTTTGTTTTTGTTTCAATTTTAATTTATTTAATAATATATATTTAGAGTCTGTTAGTTCACGGCACTGTGCTTGGTGATGGGGATAGTACTAGGTTAAGGCCTTTCTCTTTATTTTAATCATTGCTGCTCTCCTAACTTTAGGTAAAACAAATTCACAATTTATTTTCTGTATTGGGAAGAATGCCTTATAGTTGAGACATGCAAATATATATATTTTAATTTTTAATGGTTTTTGTTTAACTTTTTAACATTTTTATGTAAAATTATTTTATTCATTAGAACATATAAATAAATGAATGAATAAATAAACACTCTAAGCATAAATATAAATGGAAAACAAGAGGCTTAATTCTCCCTGGTGAAAAAGCAGGAAGAAATTTCTCTCACTTGTCAGAGCATTACCTTGGAAAACTTGAAATTGTGAATACTTTCTTATGGCTTTTTGTTGCATATAAATCCTTTTGAAGATTGAATATGCCTTTTGTCAGCTTGATGACCCAAGAGTGTATTTCTCCAGAACCTGAGAGCCATGTCTTTGGAATGTATGCAAGGAAGAGAGCATCTCTCCCAGTTTCCATGAAAGAGCAGAGCCTAACTTCAGTGGGCACCTTGCTCCAAGTTGTAAAACTACTTCCTATCACAAAGATATGAGAAGTTTGTTTCTCCTCTGGATCAAGCCAATTAACTAACACAGATGGTCACCCCAATTACCAGATCAATTAAAAATAAACTATGTGTGACTAATGGTACCGTCATGTCCTCTTTCCTGAGAACTAGTTATTGTTTATCTTGAAAACATGCACATAATAGGTTGTATCTGCTTGTCTATATAAAAAGGTGAGGTTTACTTTTGTCCTTGCAGTCCCGTAGGAAGCAGATTGCCTGGTATTGATGTTTAAGTGTTACCAATGGAGTGGCAAATATTTACGATACTAAAGTAAATGTGAAAACAAGAAAAAGAACTTAAATGTAAGATGGAAGTTTTCCAAAAGCCTTTCATATTTTCACTGTGAGCTATTCTTCCACCCTCATTCAAACATATCTGCTTCAATATCTTCATGTTCCAATTAAGCAAATTATTTGGTGGCTTTTACAGACACCTCATGCTTCTACTTTTGCACTTTAGCACACCCTCTCTTTTCAAATGAATGTGCTTCTTCCATCTCCAAATATTAAATAATATATATCTTTATTTATACTCTTATTACAAAATTTATTTACCTACCTGTATGTGTTTCTATGTGCATGTGCTTTATGTTCCTGTGATACTGTAATCCTCATAGGCAGAATCTGTGATTTGTTTACCTTCTTCAGAAAAACAAGACTGGAAGATCTGAAAGAAATAACATAGTGATGGCCAGAGGCATTGCATATAAGAAATGCCTCAGATGAGAGCCACTCCACATTTTTCTAGCATCATAATTGCTATAATTGTTTTTACTTCATATAGCATATTTAGACATGCATACCATCTCTTATCTCTTACCACAGTTCTGAGTTATCTTGAAAAATTTCTCCTATTGAGCCTCAAAAATTTACAATAAACATTTGTATGTTTATTTTAAGATGATTAGCATCATGCTTAATATTTATTATAATCCATGCTATATCTATTACAGAAGCCCAAAAAATTCTAATGAAATCATCATAAATGATGCTGATCATTCTTTAATGTATCAAATCAAATGACAAGTGAAAAACTATAGTTTGGTTGACTTCACATTGGAAATGGTTAGGAGGGGATACAATGTCATGTTTTGCTGAATTGGTTTTTGTTTTTCTATTAAATATACTCTTCTTTCTAAAATGTAAACAAGAAAAGTCAATTAAATATTACCCTAAACTAGCAAAGTATAAGCATAATGACGCCCCAAAGCGTTTTCACAGTTTACAGGCCTCAGAATTGAGAGAGCATTTCAAAATGTTGAGTGAGGTAATTTCTGTAAATAATTTCTAAAAGTCAGTGCTTTACAAATATTTGTTTTAGAACATGGAATTTAAGCTTACACTACTAGCAAAAACATAGAATAAACCTTAGAAAATTCTATTTTTTGACAATAGGCAAGAGAAGAGAAAGGATCAAGGAAATGGCTTAACAGCAAAATGGGAAAAATATTTTTAAAAACTTTAAATATTTAAAAAATCAACATCTTAAAGCTAAAAAGTGTTTTTATTTTTTGAAGAGTACAGAAAGATTCCTAGGGAAAAGTGGTAACCTAAGTAAAAACATAAACATGATTTGGGCCTCTGCTTTATCTTCACCCCAGAATCATCCTCCTAAACTTTAAAATAGGAGATACTTTGCACAAGCTCTGTTGGCAGTAGAGCCCAATGACTACCAAGAGCAACAACTCCTACGTGCCGAAGTCAGTCTGATTAATTTTATTTGCAATCAACAGAGTTCTGAATGACACAGTCAGCTACACTAGACAAGGGGTGAATGACAATGAAGGAGGAAGTGACAGTAATGCAGTGGATAGAAAGGCATGATTAACAAAGAAAGCGCAATTCTTCATTGACCAGAAGATAGGAATTGCTGTCCAGTAACGTTAGACAAGCAACTACAATGGCAGTTTTAATAGTGAAGGTAAAGCAAATCTATCATTATTAGCATATGGCAAAGTTATCTGGAAGATTCATCTGAAATATATATATATAAAGTGAGCCTGGCCAACATGGTGAAACCCTATCTCTACTAAAAAAATACCAAAAAAATTAGCCAGGCTTGGTGGTGGGTGCCTGTAATCCCAGCTGCTGGGAGGCTGAGGCAGGAGAATCACTTGAACCCAGGAGGCGGAGGTTGCAGTGAGCTAAGGTCATGCCACTGCACTCCAGCCTGGGCAACAAGAGTGAAACTCCGTCTAAAAATGAAAAAAAAAAAAGTGAGTGTTCAATGAAAATATCTTACATTATAATACACCAAAACATATAGCTTTGTATAAAAAATAATAACCAATTAGTCAACTTAATAAAAATGTTTCAAGAAATGATAGAAGCTACACAAATAATTTAATAAAAATAAAATAATCATAACAAATAAAGGAAAGACATGAATAAATAGAGATAAAAAACTAGGAGATAGATAGAAGGCCAAAGCAGAGGATAACACCAAATATCCACACACTTCAAAAATAATGTTTTAGGTTTGTTATTAAATAAAGCATACAAGAAAGCTATCAATTATCTAAGGGGTGTAAAAAAAATAGAAGCTCATGATTAAAACATATGAAGCTTCACCCAGGGAAATGGGATACACATCTTCATCAACATTAATGAGTACTAGAATGCATATGAGACCAAAAGCCATACCATCTAACCACAGTGATGCAAGCTTCAATATACCAGTGAAAAACATTTTTAATTATCCCACTCCTCATAACCTGTCAATTTCCTTAATGGTGGTTTAGCTTTCACATGTATTTCTACACATTAAAAATAAAGGACAACAAATTTTAACTAGAATCTAATTCAACTCAATTTAATCCAAGTGTGTCAGGAAAAATAAAACAGCTTGTCATTGAAAATCTGCATTATGAATGACAGTTTCAAAATCTGAGCCAACATAACTGTAAGTTAAAATTAAATTGCCTTTGAGTTTAAACAAATGTTAATTTAAATATGTCTCCTTTTTAACTTCATAAAATTCTCAGGTTTTCATAAGTAACTACATTTTAAAGAAAATAATTTTTAGTCTAATATGAATTTTGTATGAATATTTTGGCCATATAAATCATAAATATTTTTTAAGTGTTTCCTTGGTATTTTATCTCTGTATCTCACTAAGTCTAGTGCTTTAAGTGAACAAACTCAAATTAAATATGGAATTGTATGGCCAATCTGGGAAGATATGAATATTGATGAAACTCTTATGTCAGTGTAAAAACATTAGGTTTTCAGCCAAGAAATCTTAATTTATATTATAGAACATATGTATATGCTTTATACAATAGATCAAAATTTATTTTTAGAAACTGTGAATTGGGACTCGGTTTTTCATTTTTGTTTGTTTCAATAAACAACTGATATTATCAGTTCAGGTATCTTTAGAAAGAAACTATGACACAAACTTATTTAAACAGTAAGGGCTGCTTCCTATCTCACATAATACAATATCTGAGTTAAGGCAGGTATACAATTGATTGATATGAAACCTTTAACACACTGTCAAAGACCTAAGTTTCATTTTGAATACTCGAGATGCTTTTTATCATCATAAGACGCAGGGTTCCAAGCACGATATCCGTATATAACATCATTCTAAAGATAGTGTCCCATCTTGTACATCTCATTTCAGATGGAAGTGAACTATTCCCAAAAGATCTCTGACCCACCATATTTTCTCATAATTATCCAAAATTTAATTTTAAAATTTAATTTAATTTAAGTCTACTTCAAGATTGGAATTTAGCCTTAACCAGGATAGAGTTAACTTCACCTGAGCTGAGTTTCTATTAAGAAGCACCATAAAATATTTAAATAAAAAAGTATATGTCCTCACCTCAGGCAATTCATAATATTTCCAATATAATATTCAATATTAATATCATGTCAAAAAATCATTACTATTTCTTTCCTCTGAAGAATTAAAGACATTAAAAGAATTCTGACATGCGAACCAAAAGATCTCATCTAAGACCTGCCATTCTCCAGTCATGTAATCTTTGATAAGTTTTATATATATATATATAAACTTGATTTATATATTTGAAAAATAAGAATAAAATTAATAGCCCTGTAAGCACTTTAGAACTTGAGATGCAAACAGCTATGTATTTCAATGTACTTTAAAAATTATAATGTAGTGTATAAATTTGAATTATACTTATTATTTATTGCTTGATATCTTGTCACAGAATTAAAAGATAAAAATAAAATAGTCACTATTTAAACTTAACTCATATCTACATATCAATTTTGTTCCAATGGGGAAGCAAGTTGGCAGTAGAAAAGTAATGAAGAGTAGACTATTCAATGAGATGTATTCAGAAAATAATAAAAATTTTCTTCTTTACACCACTGCAATTGCAATGATTTCCACTCTAGGATGTTTCATCTTACAAGCAAAGTCAGCAATAGGTTTTTTAAAATATTTTTAATTTATGTGGGTACATGGTAGGTAGATACATTGATAGGGTACATAAGATATTTTGATATAGGCATGCAATATGTAATAATCACATTGTGAAAAATGAGTATCCACCCCTTCAAGCATTTATCCTTTGTGTTACAATTAAATTTACTCTTAGTTATTTTAAAATGTACAATTAAATTATAATTGACTATAGTCACCCTATTTTGCTATCAAATACTTGGTTTATTTATTCTTTTTTTGTACCCGTTAACAATCTCCATCTCCTCTTCACCCCTCACTACCCTTCCAAGCTCTAGGAAATATCCTTCTACTCTCTATCTACATGAGTTCAATTGTTTTGATTTTTAGATCCAACAAATAACTGAGAACATGGCTTATAGCCAAAAGATAGGCAATAACAAATGCTGGCAAGGATCTGAAGGAAAAGGAACGCTCTTACACTGTTTGTGGGAATGTAAATGAGTACAACCACTATGGAGAATAGATTTGAGATTCTCCCCAAAACTCGGAAGAGAGTCACCATATAAGGCAACAGTCCCACTGCTGGATATATATCCAAAATGAAGAAAATCAGTATATAGAAGAGATATCTGCACTTTCATGTTTGTTGCAGCACTGTTCATGATAGCCAAGATTTGGTGGCAACCTAAGCATCTACCAAAAGATTAATGAATAAAGAAAATGTGGTACATATACACAATGGAGTACTATTTAGCCATTAAAAAGAATAAGCTCCTGTCATTTGCAATAACATGGATAAAACTGGAGGTCATTATGTTAACTGAAATAAGCCAGGCATAGAAAGACAAACATCCCATAGTTCTGCAGTGTGATTTGAAGTCAGGTAATGTGATTCCTTCAGTTTTGATCTTTTTGCTCAGGGTAGCTTTGGCTGTTCTGGGTCTTTTGTGGTTCTACATACATTTTAATATAGTTTTTATAGTTTTTGTGAAGACTGTCATTAGTATTTTGATAGGGATTGCATTGAATCTGTAGATTAATTGGGTGGTATGTGCATTTTAACAATTTGATTCTTCTAATCTATGAACATGGAATATCTTTCCATTTTTTGTGTCTTCTTCAATTTCTTTCATCAGTGTTTTATAATTTTAACTGTGGAGATCTTTTGCTTCTTTGGTTAATTCCGAGGTGTTATATTTGTTTGTGTGTATTGTAAATGGACATACATTTTTATTTCTTTTTCAGACTGTTCACTGTTGGCATATAGAAATATTATTGATTTTTGTATGTTGATTTTGTATCCTGCAACTTAACTGAATTTATCAGTTCTAATAGTTTTTTTGATGGCATCTTTAGGTTTTTCCAAATATAAGATCATGTCACCTGCAAAGATAGATAATTTAACTTCTTCCTTTCCAATTTGGATGCCCTTTCTTTATTTCTCATCTGATTGCTCTAGCTAGGGCTTGTCAAATAACAATGGTAAAAGTGGGCACCCTTGTCATGTTCCAGATCTTACAGAAAAGGTTTTCAGGTGTTCCTCATTCAGGATGATACTAACTGTGGGTCTGTCATACATGGCTTTTATTATGTTGAGGTATATTCCTTCTATATCTAGTTTTTAAAGTGTCTTTATCATGAAGCGATGTTAAATTTTATCGAAAGCTTTTGCAATGTCAATTGAAATGATATGTTTTTTGTCCTTTATTCTGTTGATATGATATATCACATTGATTGAGCTGCATCTATTTTAACATCCCTGCATCGCTGGGATAAATCCCACTTGGTCATGATGAATGATCTTTTTAATGCGTTGTTGAATTTTGTTTGCTATTTTTATTTCTCAGAGATATTGGCCTGTATTTTTCTTCTTCTTCTTTTTTTTTTTTTTTTTTTTTTGATGCATCTTTGGTTTTAGTATCAGGGTAATATTAGTCCCATGGAATGAGTTTGGAAGTATTCCCTCCTACTCTATTTTTCAGAATACTTTGAGTAGGATTGATATAAGTTCTTCTTTAAATGGTTTGTAGAATTCAGTAGTGAAGCCATCGGGTCCCAGGCTCTTCTTTATTGGAAAACTTTTTATTGCAGCTTTGATCTCATTACTTGTTTTTGGTCTGTTCAAGTTGTTGATTTCTTCATAATTTAAACTTGGTAGGTTGTGTGTGTCTATGAATTTGTCCATTTCCTTTAGATTTTCCAGTTTATTGGCATATAGTTACTCATAATAACTACTAATAATCCTTTGAATTTCAGTGATATCAGGACTTCTATAACCACTACTTGGCTACCATCTATGTTCACTCAAGTTTCTAGGGCACTACGATCAGCAGACAGTGAAGCCAGACAAGTGTTTGTCCTTCCCTTCAGGGCAGTGAGTTCTCCCAGGCCCCAGGCAGGTCCAGAGATACTGCCTGGGAGCCAGGGATTGGAGTCAAAAACCTTGTAAATTTACCTGATGTTCTATTCCACTGTGGCTAATCTGGAATCAAACCACAATTCAAAGTCCTCCTGTTCTTGTCTCCCCTTTCCATATGCAGAAGAGTCACAAACACCTCTGGCCTCTGGGGGTTCTGTCAGGTCCCCACTGTTCACTTAGAGCTCAAGAGTTCTTCAATTAGCTTGTGGTGAATGCTACCAGGCCTGGGACTCACTCTTTAGGGTAGTGGGCTCACCTCTGACCCAGGACAGGTCCATAAATACTATCAAAAAGCCTAGGCCTGGACCTCAGGGACCTCAGGAGCCTGGTTTGTGCTCTACCTCACGATAGCCGAGCTGATACCTAAGGTGCAAGACAAAGTCCCTTTTACTTTTCTCTCTGTTTTCCTCAGGCAGGTGTCTTTCATTGTAGTCACCACAGCTGGGAATGTGCTGGCTCACACCTGAAGCCAGTACATCTCAGAGTTCAAGGCCCATGATATACTACCTGTGTATCCCCACTGGTTATTCCAGGCCTAGGGGTTCTTCTGTCAGCAGGTGATGAATCCTGGCAGAATTGGGTCCTTCCCTTCAAGGCAGCAGGTTCCCTTCTGGCCCAGGGTACATCTAAAAACTGTTGTCTGGGAGCTGGGGCCTGGAATGGGGGCCTCATGACCCTGCCCAGTGCCCTATCTTAGTGTGGCTGAGCTGGTGTCCAAGGTGCAAGACAAAGTCTTTTTTCATCTTCACTGTCCTTTCCTTAAGCAGAAGGAAGAAGTCACTTTCATTGCTGGGAGCTGCACTGCCTGACGCTGAAGGAGGGGTGTTGCAAGCACTCACTTAGCTGCCCCAGTTTGTGTCTCCCTAGGTCATGTGCCACACTAGTACACTGGCTCTAAGCCCAGCTCAGCATTAGAAGTTACTGAGGAATTTCAGTCCTTATGTCCTAGACTGCCTTTCAGATTTATCTAGGACCCCAGAGCACTTTGGCCCGAGTTGATGAGGTTTGCTGAGAAACTCAAGTTCTGACCACTGGGACAGGCAAGTTCCCTCTGGCTAGGTCTCGTCCAAATGCTCCCTCTGTGTGTGTGCTGGCCGAGCCCAGTTCAGCTTTGCTCTCCACTGTGACAAAGCAGCGCTGAGTTCAATGTAAAGTTCCTCAGTCACTGCGCTCTCCCACCCACAAGTACACGGCCTCTTTCTCTGCATCTTATGGCCACTGCCAGGGGATAGAGAAGGGTGGAACCAGTGATGCAATACTGTCTCTCCCACCCTCTTCAATTCCTCCTTTAATGATGTGAAGTTAAAACCATGTACTGTGATTGCTCACTTGGTTTTTGGTTCTCGTGACAGTTCTTCTCTGTGTGTAGATAGTTGTTCAAATTTAGTGTTTCTACTTCTATTCTGTCATGTTGCTCTCTGCCTCTCTAGTTTTCTCAGCAATATATTTTGTTGCCATGGTTGTTGTCAGTAAAGACACAAGTGTAGGTGAAAACGAACAAAAGTACCTTGTATGTGTAAGCATTGTGCTACATGCACCTTATGTCCATAAAAAGAGGAGTAATAGGTTAATAAAACCCAGTCCTCATGTTAAAGAAATGTTTCAATATGGAGGAAGAGACCACCACATACGCATAAAATGCTTATAGAACCATGAAGTGTAGATGTTAAACATACAGAATCAGAAAGATATGGATTTATATCCCAGCTCTGGTGAAGACTGCCTTTTTAACTTTGGGCAATATATTTCATATCTCTGAGCTTCCAGAATCTTTTTAACATACCACACAATGCTCCCAAATTTTTCCTGATTTCTTATTCAAAATTAAGAAACTAACATATTAATATAATAGTGAGTTTATAAGCGACACTATAATATATGATTTGTCAAATGATAAGTTGCTTACAAGATTCTACATGAGGTTAGAGCATTTGAGAGAAAAGAAAGTAAAATCCAGAGGAAAGGATTTAGGCATAGGTTTCCTGGTTCTTCTTTGATAAATACAACTGTCTAGTAAACAGCAAATAAACTTTAACTGCTATAGTTTAGCAGTTAAAAATATAAATAGTTTGATCAAATCAAATATAGTACACATCTATCAATCTAAATATGTTTTAGCTTCCCTTTTGTTCTCTAAGCAATGGAAATATAATTTTGCTTCTTATAGCACCTATGTAAAATCTAATCGTATTTTCTGCATTAGGCTTTTTAAAAGCATCATTAAGTAGAAAGCAGAGATAAGAACCATTTAATGTTACTCTAACCCTGACGTTTGATTCTATTAAAAAGTGACAGAAGAAAAAGAACTGGTCAGACTAGCCCATTTGATCTTGTCAGCAACAAAGGCAATTTAAAATTACCAAAGGAATGCCCCATTTGAAATCATTTTAATGTGACTCAACTCTATTTTATTTCTTAAGAGCAATTCCTAGCATTTCAATTGTTTTCTGCTTAAAACTGTTTTATATCACATTAACACATGATCTCCATTGGAACAATCAATATCAATCAAATTTAATTTATGATTCCCATAACTGTAGAATTTCTTTTTCCCCCACTTTTAACACATGGCTGAAGTTTTAATTTTTTTAAAATATTTTCTCTACTTTGTCTATCAGTATATTACCTAAAACTATGTTTTTTAAAAGTTCGTTTTTTAAGAGAGTCTCCAAAATATTTCAAACCTAGATGAATATTTTTGTGAAACAAAAGGAAATAAATTAGGAAAAGGAAGATGGATTTCAAAAGGAAAACACAAAAAGCATGCTTTCCTTCTTTTTATTTTGATTAAAAATTTTCTCAATGAAAAATTTTCATTACGTGTATCTTGAACAAAAAAGTATTTCAAATATTATTTTTAGAATATTTATATTCATAACACATTTTTTCTCCCCTGCATGTTTATAAGGATCTAATGGAACAGATGAGGCAAAGACCAACAAATATAAAATTAATGACTAGAGGGACTTGAAAAATACAAAACTACAGCTAGATAGGAATAAGTTCTAGTGTTCTATAGAACTGTAGGGTAACTATAGTTAATATGTAATTTCAAATAGCTAGAGGGCGGATATTGAATGACCCCAACACAAGGAAATGATAAATGTTTGAGATGATGGATAAGCTAACTACCTTGATCTGATCACTATACATTATAAGTATTGAAGCATTGCTACGTACTCCACAAATATGTACAATTATTATTTGTGAATTAAAAAATAAAATTTAAAAGATATTTGCATGTTCACCTGTTGTTATCCACTCTATTCTTTCAACAAAAATCATGAACTATTAATAATGATCATTTAAGAACAAGGGCATAAGAAAGTTGGCAGTAAAAAAGAAAATAAAAATAAGTCTTTACTATCATCACACCCTCACTGGAATCCAAAAATTCATAAGAATATGGAACTTGAGATCATGATGTTAAGTGAAATAAGCCAGGCACAGAAAGACAAACATCACATGTTCTCACTAAAAATCAAAATATTTAAACTCATGGACATAGAGATTAGAGGAATGGTTACCAGAGGTTGGGAAGGTAGTGGGGGGCTGTTGTGGGGAGTGGGGATGGTTAATGGATTAAAAAAAATAGAATGAATAAGATCTGCTATTTGATAGCATAACAGGGTAACTATAGTCAATAATTTAATTGTACATTTTAAAATAATTAAAAGAGTGCAATTGAATTGTTTATAATACAAACAATAAATGCTTGAGGGGATGGATACCCTATTCTCCATGATGTACTTATTTCACATTGTACGCCTGTATCAAAACATTTTATGTACCCCCCCATAAATATATACACCTACTAAGGACCCTCAAAAATAAATTAAAACAAAAAAAGTAAACAAAAATATTTTAAAAGAATACATTTTACCAAGACAAATATTAAACTCAGAGGAATAAATAATGTATAAGCTATTTTGGGAAATTTAGTTAACTTTTGTTATTGAAAAATAAAATGCATGATTTGTAGAACATAAACTTAACTCAATAACTGACTATAACAAGTAAAATTTTAACTGAACAGTTAAAGTAGGACAAGGTCTATATTTGTCAGGAAGAGAATAAACACAATGAAGAACTTCAGACTTCAGATTATTGTAAATTTTAAATGTAATAAAAACATTTAACTAGAGTATATTATTTCACAGTATTCTATTCTATCACAGTATAAAACAAAGAATACATGAAACTTAAAAAATTATCAAAATATAGGAAAAGTGGAAGGAAGCAAAATAAATGGTAGGCAGGAAACAAACTATGATTAAAGGAATAAATTAAAATTATTAAAAAATATAAATGCATTAAACTCATTTATAGAAACTTCAAATTAAATTTGAAAATCAATGTAACAAACAAATAAGCAAAAGAAGAAAACAATAGAAACAAATATAGATGTATATACCTAACAAAAGAACACATAAAACTACAGTGAAAAATGGAAAATAATGATATGACAAAAATCTACACAAGGTAAAAAAATATGAGTAAAAAACACTGGTATAGCAAAACTAGTATCAGATTAAATAGAACCCAAGAAAAGCATCAGTTATAAAAATAATGAGGAGCCATAAACAACTGTGAAAAGAGAGAATTTAGAACAGATAATGTACATTATGTATTTCTTTAATTTCAAATTTTATTTGATACAGTAGGTACATGTGCAGATATGTTACATGGGTATATTGTGCAATGCTGCGGTTTGAGGTACAGATCCCACCACCCATGTAGTAAATATTATACCCAATAGGTAGTTCATCCACTTACCAGCCCTGACTCTAGTAGTCTGCAATGTCTATTATTCCCAGGTTTTCATCCATGTGTGCTCAATGTTTAGCTTCCACTTATAAGTGAGAAGATGTGATACTTGGTTTTCTGTTTCATCATTAATTCTTAGGATAATGGCCTCCAGTTGCTTCTACGTTGCTTCAAAGGAGATGATTTTGTTCTTTTTTATGGCTGCATGGTAGTTCATGGTGTATATGTACCACATTTTCTTTATACAAGCTATGATTGATAGGCACATAGGTTGATTCCCTATCATTGCTATTGTGAATAGTGCTATGATGAACATATGAGTGCATATGTCTTTTTGGTAGAATGATTTATATTCCTTTGGGTATATAGCTAGTAATGAGATTGCTGGGTTAAATTGTAGCTCTGTTGTAAGTTGTTTGAGAAACAGATTATTGAAACACAGTTCACTTTTCAAGGAACTGGTAGCTAGTAAGGAGGAGACTTCACATGCATCCTTGATGAAGGAGTAGGGATGGAAGAGATAGCGGGAGGAACTTAGACATATGAAAACACAATTATGGCATCTACTATGAATTGTGAAAATTTGGAGAGCGGGTGGAATGTCAAAGAATCAGGTAAGGAGACTGTGTAGACACAAGAGTCCAGGTGGAATTTTTACTTTTCTTCTGAGAAAATAGTGAAAAAAATAAGAGTATTTACATAGGAAGGACACAGTTTAGCTTGTACTTTAGAAAAAATTATCTGATTTCAGCGAGGAGAATAGAAACTAGAAGACACTAAAAAAATAGGCTAGGTTGTGCAGTAATTAATGTTAGAGATGAAGACCAGGATGAATCTAATAATCCTGCTAAGTTCATCTGAAAATAGACGTTCAAGGAAATACTAATCCCAATGTATCCAGACAATGACAATGGAAAGTTTACACTTACTCATAATTTCAAAAGTTGCAAGTTTTATGACTTGTATTATGTGATAGTTTAATTGCCACCTTGCCTGTAAGAAAGCGCTTTCTCATATACAGACATGTTTGACATATTTTTTCCTGGTAAGACTTGTGTCTATAATATCTTGACATCTCCCCAATGTGTTAGTACAAAACAGTTAGAGAATAACGCATCTACTGAACATTCTTATCATTCGGAGTTAAATGTTGCATAATGTTGTAGAATGAGATAGTTCTAATATTTAAAAATTTATTGCTTCTTGCAAATACTGATGCATGTAAGTATTTAGGACTAACACTACAGATAATTTTTGTGTCATAGAAATTATATATACATACATGTATACATATATATATATATATATATATATATACGTATAAATACCCATATAGTAAAATATAGTGATAAGTTCTGAATAGTGGAATTTCCTGATTCATACTTCATAAGGTAGAATTTATTGTAATGGTTGTCATTGAACATTAATATAAAAATATCATAACCGAGAAAGGTCATTCATATACATAGTAGTCCTCTAGAGTAAGCCTAAATCAGTATTGATGTTGACATAAAGAGATATTAATAATGAATATTATGTCAAAGATGCATGTCAAAGATAACAAAATAAATAACTCAGAGGATGCAAAGATAATTTTTGTATCAGTTACCTACCAGAAATATGACACTTAACTACCAATTCATAACAATTAAAATATATGATGTAATCGTACAAATATCTATGTCTTAGGAAGTGAAGGCCATGTCATTTTAGGAGATATATTCTGAAAAATAAAGTTAAGAAAATATTACATAGACAACATCTCAAACCTGTTCCTTTTAGTCCATTTTTACTGTCATTACCCTAGTAGAAGTCAGCATCGTTTCTTACCTAAACACCCAAAACAGCTTTCTCAAATAAATGGCCCCACCACTACTTCAAAGATTAATTTTGAGTTACTTAAAATAATTTGTAAGGGCTTTCGTAAAATTGTGTATGAATGTTTATTTCACTTTTGCTTTTTGTCTCAGTATTTTGATAGACTTATTGACATAAAATTGATATATAGTAAACTATGTACATTTACAGTCATTAGGTTTGACATATGTACACCAACTTGAAATCGTTAACTATAGTTAATACAATTATCAAATTTGTCATTCCCCAAAGTATCTCTTTCCCTCTCCCTCTCACCTCTCCTTGTACCTCACTCCCTATCCTTACACATGTTTTCTGTCACTATAGTTTGCAGTTTTTGGAATTTTAAAAATAGAATTATATATTATGTATTATTTTTGTTTGTTTTGTCATGTTTTTTGAGATAGAGTCTCGTTCTGTCGCTGAGATTGGAGTACAGTGGTGTGATCTCGGCTCACTGCAACCTCCACCTCCCGAGTTCAAGTGATTCTCCTGCCTCAACCTCCTGAGTAGCTGGAACTAAAGGTTCATGCCACCAGGATCATCTAATTTTTGTATTTTTTAGTAGAGACAGGGTTTCACCATGTTGGCTAGGCTGGTCTCGAACTCCTGACCTCAGGTGATCCACCTGCCTCGGCCTCCCAAAGTGCTGGGATTACAGGCATGAGCCACCACGCCCGGCCCTATATACTGTTTTTCTTCATCCTACCTTTTTAACTCGCTGTAATTATGTTAAGACTCAGCTCTGTAGTTGCATCTAATTCAATAATTTATTTTATTGATGTGTATTATTGTATTGTATGAATATGCCTCAATATATTTATCCATTCAGTTGCTTATGGATATTTAAATTGTTTCCAGTTTGGGCTATGAATAAAGCTTTTATCAATATTTGCTTAAAAGTCTGTTTGTGGATATAAAGAACTCAAATCAAGTAAAAAGAAAATAAATAACCAAAATGAAAAGTGAGCAAAGGAATCGAATAGACATTTCTCAACCTAACTGTCCATTAAGGAATGAACGGATAAAGAAAATGTGGTATAAACACAGTGGAATACTATTCAGCCTTAAAAATAGAAGGAAATTCTGCCATTTGCAAAAAGATGGATGAACTTGGAAGTCATCATGTTCAGTAAAATAAGCTAGGCATAGAGAGACAAATACTGCCATATGTAAAATCTAAAAACAGATGAACTCATAGAAGTAGAGAGTAGAATGATGCTTACCAGGGGCTGCAGGGAAAGAGGGACTTGGTAAGATCTTGGCCAAAACATACAAAATTTCAGTTAGACAGAAGGAGTAAGTTCAAGGGATCCATTATACAATATGGTGACTATAATTAATAACAATGTATTATATATTTGAAAATTACTAAGTGAATGAATGTTAAATGTTCTCACCACAAAAACAAATAAGTATGTGAGGTGATAAATATGTTAATTAGCTTACTTTAGCCATTTTACAATGTATACATATATCAAAATATTATATAGTACAATATAAATGTATACAATTGTATTTATCAATTTAAAAATAAATAAAATTAAAGTCTTTGTGTAGACACATGTTTTTACTTATTTTGGATAAATGGCTAAGTGTGAAATGGCTATGTTACATGGTAAATGCATACTTCACATTTTCAAAAAACTGCCAAACTGTTTTCCAAAATGTTTGTATCATTTTATATTCCAACCAATCATTGTTCTAGTTGTTCCTCATATGTTTTCCAGGCACTTTGGTTGAAAAAAATTAGGTATGCAATAAAATTATTTGTTTTTCTATAACTCAGCTGAATTTCTAGATATCAATGACCCGTTATGATAGGGAAAAGTTAATATATTTATTTTTAGGTAAACTCAGTGAAATTAGTAGTCATTTGATATTTTAATTATGTTCAAAGTAAGTCAATTATGAATTTAATCTCGGCATATTGAGAAAGCTGCCTTTTCTCTTGGAATGCACTTAAGTTCCAAGGATCTTATCCAATCATCCAGGCATGAGCTGAGTGTGGAGTATAAACTGGGGTGAGGTGCATCTCTTACTTTGTGATATGATGATGTATAATTTTCCTCCTTTTGGTTTGTGTTTGGCCACTATGACATAAGCATTGGCAGTCAACCCTTTTTGCACACAACAAAACGACCCAAGTCTTGACATGTTCAAGGATTTGCATTCTGATTTTTGCCTGTACTGACCACAGCCTCCTCCATAAAGTACAACAGTTCTCTCTTAACCACTTTCATAGAGACAGAGGTACAACAGTCTTCTCTCAACCACTTTCATACTGAAATTGGGGTTTTATAGGTATATGGGTGCTCTGGTACCTGAACAATGAAGCATCCTGCAGAGCCATTTCCTTGAACTTTTCACTCAATTACTGCTACTTGACCATTTGCTGCCTGTTGGATACAAAGTTTCTCTATCATATTATAATCTCTTGAGCTACACTTTAGGAAGTTCAGATATAGGTTTCTCTACTATACTGCAGTCACCCAAAATGCAAGCATTCTTATCACCATCTAATTGGGATGAGTCTAGCAAAAAGGATAAAGAATATGATGACCGAATAGGAACAGCTCCAGTCTACAGCTCCCCATGTGAGCGACGCAGAAGATGGGTGATTTCTGCATTTCCAGTTGAGGAACCGGGTTCATCTCATTGGGGCTTGTTGGACAGTGGGTGCAGGACAGTGGGTGCAGCACACCGAGTGTGAGCTGAAGCAGGGCAAGTCATCACCTCACCCAGGAAGCACAAGGGATCAGGGAATTCCCTTTCATAGCCAAGCAAAGCTGTGACAGATGGCACCTGGAAAATCGGGTCACTCCCACCCTAATACTGCGCTTTTCCAATGGTCTTAGCAAACGGCACACCAGGAGATTATATTCTGTGCATGGCTTGGAGGGTCCCACGCCAACGGAGCCTCGCTCATTGCTAGCACAGCAGTCTGAGATCTAACTGCAAGGTGGCAGCATGGCTGGGGGAGGGGGTCCCGCAATTGCTGAGGCTGGAGTAGGTAAACAAAGTGACTGGGAAGCTCGAACTGGGTGGAGACTGCCACAGCTCAAGGAGGCCTGCCTGCCTCTGTAGACTCCACCTCTGGGGGCAGGGCATAGCCGAACAAAAGGCAGCAGAAACCTCTGCAGACTTAAATGTCCCTGTCTGACAGCTTTGAAGAGAGCAGTGGTTCTCCCAGCATGGAGTTTGAGATCTGAGAACGGACAGACTCCCACCTCAAGTGGGTCCCTGACCCCCGAGTAGCCTAACTGGGAGGCACCCCCTAGTAGGGGCAGATTGACGCATCACATGGCCAGGTAACCCTCTGAGAGGAAACCTCCAAAGGAACAATCAGACAGCAACATTTGCTGTTCAGCAATATTCGCTGTTCTGCAGCCTCCGCAGCTGATACCCAGGCAAATAGGGTCTGGCATGGACCTCCAGCAAACTCCAACAGACCTGCGGCTGAGGGACCTGACTGTTAGAAGGAAAACTAACGAACAGAAAGGACACCCACACCAAAACCCCATCTGTACGTCACCATCATCAAAGACCAAAGGTAGATAAAACCACAAAGATGGGGAAAAAACAGAACAGAAAAACTGAAAATTCTAAAAATCAGAGCAACTCTCCTCCTCCAAAGCAATGCAGCTCCTCACCAGCAACGGAACAAAGCTGGACAGAGAATGACTTTGACAAGTTGAGAGAAGAAGGCTTCAGATGATCAAATTTCCCCGAGCTAAAGGAGGAAGTTCGAACCCATCACAAAGAAGTTAAAAACCTTGAAAAAACATTAGATGAATGGCTAACTAGAATAACCAATGCAGAGAGTCCTTAAAGGAGCTGATGGAGCTGAAAACCAAGGCACGAGAACTACGTGATGAATGCACGAGCTTCAGTAGCCAGTTCAGTCAACTGAATCAGTGATTGAAGATCAAAGGAATGAAATGAAGCAAGAAGAGAAGTTTAGAGAAAAAAGAATAAAAAGAAATGAACAAAGCCTCCAAGAAATATGGGACTATGTGAAAAGACCAAATCTATGTCTGATTGGTGTACCTGAAAGTGACGAGGAGAATGGAACCAAGTTGGAAAACACTCTGCAGGATATTATCTGGGAGAGCTTCCCCAACCTAGCAAGGCAGGCCAACATTCAGATTCAGGAAATACAGAGAATGCCACAAAGATACTCCTTGAGAAGAGCAACTCCAAGACACATATTGTCAGATTCACCAAAGTTGAAATGAAGGAAAAAATGTTAAGGGCACCCAGAGAGAAAGGTTGGCTTACACACAAAGGGAAGCCCATCAGACTAACAGCTGATCTCTCAGCAGAAACTCTACAAGCCAGAGGAGAGTGGGAGCCAATATTCAACATTCTTAAAGAAAAGAATTTTCAACCCAGAATTTCATATCCAGCCAAACTCAGCTTCATAAGTGAAGGAGAAATAAAATCCTTTACAGACAAGCAAATGCTGAGAGATTTTGTCACCACCAGGCCTGCCCTACAAGAGCTCCTGAATGAAGCACTAAACATGGAAAGGAAAAACTGGTACCAGCCACTGCAAAACATGCCAAATTGTAGAGACCATTGATGCTAGGAAGAAAATTCACCAACTAACGAGCAAAATAACCAGCTAACATCATCATCATCAGTATCAAATTCACACATAACAATATTAACCTTAAATGTAAATGGACTAAATGCTCTAATTAAAAGACACAGACTGGCAAATTGGATAAAGAGTCAAGACCCATCAGAGTGCTGTATTCAGGAAACCCATCTCACATGCAGAGACACACATAGGCTCAAAATAAAAGGATGGAGGAAGATCTACCAAGCAAATGGAAAACACAAAAAGGCAGGGGTTGCAATCCTAGTCTCTGATAAAACAGACTTTAAACCAACAAAGATCAAAAGAGACAAAGAAGGCCATTACATAATGGTAAAGGGATCAATTCAACAAGAAGAGCTAACTATCCTAAATATATATGCACCCAATACAGGAGCACCCAGATTCATAAAGCAAGTCCTGAGCAACCTACAAAGAGACTTAGACTCTCACACAATAATAATGGGAGACTTTAACACCCCACTGTCAACATTAGACAGAACAACGAGACAGAAAGTCAATAAGGATATACAGGAATTGAATTGAGCTCTGCACCAAGCGGACCTAATAGACATCTACAGAACTCTCCACCCCAAATCAACAGAATATGCATTCTTCTCAGCACCACACTGCACCTATTCCAAAATTGACCACATAGTTGGAAGTAAAGCACTCCTCAGCAAATGTACAAGAACAGAAATTATAACAAACTGTCTCTCAGACCACAGTGCAATCAAACTAGAACTCAGGATTCAGAAACTTACTCAAAACCACTCAACTACATGGAAACTGAACAACCTGCTCCTGAATGACTACTGGGTACATAATGATATGAAAGCAGAAATAAAGATGTTCTTTGAAACCAACGAGAACAAAGACACAACATACCAGAATCTCTGGGACACATTCAAAACAGTGTGTAGAGGGAAATTTATAGCACTAAATGCCCACAAGAGAAAGCAGGAAAGATCTAAAATTGACACCCTAACATCACAATTAAAAGACCTAGAGAAGCAAGAGCAAATACATTCAAAAGCTAGCAGAAGGCAAGAAATAACTAAGATCAGAGCAGAACTGAAGGAGATAGAGCCAAAAAAACCCTTCAAAAAATCAATGAATCCAGGAGCTAGTTTTTTGAAAGGATCAACAAAATTGATAGACCACTAGCAAGACTAATAAAGAAGAAAACAGACAAGAATCAAACAGACACAATAAAAAACGATAAAGGGGATATCACCACCAATCCCACAGAAATACAAACTACCATCAGAATACTATAAACACCTCTACACAAATAAACTAGAAAATCTAGAAGAAATGGATAAATTCCTCGACACATACACCCTCCCAAGACTAAACCAGGAAGAAGTTGAGTCTCTGAATAGACCAATAATAGGCTCTGAAATTGAGGCAATAATTAATACCTTACCAACCAAAAAAAGCCCAGGACCAGATGGATTCACAGCCAAATTCTACCCGAGGTACAAGGAGGAGCTGGTACCATTCCTTCTGAAACGATTCCAATCAATAGAGAAAGAGGGAATCCTCCCTAACTCATTTTAGGAGGCCAGCATCGTCCTGATACCAAAGCCTGGCAGAGACACTACAAAAAAAGAGAATTTTAGGCCAATATCCCTGATGAACATCGATGCAAATATCCTCAATAAAATACTGGCAAACCGAATCCAGCAGCACATCAAAAAGCTTATCCACTATGATCTAGTGGGCTTCATCCCTGGGATGCAAGGCTGGTTCAACATATGCAAATCAATAAATGTAATCCAGCATATAAACAGAACCAAAGACAAAAACCACATGATTATCTCAATAGATGCAGAAAAGGCCCTCAACAAAATTCAACAACCCTTCATGCTAAAAACTCTCAATAAATTAGGTATTGATGGGACATATCGCAAAATAAGAGCTATTTATCACACACCCACAGCCAATATCATACTGAATGGGCAAAAACTGGAAGCATTCCCTTTGAAAACTGGTACAAGACAGGGATGCCCTCTCTCACAACTCCTATTCAACATAGTGTTGGAAGTTCTGGCCAGGGCAATCAGGCAGGAGAAGGAAATAAAGGGCATTCAATTAGGAAAAGAGGAAGTCAAATTGTCCCTGTTTGCAGATGACATGATTGTATATCTAGAAAACCCTATTATCTCAGCCCAAAATCTCCTTAAGCTGATAAGCAACTTCAGCAAAGTCTCAGGATATAATATCAATGTGCAAAAATCACAAGCATTCTTACACACCAATAACAGACAAACAGAGAGCCAAATCATGAGTGAACTCCCATTCACAATTACTTCAAAGAGAATAAAATACCTAGGAATCCAACTTACAAGGGATGTGAAGGACCTCTTCAAGGAGAGCTACAAACCACTGCTCAATGACATAAAAGAGGACACAAACAAATGGAAGAACATTCCATGCTCATGGATAGGAAGAATCAATATCATGCAAATGGCCATACAGCCCAAGGTGATTTATAGATTCAATGCCATCCCCATCAAGCTACCAATGACTTTCTTCACAGAATTGGAAAAAACTACTTTCAAGTTCACATGGAACCAAAAAAGAGCCAGCATTGCCAAGTCAATCCTAAGCCAAAAGAACAAAGCTGGAGGCATCACGCTACCTGACTTCAAACTATACTACAAGGCTACAATAACCATAACAGCATGGTACTGGTACCAAAACAGAGATATAGACCAATGGAACACAACAGAGCCCTCAGAAATAATACCACACATCTACAACCATCTGATCTTTGACAAACCTGACAAAAACAAGCAATGGGGAAAGGATTCCCTATTTAATAAATGGTGCTGGGAAAACTGGCTAGCCATATGTAGAAAGCTGAAACTGGATACCTTCCTTACACCATATACAAAAATTAATTCAAGATGGATTACAGACTTATATATTAGCCCTAAAACCATAAAAACCCTAGAAGAAAACTTAGGCAATACCATTCAGGACATAGGCGTGGGCAAGGACTTCATGTCTAAAACACCAAAAGCAATGGCAACAAAAGCCAAAAGTGACAAATGGGATCTAATTAAACTAAAGAGCTTCTGCACAGCAAAAGAAACTACCATCAGAGTGAACAGGCAACCTACAGAATGGGAGAAAATTTTTGCAATCTACTCATCTAACAAAGGGCTAATATCCAGATTCTACAAAGAACTCAAACAAATTTACAAGAAAAAAACAACCCCATCAGCAAGTGGGCAAAGGATATGAACAGACACTTCTCAAAAGAAGACATTTATGCAGCCGAAAGACACATGAAAAAATGCTCACCATCACTGGCCATCAGAGAAATGCAAATCAAAACCACAATGAGATACCATCTCACACCAGTTAGAATGGCGATCATTAAAGTCAGGAAACAACAGGTGCTGGAGAGGATGTGGAGAAATAGGAACACTTTTACACTGTTGGTGGGACTGTAAACTAGTTCAACCATTGTGGAAGACAGTGTGGCGATTCCTCAGGGATCTAGAACTAGAAATACTATTTGACCCAGCCATCCGATTACTGGGTATATACCCAAAGGAATATAAATCATGCTGCTATAAAGACACATGCATATGTATGTTTATTGTGGCACTACTCACAATAGCAAAGACTTGGAACCAACCCAAATGTCCAACAATGATAGACTGGATTAAGACAATGTGGCACATATACACCATGGAATACTATGCAGCCATAAAAAGGATGAGTTCATGTCCTTTGTAGGGACATGGTTGAAGCTGGAAACCATCATTCTTAGCAAACTATCGCAAGGACAAAAAACCAAACACCTCATGTTCTCACTCATAGGTGGGAATTGAACAATGAGAACACTTGGACACAGGGAATTGAACAATGAGAACACTTTAACATCACACACCAGGGGCTGTTTTGGGGTGGGGAGAGGGGGGAAGCATAGCATTAGGAGATATAACTAATGTAAATAATGAGTTAATGGGTGCAGCACACCAGCATGGCACATGTATACATTTGTAACAAACCTGCACATTGTGCACATGTACCCTAGAACTTAAAGTATAATAAAACAATATATATATTTTAAAAAAAGAATATGAGGGCGTTCTGTTGCTCTTCTTTTTCTATTCATTTCCCACCTTTATTCTGGTTGACATTATTTTTCTTAGAACAAGAAAGCTCTCTTTTCCATCATAGTACCATTTCATTGGATGTGTTATTCATCGTATACAAATTATACTAAGGCTTTAAGATTACTTTGTCTGCTCTAATTTAAGTATTTTTCAAAATTTCTTTGTTCCTTATCTACCCTATGGTAAATATTTTCTCTTTTAAAAAAAAGCCATTGACTTGATGTCAAGTGTTACAGATTAAATGAAAGACTGAAAATAAAAATCCATTATTAAAATGTTAAAATAGTAGCCCACTGCAGTTCTAACAGTGGTGACTATCTGGGCTTCTGCCAAGGGACATACTCATATGTGGGAGTTTCCACCCTCCCACAAATAAGTGTGTCCCAGTTATGTGCTAGACCTAGATATCTGCTGTAAATTAGTTTTATCAGAATGGAAAATCATTCATACGAATATTACGATACTATGTTACTAATTGCTAGTAGGGACCCCTTGCTTGTATAACCATTCTAAATGGGGAACAGGTTACTATTGTCAAAGACAAACAAAGCCAGACTCTAGTTAAAGTTGTAAGGTCAGATTTAATCAGTAATATACTACTGCAAAAAGGGGAAACAAAAAGTTCAGCGTGAAATAAACTGAATTTCTATTTGTACGAGGTGGCCAGTTTTTAAAAGGTGAAATGAGAGATCAGCAGCACAGGGTTAGGAGACTGAATCAAGGTTCAGTAGAGTCAGGGAAGTGAAAAATTACAAAAAGCAGGAGGGAAGTGAAGAGTTGGTTCACGCGAAACCCATCAGAAGTTAGGTTCTTCTCCTCCCAGAGAAACTGGGAGAAAGGGGTGCTATCTTCAGCTGCTGACTGAAACAAACAGTAATTTATTTTGTCAAAAACACAGGGTGTCATTTCATTTATTTGTGTTTGCTTTAATTTCCTTCATCATTATTTTATAGTTCTCAGAGTTCAAATCTTCCACCTCCTTGGTCAAGTTTATACCCAAATATTTTATTCTTCTTGATGCTATTATAAGTGGGATTGCTTTCTTAAGTTTCGTTTCAGATAGTTTCTTGATAGCATAAAGAAACACAACTAATTTTTGTATGCTGGTTTTTCATCTCACAACTTTGCAGATAACGTGATCATGTGTATATATAAAAATCCTCTAAAAACTACATAGAAAAACTGTTAAAACTAATAAATAAATTCAGCATATGTAATTTTACATTTTCTTCTAATTTGGATGCTTTTTATTTCTTTGTCTTGCTTAATTTATCTGGCTAGGACTTTAGGTACTATGTTAAACAGAAGTAGTGAAGTAGTCACCCATATCCTGTCCCAGATCTCAGAGGAAAAGCTTTCAGTTTTTCACCACTGAATATGATGTTAGCTGTAGGCTTGTCATACATGGGACTGACATAAAAATAGACACATAGGAAACAGATAAGGAGAGCCCAGAAATAAACATAAAGCACCTACAGTCAACTGATCTTCAAGAAGTGTGTCAAGAACACATAATAAGGACAGGAAAATCTCTTCAACAAATGGCGTTTGGAAAACTGGCTAGCCACATGCAAAAGAGTGAAATTGGACTCTTATCTTACACCACACACAAAAATCAACTCCAAATTGATTAAAGACTTAAACTCAAGACAACTTAAGACCTGAAACTAAAACTTCTTGAAGGAAACATAGGGGGAAACCTTTTTGACATTGGTCTTAGCAATAATTTATTGGATTTGTCCCAAAATCATGGGCAACTAAATAAAAAATAGACAAGTGAGACTACATCACAATAAAAAGCTCTGTACAGGAAAAAAAAAAAATAACCAACAGAGTGAAAAGACTACCTATAGAATGAGAGAAAATATTTGCAAATCATTTATCTGATACAGGGTTAATATTCAACATATGTAAGAATCTTCTACAACTGAACAGCAGAAAACAAATATCCTGACTTAAACATGGAGAAAAGACATAAATAAACATTTCTTCAAAGAAGACATACAAATGGCCACAAGTTTTATGAAAGGATGCTCAACATTGCTAATCATTAGGGAAATTCGATCAAATCATAACCAAAGTGAGATATTACCTTATATATTTTAGAATGGCTATTATCACTGTATTTGTTAGTTTTCACACTGCTGATAAAGATATACCCGAGACTGGGAAGTAAAAGAGGTTTAATTGCATTTACAGTTCCACATGGCTGGGGAGGCCTCAGGATCATGGCAGGAGGCACAAGGTACTTCTTACATGGTGCTGGCAAGAGAAGATGAGGAGGAAGCTAAAGCAGAAATCCCGGATAAACCCATCAGATCTTGTTAGACGTATTCACTATCATGAGAATAGCATGGGAAAGAGCAGCCCTCATGATTCAATTACCTCCCACTGGGTCCCTCCCACAACACGTGGGAATTCTGGGAGACACAATCCAAGTTGAAATGTGGGTGGGGGCACAGCCAAACCACATCATTCTGCCCCTGCCCCCACCCCCAAATCTCATGTCCTCACAGTTCAAAACCAGTCATGCCTTTCCAACAGTCCCCCAAAGTCTTAACTCATTTCAGCATTAACTCAAAAGTCCATAGACCAAAGTCTTATCTGAGACAAGTCCCTTCCACCTATGGGCCTATAAAATCAAAAGCAAGTTAGCTACTTCCTAGATACAGTGAGGGTACAGGCATTGGGTAAATACAGCCATTCCAAATGGGAGAAATTAGCCAAAACAAATGGGCTACAGGCCCCATGCAAATCTGAAATCCAGCAGGGCAGTCAAATCTTAAAGCTCCAAAATGAACTCCTTTGACTCCATGTCTCAAATCTGGTCACACTGATGCAAGAGGTGGGTTTCCATGGTCTTGGGCAGCTCTACCCCCGTGGCTTTGCAGGGTACAGCCTTCCTCCTGGCTGCTTTCACAGTCTGGCATTGAGTGTCTGTGGCTTTTTCAGGTGCATGGTGCAAGCTGTTGGCAGATCTATCATTCTGGGGTCTGGAGGATGGTAGCCCTCTTCTCACAGCTCCACTAGGTGGTGCCCCAGCAGGGACTCTGTGTGGCGGCTCCAACCCCACATTTTCCTTCTGCACTGCCCTAGCAGAGGTTCTCCATGAGGGTCCTGCCCCTTAGAGCAAACTTTTGCCTGGGCATCCAGGCATTTCCATACATCTTCTGAAATCTACATGGAGGTTCCCAAACCTCAATTTTTCGCTTTTGTGCACCCACAGGCTCAATACCACATGGAAGCTGCCAAGGCTTGGGGCTTCCACCCTCTGAAGCCACAGCCTGAGCTGTACATTGGCCCCTTTCAGCCAAGGCTGGAACAGCTAGGACACAGGATACCAAGACACTAGGCTGCACACAGCACAGGGACCCTGGGCCCGGCCCACAAAACTATTTTTTCCTCCTGGGCCTCTGGGCCTTTGATGGGAGGGGCTGCCATGAAGATCTCCGACATGGCCTAAAGACATTTTTCCAATGGTCTTGGGTATTAACATTAGCCCCCTTGCTACTTATCCAAATATCTGCAGCTGGCTTGAATTTCTCCCCCAGAAAATGGGTTTTTCTTTCCTATCGCATAGTCAGGCTGCAAATTCTCCAAACTTTTATGTTCTGCTTCCCTTATAAAACTGAATGCCTTTAATGGCATCCAAGTCAGATCTTGAATGCTTTGCTGCTTAGAAACTTCTTCTGCCAGATACCCCAAATAATCTTTCTCAAGTTCAAAGTTTCACAAATGTCTACGTCAAGGGCAAAATACTGCCAGTATCTTTGTTAAAACATAAGAAGAGTCACTTTTGCTCCAGTTCCCAACAAGTTCCTCATTTCCATCTGAGACCACCTCAGTCTGGATTTTATTGTCCATATCGCTATCAGCATTTTGGGCAAAGCCATTCAACAAGTCCCTAGGAAGTTCCAAATATTCCTATATTTTCCTGTCTTCTGAGCCCTCCAAACTGTTCCAACCTCTGCCTGTTACCCAGTTCCAAAGTTGCTTCCACATTTTCGGGTGTCTTTTCAGCAACACCCCACCCCACTCTACTGATACCAATTTACTGTATTAGTTTGTTTTCATGCTGCTGATAAAGACATACCTGAGACAGAGAAGTAAAAGAAGTTTCATTGGACTTACATTCCCACACGGGTGGGGAGGCCTCAGAATCATGGCATAAGGTGAAAGGCACTTCTTACATGGTGGCAGAAAGATAAAATGAGGAGGAAGCAAAAGTAGAGACTCCTGATAAGCTCATCAGATCTCATGAGTCTTATTCACTATCGTGAGAATAGCACAGGAAAGACTGGCCCCATGATTCAATTGCCTCCCACTAGGTCCCTCCCACAACACGTGGGAATTCTGGCAGATACAATTGAAGTTGAGATTTGGGTGGGGGCACAGCCTAACCATACCAGTCATCATTATCAAAAAAAAGGGGTAAATGTTGGTGAACATGTAGAGATATTAGAACCCTTACACACCGTTGGTGGGGATGCAGAATGGTACAGCCACTATACAACCTCTGCAGTATGGAAGTTCCTCAAAAATTTATAAATACAGATATCATATGATTCAACAACCCTACTCCATGTATATATCAAAAAAATTTAAATCAGTACGTTGAAGAGCTGTCTGCACTCCCATGGTCACTGCAGCATTATTCACAATAGAGAAGATACAGAGACAAATGCCTATTGAAATGCCTATTGAAAGATGAATTGATAAAGAAAATGTGATATATGCAACTCCTACCATTTACACCAATGTATATGAGCCTACATCACATTAGGTTAAGTGAAATAAGCCAGTCACAGATGAACAAATACTGCATGATTCCACTCATATAAAGTATCTAAAATAGTTAAATTTCATAGAAGCAGAGAATAGAATGATGTTTGCCAAGCACTGGGAGAAGAAGGAAAAGGAGAATTGTTTGCTCAATGGATATAAAGTTTTAGTTATGCAAGATGAAAAAGTTCTAGAAATCTGCATTACAACACAGTATCTGGAGTTAAAAATACAATATTGTACATTTTAAAATACATTAAGGAAACAGATCTCATGTTAAGTGCTCTTACTACCAAACAAAACTAAAACAAAAAACAAAAGAAGAAAATTTTTGAAAGTGATGGATATGTTTAGGACCTTGATTGAGGTGATGGTATCATAAGTGTATACATATGTTCAAATTCACCAAAATATATACATTAAATATGTACTTTTTTTTTGTTTTGAGACAGAGTCTCACTCTGTCCCCCAGGGTGGAGTACAGTGGTGCAATCTCGGCTCACTGCAACCTCCGCCTCCTGGGTTCAAGAGATGCTCCTGCTTCAGCCTCCTGAGTAATTGGTATTATAGGCCTGTGCCACCATGACCAGCTAAACATGTGCAATTTTATATATCAATTATACCTCAGTAAAGCTTTAAAGAAAACCTATAGTAGTCTTTTATTCAAGTCTTAATTGGCCAAGGTTGAGGTCTAGTTGAGAATCAGGTTCAAAGGAGCCAGTCTAGGGTTTGGTAAAGAAGAGATTTTCTTTCTATATAAGAACCATATAGCCATATAACCCTCTGTTGAAAAAGGTTTGCGGAGTTTCAGTGATGATATGTGAGCCAATATTTTTACCTAAGCTAAAGTCTTCATTGGCTGGAACCTGGTGGAAATCTCTATATGCTACTTCTGCCCATACCTCCATCTATGTTTGAAAATGGACCCTGGTATCTAGGCTCTTCTAGGACTGGAAAAGCCCCATTGGCCCCTTTCTGCTTCCTGTGTTTCCTCAAGTTAGCCTGAGTTTTTACATTACCTGCAAGATGTTCCTTACTAATAAGTTTTTGTGTTTACTACAAACAAAGCAGAAATAAAGATGCTTCCACATCTCCCAGCAGTCATCTTAATGTTTTCCAGGGTAGGCAGTGTTCTTTCTAGCTTGGTTCTGGGGTCATGACTCTGCTGATACAGTTATCAGTCTGTCTCATCAAGTCCTAGGTAATCCATGCTTGATTTGTTCTTAATTCTCACAGAAGAGGTTCCATTGTTTGAGATAACCCATTTTTGAGATGAATCTTCTCAGCTGCTCCAGCCTCTCTGGTCTACATCCCTACCTTCTGCTTATCACCCTGTATCTACCCTTTTAGATTCACTCCTATAATTTTCTAGGCATATTTTCAAAATCAACAATGGTTTCTAAGACTGTCTTATCTCTGCACAACTCTTCTCTCAAAACATAACAGGTACTGGCTCAAGATAACTTTACTTTGTAACTGTGGTGTAGCACGGCCTTGGTGCAGATACATACTGCTTGACTATTCAGCCATGGACACATGCTCTGTATATTGGGTATGTGTTTCATAGACATGATCGTCCTCATGATCCGGCTATGTAATAAATAACAAGACAAACACACCTAAATTTCTTATTCCCAAAATTCAACGTAATTTCTAGCTCTCTAATACATGTTCTTTCTGCTTCATAACAGAAAACTAATAATCTAGCTATTTCTATGTACTGCAGTCAAATTAATTTAAGTATTATTTCAGGTTTAGCTATTATAATAACGTAAAAAGAACAAAATTATAATTATTCAGAAGTTATTTGTTTTCCATTAATGTCATTAATTTCTAAATTATAGAAAACTTACATGTGAGGAATTTTCACATTCACTGCCTTAATATTTATTATCTTTGGTGAGGTAGATATGAACTTTATAGATCATTTTATTTTCTTACCATTGTTAATATCAGAAGTAGACTATGATATAAGTAGTGAACTATGTACCCTATGCTCGCCCACTGAATCAGTTATAGAACCACATGGTCTCCCAGCTCTACCAGATGCCCTTTTATTCATTCACGTTCTAGTTATTATAGTTTAGATGAAATGCATTTGGTCCTACTGCTTCTGGAATCTAGGAGAGTGGAAAGGTGAATTCTATTGTCTTAAGCAAGTTGACTCACTGCTCTGTGTTTCAATTGCAGTTTTAGAATATGAGCGAGGAGAACAAGATAATATCTAAATTTGCTTCAAACTCAACATTCTATGAGTCTATCTACTTTAGCCAAAAAAAAAGAGCATTAGTAAATGTGATCAAAGTGGGAGTATATTTTATTCTGTGTTTTCATCTAACAGCATTTACAAATTGGCTTTTGAGAGAGATGAACAGAAATGAAAGAATAACTTTTAACAAGAGATAAAAGAAATAAAACTGCCAATGCATATTTATACTTATATACAGATTAAATTTGTAAGTAAAAGGAAACTGTGGGTGTTAAACAGTCAGAGAGAAACCAAACAGGAGAAATGAAGGATATATTAGCAATGGTGATCATGGGACAAAAACATAGGCAGAAATCAGGAGGCTTAAGAAAAACAAGCAAATTGATACAGACTGTAATCAGTATTTTAAGAAAATGTGAGAGACAGCAATTTGCAAAAAAATTATATACCATGAATAAGGAAGACCTGGATGACAAACACAATTTTTACACAGTGAGAGCTTTAATGATAAGGGATTCTATAAGTATGGAAAGGAATGGCTGTGCAAAATACCCCATACAATATGGTTCTACATTTTAAATTTGAAGGTAATTCTTAGAATCATAAGATTTTTTTTTACAATTGTTATTACAAGCTATGAACAACTTAAAGAAAAACAAACTTCCAGCAAGAAAGGTGTTACCTAATTTTTATGATTATATGCAAGCCAAAGTTAACTCAAAGTTTTTATGGCATCTTGATTTCTTTCTGTCAAGGGCATAAACAGGACAATCACAATAACAGAAATATGAAACTATTTTCTTGTTGGGAAACAGTATATACAAGAGACTAAGGTATGGAATTTGTTAGCCTTCCTGTATGCATTCAGTTGTGTACAATATTCCCTGACAAAGATTTATATAAAAGCTTAAATCACACAATACTTATGATGCTGAAATATTTTCTTTATTTTAAAAAAACACGTACTGCAAAGACCCTCTGATTGTGACAGGACTACCATCCCCAAAGAGAGGTCCTCAGGTAGGGTCATGTTATATGTGTCTAAGAAAATCCTTTGAGAGCAATATGTTATCATTTCAGATTTCAAGTTTTTCTCCAAATCCATGAAAAATTTACAATGTCTATATACACTAAGCAGTTTTATTTGCACTGAGAATGAATACATTTACATTTCCAGAGACACTTGAAGAAATATAAAGTCTCAGTTTTCAAAGGTCTTCCCTAGATAAGTATAAGTATAAAAGCATACTTTGAAAATAATGAACAACTAAAAGAACAATAATCACTAAAATTGTTTTCAAATGACATTTTGCAGAGCCTTAGGATGTGCCATGATGTCTTCAGGGTGAGCACATGGGAAGAAGTAATAAAGGAGCAGGAAGTCTTCTTAACTACATCTCATCTTTTACCAAAACAGCTACACTTTAAATGTTTATATGTCAAAATTCTGCTAAAGATTTTATTAATGAAAGGTCTCACAATTAAAAGTTTAAAAATCACTTAAATAGACCAATCTCATTTTTTCAATATTTTATTATGAAAAACTTCAAATATAAAGAAAAATGGAGAGAATTTTATAGTGAATATCCATATACCCTCTACTTAGATTCCTTTTACATACATTTAATTTTGGCCTAGTTTTGTCATCATATTTAGAGTATTTCTCTTTTCTTATAGATAGTGTATGGTTGGGTCTTTTTTATTTTTTTCATTCAATGATCTCTACCTTTTGAGTGACTATTTAGTGGTTGGACTTAGTTATACCATTACCCTATTTGTTTTCTATTTGTTGCTCCTAGATTTTCTTGTCTAATTTTCCTTTCCTGCCTTTTTGATTAAATATATATTGTAAATTCAATTTAATTTATCTATTAGGTCTTCAGCTATACTTCTTTGCTTTAAGTGGTTGTTCTACTAATGTATACATTACAATACATCCTCAAATTTTTGCAATCTGTTTAGAGTTAATACTACAACACTTCACACAATTTACAGAAATCTTGCAATCATATATATTCAAGATATGATTTATATCCTTTAATCCCTTATGCTATACTTGTCGTGTTATATCTACATATACTATAAACTCCTCAATATAATGTTACTTTGAACATTAATATGAATTTTAAAGAAATTCAGTGGGATATTAATTTTTTATCCATTTTTAACTTTTTAAACTCATATTTAACTAGTTCATTAAACGTTAATTTAACTATTTTAACTATTTATCATTTCCTTGAGGTCCAACTTTCATCTGATATCATTTCCTTTCAGCCTAAAGAACTTCCTTTACTATTCCTTGTAATGCAGGTCTATTAGCAACATATTCTATTAGTTCCTTTTCCTGGAACACCTTTGTTTTGTTTCCATTCTCCCAAGACATTTTCAATGTATATTGAATTCAGATTGACAATTGTTGTTTTTGTTTGTAATTTCATGAATCACTTTCAAGACATCATTCCACTGTCTCTGGCATCCATTATTTCTCATAAAAATTCAGTAGAATTTAAGATATTATTGCTTTGTAAGTTATATTTTCATTTTTATGACACTTATCTTCTTAACCAGGTGGCTTATAAGCCTATCTCAGAATGTAGAGTCCTGAGAGCAGCAAATTTTAGGTACTACCTTTAAATTATTCTGTCCTGAAATTTCTGTCTGAAAAGTCTGTGGTATTAGAAAAAAAATAACCTGTGCATTGGATTCACCAAGTTCTCCTGAATAATTATTTTTATATTACCGGCAGAAGTGGTGAGAGGGTTTTTTGGGGGCTTTCATTTATGTGACATCAAAAAGAGGAGCTTAAACTCTTTAAATATGCTAAACAATACCACAGGTCAGGGAAGTCTTCTAACACCAAATAAATAGCAGTTACAAATCCTTTAGAACTCAGCACATACACTCAATTCTATCAGTAATCTTCTAGATACCCACAATCGAATATTCTTGCACAAAGTAGGTATGTACATTTTATCAATTTGAATGGCTTTTATTTCCCACATAGTTTAATATATTTTTATGGTTAGTAGCCAACCTCTCAATCATTTCTCACTTGACTACAATAATAGAGGCTTTTAAAGTGCACAAATTACTTTTGGTGGTCACTTGCTGGCAGAGCTTCTCAAGCCTAAACTATAGGTTTAGTCTCTCATTTATCTCTAGAGGCGCCCTTTTGAATTTTCTTTCTGTTGCCCCAACCACCACTTTTAACGGCCCATATGTGCTTGACATCCAATGTGAGTAGGATTGAAACTACACCAATCAAATAAAATAAATAAAATTTCTATCTTGTTTTATGCACACATCATTGAGTCAAATTGGAGTCTAGTGTCAACTAACATGCTTTTCTATGACCCAACACTTTCTTTCATTCACTGGCTTTGCTCAAGTTTCCATGTTTGCTCAAGATTTTATATCCTCTCCTCACAGAGATTATTATTGAAAAGGGCAGACAGAAAAATATATATGGACAAAATAATGACAAGCTATGATAACTGTCACAAAGTAAACATATAGAGAATAAAAATATAAAGAATATATGTAATAGTCAGAAAACATCTGTTTGAAAGTATAGCATAGTGGCCCAAAAGAAGAGAAGTCAGGAGTGAGGGAAAAATCTTTGCCAGTATAAGAAGCAGACTTTGCAAAGACTCTGCAGCAGAAAAGTGTTTGATGTGTTTCAGAAATGAATATCAGAGAAGCCTGAAGGAGCGAGGAACAGGATGGTAACAGATATGACAAAAAAGAGTGTCAATGGCTATGGTAATTGTTTCTTCCAGCTTTTGCTAAGGAATGTGTACCATGCTGTATGTTTAACTGGAGAGTTGGGAGCAGAATACTGCATGATTCAAGTTAGATTTAAAATGAGAATGCTTCTTTTCGTGTAGAGAATGAATTCTTTCATTTATTCAACTAACAGACATTTACATTTTATTAGAAAATCTAGTAGTCATGAACAAAACACACACAAAGGTTTTCATAGAGCTTACATTCCAATGTGGTGAGAGAGACATTGTAAATAATCAAATAATGTAATTTTACATAATGATAAGTGCTATAAAGAAAATGATTGTTATAACCAGAATGGAGGAATCTGAATGTGCAATTAATTTGATTGCTGGTAGGAAAAAAAATCTTACTGGATGTATTAGTCTGTTCTCACACTGCTATAAAGGACTACCTGAGACTGGCTAATTTATAAACAAAAGAGGTTTATTTGAATCACAGTTCTGCAGGCTTAACAGGAAGCATAAATGGGAAGCCTCAGGAAACTTACAATCATGGTGGAAGGCAAAGGGGAAGCAATCACCTTCTTCACATGGCAGCAGGAGAGAGAGAAAGAGAGCAAAGGGAAAGGTGCTACACACTTTTAAACAACCAGATTTCATGAGAACTCTATCGCAAGACAGCACTATGGGGTGGCGCTAAACCATTAGAAATCACCCCCCACACCAGGGCCCACCTTCAACACATGGGGATTACAATTCCACATGAGATTTGGGTGGCGACACAGAGCCAAACCATACCATTTCACCCCTTGATCCTCCTAAATCTCATATCCTTTTCACATTTCAAAACATAATCATGCCTTCCTAACAGTCCTCAAAGTCTAAACTCATTCCAGCATTAGCCCAAAAGTCCAAGTGAAAAGTCTCTTCTGAGGTAAGGCAAGTCCTTTCTGCCTATGAGCCTATAAAATCTAAAGCAAGTTAATTACTTTCAAGGTACAATGGGGGACAGGCATTGGGTAAATATTCCCATTCTAAAAGGGAGAAATTGGCCAAAACAAAGGGACTACAAGATGCTTGCAAGTCTGAAACCCAGCAGGACAGTCATTAAAACTTTAAAAATAATTTATTTTGACTCCATGTGTCACATCCAGGCCACACTGATGCAAAGGGTCGGCTCTCAAGGCCTTGGGAAGCTCAACCCCTGTGGCTCTGCAGGGTGTAGCCCCTGTAGCTGCTTTCCCGGACTGGAATTGAGTGCCTATGGCTTTTCCAAGTGCATGGTTTAAGTTGTTGGTGGATCTACCATTCTGGGGTCTGGAAGATGGTGGCCCTCTTCTCACAGCTCCACTAGGCAATGCCCCAGTAAGGGCTTTGTGTGGGGTCTCCAATCCCACATTTTTCCTCTGCACTGCCCTAGTAAAGGTTTTCCATTAGGGCTCTGCCCCTGCAGTGGACTTCTGCCTGGACATTCAGGTTTCCATGTAGCCTCTAAAATCTAGGTGGAAGCTCCCAAACTCTTAATTTCTGTGCATCCACAGGCCCAACACCATGTAGAAGCCTCTAAGTCATGGGGCTTGCATCTTCTAAAACAATGGCCCAAGCTGTACCTTAACCCCTTTTAGCCACAGCTAGAGCTGAAACAGCTGGGACACAGAGTGCCATGTCTTGAGGTTGCACAGAGCAGCGGGGCCCTAGTCCTGGCCCATGAAGCTATTTTTCCTTCCTAGGCCTCCAGGCCTGTGATGGGAGGGGCTGCCACAAATGTCTCTGAAATTCCTTCTGTCATTTTCCCCATTCACTTGGCAATTAAAATTTGGCTCCTATTTACTTATGCAAATTCCTGCAGCCTTGAATTCCTCCCCAGAAAATGAGTTTTTTCTTTTCTATCACATGGTCAGGCTGCAAATTTTTCAAACTTTTTGCTCTGCTTCTCTTTTAAATATATGTTCTCTTTGTTTATGCAAATGAGCATAGGCTTCTAGAAGCATCTGGGCCATATCTTGAATGCTTTGCTGCTTAGAAATTTTTTCCACCAGATACCCTAAATTCTCTCTCTCAAGTTCAAAGTTCAACAGATCCCTAGAGCAGGGGCAGAATGCCGCCCATCTCTTTGTTAATGCATAGCAAGAGAGACTTTTACTCCAGTTCCCTATAACTTCCTCACCTCAATCTGAGACCACCTCACCTTGGACTTCATTGTCTATATCACTATCAGCATTTTGGTCAAAAATCATTCAAAAGTCTCTAGAAAGTTCCAAACTTTCCCACATCTTCCTGTCTTCTTCTGAGCCCTCCAAACTTTTCCAACCTCTGCCCATTACCCAGTTCCAAAGTCACTTCCACATTTTCAGTTATCTTTATAGCAGTATCCTACTCCCAGTACCAATTTTCTGTATTAGTTTGTTCTCACACTGCTATAAAGAACTACCTGAGACTGGATAACTCACAGTTCTGCAGGCTTAACAGGGAGCATGACTGGGATGCCTCAGGAAACTTACAATAATGCTGGAAGGCAAAAGGGAAGCAAGCACCTTCTTCACATGGCAGCAGAAGAGAGAGGTAGAGCAGAGGGGATAGTGCTACATACTCTTAAACGAGATTTCATGAGAAATCTATCACAAGATAGCACTAGGAGGATGGTGCTAAACCATTAGAAATCACCTCAATGATCTAATCATCTTCCACCAGGCCCCACCTCCAACACACAGGGATTACAATTCTACATGAGATTTGTGTGGATACCCAGAGCCAGACCACATCACTGGAATTGTTTTTGATCTAAGACCTTAATAATGATGATGATGATAATAATAATAATAATAAAAAGACCCAGTCATTAAAATATCTAGAGGAAGAATGTTCAAAACAGAGGAAATGGCAAACACAAATGAAAAGGGAGAGACGAGCTTGATGTGCACTAGAAACACCTGGGTATACATCCACCAGAAATGTGTACATATGGTAACCAAAAGAAGTCTAAACATGCATTATTCATGATAGCCTCAACCTGGAAACAAGTCAACAGTCTATCAATACTAGAATATATTAGAGAACATTGAAAAATATCATTACATACAACTATTTTTAGAGGAATTAAACAAATCGGACTTATAGTAAAAATCTGAAAAAAAAATCAGAAATGTCTTTAAAGGATGATAATATTATTAGTATTATTCATATTAGAATCATTACTTTTAAACCTATTCAATTTAGATTTCAAACTGTTATTAACATTCATAGAAATTTCATTAAACTTTCTAATTCAACTGAATATCATTATCAAAGGCAGTTTGTCTAGTACAGATTATCATCTTAGCAGTTTTCAATGCTGCAGGATTGGTTTGGTTCAACCAGCGCTGTCAAATAGAATTTTGTGTTGATGGAAATGGTCTGTATCTGTGTTTCCAGAGTGGTAGCTAGTAGTCACATAAAGCTGTTGAGCATTGAAATTTGGTTAGCATGACTGAGAAATTGAATTTGTACTTTAATACATTTTAGTAAATTATCATATTAAAATATAGAAACTACTGACATAATGAGACATTGTGGAAGCCCTATTTTTTTAACTCAACATTTTATATTATGCTTTGAGACTTGTAATAGCTTTATTTCTTTTGTGCTTCTATCTGTTCATCTCAGCATCTCTAAGCATAAGCCCTCAAACTTGCATTGGCCAAGGTGCAAATCTTTGAGTAACTACAGGCATTTATGATTAACCAAATCATCTTTCAAATAAAATATCATTACTTCCATTTTAAGGTACTTGTAATGTTCTTATGAAGCTCTGATGATGGGGTAAGGGTAATATAAGGAAAAAAAGAGTTTACAGAAAACTTGTCAGAAATATAGAAATTGTGAGATTGCCAGGCAATCATGCATATCACAGAACTCGTGAATAGAAAGTAGAATGGGAAGAACTGAGACTTTCATGATAATAGAAAACATGGGTACTTTGATTTTTTTCCTTAAATTCTCATTCTATCTTCAAGACTAAGTAGTTTCTAGTATTTATAATATGTATATGTCACATTCTTAGAAGATCAGAATATAAATAACTTACAGATATTATCATATAAACACAAATATGAATTCTATCCAAAAGAAAATATTCTAGCAAATAGAAATACAATGTGAAATGACGAGTTAAGCTCAAGTTAATTGAGGTTCCACACCTTGCTGATAATCACTCATTTGAAGGACTTGTTACAAAATAAGTTTCTGTGACATACGTTAGACCAAATGAATTAGAATCAATTTATAATATCAATAATGATAGTAATAATGAATAAGAAGTATAGAACATTGGCAAAGTAGGAATGGTCATCTATTCAGGAAATGTTTAAAAATATTTTCTTAATCAAATCAATTATATTCTTTGTTATATTGAAGAAGATAATTGTTTGATAAAAGAGCTAATTCCAACTTTCGGATACGATTTTTAGACTCCTGTCAGTATCATCCAACCAGCTGGATGACTTAGAGAGTCTTGATATTAAAGACAATGATTGTCCTAAATATTATGCTTTCTTACAAGGTATAGTGATACCAGAACACATTACCAGTGTTGGTTTGAGTTTACTATTCACTGTAACCCATCAGAACCATCAAAAATAAATTTTATGCATTGAGTAAATAAATACATATATTTAGCCTAAACTACATCCAGAAATATTAAAAATCACATTCATATATTTATAGAAATAACATAAAATTCCAGTTCTTTATTATTTTAAACACGCTACAGAAAATATTTGGCAATGTAAAAAAATCTTGAGACAGAATGATACAAAATTTACATTTCATTTCATATGCTAAACATCATAAAATTCTTTTTTTTCATTTTTTTCATACAGTATGCTGGTCATAAAGCCATTTTTTTGTAGGGAAGTTTCTGGTAACCTAAATAATTTTCACTGCATAAGGTTTCTAAGGATTTTAAGATTGTCAAACAAATTAAATAGCTGCTGAGACATTTTTTTATCTCCTGAATGATAGATGGAATCAGGGAACTTTTTAGCAGCAGAATCCCATGCTCTTATGGCAATTAATATGTTGTCCATGATGTTGTGCATGGCCCAGTATTGAAGTAACTTTTTATGAAGAAAAAGTTTGCTCTGCTCATTTGACCCACAGAGTAGAAAGGAATAGGAGGGGGAGTGAGAAAAAGGGAATATGAGATAAACCAAAAATACATTCGGAACAAAAAAAGCATGTTTCAGACAGTGGAATAAAATTGTGTGTTGTGATGTGCCCTATGTTATTTTATTCACAGTGTGAAAATGTTAAAATAGATGCTTATTTCCAAAGATGTGATTTACCTGTATTCAATCTAACATGAACAGTTTGATCAGCAACACAAGAGCAAAAGAAATAAAGCTTCAGTTCTAGAAGTGCTGATCTTTTCTGGATGGAGATAAGAAAACAAATGCTGTTTTCAGTAACTACACAACCAAGCAGAAGTCTGCTATTTATACCCGGAACAACTATATATAAGGAAAAGTCTGCTGATAAAGTCTGAAAATATCTAAAGTGATGATAGATGTCTTTACATTTTTATCTCATCGAGTAATTTTCTAAATTTTTACATAATCTAAACAGGTAGAATTAAAAGTGTTATATCTAAAACACAATAGTTTGATCATAGTTAAACTAATCATGTTTTTATTAACCCTGTTGTTTCATTTTTATTTTTCTTAACATGATAATTCTCTCTGATTCCTACTTAAAACAATTTTAAGTTAGCAGTGAAAAGAAGACTTTAGATTTGTATAATGCTTCACAATTTACAAGACATTATTCATACATTATCTTATTTTATCCTCCCAACAAGTATGTGAGGTAAGTGTTATTTCCATTTTAGATTATATGTAAATTGATGGTCATCTAGTTAGTTTATGTAGAAGCCAGGGTTTCTTTCTCATTTATATGAAAAAGTCCCTTAATACTATTTTTTCACTGTGACTATATTTTTTGGTATTTCAATGCAAATAGATGATGTGGAAGCTGATTAAATATAACATTCTCAGAATTTTAAGAAAATGATAATATATAACTTATAATATTGGATTTCAAATAAATTTTATTTGTTGAAATACTAGACTTATAGCACAGAGCTGTTACCTTTTTTTTTTTTTTTTTTTGAGGAGAAGTCTTGCTCTTGTCGCCTAGGCTGGAGTGCAATGGCACGATCTCGACTCACTGCAACCTCTGCCTCCCGGGTTCAAGTGATTCTCCTGCCTCAGCCTCCCCAGTAGCTGGGATTACAGGGGCCTGCCACCATGCCCAGCTGATTTTTGTATTTTTAATAGAGATGGGTTTTCACCATTTTGGCCAGGCTGGTCTCAAACTCCTGACCTCAGGTGATCCGCCTGCCTCGGCCTCCCAAAGTGCTGGGATTATAGGCGTGAGCCATCGTGCCCAGCCTACCTATTTTTAGAAATACTATATTTTGTTATTTAAGAAGGTGGACTAATAAATTCTGGAAATTTTGGATACCTCCTTTGCTCTTTTTTAATGCAACACTTCCACATATGTTGCAATGCAACTTTCCACATACTGAAAATAAATAAATTTATGGTGTGGGAAATTGTAATCCCTCTTAACAAATAGAGAAGAATTAAGCATCAGTAAACATTGTCAATACATACCACAAACTCTTTAGGAATTTTAAACAAATTTATTTTTTTTTGGAGTTCCAGTGGGCTTTTATTGAGATAAATTAACAAAAACCAAGATTTTACCATATTTTTTGAACCTTATAAACTCAGCAGACTCTGGTCCATATATGTATACATACAACATAACACATCCCAACAAAAACAGAGCCCCCCACTGGAACATCTGCCAATTAAGAGAAAGCCAATTTTCCCTTCCCCTGATGTTTCTGAAATTTTGAGTTCCCACTGTTCACTTCTCAGTGGAACTGGTCCCTTGTGGCTAGGGACATTGGAATTCTCTACCATTTTTACTTAAACAAATTTATACTTTAAATATAATCACCAAAAATTTTTTAAAGTACATTAAATTTTCATTGAAAGTAGAGGGAGGTAAAATCATTAGGTAAACATATTCAGTATCAGTCAACAAAAATAATTTTCTTTTTTTTTTGGTGTTTATTATATGTATATGTCCCCCCAAAATCAGTTTTGGACAAAATACTAACATTCTTGATACTACTGGTACCCCACTCTTTAAAATGGATAATCTAAGTAATCTTGTAAAATATTATTTCATAAAAACAAAGTCATGGCTACTGAAATAGTTCGTAGGAATTCTGACTGCCCATACTTATTTAACTCAAAATTTAAATTAATTGTAGAAATAAGTGTTGTAAACACAGTTCTTAATGCTAGAAGTAGAGAATCATGTGATACTGAAAGTAAGAGCAATAAAGATGAAAAGAAATATAAATTTTTCTGTGTGTATGCTTGCACATATGGGTCTTATTTTCTTTTTTCTCTATTTATTTCCTCATTTCTGAAATAGGGTAAAATCTCTCTTCCCCAAATGGTAACATGAACAAAATATAGTGGACTTGATACCAGTTTTAGGAGGAAAGTCATCTGATTAGAGTAATTCATACTAAGTGTACATGGTTAATGTTATCATGGCCTATAAGATTTATATTCTTAAAGGAAGATCTCTTAACATAATTTATTAATTAATTGAATTATTTCAAATGAATAACAAGGTGACATTTAATTTTAATTTTTAATGACTTTATATTTTGAGAGAAATTTTAGGTTCTCAGCAAAATTAAGAGGAAAAGATTTCTCATATACCCTCTGCCCCACACAAACTTATACTCTCTATCAACATCCCTCATCAGAGTAGTACATGGTTAAACTCAATGAGCCTACCTTGACACATCATTATCACCCAAAAGCCATATTTACATTAGGATTCATTCTTGGTGTCATATATTTTATAGGTTTGGACAAATGTATAATGATATGTATCCACCATTATAGTTATCATACAGAGTCGTTTCACTGCCCTAAAAATCTGTGCTCCACCTATTTATCCCTCCCTCCCTGTAAGCCCTAGCAACCACTGATCTTTTATTGTCTCCACAGCTTGGCCTTTTTCAGAATGTCATCTAATTGGAATCATATGGTATCTCACATTTTCATTTTGGCTTCTTTCACTTGGTAATATGCATTTAAGCTTCTCCCATGACTTTTCCTAGCTTGGTAGCTCATGCCTTTTCAACCCCTAAATAATATGTCATTGTCTGGATGTCCTACAGTTTATGTGTCCACTCACCTACTCCAGGATATCTTGGTTGCTTCCAGATTTTGGCAATTAGGAATAAAGCTGCTATAAATATCTATGTGCAGGTTTTTGTGTGAACATAAGTTTTCAACTCCTTTGGGTAAATATCAAGTAACAGAGATGTTGAATTTTATGGTAAGAATGATTAGTTTTATGAAAAACTGCCAAAGTGTCTTCCAAAGTGGCCACTTCGTTTTGCATTACCACCAATGAGCAAGAGTTCCTATTGTTCCACAACTGTCACCAGCATTTGGTGTTGTCAGTGTTCCAGATTTTGGCCATTCTAATAGGTGTGTAGTGATATGACAATATTTAAGGTCATGTGAGAGACAAATGTATATATGGGTTAATAATTAAAACCAAAAATAATAATTTTTCCTATGTGTAGAATTTTGAGGTCAATCATCCTTGGCTCTTCCAATTTTTAATTTTTCCCCCTTCCTTGCTTTTTGACCACACAGACTATCATTAAGATTTCTTTCCAGTTTTCAGGACAAGAACGACTCTCATTTTGGCGTTGGTAAAATGACTTACAAAGACTTACAACGTGTAATTGCTTATAAGTTTTTCAGCTTGAATGTTTGGTCTTGGCCAGTCAGCCAATCGTTACTCAACCTTGAAAGATTCAAAGAACTTCATTAAGGAGTTTCTGCTTTTGTTATAAAGAAAAGAGGGCTAGGTGTGGTGGCTTATGCCTGTAATCCCAGTGCTTTGGAAGGCCGAGGTGGGAGGATCACTTGAGCCCAAGAGTTTGAGGTTATAGTGAGCTATGATCATGTCACTGCACTGCAGCCTGAGTGACAAAGCAATACCTTGTCTTAAAAAAAATTAGAGGCGGGTGGATCATGAGGTCAGGAGATCGAGACCATCCTGGCTAACAAGGTGAAACCCCGTCTCTACTAAAAATACAAAAAAAAAAAATTAGCCGGGCGCGGTGGCGGGCGCCTGTAGTCCCAGCTACTCAGGAGGCTGAGGCAGGAGAATGGCGTGAACCCGGGAAGCGGAGCTTGCAGTGAGCCGAGATTGCGCCACTGCAGTCCGCAGTCCGGCCTGGGCGACAGAGCGAGACTCCGTCTCAAAAAAAAAAAAAAAAAAAAAATTAGATCATACTCTTTTTGCCAAAATATAAAATAATAAAAATAATTAAAGAAAATAGGGCTAATCTATTTTACAGGCATGGATCACAGTAAATATGCTTATCATTTTTTTATCATGAAATATGCTGAGAATTTACATAAATAGCCTTTATAAAATATGAAGAACATTTATTATAGGACAGCTGAAGGATTTGGAATGTTAACTACAGAATAAAGCACAAGGCAAGGCTTTTCCAATAAATGCCTTAGGAATCTCAGTGGTTCACGGCTAATTATCATTATTTCATTTAGGAGAGGTCAGGTATCTTACAATTGTGATATAGGTACTACCATAATGGTCACTGAGTAATATTTATGTGAAGTTACTGAAGGAGCTCTCACCTTTGTAGAAATATTTTGCCTAAAACATTTGTTTACATAAAAGAAGCATTTTCAGTGTGCAATCTCTGCTACTAAAGGTAATGCTGAAGACTAAATTCTGCATGAATGCACTAAAAACTGATAATAAAAGCAATTTACTAAGCATTAGTATAATCCAAGGATCACACTAGCTGCCTCCTAGTCTTTTGAAAAGTCTCTATTTTTAAAAGTGAAAACCACTTATTCTTTAAATTAAATGCCTCTACATCTTGCAACAATATCCTATTTCTATATTCATTTGGCTTTGGATTTTTCTTGAAATGTTATAATGTTAAATTAATTTATATGCTATTGCTTAACCCAGAAAATATTCTCACTGATAAGTGCAAGTATTTTACAATGGTAAAATTAGGTGATTTTCCTTATACAGTAATAAGAGTTGTTTTAGCTACATGATGCTACAATGAAAATAGCATACTTAAAAATGATTTATATCTCTTTAACTGAATCCAGTGAAGATAAATCATTGTGATTAAAGTTTCATCTCTTCGTAATTACCATGAACTAAAGCCAATAGCTATTGGCTATCAGGTACTGCCAATGTCGGTAATCAATTCAATGGATTTTTAAGAATAATCAATAGGTTTCATAACAATGCAAATTATCTAATAGTATTTTTTGATAATTAAACAAATAATCTATTGACCTTTTTCCTTTTTACTTTTTGTTACTTTTGCTTGAGGTCAAATAATACGTTAGTACAGGCTTCTTTCACACATTTCATTAGCAGCAAGTTGACATGCCATTTAAATCTAAATTGGAGAAAACATCTTTAAAATTAAGTATATTTTTATTATTTATGAATATTATATTAACAAAATTCTTAATTAATATCTAGTATCTTTTTTGAGTAGCAAGGTAATCACAATCATTGTATGGTGTGTGTGTGTGTGTGTGTGTGTGTGTGTGGTGTATTTTAGTGGCCCTGATATAACAAGCAAAAGGTGCTCATATTTAGGAAAATGTTAAATTCTGTATAGCAATTGCATAGTGGCATAAGTGGTAAGGCTTGCACTTTTAAGTAGTACACATTAAGCATCTTATATCAACTATTAGTAATATATATAACAATATTAAAACGATTCTAAGTTTGTAAATAGGTTCCAGTGGATATTCTCTAATAATAAAACACTTTGATAAGAAGTTTATTTCCCCCAAACTGTGCCTTAACAAAACAACCTCATGAAACAAACATATCAATCTTAAGATTATGAAGTCAGTTCTTACTACAAAAGTTCTGGGTACATTGCAAAAGTGACTAAAAGTGTTTTGAGGAGAATTTCTGATTAACAACAACAACAAGTCTCTGGGACCTAAATGCGTGAACCACTTAGTCAAAATACTAAGACCACTAGTGCTGGGAAAAAAGTAAAAAAAATAAAAATAAAAATCCTAATTTATTACTTGTCTGGCAAGGTAGTGCTGCATGACCCAAAAGAAAGTTTAATAAGGCTCTCAGGATTACAAGTGGAAACACTTAACATAGCTTAAAAAGAAAAAGTATATGGAAAGGATTGTAAATTTTTCTTTGGGACCAGTCACGGTACTACTTTATCAACAAAAATGCATATTTCTCACCCTGGTTGGAATATATTGCCTAGAGCTCCTGTACACTCAAGGTCACATAGCAGGCACACTCTGACATACATGCCTGAAGACTGAAGAGCTTTTCTTTAACAGATTTCCTGATGCAAACAAATATAATTCCATACTCAAGGAAAGAAGGATGAAAAGTAAGAAAGGACCTTCAAGTGATTTTTTTGTCTTTAGTAACCGACATCAAGAAAGAGTACATAAAGCATAAGTCTACACTCCTTGGCACTGCTTGGGAAATTTTAACAAAGAGAATTGGCCTTTGGACATCCTCCAGATTAAGAAATAGTATATTACCAACAAAAATTCACCCACAAGCCCCCCCCCACAAGTCACTAGCACCTAAAGGTAACTACTAATCTGACTCATTTCATCATACATAAGTTTTGTCTTTGCTTGGTCTTCATATAAATAGAATCATAAAACATATTATCTTTGTACCTGGCTCCTATTTCACAACAATATGCCTCTGAGACTTAACTATATTGTTGCATATGGCAGTAATCTATTCTTTTGCATTACTGTTGAATATCTCTTTGTATGAATATACCACAATAATTTTATCTACCTTTACCATCCACAAGGACATAATAATATCCTTAGATTTTCTTCTAAAAGGTGTGTTATATTTTATATTTCATATGGAATTGATATTTTTGTATGATGGAGGGCCAAGATTATCTCTTGTTCTTGTATGAATAGCCAAGTGATCCAGTGTTATTTACTGAGAAGACCCCCATTTCTCCACTGCTCAGGACTGCTACCTTTGTCATAAATCAAGTACTCATGTAAGTATGAGTACGTTTTTGTGTCTCTATTCTGTTTTATTAATCTGTTTGTGTCTCTTTGGTAAAAAATAGGATCTCAGCTGAGTGCACTGGCTCATGCCTATAATCTCAACATACTGGGAAGCTGAGGTGGAAGAATTGTTTGAGGCCGGGAGTTTGGGACCCACCTGGACAAACTACAGAAACCCCACCTCTAGAAAGAAAAAAAAGAAAAAAAAGAAAACATGATCTATTAATCATTATACCTTTATAGTAAGTCTGTCTAGGAATGTTGCTTCTCCAGGTAGACTTTGGTACTTTAAAATTGTCTTAGTTTTGCTAATTTCATTTCCATATAAATTTTAAAATAATCTAGGCAACTGCCCCCTTAAATTACATTTTTTGATATTTTAATTGAGTTTGCCTGGAACAATTTCTGCCCAATAAATTTTTGTTGAATGAATGAATGAGCAGGATAGCATAATAAAGATATTTTTAAAGTCTTCCTGTAGAGCCTTCTTATATGAAATATTCTCTGCAGCACCAAAATGGGGTCGGAAAAATAAATATCCTTATAATCATCCAATTGAATTCATTTTGTTCCCTTAGTATATATTATTAGAGCACAATTCAGTGTCAGACACTGTGCTGGCCACTGGGTACATAATGTGAACTAGATTGAGTTTGAGATTTTAAATCAATCTCAAAAGAAGAACCAGTATTAAATTACGTACTATTACTGCACAATATCAACAAAGTTGTTTTTTTAAATGTGTTATTTTCCACTTTTTCTAATTTTAATTATTAATAGCTTAATTGATACCCTTGTTTACTTTTTTAAAAAAATAAACTTTTTTTTTTTTTTTTTTGAGGCGGAGTCTTGCTCTGTTACCCAAGCTGGAGTGTAGTGGCCTGATCTTGGCTCACTGCAACTTCTGCCCCTGGGGCTCCAGTGATCCTCCCACCTCAGCCTCCTGAGTAGCTGGGACCACATGCACTGGCCATCACACGTGGCTATTTTTTGTATTTTTAGTAGAGATGGGGGTCTCACCATGCTTCCCAGTCCGGTCTCAAATTCCTGAGGTCAAGTGATCTGCCCACCTCGCCCTCCCAAAGTGCTGGAATTACAGGCCTGAGCCACCATATCCAGCCAAATAAATACATTTTTAAAGAGGAAAAACAATGTATAGAACCTGGTAATAATCTGAGACAAATGGTCTTGCAAAAAAGAAGCCTGAAAATTAATTATATAAGCAAAATTCTACCATGTAGTATATGGTTTCTTTCTAAAATTATTTTATAAGGAGGTAATAAATAATTTGATAAGCCACACCATATGAAGTGTCGATACTTCCACAATCTTGTTGTTTGGTAACCTGCAGTGACTTTTATTATTACTTTTATTACCACCAGAGGACAGAACTGGCAATGGCTGGGAAGTTTTGTTTCCTCTGGTTTTTCCAGGTTAAATGTACAAAAAGAAAACACACATTGTCAAAGTAACTGGTACACAATGGTACTAAAAGACAGAAAAAAACTAAACACAACAAAATTCACTGTATCCTTAATATTTGGGAATGCTGATATAGGGGATATAGATATAGAGGTCTATGAAAAGAATTCGGCAGTTACTGATGTATCAAATACCCATTCTGTGTAAAAAAAAAAAAAAAAATTCATGACAGGGCTAACAAAATCAAAAGCGCTGAAGCTGTCTATTGGAGCATAACAACATACTTACAGGTTTCTGTGGCAAATTTATGGAGAGTTTTTTTTTTCCTATTCCTTAGTAGATAAGAAGTAAAGGACAGTCTTTAAAAGTTAATTTTGGAGAGTATGACAGCAAGAAAGCATAATCTTTTCAACTAAATGGAAACTTTAATATTAATATATTTTTGAAGACATATAAATACATGTTACTTCCTGAATTGTTCTAAAATGAAATTATTTGGTCTAGTGCAGTGGCTTATGCCTGTTATCCCAACAGTTTGGGAGGCTGAGGAAGGCAGATCACTTGAGTCCAGGAGTTCAAGACCAGCCTGGCCAACATGGCAAAAGCCCGTCTCCACTAAAAATACAAAAAATTAGCCAGGAGGGTGATGCACACCTGTAGTCCCAGCTACTTGAGAGGATAAGGCACAAGAATCACTTGAACTCGACCTGAGAAGTGGAAATTACAGTGAACTGAGATCACAGCACTGCACTCCAGCCTAGGCAACAGAGCGAGGCTCTGAAAAAGAAAGAAAAGAAAAGGGAAAGGGAGGGAAAGGAAGGGACAGGAGAGGAGAGGAGAGGAAAGGAAAGGAAAATAATTTTACAGTAGTTTGAGATTTAGCAATCGCAAGTGAATTTACTATTTCAAGACTAAGACAACATTCTCAACAACAAAAGAATAATCCAAATGAAACAATATAGAAATTCATGTGTGTTTGTATACACACGTGTATGTATATATTTATTTTTTTAAAATTCTGTGTGTAGTATTTGGTACTTTGTTTCGTGAATGAAAACGTCAGGTGTACACATTGATTAACAATGATTTATTATATTTCCAAGTGTCCTCAGATCTAATATGAAAATATTTTAATCCTGGATCATTAAAATAGAGCCTTGGTGTATAAGATGAAAAATATTTAGTACCCACAGCCAAATACTTACAATTACATTAGACAGTTTTCAAACAAAAATAGGTAAAAATAGATATATTTCTGACCTCATGTAGAGGATTTCCTGTTTATGGAGCCAACGATTATGTGTGTGTGAAATAAGCCTAAGAAAAACTTTTCAAGATTGAGGAACAAAGAGTTTATTTAAACTCTGACATAGCTAACATAGTAAAAAATTTTAAGTGTTTTATTGAATTAAATAAATTGGATGCATCAATTTTGACATGTTACTTTTCTATTTCGAAAGCTAAACTCTTGGAAATTATGACAAAATATGATATGGGATGATTGGCTATGAAAAATAGTAAGTAAATTATTGCTCCCCAAAGGTAAGAAAACTTAAATGTTTATACAGACATCCTGTCAATTCCATACCAAAAAAAAAAAAAAAAAAGGACAGGTAGAGGTTCTACAGATCCTTTGCGATTTCAACTTCTCAACTCCTCATGGAATTACTACATACTCCCCCTCTTTCCTAAAGGAGTTTTAGTTCCTCCAACCGTATCTCCTCAAATAATAGTGCCAGTGTTTTTGTGCTTCAGATAATCTGTGCCCATGGGAAATTGAATAAAAGAATAACTCTGAATCGAGTCTTTATTCCAGAAGGCCAATATGATAGTCTTCTATTGTCATTCATCAGAGAATACTTTCATGTCTCTAAAAACACTCAACCTTCTTTCTGGAATGCCATCCATACTTTGATTTTCACTGGCATCATAAGAGGCTCTTTTTTACCCCCATCCACACATAAATCATGTTAATTTGCTACATTGTATCAAAATGGCAACTTCCATCTATTTCTGGAGTATAACCTCAGGAAAGCAAAGATCATCTATTTTCTTTTTCACTTCTGTATTCTGTGTTATCCCAATATTTGGAAAATAAATAAGCTTTTGGTTCAATAAATTTTAAATGATTAGATAATGGAAATTTTGATAAAGTGCTTAATAAATATGTTTGTTATTGAGTATCCAAAGAGATATAGTCCTTGCTTAAGAAAATTAAAATTTTGAAGATGCAAGGAAGAGAGGTTAATGTTCTTAATCTCAAGCTCTTGCATATCAATAAAAAGGCAACTAAATGAACAGAAAAAATGAACAAAGAACATAATTATGTAGTTCCCTTATAAAATGTTTTATAATGGTAAATATTTATAATGTCTTTATTGTGTCTTAGGAACTATAAAAGTGATTTACAAATATTAACCTGTTTAATCCTCACAAAAGCAAGTTGTAGATAATACCACTATCATCCCATTTTATGCAGGAAGAAAGTGAGGTGCACAGAAGTTACTTGGATATGGTCACACTGCTATTAAAGGCTGGAGTTGAGATTAGACAGTCTGGCTCCAAACCCTGAACATTCAACCACTATTCCACATTGCTCTAAAAACAATATAAACAAGAAAAAATGATCTACCCTGCTAAAAAAAATGGAAATTTAACAAGAATTGGTGACACATTTCAGCTCAATCTAACAGAGTTGTAAAGACCGATAAACAGGTGGTCCGTATACTGTGGCAGGAAATGTAAATTGGAGGGCAATTTGGCAACATCTATCAGATGTACTATCATATGTGTGCAAAGAGACATACACAAGGAAGTTTAAGACAGAATTGGATAAGTAAAAAATCTGAAAATTACCTAAATCCAAAGGAAAGTTTCCTGGTTACACATATGCTACTATATCCACATAATGAAATAATGACCGCTGTTAAGAAATACAAAAGCAGGTATGCAGATACATACTGATATGAAAAGTTATCTTTAGTATGATTTCAACTAAAACAAAAATCAAATTACTGACAACAATATATTTTTAAAGTTTATGTTAATTATATATATTAATATGTATCCTTTATATATGTTTAAATCTCTGGAAGGATATGCATTAAAATATTAGCAGTGATTATATCAATAGAATTGAATTGGGGTGCTGAAAGATAGATAGATTTGGGGACATTTTAGTTTTTAAAATGTACATTTCTCTGCTAAATTTATTTTAATGAGTATATATCACTTTAATATTATAAATAATTAGATAATGATGTGATATAAACCTCTTATCATTTTTTTGTAAACATTAAAGTAACACACTACCCAAAATAAACACAGCGGCATCCCCATGTGCAAGGGAGACCCAGATCCAAGCTACCCATCCCCAGCAGGGCTCTTCCATTCAGAAATATGGAGTCTCGTATCTGTTTGTCTGTTTTGGCCCCACTTAGATTCATTAGAGAATTTCTCCTGGCAAACAAACTCTGATGATATCAGTCTTACAAAGAGATCCTCAGGGCTTTTCTTCATGTTACTTAGTGTGGCAATTCCACAAAACAACAGCATAGCATAAGTTTCTGAAATTGCCGTTAGCTTCCCGAGAGTGGGAGCTCAGGTGGCATTTTCTTTCCTTGTCTCCTGGTTCTATGTGTTAATGTAATATTATGTTTCCCTGGAGGACTATTATAGGCCTACCATCTCTTTCTTGGGAACTTAAATGGATTGACCACATGTCATCAGATCTCAACCCATACCATGTTTTGCCATCATTATCAGTAGTATTTAGTGCCCACAAAGAGGACACAAATGATGAAGCATTTAATATCCAAGCAAAAAGGCTTTTTCTTCTCTACCCTTTTACCAAGCCAAACTTTATCATTTCTATACTACAAGCAGTTTTCTCCAACAAAAGAAAGTCAGCAGGCTAGAACATGGACCACATAAAAAGAAAGGTTTACACAGCTAAAATATACAGAAGAATAATTTGTTTTTCTTCGTCTTTATTTTCTGGAAGATACACATTCATAAGAAGTGTTGGTAACAACATATATAGCAAATACTAAAAGGATGGCAATGCAACACAATTTGTAGACATGGCAAGAGATGAAGAGGAGGCATCATAATTTAAGGAGGGTGGAAGATTTTAGGGAAACAATTCACTATCTTGAAAACTGGTACATAAAAAAAAAATCAAGGCTTTATCTTGCCATTCCTATATTAACTTTACTATAGGATAACCAAATAATGGATACAAAGACATTATTGAATAAGCATATCCCCATTTTTCAACTTCCAGTAGCTCAGGTTCTTCAAAGGATACATTGTTAAAAGAGAAAAATTAACAATGCTTTTAAAATAGGCAACACTAAATTACAGTGTCCCAGATGTCCTCTTGATTGTCAAAACTATAAGAAATGCAAAGGTGATTAGTGTGTGAGTCAAATAGTAGTTACTTTTGAGGGATCAAAAGGGATATGATTGGGATGGGGTATATGGAAGAGATTTTAAGATGAGACTGACAATATTCTATATTTTGGCCTGTGTGGTGGGTACGAAGGCATGTAACTTATACATCTGTGGTGAGTTTTTCAGCATCTATGTTTCATCTTATAATAAAAAGGAAGAAAATACCTGTCTATGTCTTTGTCCCACTCCCAGAGTCTGACTTTACTGATGGAACAGAGATAGAGCATTGGAAGGTTTGTTAAATCTCCACAGGTGATTTTTAACATGTAAATATATTTTTTCTCTGCTGCTACAATGGGTTGAAAACATGAGATCTTTGAACTTGTGAAGCTTATAGTATATACCAAACCAAAAAGGGTATTTTGTGCCACATTAAGGCATTCAGATCTATTTCAGAGGTATATCATGGAAAAGACTTACATGGTTGTATTTTTTTTTAAATAAAAACAACCATTCTCTAGTCACTGATTATTTCTGTATCAACAACGTAATATCTAGCATTTCCCAAAGTCATCTCCAGTATTTGCAGATCCATGAAGCTAAAGACAAGTCTAATTTTTCTTTTTCTATACTTTCAAATTTTCTTATGCTTAAAATATCTAAATGTTACATATTATATAAATTATGTTAAATATTACCTTATATAATACTAAATATAAGTTTTCATTTATAACTTTATATTCTCTATTAAAGACCCTTGCTAAATAAACCTCCTCCCACAATGACCAAGCTCTTATATTTCTTCAGTTTTTAGATTGCTTTTCTTGTATATGTTTGTTCTAACCTGAAAAGCTTTTCCTTCTTCACCTTGTTTGAAATGTAAAATCTTCAATACTCTATTACTGCAGGTCTACCACATTATATATTTTGTAAATGATCTAGGCCCCTTGATTCTCTTTTTTTTTTCTCACTGTTCATGTTCTTATTTATTGGCCTTTCTTTTGTTTATTTAGACTTCCTTCAGAGGATAGTTTAGAAAATGAAAATTAATTGCCATCCAAATCCAGTTCTTTCATGCTTGTTACAATTTCTAATAAAAAGTCTGCTAGAACACAGAGTAGATAAAAATGTCTGCATTTCTGGCCATAAATAAACAGGCTCTCTCTGTTTAAACTAATGGTAATGCTACATCATTGTGGGAGCCTAGATTTTTGGTTTTCTTAATGCATGTAACAGTTTTGCACTGTTATAATCATATTTTCAAAGAAGTGGTCGCCAGTAAAGATGCGATAAAACCCAGGCAATTAATTTGGTACCCTGGTCTAAACCAACATATTCTCTGCAATTATACAGAATTGAGTTAGTTTACCTATCAATACTAATAAAACAACAATTAAGGACTATAAGGGTAAATATTTTAATAATATATTTATTACCCTTTTGATTATAAGCCTATGATCCAAAATATTCTACTCTAGCATTAAACGACTTGTTTCATTTTGCCATTTTTCTATAACCATCATCAACGATAACAAAATCAAGAACTCCAGTAGATGCAATTTATTTTAGGAGGGCACAATCCAAAGCTAAAAACAACCCTCATGTGTCCTCACCACAGAGGCTAGCCACACACCTGCTGATACTGCAGCAAACTCTAAGCTTGTAAGTGAAAGTCTATTTTAACTCTTCACCACTCTTAAATTATATTGTATTGCTGCTCCTAAAGCAGGATAAGAAACAGAAGAGAAAGAAATGTTGTAAATGTCTTGATATTTATCTATGTGTCTCAAAAAAACTTTAGTCATGAATCTTATTTTCTTTAAAATCTGATATTAAAGTTTAGAATCATTACACCATGAACATATTTTCTAGCTAACTACTAAATATCTTAGGTGAAATACATTTTTATTCTTGACTACCAGTGAGTGCATCATAGTTAAAGTCAATAGCCAGGAAGTACTAAAAAGACCATTATATTTCAATCCCAATAGAATCTGTAATATTACATAAGTCCATCTTTGATTGGCTAAAGTTCCTAATTAATGATATTCTTTGTATCACAAGAGCGCTTTAGTTCATATCAAAACACCCGGAAGAATTTGATCAAAATAACTACTTTGTCCAGCATAACCAAATGCATGGTTTTGGGTGAAGAAATTTTCAGCTGTTGAAGGTTATTTTTTCCAAATATTCTTTTTCACATTAAAATCTTAGCTATAACACATAATTTTTTCTTCGTAAATGGAATATATCAAGTATAATTTAACTTTATGAATTTAAATAGTATCTCTACTATAGATATGTGATTACTTTAGAAGATATAGATTTATAAATCTGTTTGTTTCTGTAAATTGTTGTCTGTCTTTAGTACTTTTGTCCCTATAACCTTGAATTTGCCATTTGCTTGTTTCTCTGCAATCAAAATAACAGAGATATTTACCAAAAATATACATTTCTACTCTTGACCTTTTGAATAAGAATCTATGGATAAAGATGGCAATATACTTCAATTATATCTTAAATATATTTCATTATACTTCTAGTTTTATTCAACCAAAGACAATTTATAATAAAACAATGCTTGCAAATAGGAATTTTCTATATACTGCTATGAATTTTAACCCTTAAAAAGAGAAGCAAAAAGCACCTAAGAACTGCATATAAAGGGTGGATTGTGGGAAAGTAATGACACCTGCAACTGATAAAGAAAAGCATTCCACCCTCAGGAGTGGCCAAGAGAAACTTTACCAAAGAAAAGTGAAAAGAGAACACCCAGGCATAAAAGATTTGAGACCAAAAATGTTGACAGTTCTTTGAGAGGGAAAATGGGGAGTCCCAATAAGAAAGGATCACCTCCATAGAGGCATGTTTTTAGTAGAGAAAAACACAAATGTGTCCAGGAGCAGTAGCACATATGAGCTATAGCACATACAGGCTCATGTCTGTAATCCCAGTGCTTTGGGAGCCCAAGGCAGAGGGATTGCTTGAGGATAGAAGTTTAAGACTAGCCTGGGCAACATAGAGACCTCGTCTCCATAAAAAATACAATACACAAAAATTAGCCAGGTGTGATGCTGTGTGCATGTGGTCCTAGCTACTCAGGAGGCTAAGGCGGGAGGATCCCTTTAGCCCAGGAGTTCCAGGTCACTGAGCCATGATTATGCCACTGCTGTTGGGTCTGGGCAACAGAGTGAGATCCTGTCTCAATAAAAAAATTAACAAAAAAACAAGTATGTAAACGTTTCAGAGAATTTGATTACTAGGGTTTTACACGTTTTTGTTTACATGATAATATGCCAGTGGCAGGACGTTGGGAGTGGCCACTGCCATCACACCAGATGTAAGGGGAAGCTCTGCCTGGTGGTGACAGGAGAACCTGTGGGAGCAGCAGTGGCAAAAGTGGGATCCCTGTGACCCCCATCCCCTGTGCCCCCGTGTTCCTGAGGCAGCCGTCTGCACCACCCCTACCCTCGTTCAGCAGGCAGGACCGCAACCAGGCCTGGCACCTCCGTGTCTCTAGATCCTGGCCCTGTGTCACTGCTCTCACCCACTGCCGCTGCAGGAGGGCATGAGGACAAGGTGGACAGTCCCCAGAGCCTGCCCCTGGGAGCCCCCCAGAGCCCTCCACGATGGGGCAGTTAAGAGTCATCTGCAACTGTGGGGACAGACAGTGTGGATGGGCATGGAGGAGCGGACAGAGAGCAGCCCCGAGGTAAAGCTGGGCCCCGGGTGGTGCCGCACTTGCATATGGAGCATGGGGGCCAACCTGGGGTGCAGAGTTGTGGCCACACTTTGGGGACCCAGGGAGGCAGGTGGGCGTGGAGCCTGCTTCTGAGACCTGGCCAGTGGCATGGCCACTGCATCCATCTGGCTTGAGGAGCTACCAGATGTGGGCTCCCTAAAGCACTACATGTCTTCTCTCCTTCTCTTCACCCACAATGTGGCAAGCAAGGGGCATGTTTCATCAATGGTTGTATTACAGCTTTTTCAGCCTCGCCATTCAGTGAGTCCTGAGTTCTTGTCCTGAAAGCAGGAAGAATGAGGTACGCAGACACGTGGAGGGTCAGCAAGACAAAGAGGAGCTTTACTGAGCAATAGAACACCTCAGAGAAGACCTGCAGTGAGCAGCTCCTCTCCACAGCCAGGTGTCCTGATGAGTGTTGAGCACCTAGCAGAGAGGGTAGCCAATCTCTGTAGCTGGCTGTCCAATAGTCTGCAGCTTTCAGCAGAGAGGAGTGCACAGAATGGGTGACTCCTCTCTACAGGCAGGTCATCCTGTCATCTCTGCAGCTCTCAGCAGAGAGGGTAGCTCCTCGCCACAGCTGGTCAACCCATCATCTCTGTCTTCTGCTCTGTTCTGGCTGAGACCAGGGTTTTTATGGGCCTCAGAGGGGAGGAAGTGCATGCTGATTGGTTCATGGGTGGCCATAAGTGGGCCTGGAAAAGGCACCACAAGTCCCCACTGAAGGTGTGCCCTGAAGGTGGGGCCTCACCAGGGACCTACCCCCGTCTGCCCAGGAGCTTGTCTGCCTCCTGCTGCCTTCCATGGTGCCCAGGCTGCTCACACCAAGGGGCATCTGCAGGCCAGTGCTGAGCTGCCCTCAGCACTCCCTCCAGCTTCCCCTCCATGCTTGTCAGTGCCCAAAATCTGGAGGCGGCTGAGTGGCAGGGGGCTCAAGTGTTAGTGCTGCCCCGAGTGTGTGCACACCCAGCTTGGTTGTGACAGTGTCTGGGCTTGGCTCCAACCTTGCTCCAAGATAAGAGAGGGCACTGGGAGTGGGCAGAGGCCAGGCAGCAGGAGCAAACACCCCCAAACCTGCAGGGGCAGCAGGGGGCTTTGCAGGTCCCCAAGGGTGCAGACTACAGAGATGCCCGAATACTGCACCTGGGAAGATGGGGGTCCCGCCCACCTGTCTTGTGACTCTGACCATGGGGTGCCTCCAGGAGCAGATCACAGGCCCTGGCCCAGCCATAGGGAATGTCAGGCTCAGCAGTCATCTCGATGGAAGGCAGACCCTGGGGACATGGCCCCAGGTGACCCTGTACAGGGTCTCCTCCCGAGATGCAGGAACCCGGTGCCCTCAGTGGGGTGGGCCTGGTGACCACACTGCTGGCCAAGTCCCCAAAGCGAGCACTCTCCCACTTCCTGTGCCAGGTCCCCAAAGCACAGCCCCAGCTCAGCACCCCAGGCCCAGCACCCACTTTCTGTGTGCAAGTGTGGCAGTGCCCTGGGCTCAGCTCTGTCTTGGGGCCCTTCTCTGCCCAAGTGCACTGCTCCCCCACAGGTGGGCAAGTCGGCCCAGCCTGATTATGGTGGCCCCCAGCGCAGCAGGCTCCAGGGATTATCTGCTTTCTCCCCACACCCTCCTCGCAGCAGCAGCATGTGAGAGTAGTGGCATGGGCCTGGGGTCCAGAGCGATGGACACTCCAGGCCTGGGGCAGGTCCCACCTGGCTATATGAGGGTGAGGGCAGTGCAGTTGGCTCCCTCAGGGATGTGAAGAACAGGGGATGTGGGGCACAGGGGTCCCGCTGCCCTCCTCACTGCTCCTCCTGCAGCCATTCCTGCCCCCACACTCACGACTCCCTGCTGCAGCAGGCACGGTGGCGTTTTCCTCTGAGCTGTTCTATTGCTCAATAAAGCTCCTCTTCATCTTGCTGAACCTCCACTTGTCTGTGTACCTCATTCTTCCTGGATCACAGGGCAAGAACTCGGGACCCACCAAATGGCGGGGCTAAAAGAGCTGTAACACAAACAGTGCTGAGACATGCTCCTTGTGGGCAAAGAGAAGGAGAGAAGAGCTGTGTCCCTTCAGGGATCCCAGACCTGGAAGCTCCCCAAGCCAGGGCTGTGACTCCCTCTTTCGGGCCCTGCAGTTCCTGGCATCTTCAAGCTTCTAGGCACCACTGTGTTTCCCGGTGCCAGCTCTGGAAGCTGCTTGTGGTGCACCTGCTCATGTCTGACTGCACAGTGGCTGGACTCCATGCTCACTCACACACACCTTGCCATTCCATGCCTTACTCTCCTTTGGCAGGCCTGGGATCCAGGCTGGTAGCATGAGCTGAGTACAGCCTGCCATGCCAAGTGGGTGGAACGAACCCAGTGGATCTGAGCAAAACTCAGGCAAAGGCGCCACTGGCCACAGGGGTTTTCAGCCAGTAAAGCAATACTCCAAAGATCCTGTAACAGTAATTTGGAATGTTTTTTAGTATCTCTCCAATATATCATAGTTTTGGTTATGTTCAGTGAAATTAAATTTAAAATGAGATTTTTTTTAAACATGCCATATTTTTAGTGGTTGCAAGGTTTTTTACATTATAATAGTCATCTTTATTAGTAGCATCAGATATGTCATTATCCAAATTGCATTCCCTAAATATATAACTCCATATATTAGTGCCTGATTTCATTTTACCCACTTGTTGATCTATTTCTGCAAATCATATGAAACTTAGATTACTGTTATCAGTTTTAATCATGTGTTCAATACCACATCTTTTTTATTTCTATATTGTACACATTTATCTAGTTACTCAGATCTCTCCCAGAGTGTGAGCCGGGAAAATAAGCAAAATGAAAAATTACATTAATAATTAGCCAATTTAGCTAATTAATAACTATGGTAAGAATCAAAAGTCGAAATTTTTTGGACACAATTAAACTTGTGGCTTTATTAATTTTTCATATAAACCTAATTGCCAGAACAAATATGTTAATTTGTTAGAAAGTCCCAATATGTAAACAATTCCTACATATTTTATTAACTGAAATTAAATAATCATCCAGCAAAAAGGCTGTTCATAACTAATGATCTAGAGCAAAGTTATGCAGTACCTAACCCTTATGCGAAGAATTTGGTTGCAATGAAAGTCATACAAACAAAACAATAAACTTTATTTATTTTCTTGCTTTGCAAACATATTTCATATCTCTTTCCACACTATACTATCCATCATTATTAAAATAATTTCCTAAGCATCTGTTAAAAATAATCTACATCACAACATTTCTGTGGGATATTTTAAAATAAAAAAATTGTTTAACTTTTATACAGATGAATGTATGTAAAATATATGCACGAAGTCATTGCAATCCATCAAAATCTACTTGTTAATTATATTTTTATAAGCTCTACTAATATACTCATAGTGTTTACTATAATAGGGTTGTTTAGTTAAAATACATAAAAATCAAAATTAATACAGTTACATTTAAAACATTTTCAAAAATTCAAAGTACTGATTCTCCAAAGGATAATTAAAAGTCTTAAAAGAAAAAAATCCAATATCTGAAGAAAAACCCATCTTCATTTCAGTATATTCATTTTTAAAAGTCTGGCTTTAAAGACGTTCTGTAATCATTAGGGTCCCATTAAATATACAGCAGGTGTTCAGAGATTTGGCTATTTAAGATTTAAAGTGCAATAAGGTACCTGAGCCAAATAAGCCACGGGACTTGACTTACTCCCTGACCATATGAGAGTTTCCCCTATGGCCAAATTTGCCTTCTGGAACAAAATTTACCCTCAACTGAACCTTTTCAACTGTACGAGCTGTAGATAAGACCCTTCTTTCTAAGTTTAGAATCCTAAACAGATTGAGCTGCATCTCTTAAAGCACTCTTGAAACCTCTGATGAGAAGTCATGCCTAACTTCTGACAATTAAAGCAGTTTTTCTGGCTATTGTGTATTGTAAGATGGCCAGCTAATTCCTTTATGTTTATTAAAGATATGTCCTTAGCAATTCCATAGTGTCTTCCCTATGCCAAGATTTAAATAGATCCAGCCCAGTCATATGCAGCACAGCACTGGCAACACACAAAAAGCTCTATTCACCTTCTTCCCTAATCTACATCTTTCTTGCATCCTACTCTGCCCTGATCATATTTCTCAGGGACCAAATGGACACTTGTTGCTATGGCCACTTCGGGTGTAATATCTACTGTTCAGTCAGTGACATCCTGAGAGGTGAAGCCGCTGGGCTTCTGGGTGGGGTGAGTACCTGGGGAACTTTTCCGTCTAGCTAAAGGTTTGTAAATGCACCAATCAGCACTCTGTAAAAACGCACCAATCTGTACTCTGTGTCTAGCTAAAGGTTTGTAAACGCACGAAACAGCACTCTGTAAAAACAGACCAATCAACTCTCTGTAAAATGGACCAATCAGCAGGATGTGGGTGGGGCCAAATAAGGGAATAAAAGCAGGCCACCCCTGCCAGCAGCAGCAACCTGCTCAGGTCTGCTTCCACGCTGTGGTAGCTTTGTTCTTTTGCTCTTTGGAATAAATCTCACTGCTGCTCACTCTTTGGGTCTGCAACACCTTTATGAGCTGTAACACTCACCTGGAAGGTCTGCAGCTTCACTCCTGAAGTCAGCGAGACCACAAACCCACCAGGAGGAACAAACAACTCTGGATGTGCCACCTTTAAGAGCTGTAACACTCGGCCAGGCGCGTTGGCTCATGCCTGTAATCCCAGCACCTTGGGAGGCCAAGGCAGGAGGATCACAAGGTCAGGAGATCGAGACCATCCTTGCTAACATGGTGAAACCCTATCTCTACTAAAAAATTAGCCAGGCGTGGAGGCGGGCGCCTGTAATCCCAGCTACTTGGGAGGCTGAGGCAGGAGCATGGTGTGAACCTGGGAGGCGGAGCTGGCAGTGAGCCGAGATCATGCCACTACACTCCAGCTTGGGTGACAGAGCAAGACTCCGTCTCTAAGAAAAAAAAAAAAAAAAAAAAAAAAAGAGCTGTAACACCACTGCAAAGGTCTGCGGCTTCACTCCTGAAGTCAGTGAGACCATGAACCCACTGGAAGGAAGAAACTCTGGACACATCTGAACATCTAAAGGAACAAACTCCGGACACACCATCTTTAAGAGCTGTAAAACTCACCGTGAGGGTCCGCAGTACAATTCCATGCTATCTCACTAATTAATATGTACGTCCCTTTAGTTCATCAACACGCATCACCAGGTAACGAGTTCTCTTTCTATCTGCTCCAGATCCACTTGCTGCCAATCCAAAGAGGGGAGTTAAATAACTCTTTCTTCTTTGTTAGCATAAAGCTAAATTAAATCTGGTATTAATTCTATAGTAAAAATATTCTATCAAAAAACAACATAGTAATAAAAATTAGTTTTATTTGTTAAGTAAAGCAAATGAAGAATTCAAAATATTATATAAATAGATGTTGTGATCCATCTTTCCCAAATTTGACAAATATTCTCTGAATTCTAAAAAGCTCACCTTTTAACTAAATAGGTGTAAAAGTTAATATAAGCTTTGCAAGGTAGTGTACAGCACAACATATATAAATTTAATAATTAGAGAAACATTTTGTAAAAATGATTTTCATAATCTGTAGACAGTTCTCTATAATTATTTTGTGATTTACAAAATAATTTTTCATATATTTAGAATATTAAAAATGTGGAATAAATGAAACCATGAGACCCTGTTTGGCAGAACTGTAAACAATTTTCTGACTTATCACTGGGTCCTACAACCTCTCACCTCTGTTATTTCTATATCTATTTGAATATTACAACTCCAGAAATGTAATGTTTTGGAAAGAGAAGATCATTTGGCAGTGCGACTCTTCCTGGAATTTATAGCAGACTAATACATTTCTACAACTAAGTAAAGACTCAGGAATATCACTCAGGCATCCTTATGGGTGGCATAGATTGCATCATAGTATTTCAAAGAACTACAGACTCTATTTAATTCTGTCATAGTCGAAAATTCTAAAAGTCGTAGAAGATTTAATTTTAATCTACATGACAAATAATTGAAAGACATTAGAAATGGAGTGAGATACTGTTCTCCAAATTTTGATTTGAACAAATGAATCTGCATTTGCTCAAACGGACAGTTAGGAATGGCAAAAGTGTTTCACAGGCTGTATTCACCTATACACTTACCACATGTAGCTAATATCCATTATTTCAGAATATATAACTAGGAAAAAAGTAACAAGTCTACTAAAATAATTTGAAGCACAAGTGAAAGAAATCATTACTCTGAAAACTCAGAATAAAGGAATACCCAAACTATTTACAGCAAGAAATAAAGAACATTTTAGGAATCATGTGTTTGGGTCAATAGGAATAATTAAGTAATAAATAGAATAGAGAAGATAGTTTCAATAAAAATTAGATCAAAAGGAACAAGTTAAAAATGGTAAAATAAAGACAAAGGATTGTAGTCCCTAAAATAAGAAAAGAATGCAAACATACCATGAAATGAATGCAGAAGATTATTAAAACGTGTGTTGGTATGAGTAAGGAGAAGACACGATGCTGCAGAACATGGAAACACGCATGTTAAAATACCTCAAAAAAGTTAGAATGCATAAAGAGAAGAAAAAAAAAGAAAAAATGCTTGGCATAAAGTATAAAAAACAAGAACCAATCTGTAAATTATAGTCATACCTACGGTTGTCAGAAAAAAATACATTATCTCTCTCTTCCTTTCTTCTTTCCTTCCTTCTTTTCATCCTTTCCTTCTTTTTTATTAATTGATTGCTACACCTGGCAACCCTAGTTGTATTTAAAAGAATCAATGAAGGTGGGGAGGAAGGCCAAATAAAATAAAAACAGCAACGAATGAACTTTGCTGTACTATAAAAGAGCAATATAACTCACTGAAGGGGCACGAGGAAAATAAACATAAATAACATTGGAAAACTGTATTTTGACTATACTCTCTAAGGCTAAACATAAAAAAAGAACTCTCCACAAATATTGTACCCTAGTTGGTAGGTTTTTTACAGAAATATGGGTTAACAATTCTAAGGTCATTTTATGTATATTCTAGGTTTAAGCAAATAACTATAGAGTGTACAATGAGAGCAGGTTCCTTACTATTGTAGAAAAGAGTCATAAATAAGAAAATACAAAGGGCTAGAATGTACCCTGTGGTATTAGACATGTATTGGAAGTATCAGTATAAAGTCAGTTTTATATTTACTTACACATACACATACACACATATATACATATACTATATATAGATGAAGATGTATACACACTAATTTTATGTTGCACTCTCTTTTTTCAGGGAAAAACCCCTCTATTATGAGGAAAATGTGTTAACCAAAATAAATGAGTAAAAGGAAAAAGACATAACATCTAGGATGTAGGAAACCAACACAGCTGTGAGGCTAAGGCAATTGCCAGCATAAGAGTAAGGAGAAGCACAAAGATAAGAATTGTGCATGAGGCTTAGTGATCAACCAGTTCTGATAAGAAAAGAAGGATGTAGGATTCCAGGAATATGTTTAAGAGAAAAAAATTGATCTGTTGGATCATCTGATTTTTTTTTTATATTGAGAGGATTACATCTCTGGCAAAAAGATGTGGGGAAATTATTACTAGATAAAAAGAAACATATTAAAAGTGAAGCTGTTATTAATTCTAATAAAATTTTAAAAGATACACTGGAAAAGACAAGTAATTACAATGTTTGACATCATGTTTCTCGAGAGCATATTCGATACAAAATGATCATAGAATATAAATTTTAAATACAAGAAAAATAGCTTTGAGCTTATAACTTTATGTCTAGCTAAATTATTATTTGAAAATCAGGGCATAATAAAAATATTTCCATGTATTCCTGAGATGATTGATCTCATGAACATCTACCCTGAAGACATGTTGGATGAAGTCCTCAGATAATAAGGGAAACAAATCCAGAGGATGTGGGAAAAGTAACAGTATTCAATAAGAATTTTTTTTTAATTAAGGTCAACTACCATAAAAATAAAGAATACATAAGCTGGCAGAATAAAATTTCATCTATTCAATGGAAAACAGAATAGAGAGAAACAATAACACAGAAAAGTATAGTAATTGAAAACTTTTACAATTACACTCTGAGACAGAATGAAAAATAAAATAATATTGAGGTATATATTGCTGTCAAGTGACACACATATAAAAAGCAATAGTGGGACTGAAGATAAAGGGATTTAAAAAAGAATAGGCTAAAATGACATCAGCCTAGCAATCTTAATATCTGAAAAAAACAAAGTCAAAAATAACATAAAACACAGAAAGATATTATATGCTTGTAAACCGAAAAGTAGGGTAGAAAGATACAACTACCATAGTAGCATAGGTACCTAAAAATTCAGCTTCAAAATACATCAAGCAAAAGTTAGTATGATAGAGAGATGTTAATACCCTTAAATCAGAGTTTGGCAAACTATGGACTGTGGACCAAATCCTGCCTGCCACATATTTTTGTAAATAAATCTCTATTGGGACACATTGTCTATATGTAGTGCTTTAGCACTGCAATGATAGAGTAGAGTAGGTTCCACAGAGGTAATTTGACCCACGTAGCCAAAATGGTTACAAGTTTTCTTTTGAGAGTAGTAAAAATGTTCTAAAATTGATTGTGGTGATGGATGTAAAAGTCTACGAATATACTAAAAACCATTGAGTTGTAAAATTTGAGTGAACTGTACTGTATGTGATTTATATCTCAATAAAACTGTTTTAAAAAAGTTACTATCTGGCTTTTTAAAGAAAAAGTTGCCAATTCCTAATATAAACAATACAAATGCTAAGTTCCAGTTCTTAAATATTCATAGAACTCTATACCCAACAGAGAATGAACCTTCTTTTCTTTTTTTTTTTTTTTTTTTTTCTTTTTTCAAGTCTTGCTCTGTCGCCCAGGCTGCAGTGCAGTGGCGCGATCTCGGCTCACTGCAAGCTCTGCCTCCCGGGTTCACGCCAGTCTCCTGTCTCAGCCTCCCAAGTAGCTGGGACTACAAGCGCCTGCCACCACGCCCGGCTAATTTTTTTGTATTTTTAGTAGACATGGGGTTTCGCCGTGTTAGCCAGGATGGTCTCCATCTCCTGACCTCGTGATCCACCCGCCTCGGCCTCCCAAAGTGCTGGGATTACAGGTGTGAGCCACCGCGCGCAGCCAGAATGCACCTTCTTTTCAAGCACACATAGAATATTTATGAAATAATACATTCTAAGCCCCAAGAAGGAAGCTTCAAAAATAAATAAAAGCAAGAAAGAAGATTCAACATTTCAATATTATCATATTAAACTGCATATTCATTTTTAAAGAATAATTTAAAAATCACTATGTATGAAAACCACATAATATAAAATAACCTGTGGGTTTAAGAAAGGAATAAATAACTAATTGAAAAGTAGTAATAAATCTGTGAAAATAAATGAAGACCACCCAAATAAGACCAAGCAAAGGTGATTTATTTGAGCTTGCAAAGGAGTCAGTCACTCACTCGCATTTGGTAGAGATTCAAAGGCAGACAAAGTGAAAAAAAGTTATAGTGGAAAAAAGAAGACTTCAGGTGTCTCCCGATTAGAAGCTGTTGACATAAGGAAGCTGGAGGTGGGATGCATATTTGGCTTCCCTTGGTTGATCTTAAGTTGAAGGTAAAACAAAATTAGGAAAAACATAGGGAACATGAAAGTTATTTAATCAACTCCTGGCTATGTTCGGGTCAATTGCTATGAAGGTTGTGGTTTCACTTCCTGGACAATTGGCTACAGAGGTTATGATTTGGCTTCCTGAGCTGGTTGCTGCAGACTGTGGGTCTGGGTTCTGTTTTCACATATAGTCTAGTCACAGTCCATTAAAATATTCAGTCTCTTTGAAAACATCTTAGAGACACCACTGTATTATATTATATAAGACAGAATGAGACAGTTTAAAAATGAATAAATTTGATAATTCTCCCAATATATTAAAGATCCACAAAGTGAATCTACAAAACAAGGAATAAAAACATAACAAACAAGGAATGAATGAAGAGGAGGATGAGAGAAAAGCTGAAAAATTAAACAAAAATCTATTTTTCCTACAATAGCCTAGAGGCCTTACATAATCTGCTCTCCAATGTCACCCTGTTAATTATATAAACATTTCTCTTACTACTTTAACATGGCCCATTCCACTCCTGCTCCACTGGGCCACTGGTCTTGTGAATTTCTTTTGTGGGTTTAGTATGAAGTTTTAGCTTTAGTCGTGGATCAGGTAAAGTTTTCCGTCCATTCTTGGGAACCATTTGTTTATAACGGATATATAGTAGCATATATTATATGCTACTTTTAAGAGATATGCCTAAATATAAGGACATAGAATGTTTGAAATGACTAGGCTAGGAAAAGATACAGTATGCAAACATGAACCACAGAAAGTTGATATATTAATTATTCAAGTAATTAGAACTTAAGTGTCTGTTTCTCAAAGGTTTGCTAAACTTGCTTATAACACCATCTAGTCTCGTGCTTTTTTTGTGGGCAGATTTTATTTCTAATTTTTTTCTTTAAAGATTTTAGACCTATCAAAGTTGTCTATTTCTTGTTCTTAAATACATACAGGTTTTTAAAAATATCCATTCTAAGATTTAAAACATGTTGGTTCAAAATTGTTTATAGCACCTCATATGTTTTTACAAATTTATCATATAAAAATTTTGTCTTCTTCAATATGAGTATTACTTAATTATGCCTTACCTATTTTTCTCCTGATAGAAGTTCCCAGAATTTTTTCTGTATTGTAGTCTCTAAACAATTTTTTTAAATTACTGATGCCATCTACTGTATTTTTCTGTTTATTCCTTCTAGTTTTTAAAATAATTTCTACATTTTTACTTTTTTAATATTATTCTACCTTTTTTCCTTTAAAATGCTGGAGTTACATGCTAAATATGTTAATTTTAATTTTTCTTGGTTTCTTTTAAAAAATATAGTATAAATCTTTCTTATGATAATATTTTACAGAGTAAGTTTGCAACAAGGATAATAAAGCACTCTTATCTCTGTGTTTAACCAGATGCAATATTTTTGCATTTTATTATAAAGGATTTAGTCTCACCTTCATTGTTTCATGTACTTTTCTTAGCACTGAGAATGTTCCAGAGCATTGTAATATCAGTTTCTCCTTAAAGATACATTTACAAGTGGGTAGTATAAATTTACACTTCATACTCACTCTTGAGATGTTAATTTTTTACTACTATGATATTTTCCATGTTTTTCAGCATGTTTCTTAAAGATATGCTCCTACAATGAAAGACTAAAGAAAAAGAAAGACCCAAGACATGGGAACAAATAATCCAAAGGGAGAGAGAATTGATGTTCCAATCAGCTATTCTGTAAACTTGCTTTCAAATATGAATAGGCAGCTAAGGTTATCTGAGAAATGCTCAGAAACGTAGAGGGTGGGGGACCTTGAAGTAAAGATTACAGCAAGGAAACTGAACAGCAACTTCAGTTTCAGAGCCGTGTTCTACATTTAGACTGCCTGGGTTAAAATAATAACTTCAAATCTTAGTAGCTATGTTACCTTAGTAGCTCAGTAAATTATTCAAGTTCTCAAAGGCTCACTTTTATAATAAGAATGCTTATAAGAGTTTCTACCTGTAAGTTGTTTTGTGGATTTATTAAATTAATCCAAATAAAACATTTATTCCAGTACTTGGAAGAGAATATCAGCCAGTGATAAGTGGTAATTATTATTATCTCCCCACCTGAGTACAAGTAAGTGTATATTGTAAACCCAACTCACAGAAATTTCCCTTTTTTAGAATTTCCTGAGCAACCTTATCTATGCTGCAAAACTCTGCAGCACTACTTTTTTGCCCATAACCTAGAGTTTGGTTATGATCTAGTGAATAGTGCAACTATTCACGTGTGGTTATTTAAATGTAAATTCATAACATTTCATAAAATTTAAAATTCAGCTTCTCAGTTATACTTGTCCTATTTCAAGTGCCAAATTTCCATGTGTGGCTAGTAGCTACCATAAGAGATCATCACAAAAAGTTCTCATGGTCAGCACCAATAGAGGGAGACATACAATTTGAAGGTGAGCCAATCACATTCTTTATCATAGGAGAAATGTGAATGAAGAAACAAGAAGCCCAGAAGCAGTTAAGAGAAAGTTCCATTGTTATCAACATTCCAGAAAGAATGCCACAAACTCCTGATGCTGGGTGAGAGGAGAGGTCCTGGTTAACTGAACTTCCCACAGCCTGGATATTGAGCAATTCCTTAGGCTTTTCAGTGTACCCTCATAAATAGTAAAATGGAGCACATTTTTTTTTTTTTTTTTTTTTTTTGAGACAGGGTCTTGCTCTGTCTCCCAGGCTGGAGTGCAGTGGTGGGATGATAGCTCACTGCAAGCTCTGTCTCCCGGGTTCAAAAAATCCTCCTGCTTCAGCTTCCTGAGTAGCTAGGACTACAGGTGCATGCCACCACTTCTGGCTATTTTGTGTGTTGTTTGCATTTATTGTAGAGATGGGGACTTGCTATGTTGCCTAGGCTGGTCTCAAACTCCAGGTCTCAAGCAACCTGCCAGCCTCGCCTCCCAAAGCGTTGGGATTACAGACATGAGCCACTGCACCTGGATCTACTTGTTACAAAAGTCTTCTCCCAATTGGTTGCTTTTCTTTCAGTTTTGCTAGTGAATGATTTTCAACTGAAAAGTTTTATTTTTTTATTAAGTCAAATCTGCCTATGATTTTATCACCACTGAGATTAATGGCATGCTTAGAAAGTCCTGTCCATTCCTCCAGTGGAAATGTTTTCTAGTACTTTCATAGGTTCATGTTGTTAATATTGGTCTCATTTCTTATTTCTAAATTTCTTCTTTAATAAAATTAATTCCCCAAAGTATCATTGTTGAGTCTGGGTTTTATTTTATTGGTTTAGGCAATACAAACAATGATAAATAATTTAAAGTATGAAAAAAGCTATAAAGTGACAATTAAGTTTCCTGACACACTTGATCCACACCCTGCAAAGGTAAACACATTATCAGTTTTGTGTTCTGTACTTCCAGAGACAATTTTCTTCTTTTTGATATTGTTTAAAGGTAGATATTTAATCAAATTTTAATGTATTCTGCTTTATTTGAGGTAGAATTCTACTTCTGTTCAAATAGCCAATTATTCAACATTATTTATTTTAGAACAGTCCATTATTTTTCCAGCAATTTTTGAATGTCAGTATCTCATATAATTCCCTAATTATAGCTAAATCATTCTTAATGTCTCTTTCACAACACTGACCTACTCCATTTTCCTATTTTCACACCATTTGTCAAATATTTCCAAAATTATTTGTGGAAAGACAGGGTGAGGTAGACTTAAGTAGAGATTTAACAGAAAAATTGACTGTTTATATAATAGTTGGTTTGTGACAGGACAAGATTCTCGTTGTTTTTAGTTTTCAACATCCTTGCATCTAGAGGAATGTTAGAATCAAATTTGTAAGGTCCACATAATATTCATTGGGAACTGGTTTACATTCATCAAATAATTAGGAAAAAGGTATTTTATAGCAAGTGGCTAAGTTAGATTGCAATTGTATATTTAGTAAAGGCATGTTGAGTAAACTCCAAAAGAATGACTGCATTTTTTTCAAAACATAAACAATGAAGTTATTGCATATGTAGACAGGTGTGGAGTAGGTCAAAGTGTCAGTGATGTAACAATTTGTTTCCTTGACTCACACACTTCACTTGAAATGATGGATGTCCTAGTGTCTCCTGGCTTTTTAGGCTTGGATCTTGCCCATTCACGTCATTATAGGGTTATCATTATGTCTTTACAAGTGTAATTTTATAAGTTGTAAAAGTGAGTTTGTGTTGTTATGGCTATTCTTTCTTTAGAGACAGGTAATTACAAGTGCATCTTCATAACTTTCTCCTCCCAGCCACTCTGGGGAACTCTTTAGAATGGTTTTCTGCCTTAGCTTCTTCACATGTGAAACATTTTCCTATTAGTCCTGGCATGATTCCCCTTAGTTTTGGGAAGCTGATCAAATTCCAACGATCAAAAAATAGGACTAAATAGATATTTAACAATGGCATAAAAAATAAAAACACTGAAACAGTGTGGTATGTCTAATCTACCTACAATGCAATATTGGCCCTCATGGAATATGTATTATACAAAGTTCTAGTAAAATGGTAAACATTTGGTCTTCAATTAGTATTGAAAATATGATCAAGGATGTTTATTCACTTATTCAGCTCAGACTGCAGCTGTTTGGCTCTTACTACGGACCACATATGTGAGTCTAAAGCTGTTAGCAATGACACTGCCGCAGACCGGAGGGGACTAGTTTGTAACTTAGACAAACATTTTCTCCAGTAAAGTGAGATATATCCTTTGGCCATTCTCTTACAAGGACTATTTTACTTCCTCTAAAGTGAGAGTATTGGAAGGAATATTAATTATTTTTGTCATATATTTTATCAGTCAATTTTTGAAATGGATTTCAGAAATATGTATTTTAAAGCTGTATCATGTCTTTGAGTTCTATATTTAAAAAGGTATGGTTTTAAGGTGTCCCCTCCAAAATTTCTGTTGAAATGTGATTACCAACGTGGCAGCATTGGAGGATGGGACCTTTGTGGGGTGCTGGAGCCATAATGGTTCTGCCCTTGTGGGTGAGATTAATGCCATTATGAAAGGGTAACTTCAGCCTTAGTTTGTTTCTTTGTCCATCCACCTTCTGCCATGTGAGGATCAAGGGTTCCTTGATTCTGGAAGACACAGCATGCAAATCATCATCTTGGAAGAACAGAATGACCTCACCAGACACTGAACCTACTGGTGCCCTGAACTTAGACTTCCCAGCCTCCAGAAATACTCAGTATACTGCTATAGCAGCACAAAATATTGTGCTAAGATATTGACAATTGACAATAAGTGTTTCTAAACATTTATTTTGGATGTCTCAAAAACACTTTAAAATCAATAGGTCTAAAACTCAACTTACAAACTTTTCCAAATCCGGTTCTTTCAAATGAAACCACTAAAATACGAGTTGTTTGTGTCTAATGAGCAGTTTTTCCACTTAGTCTCACATTCAGCTTATCATCAAGTTATATCAATTTTGCCTTCCACACATCTCAAGAATTCATCTATTTCTCTTCAGCATGACTGCTAACTCACTAATCCAAATAGTCTTTATTCTTTATGCTGCCTCAATAGCCTCTCTGGCTCATATTTCATCTCACCTTTTCTCCCACAAGTTAGTTCTTTCCCTGCAGCTAGGTTATCTTCTCAATAGGTAAATCGAATCACATCATTATCTCCCCATCCCCATTTAAAACATTTCATTGCTATTTTATTTCTCTTAATATAAAGGAGTAAATTTATAATGTGTTCTGCACACTATAGCTGGTGCCTAATCATTCTTTATAGTATTCTATGATATCCTTTATATTCTATAAGCTATAGTTACAACTTATTATTTATATATGCTGTTCTGTGTACAGCTTTCATATGCATCACTTTCTACTTTGCCAAACTAATTCTACTTAAATGGCACTTTGCTGTGGAAGCCTTTACTTATACATACAATCACAGACTAGGTCAGGTTCAGACAATTTATGTCTCATAACTCCATGTGCCTTTTCCTTGTGGAGTTATGCAAGATCTGATTTTTAAACTATTTTGTGAGTGTATATCTTTGTCATAACTGTAAATACCATGAGGACAGAGAATATATCTATTTTGTTCATCATTGTGTCCATGGCATTTAGCTTAGTGGCTGGATAATTATCTGTTATTCAATAAATATTTGCTTCATGAAAATGTAAATATATTGAGTCCCTACTATGTGTCATCCACTCTATTAGCTCTTTGAAGGACACAAAGAAAACTATGCTCTTTCCATCAAGTTTTAAATTTTAATACTATAGTCTTATAGTCTAATTGTCTCCATATTTAAAACTACGAACTCACTCCCCTGTCAATTCAATACTCCTAATCCCTCTTACTCCTTACCCTATTTTTCCTTAGAACCTCAATTTATTTATTTATTTTTTATTTTTTTGAGACAGAGGATTTCACTCTGTCACCCAGACTGGAGTGCAGTGACACAGTCACAGCTCACTGCAACCTTCACTTCCTGGGCTCAAGTGATCCCCCCATGTCAGCCTCCTGAGTAGCTGGGACTACAGGCTCAAGCTACCATGCCAGGCTAATTTGTGTTTTATTTTTTTTGCAGAAATGGGGTCACACTATGTTTCCCTGGCTGGCCTCAAACTCCTGGGCTCAAGCGATCCTCCCGCCTCAGCCTCCCAATGTGCTGGGATTACAGGATAAGCCTCCGTGCCTGGCCTCAATTTATATAATATAGTATAAGATTTATTTAATTATCATGTTTGTTATTTATTTCTTGCCTCCTCACGCTAGACATCAAGTGCAGTGAGAACAGAAACAGTGGTCTATTTCATTGACTGATGAGTCCTAACCACCTAGAACAGTTCCTAGCACATAAAGGCATTTAACAATATTTGTTTGATGAAGGAATAAATTAATATGTCCAAAAGTAATTAATCATGAAGTAAATTATTCAAAAGTCACTTTTCCCCAACATTGATTTCTACATAGTTTATCACATTATACAACTCACAGTCATGGTGATTTTGCAGCCCCTCCCCATCAGAAACATTTGGCAATGTCTGGAGATTTTTATAGCTGCTACAACACGGCATAGAAGATTCTATTTGTATCTGGTGGGTAGAGGCCAGCATACTTAATGCGCAGAATAGCACCCTACAACTAAGAATTATGGAGGCCCAAATGTCACCTGTGCTGAGGATGAGACACCCTAAGCAATAGTCTCCATGGTTCTGTGTCCCTGCTCTTTCCATCAACTTGCATCATGTCTCTCTGTGCCTCATGTCAAGGCTTTCCTTTGGCTCCACTCCTTCATCTCTCTCGTTTGTACCTCTTGTTTACCACATAAGCTTTGATTACGTTACTTAGGAGATTCAAATTTTTTTTAGAAGTTGCTGAATTTCAATTTACCAAATAAGACACCTTATTTAATTTTCTCTCTTGTACAGAACTCAGAACAGAGATATGCTGTCTATCTCTGACAGTGATGTCTGAAATAAGAATAGTCACCTAGCCTCTTGTTGATCCATGTTCTCAATTCAAAATCAAATGGTATTTAATATTTCAATAGCTTCCATTTATTTTATGTACGAGAGAACAGAGACATCTCACAGACACATCCCATCAGACTTTGTTGTCTGATGCAACCACTTACAACACTGAATTTAAGGTCCCATCTGATTTCAAACAGCCTGATTGCTTTCAGAGATATTGCATAGTCATTTAATGCATGTCAGCTTTCCAGATCATGATAGAAAATACCAACTTGGCCGGGTACGGTGGCTCACGCCTGCAATCTCAGCACTTTGGGAGGCCGAGCTGGGCAGATTGCCTGAGCTCAGGAGTTTGAGACCAGCCTAGGCAACACAGTGAAACCCCATCTCTACTAAAATACAAAAAATTAGCTGGGTGTGGCAGCATGAATCTGTAATCCCCGCTACCTGGGAGGCTGAGGCAGGAGAATTGCTTGAACCCGGGAGGCAGAGGTTGCAGTGAGCCGAGATCACACCACTGCACTCCAGCCTGGGTGATAGAGTGAAACTCTGTCTCAAAAAAAAAAAAAAGAAAAGAAAAAAGAAAATACCAACTAGATCCTCACAGTAATATATTTTCTATAATTTCTAAAGGATTTCTATTAATTATTATTATTTTTTTTTATTATACTCTAAGTTTTAGGGTACATGTGCACATTGTGCAAGTTAGTTACATATGTATACATGTGCCATGCTGGTGCGCTGCACCCACTAATGTGTCATCTAGCATTAGGTATATCTCCCAGTGCTATCCCTCCCCCCTCCCCCCACCCCACCACAGTCCCCAGAGTGTGATATTCCCCTTCCTGTGTCCATGTGATCTCATTGTTCAATTCCCACCTATGAGTGAGATGCAGAAAAAATATTAGTTGGCAATTATATTCTATAAAATAAAATATATTTTAAGTATTAAGTAATTCATATATGGGCCAAATAAAATGCATCACTCTGGACATAATTATTCAGGACTTTCTTATTCTCCAGGCACAGCTTGAATGAGATCTCTCCTTGTGTTCTCCCAACACTGAGATCAAGGTGTTAGTAGGGACTAGGGTCTCATCTGAGGCTCAGGGTTCTCTTCAAAGCTACATGGTTGCCGGCAGAATTTATTTCTTTGCCACTGCAGAACTCGGGGAGGCTTAGTTCTTCAAAGACAGCAGGAGAGTGTCTGAATTCTTGATCCTCTTTTAGATGGTTCATCTGATTAAGTAAGACCACTCAGCATAATCTCCTTTTTGGTTAACTCAAAATTTGCTGATTTGGGACGTTAAGTCTGCAAAAATTCCTTCACTTGACCATATAATATAACTAATCATGGGAGTCAGTATCGCATCCTGTGGCCACCCACACTCAAATGGAGGAGGTCACATAGAGCATGTACCATAGCTGGCAAGAATCTTGGAGACCATTTAGAACTCTGCCAACCACAAGACAAGTTAGAGCAGAAGTTAAAGGAGCTATGTCACATAGTATTGCTTTGGGGCCCAAAAGATACAGAGAAACACAGAGCTAGAAAAAGAGCCTTTTTGTGCCAAATCTAACAGAAACCCTTGGGTACCTATGGCATGCAGAGTGCTCAAGCTGGCTACAAAAGAAAAAAGAGTCCGGGAGGCAGGAGTACATACCTGGCATGGCACATGGCAGGACAGCATTGTGTTTGTGGAAACAATGCCATCATAAGGTTCTCCAGGACTGGCCGAGAGGGAGGAACCTGAATGAATCCAGTTTCCAGTACATGTGAAATGCTGCATAAGAAATCTAAGAATTTATCAGAGAAATTTTGTTGGGGGATGAGGGAGAAGTCACATAAGTAATTCCAAAACCCAAGTTTTAGAAGTTATAACACACTGTAGTTTTTAATATGGATTTGGCCTCCTTTTTACATATAAGCTAGCTACTCATAATGGTTCAATTTTTAGGCATTAAATTACAGAGTATGATTTATATAGTTTTAGTGATATGCACTCTAAGTAGCCTCCAAAGCAAAGATACACACAGTAGCAAACAAACAACCAAGACTGGAAAATATTGAAATATTAAAGGTTTGATCTCCTCTATAGTGGACATGCTATGCTCAAACCTACTTCTCTGAGATACTGTAGTCAGTGGAGTTTTTTAGAATTCCCTGTATCGTAAATAAAAGAAAATAACTGAGAGGCTGAGAACTGCAATGAAACTACCCTTTTCTTACAGAGAATTATTTATTTAATATCCCTCGGACAGCAACTTTGATATTTTCACTTTCAGCTTCATCAGATTTTGTGTTAAACTGTCTCATGCCTGCTTGCACTTAAGATTAGTTTAACTTCTGAGCTGTTATGTCACATAATGGAGAGAATCACTACTTCCAACTGTCCTGTAAGTAGCAAGAGAAAGTAGACCTCTATTCTCAGAAAACAAAACATTTTGATTCTTCCTTTAATCATTCTCTCTTCTGAAAACAAACTCACAAAATGTCTAAGATGAGAGTTGTGGTATTAGCAAAATTATGACATCAAACACAGGAAACATGGCATTTTTATGAACAGAATTAAATATTGAAGTTATCAGCAAAAAGCACACATGACTACTGTTAAGAAAAAAGCTGCAAGCTATGGACATACCTGCTGACTGTCTGCTTTCTTGTGATGGGATTCTAAAGCCAGGCAATCACTAGATAATCCTTTCCCTTACAAAGACCACCAGAACCACATAGGATTCTGACAAGTTGAAATTGCTTTATAGGGGTGCAAAAAGAGGTAAGAGGATACTTTGAAATAAAAGTTTGGATTGCCTAAAATATATTTGGATTGCCTAAGAATATTTTTTCCTAATGCAAGGATTGCATTCTCTGGTCACTTTGCTTGGAAGAAACACTAAAGTCCCAATATTTCCGGAAATGGTCAATTGCATTCCTGTATGACTTTATGTTTTTCAAAGTGCTGTAAATATATCACTTTAGCTTCACTACAACTTTGCCCAATTTAAGAATAAAAGAGAAAGAGGACAGTGTACTCCATTGTACCTGTAAGAAAGGTAAAACCAGAAAAGGCAAGTTACTTTCACATTACATAGATAGTATCAAAGTGGTGTTCAATCATAATTTCATATATGGCATAGCCTAACATTTATTCCTATTATACAAAAAAGACAGGGAAACCAAGAGATATGTAAGACAATAGGAAGGGCATGAACATGGGTGCTCGGAAAACCTATACATAATTTCTGAACTTGTCACTTTGAAAAAAAATTTCGTATTTTTCTAGTGCTACACATATCTTATTAGCCCTTGGACTTCTTATAAATCCAGCTTTTATTTTGTCACAGATCTAGTGTGCTTATACTTAAATGACAGCCACCTGCACTTTATTAACTTAATGATCAACAACTTCCATACCCAGCCAAGAAAGTATGACAGGGACCCAATTTAGCCTCTCATCATAAACAATAAGAAAACCCATAAGGAACAACAGTTTTCTGGTATTGAACAACAGCAGTGCATCATCATGGTCCCTGAGAAAAGGGAAACAATCAAAGTAAAGGCTATAATTACATCAGCTAATTTTCTGGTAATTGGGAGGGAGAGCCCAAACAGAACCCCATGATTTCCCTGAGTTAAGGAGTCAGAATTTGGAGTTCAGAGGTCAAGATGGCTGGGATTTGCAGAGCAGAATAATGCCCATTCATCCTCAATACTTGAGATGATAATGGCATAATTTTCTTCTTTCAAATTGTGGTGATGGTGGCAGAAGGAGAATGCATCATGAAATACCTTACCGTGATATACAAATGGCTGATCATATGCAAATACATGACATGCTCTCATGGGCGTATCCACATATTGATTAAACAAAAAAAAATACTCTTTTGTGGGGAAATAATTAAAAAATAGCTACTTTGTCTTTACTTATAAAAGTAGTTTTACTAACAGGGAAATAATTAAATGAAAAATTTAGAGAGATCAAAAATTTGTATTCTGTAGATAAAAATAAGTGTAGCTAATATCATACATTAAAATTTATTTTACTAAACCTTAATATTTTCTAGATTCTGCAGATAACATCAATAAGGTGACTAGGTATACAGAACTGAAAAAAATTAAAATGTACACTATCATTAAAATTATAATATAGAGAGTTTATTGATTTTTAAACCTAATAAATGGTACCATTGCTGCTTTCACTTGTACCATTCATTTGATAGTTTTAATTTAGCCAATGTAACCATCATTTATTTACTTAAGAAAATAATTTCAAGAAAATATAAGATACTTTTTTATTCAAAAACATTTTTGAACATTTACTCTGTGCTAGGCAATCTTTACTAGAAATAAAAGAAACAAAATGTCCTGCCTTCCCTGATTGTATGTTTTTGGAAAGAGACAGAGGGAAACCAGACAATAAAATGTATATCTAATATAAGTGCCAAGGAGGAAATGATGAAGCTCAGAAGGTAGATATGAATAATTGGTTTGGAAGGGGGACAGGATGCAATTTTAAATAAAGTGGTCATTTGAAAACATTAACTTTTCAGACAGGAGCTTGTTTGAGTGATTTTTCTTTCTTTTATTATTATTATACTTTAAGTTTTAGGGTACATGTGCACAACGTGCAGGTTTGTTACATATGTATACATGTGCCATGTTGGTGTGCTGCACCCATTAACTCATCGTTTACATTAGGTATGTCTCCTAATGCTATCCCTCCCCCCTCCCCCCACCCCACAACCATCCCCGGTGTGTGATGTTCCCCTTCCTGTGTCCATGTGTTCTCATTAAAATGGTAAGAAGACTAGTGTGTTTGGAGCAGATGAGGGAAAGGGAGAGAGAAGTGGAGATGAGTTCAGGGAGAAGCAACGAAGGGCAAGATCTTGCAGGGCCTTTTCGGTCAAAGGGAAGGGCTTTGGCTTTCACTCATAAATACACTTGAAGATGTGAGAATTTTGAACAAAGAAGAAAGATAATCAGACATACATTTGAAAATGTCACTGTAGATGCTAGATTGAGTGCAGATTGAAGAAGGGCAAAGGCACAAATAGGGAGTGTTATTAGGTTTTTGCTATGATCTAAGTGAAAGTAATGACAGCTTGATCAAGGGGTGTAGTCATGTAAGTGGTGAGAAGTGCTTGGATTCTTGAATATATTTTTAAGTTACAGCTGAAAGAATTAGATGACATATTAGATGTTAGATTCAAAAATACTTATGATGTAATATACGAAGATAGATAATAAATTGAAATAAAGAAAGAACTCTATCTCAGGTTTTTGACTTGGAAATGTAGAAGGATGGATTTACTAACAACTAAAATGAGGAAAATTTGCAGAAGGAAGTTTGATGGAGATAATCATAAATGTAGCTTGGACTTACTAGATTTGACATGCCAGTCGGACATCTCAGTAGATATTTAATTACATCATATGCTTATAAACAATTTTTGTTTCCTTTCTAACAATTTACACATTAATAACACTTAAAAGATAAATAACCCTACAATCACAACTTGAAAGCCCAGCAATCAAATATAAATATTGTCTTTATTAATCATAAACAATACGGGCTATGGTACTGATAAAATAGGCAGTGGATTATGCCAAGTTTCTGATCATAATTGTTGAATTATTTCTTATCATTCAAGAAAGTATATTGATATGTAAAGTTAGATGATTGTTAAAATACCTTAAAACAGTTAAGATTTATACAAGACAAACAGTTTAGATCTATACAAGATCTAAATCAGTACCAAACTCTAGTAATTTACCTATTAGAATAAAAGTTGCCATGTAATACGTTTAACAATTACCACAAATAACTGAAACAATAAAGTGAATTCCAGTCAATGTTACTTTAGAATTGCAAGGACTTTCAGAAATTTTAGTGGAAGAAAAAAAAACACTCCAGTTTTAACAGAACAGACCCTTCCCTTCCAAATATGTATGTATAAATCCATTTAAGGTGAAGTCAGAAACATAGTGGAATGGTAAATACCCAGTTTTTCTCAGATTCATTCATTCATTCATTCATGTTTTGTGAAAAGGTAATCTCTCAGCCTGTAGGTAAAATTCTCTCTTCAGAGGCTTAGGCTCCTGTGTCCCTCATATAAGTGGTCTTCTTCACCATGACTTAATGAATTATTGTAAAATATGTCCAGTCTCAGCAGTTTGCATAGTTTAGGCCCAGGCTGAGAGTGTGAATTAGCAGCATGCACAGACACAATATGTGTGTGTGTGTGTGTTATGTTGCTTTCTCATATGTGTGCATGCACACACACACACACACACACAAAGACATGGTTTCAGAATAATTATGGTTTTAATATTTGATTCTGTTTCATGTCAAAACTCAATTGAATGACTGAAAGGAATCATGCAAAAGCATCCTAAAGGATGCCTACTATCAGTACTAATTTACAGAGGTTATTTATTGGTATTTGAGAAGGCTTCTGCATTACAAATGTAACTATTAATTATAATGTTACTGCAATATTTGTAATCACTTTAAAATTAACCTTTATATCCTCAGGAGGTTTGTATTTAGAAGAGTTACTTGGTGTCTCATAAAGAAACCAATTAATCAACAAATGATCAGTGCAGAAAGAACATAAATTAGTTCTTTGTTTACTGCTACATGGTTGTATCATATAATTTGAATTATAATTAAAATGTTTACACTGCAAATAGAAAAAATAGTTGATTCAGGGATAGATCATAGCAACAATTTCAAGTGTTCCAAGAAATATGTTTACACACTTGCTAGGGTTTAGGCACTCACAATGTAGGAAACAAAAGGTGAAAAAATAACTGTGACCTGTTATCAAAAGACTTTTCTCTCTTCTATTGCCATTGTTTGACTCTCTTACTTAGGTACTACCATTATGAAAGCCAACAAATATTTTAGAATGCAGAGAACAAAAACATCCAGGCATGAGGATTAAGTTATTAATTTTTATTGTCCCCATACATTTTATTCTATAACATCTCATAAAAACTAGTGTTTTCAAATATATGGATAAAAAAGTTTACAGAGAAATTGTGATTACCTGTCAGATAAGTATAAAAAGTCACACATACCACTATGTCATGCCTTTAATCTACTTTTCATTTAATAAAAAATGAAAAGATGTAAAAAGTCATGATTTGAAATTTTTGTTATCTTTATTCTACATGAATTAAGGCACTTATTGTTCCTTCTTATTTTGGTTTATTAACATAATGCCTTCCCTCGTGCTATTAATAATGCTAATGAACCAAAACATACAAAAATATGGGACTTTAATTCTTTTTTCACTGCAATGAAGATAGATGTAAATTGTGTCTTCTATGCAAACTTCGTCCCTTTCTTTGAATAAATTTTCACCTCCAGAAATTGTAATTGTTTCTTCATCTTCTCTTATTTCTGAAAATTTCTTTTCTCATTTCGTAATATTGTCTTCTTTTGTGGATGTCATTTTGTCTTTATTTCTTGAACCCTCGTTGACAGATTTATTTTTAATTCATTTCCAGATTATTCTATTTTATTTTTCATTTATCTGGAATAAATCCATCTCCTGAAGTTTGATGTTGGTGATTATTCTTGGCATTAGTTTTCTTGATAAATATCAGAATCTGATGTCATAGCCTGATTTGGGGTGAGAGCTTATTGGTTTGGTTTTCTCCCCAGCACTCACCCATTGTTGTCTAGTAGCTCAGTGGTTTTCTCCATCTTGCTCCACCACTCATGGAGTTAGTCGTGGTTTGGCCCAGATCTTGACCATTGAGCTATGTCTACTTCTTCCCATTCCCTAGGTGGGAAAATTTAAATGAGCTGTAGTCCCACTGATAGTTACACAGACTTTTTCCAATCATTTTTCACAAACCATGAAATCCAAATTCAGCCCTTGTTTTCTGTCCATGAAACCTATATGAACACTGTCCTAACCTATGTTTCTGTCCTAACCTATATGAACACTCCTAATAGTTTTCCTTCTACAGGAGGAGGATTCCTTGGTTTAACCGTACTTGCCACATTGTATTTCTGTTGCATAAGTGAAACAGAGATGCTTACATTTGATTGTCTAATTTTCTGTGGGTTATAGATACCATTCTTCTGAGACAAAAATAAATAGTGCACTATTTCAGAGAATAAAAGCATGCAGAAGCTGATAATTTGGCTTTCTAGTCTTCATTCTCAACCATACTATTATTGGACATTGTTTTATATCCTAGCAATAAATTACCAAAATTAGTTTTCACTGCAGTCTAATAAAGTGAAAGTTCTTGGCATAAAAAGAGCAAAGTGGTTCAGAACATCAGCTTCAAACTTAAAGGCCTAAGGTCAAATTTTACCATTTATTTTTAGCGAATCATGTACACGTTGAGAACTTGCAGATTATCATGTAAAATGAAGATAATAGTGTTATCACAAAACAGTTAGTAGATAAGTAAAAAGTCTTTTAATCATAGTAATTGTCCCCTAAATATTAGTTTTTTCATTGTTTACCTATTTACAGCCAGTTCTTTAACTTACGAACAGGTTTCTATTGAAAGTTATGAACTTCAGCTGGAAGAAGATGAAAACACTACTTTCATCCTCAAATTCTTCAGTTTTTGGTTGTTAGTGTTGAACTATCATGTATCAAAAGAATGGTTAGGGGTTGGAAGATTTGGTGTTTCTTATGATATTTCCTACCCCTTTTGGGTAGGACACAAGACCTTCTAGAAGAACAGGCAACTCTGGATTTGCCACGTAGGACTTACCACCCAGTCAGCAAACACATTTTTGCTTTCTAGAATGAAAAATGGAAGTCTGTATACTCATAAGGAAAATCTTCCCTACCATTCTTGGAATATGAGCCATTTGCTATTATGGTTGTAAAAGTTCAGACATTGGAGGAAGACAGCCTTGTTTCCCTCGTCACTATATCACTCTCTACCTGTAGTGACTTTGAATGCAGTATTTGATACATTTGATTCTCAGTTTTTCTCTGTGAAGTGAAGAAGTGATATTTTAGCCTTTACATAATTAAGAGCAAAACAATGATCTATGCCTGGATCTTTTATGCAGATTTTTCTCCCAGAATTTCCATTTCCTATTTTTCCATATTTTGCTTTATCATAGCTTCAAAGATTTCTATTCTTCCAGTGATTGTATCTTTTGCATCTAATCATCTATCATTTTTGTTGAAAAACAAAACACTGGGTTTATTTGAAGACAAATCTCTGTTCTCTTCCCTGTGGCATCATAATTTATTATCCCTAGGCCTAATGAAGAGTTGTCATCCTGGGGTTTCTGGGTTTTTTTCTCCCTCCCTCTATGTAACTCTTGGGAGGAATCGAGAGCAGGCACTGTGACTCCCAGGAGGAACTGACAGTAGTGAGGAGCGTGAACTCTAGAACCAGGCTGCTCAGACTCCAATTCTAGCCTGGCCACTTAATATCTGTGTATAACCTTTAAAAGGCACTTAACTCCTTTGTGTCTCAGTTTTTTTTTCCCCGTTTGTAAATGAGACTAATAATACCTACTTTACAAGGCTTTTCTAAAAATTACATGATTTCGTAAATGTAAGGCTCTTGGAACAACACCTAGTACACAATGAATGTTACCTATTGTTTTAGTTGTACCTGTAGAGTACTCATTCATTTGATGGGAACATTTCTTTCTGTAGCTGACCAAGAAAATGTATGCTGGAAGTAAATTTCAAAAGACCTTAATATCTTAAAATGTCTTTTTTCTTTTCTTTTCTTTTTGAGACTGGGTCTCATTCTGTCACCCCCTAGGCTGGAGTTCAATTTTGTGATCACATCTCACTGCAGCCTCGACCTCCCAGGCTCAAGCAATCCTCACACCTCAGTCTCCTGAGTAGTTGGGATTACAGGCGTGTGCCACCAGGCCCAGCCATTCATATTTTTTGTAGAGACTGTTTTACCATGTTGGCCAGGCTGGTCTCCAACTCCTGGCCTCAAGTGATCCACCCACCTCAACCTCCCAGATTCCTAGGATTACAGGAATGAGCCACCGTGCCTGGCCTGTGCATAGAATTCTTTATTGCAAATATCTTTCAATCAGAATGTCAAATGATTATTCCTGTTTCTGGCACCCAAGTTTGCTTTTGAAAGGATAGTCCAGTGCTGCTTGTCTCTCTTCCTACCTGGGGCCCCATCCTCACCCCAGGAGGTTTTAACTGTCTTCATTTTTTACTAGACATTTGAAAATTCACATAATGTGTTTAAGATGAGTGTATTTCGTTGATTTCACTGACCTCTCAGTGGGTTCATTCATTCATGTGACTGAGATACCTCAATTCCGGGGAAATTTCTATGATATTGTGCTAGTTACCTTCATTTATTTTTCTCTATTCAGTTCTTTTAACATTGACTCACATAGATTTTCACTTTTCTTAGTTTTTTAAAAAATTTTGTGTTATCCTATTTGCTGTTACTGCCTTTCTGTTCTATTTTCTGAGAGATTTATTTTTTATCAAAACTTTTTGATGGATTTAAAAAATTAACCATTTTTTTTGAACTTTCAATAACTCACTCTTGTTATTTTAAATAGCATTGTATTATTTTCAATGTATACAATTTTCTCATACACTCTGAGATATATAAGAATTGGATTTTCTTAAATGTTTTGAGTTAGCGAGGATGGAAATTTTCTTTTGTCCTGTAAAGGAGCATTTCTTTTAGTTTTACATTTTTCTGTTTGTTTGCTTTGTTATCTCCATTGCTCATGTTCAAGGATTTTTTCAAATGTCTAATAATCATTGGCTCAACAATTATATTTAGTAAGGAAACAGTAAAAACTGATTGGAAATTCTGGAGAAGGAAGGAAGGTTTATATCAAAAATGACTGGCAAAAAACGTGTGCTGTTTATCTGGGGGAATTCTACAGATTTCTGTTTGCTCAGAAACTCTGTAAAGGGTAGAAAGCAGGCTGCTAGCATTTTGTTTGGGAATTGACAGTGTGGGTCTTAGAAGTTAACTCTCGGGTATTAAACTAGCACTTTTTCTCTATTTTAACCCCTGCACCGCAAATTCTTCCTTCAGTCCCTACTTGGCATCTCTATTTGAGACCCCCCATTATTTGTAATTAAAGAGGGGATGTAGACATTTTGGTGCTATTATTCCGTGCATAGAGCAATAGAAGAGAAAACATGAGCTCCTCCAAATATTGACTTTCAACAACCCTCATGTTAAATCATTTAACTTGCCCGTTCTCTGTTTTAAGTAGCATCTTTGTGACGGGAACATCTCTGGGATTTGGTGAGTCTAATTAACTTTCTTCTTATTCACATCAATGTGAGTATACTTTATTCTACATCTTCCTCCTCCTGCTAGCTACATTTATTTGTCAAAAGTGTATAAAGTCTTTGTCAACAGATATCTCTCCCATTCTTGTCTTTGGCTTTCATCTTTTTCACAGCGATATTTCAGTAAGCATTGGGAAAACTAGGAGAGAAACAAATGTGATCAATCCACATGACTGGTGATCAATATATTTTAGATGGGGTATAGTATATTTGTATACTACCAAAAAATAAGATTAACGGAGGGCATACCCAAGACAGTGATTAGAGTGGATTCTGAAATGCTTGACATTCTATGAATATGAATTTCAGAATGATTTCTGTAAAGAGCCAATCAATTGATCAAAGAAGAGCAAAATAACAAATAAATATTTGGAAATATTGCCAATTAGAAAAGCTTAAAGTAATTGGGAATGTTTAGCCTAGAGGCAAGAAGCTGGCAATGAGACTTGATTTAGAAATCAGATATTATGGCTAGTTCTCCCTCTGTCTTCCACCTAAACAAGCAAACTAGCTAACAAAATGTATAATGCCTGCCTGAAAAGAAATTTTAAAGGATCTTCTCAATACCAAAATACCTATCTTAGTGAATTATGGAATTTCTTTCACATAGACTGAGAATATTTAAATAAGTATTACAAATTCAATATTATATGAAACAGTGTATGGACATCATATAGAGGCCTAGATTGAAAAAGTAAAAGATGGCATTGCATAATTAAAAATACAGACAATCTTTGTTATATTAGATTCCTGTGGCTTCCATCACAAATTATCACAATCTTGGTGACTTAAACCATAGAAATTCATCCTCTCATAATTATTGATGCCAGATGTTCACATTAAAGCCGTTCACAGGGCTGCACTCTATCTGGAGTCTCCATGTGTTCTTTGTCTCCTCCAGCTCCTGGTGGCTCTCTGCATTCCTTTTCTTGCAGCCATATTACTCCAGGCTTTGCCTCCATGATCCATTGCCTCCTCCTCTTCTCTGTGTCTTTCCTTATTCTTTTTGTTTCAAATTTCCTTCTGCCTCTCTCATAAGGACATTTACCATTGTATTTAGGGCCCTGTTGGATAATCCAGGATGATCTCCTGATCTGGAAATGCTTAAGTTTGCAAAGGCCCTTTTACCAAAAAAAAAAAAAAAGACACTATTCACAAGTTTCAGGGATTAGGACATGGACATGTCTTTTTTTGGGAGGGCATATAAGAAGTATGATTTCACATTGATCTCAGTTACCACAGAAAGATGCAAAACAAGACCTGTCTATAATATATGCCTATTACTTGGATGTTCAACATGAAGAGTTAGAACTTGGAAACACATATCGGAACATCATGCTCATTTTAGGATTACAAAAGAGAACATCACAAATGTGAAGAATCAAAATACAGTATTTTAAGTCCAGCACTCTCTCTCAAAATGTGAGATTAAGGTCATAAACCATGTACAGCAGAGATTCTATGACTATCCATAAAAGTAGAGCCAGGTGCTTCAAGATGATACCAAGCTCCCATTACAAAATTATTCTGATTAGTCATTAATCAGAAATCATAAGTCTTCATGAAGTCACATAAGATCAGAAATGTGCAATGTTTCATTTTGTGTGTTTTTAAAGAGTTAAGTTCATATAGTATGTAGATATTCATTTTTTGCTTTATATTTAAATATATTATTAAAGTGAAATGGATGCTGCTACTGGTTTTATATCAATCCTGATTTTATTGTCTTATTAGTTTGCAAGTGAGTCAAGGAAAAGAAAATCATAATGGAGAACAGGTAATCGACAATAGAATGTACAATAAATGAGTCTGTTCTCAACACAAATAGTCAAGAGGATTTAAAGCAAACAACATGAATGTTTTTTAAATTAATCTTTATGTGAATAAGCTAAAATATTAAGAGAAAAAGTGCACATTATACTAAAGACATTGAATGACCAGTATCAAGTTACCAAAGTAGAATAATACTGTGTTTGTTATATAACTGGTACTCTTAAAATATGTTAGTTCATGTGGCATTCATTTTATACATTAATTAGCACACAAGAATACAAGGAAGGGAGGCTGTTAGTCCACTGAAGCCACTGACTCAAATGCTCTGGCATTTATGTATATTTTTAGGCATTACTCAATCTAATATACTTTTAGGCATTACTCAATCTAATGGCAACATTTCAATGGTAAGAAAATAGTTTTGTGGGTGGACCTATCTTACAAATGAAAAATGTTATTCATTCTAGGCAACTTAATAAAGAGAGAAGTCACATAAATTTAAATCCTAGTTTGAATCCTAAATTCATTACTTAATTAACCCTGTGACTATGGATGTCTCAGTCTGTTCTTCCTACTGCAACAAAGTATCACAAACTGGATAATTTATAAATAATACAAGTTTATTTCTCACAGTTCTAAAGGAAAGATAATCCAAGATCAAGGCACCAGTAGATTCACAGTCTGGTAAGGGGATTCAATCTGCCTCCAAGATGGCACCTAATTGCTGTGTCTTCACATGACAAAGGGTTAAATGCTGTGTGTCCTCACATGGCAGAAGGGCAATGAATAGTAAAAAGAACCACCTCTCTGCCTCAAGCCCTGTTATAAGGGCACTCATTGAATCCATGAGGGCAGAGTCCTCATGGCTTAAGCACCTCCCAAGGGCCCCACCTCTTAATAACATCATCTTGAAGGTTAGTTCCAACACATGAATTTTGTAGGGACACACACATGCAAATCATAGCAATGGATAAGTCTCTAAATGTCTTCATATCTCAGGTTTCTAATGTATGATGGCAATAATAATGCTTCACTCATCAGGTTATTGTTAGGATTAAATGAATTAATATGCTTAAAGCACTAAGAACAGTAAGGGCTTTATACATATTAGCTATAATAATATTTTCATTTTAAAAAGAATTGATAGGTGTAAAACTCATCAAATCTTTTAGTAATATCTTCTTTAGGTATATACCAGCAAAAAATATCTTGCAGTTTTTAGCTAATCCACTTGTAAGATTGATACTAGGCACAAAAGATTCTTCTTCAGTAAACAAAAATACTAACTAACCCAATTCTAACTAACAAAATTCATTTTTAAAATATTTATTTAAATGCCTTCTTTGTAATAGCCATTAAGCTGGATAGTAATTGAAATACAAAGTTGAGTAAATATTAGTTTCAGCTTTCAAAGCTTTACAGTGTAATTAGGAATACGGATAATTATACAATAACTCAATACAGTATTACAAGTGCTTCTACAAACAAAGGGCCTAGAATAGCAAAGGGGGAGGTTATTAATTTTTGTTAAGCAGGTTTTACAGTTCTGGGATAAAATGGATTTACTGACACTTCTTAAGATATACTTTAAAGTCTAAGATTGATGAGGATGGCATATGAGGCATAGTGTGTCCGTAGAACTGGGAGTAGTGTAATTGGAAGCAAAAAGCAGGTATAATGGGATGAGGGTAAATAACAAAGGAACATTAGCTTGGCGCTTTATTAACCAGGCTGAAGAGTCTGTATTTTCTTCATTGACAAGGAAAAATCATTAATGAATTTTTTTTCCTAAGCAGTGGAGCTGGCATATTAAAGGTACATTTTAGAAAGATTTATCTGATTTGCAATCTAGGATGGATTAAAATAAGGAAAGAGTGAAATAAAGAGAATCAATTGCAGAGCTGTTTGTTTACAGAGTATCCATGTGTATAAGAAATAATGAAAACTTAAACAATGTAAATGGGAATGTGAATAGTATATATAAAGGAAATTGCAAGCACATAATTACCAGAACTCATTGGTTGCCTGTAAGGGAGAAAGGAGGAGTTGAAGACGTCCCCAAATATTCGATTCTAATGCCCTAAAAAGTAATTCAGTCCTTTCAGAAATAAAATAGTTAAGAAGTGGCAGGACTTGGAATTGTAAGATATTTAAGTTTTAGATACAACGTGTTTGAGGCTTGAACAACACATTCAAATATATGTTACAGTTAGTTAGAAAAGGAAGATATGGGAGTAATGTAAAATTCTTAAAAGCTCTCAAAGACTAATCCAAATGTGTGAGTTTAAGAAAACAACATTAAGAGAAAAAAATAAATGGAAGAAATCCTCACTATGTTAGACAGCTCTTGCATTGCTGTAAAGAAATATCTGAGACAGGGTAATTTATAAAGAAAAGAAGTTTAATTGGCTCACGGTTCCATGAGCTGTAGAGGAAGTACAGTGCCAGGCAGCTGCTTGGCTTCTGATGAGGCCTCAGGAATCTTACAGTCATGGTGGAAGTCAGAGGGAGAACTGTCAATCACAGGGCAATATCAGGAGCAGAAGAGAAAGGTAAGGGGGAGGTGCCACACACTTTTAAATAACCAGATCTCAGAAGCACTCACACACTGTTGCAAGGACAGCACTAAGCCATGAGAGATCTGTCCCCATAACCTGAACATTTCCTGCCAGGCCCACCTCAAGTATTGGGCATTACAGTTCAACATGAGATTTTTGGGGGACAAATATCCAAATAATATTACTTACTTATAAAGAATGCTCAGTTTGGTGGGGAGAAAATGGGAATGAGAGCCAATAGAGAGGAATGATATTTGGTGGTGAAGAAAGAAGGGTAATGTCAGGTGTATTAGTTTGTTCTCACACTGCTATAAAGAAGTGCCTGAGACTGGGTAAATTATAAAGGAAAGAGGTTTAATTGACTCACAGTACCACAGGACTGGGGAGGCCTCAGGAAACTTACAATCATGGTGAAAGGGGAAGAAAACACGTCCTTCTTCACTTGGCAGCAGGAAGGAGAACAATGAGAGCCTAGTGAAGGGGGAAGCACCTTATACAACCATCAGATCTCATGAGAACTTACTGTCATGAGAATAGCATGGAGGAAACTGCCCCCATGATTCAATTACTTTTCACCAGCTTCCTCCCATCACACATGAGGGTTATGGGAACTACAATTCAAGATGAGACTAGGGTGAGGACATAGCCAAACCATATCATTCTGCCATTGGACCCTCCAAAATCTCATGTCTTCACATTTCAAAACACAGTTGTGCCTTTCCAACAGTCCCCTAAAGTCTTAGTTTATTCCAGCATTAACCCAAAAGTCCACAGTCCAAAGTTTCATCTGGGACAAGGCAAGTCCCTTCTACCTATGAGTCTGTAAAATCAAAGGCAAGTTAGTTACTTCCTAGATAGAATGGGGAATGGGGGTACAGACATTGGGTAAATACACCCATTCCAAATGAAAGAAATAGGCCAAAACGAAGGGGCTACAGGCCCCAAGCATACTGAAATCCAACGAGGCTGTAATTAAATCTTAAAGCTCCAAAATAATCTCCTTAGACTTCATGTCTCACATTCAGGTCATGGGCCCTGGGGCCCAGCCCAAGAAGTCATTTTTTTCTCCTAGGCCTCCAGGCCTGTGATGGGAGGGGTTACCATGATGGTCTCTGATATGCCCTGGAGACATTTTCTCCATTGTCTTGGTGATTAACATTTGGCTCCTCATTACTTATGAAAATTTTTACAGCCAGTTTGAATTTCTCCCCAGAAAATAGAGTTTTCTTTTCTATTGCATCATCATGCTCTACATTTTTTAAATATATTCTGCTTCCTCTTGAACACTTTGCTGCTTAGAAATTTCTTCCACCAGAAACTCTAAATCATCTCTCACAAGTTAACATTCCACAGATCTCTAAGGCAAGGGCAAAATGCCTCCAGTCTCCTTGTAGAGCAAAAGTTACTGTTACTCCAGTTCCTAACAAGTTCCTCATCTCCATCTAAGACCACCTCAGCCTGGACTTCATTGTCCATTTCATTATCAGCACTTTTGTCAAAGCCATTCCACAAGACTCTAGGAAGTTCCAAACATTTCCACATCTTCCTGTCTTCCTAGCCCTCCAAGTCTCTAGAAGTTCCAAACTTTCCCACATTTTCTAGTCTTCTTCTGAGCCCTCCAAACTGTTCCAATTTCTAACTGTTACCCAGTTCCAAAGTTGCTTCCATATTTTTTGAGTATTTTTATAGCAGCACCCCACTCTACCAGTACCAATTTACTGTATTAGTCCATTCTCACACTGCTATAAAGAACTGCCAAGTCTGGGTAAAAAATAAAAGAGGTTTAATTGACTTGCAGTTCTGCAGGGCTGGAGAGGACTCAGGAAACTTACAATCATGGTGGAAGGGGAAGTAAACATGTCCTTCTTCACATGGTGGCAGGGAGAAGAATGAGAGCCTAGTGAAGGAGGAAGCCCATTATAAAATCTTCAGATCTCATGAAAGCTTACTATCACAAGAATAGCATGGGGGCAACTGCCCCATGATTCAATTACCTCCCACTGGGTTTCTCCCATCGTGCATGGGGATTATGGGAACTACAATTCAAGATGAGATTTGGGTGGGGATACAGTCAAACCATATTATTAGGTGATTACAGATTCACAAAAACAAAGGATAGATATTTTCATAAAGGAGAGGCTGGCTATCACTGTCAAATGCCACAGGGAATTTCAGAAGAGTGAAATATGAGAAAAGAATACAACCTGGAAGTGTTGGGGAACTCTTAAGGGCAATTTTAGTAGGATTTGAAAGTAAAAGTCAGATAACAAAAGCTTAATATTGCAATAATTGGCAATGAAATAACAACATTAAATATGCATAAATAGGCAGGGCACAGTGGCTCATACTTGTAATTCCAGGATTATGGGAGGCCAAGGCAAGAGGATCACTTGAGCCCATGAGTTTGAGACCATTCTGGTCAACATAACAAGACCCCATCTCTAAAAAAAAACAATACATAAATATACACACAAATATCTGAATAATCCCATGCTTTGCATGACTTTGATTTCTACTATTGTGGCAGGCCAGGTTTCCATTAGCAACCAGAACAGTCAGTTTCCACTAACCCTTTACTATAATTTTGATGAATGCAAAAGTTAAACATTAAAAAACTAGAGACACTGGTGCCTGAGTACCAAGGCTGGAGTGTGAAAACAAACCCATTAAGACCCCGCCTGGGTTTTTTCAGACACTAAAATCTGATCAAATAATATAATAACAGCATTCTGACACATACACCTCATCCCAGGGCCCACTTAAGATTAACAAACTTTCCAAAACTCTAGAGAAAGCTTTCTGGATCCTAGACCCTAAAGATTAGATATATATTGAATGAAACACTCCGCTAGTAGGTGCACTCCCATAGGTAGGCATAGAGCTTAGAATATATGTAAGCACTGAAAAACATAACTTGTAACTTTGAGTTTGTCTGGTGAGTTACTCTGACCTTCTCCTTATAATCAGTTGCAGAAATAAACTGCCCTTCCTTCCCAGTCTGCATCTCCTTATTGGACCACAAGAACGAGCAGCTGGACCTCGTTCTGTGGGATTAAATTGTCTTCAATTTAAGATAAGTTCATTAGCCACATACAAACACACCTATGCCACATACATATGAGATATATAAGATGGAATGCCATGAACAACAAAGATTCATAACAGACAAGGAAAGGGTTAGGTTCCAAATTTTAAATGGAGAGTGGTAAGCCTTGGAAAGGATGAAGCCTATTCTCTGACGAAAATTAAGATTGAGGCCAAGCACGGTGGCTCATGCCTGTAATCTCAGCACTTTGGGAGGCTGAAGTGGGTAGATCACTTAAGGTCAGGAGTTAGAGACCAGCCTGGCCAACATGGTGAAACCCGATCTCTACTAAAAACACAGCAATTAGCTGCATGTGTGAGTGGTGATGGGCACCTGCAATCCTGGCTACGCAGGTGGCTGAGGCAGGAAAATCACTTGAACACAGGAAGTGGAGTTTGCATTGAGCAGAGATCTTGCCACTGCACTCCAGACTCCAGCCTGGGAAAGAGTGAGATTCCATTTCAAAAAAAAAAAAAAAACAACAAAGAATGAAGATTAAGATTGAGAAACTAGAAATCCAGAGAAACTATTTGAAAATGGGGATTAAAAATAAGATCAATTTAATCTTTTCTGAGCGTAAAGGGGGGTAATCAGTGGAATAGAGGTGATCCTATTTCCTACAATAAAAGATTGAAAAGATTGAGATTAAAATAAGCACGCAGTTTAATCATATAGAATAATCTTGGAAGAGTTGTCACAGAGAATACAAACAAGAGTGACATGACATAAATAAGAGTGCTATTTGAATACTAGTAAGGACATAATAAAATAAACATATTGTAATGATTTTATGACTTCTAGCTGGATTTACTTGCCAGGGAATGGAGAAGGATAGAGAAAGGAACAACAGCATGAGTACTGGGACTAGGTCTTCATACAGCAGAAATGCTGGAAATTCTGTCATAAAGTGACTTAAAGATCTATAATTTATTATACATTTATTAAAAATTAATCATGAAAGTGCTTAACCATTGCTAGTTATAGAAACAACAGAAGGAAGGACAAAGTGGTAGGCTAAGAGAGGCAGAATAGCACAGAGACAACAAAATCAGGCAGAAAACTGGGTCAGCAGCAGTAAAGAAGTAGAAGAAGCCAAAGGAAAAATGAGAATTGGCTCTTTAAAAGTAAGTTAGATGAGGCTGAGGAATTCAGGGCCTTGAGTCATGTCAGATCAAATTATGGATCAGAAGCACACAAATATTGTGCAGAGGAATTTCAAACCAATTTCTTCTATAGAATACAGTGAAGTTAATTTTAAATATATGTCTTAATTATAAGAGTTACTTCTTTTAAATAAATGTCTAGGTAATTCTGCACATTTGCATGATTCTGAATTTCATGTTTGCCAATTAAGGTAATTCCATCATTCATCCACTCATCCTCTCAACCATCCATCCATCCATCCAACAAATTAAGTATGTACCATGTTCAAAGCACTACGCCAGAAAATCTATTTAAAATAGGATAGAGATGCTGTTGTCACGGAGTTCATTGTATAGTTGCAGAGACAAACACAAACTAAATGATCACAAATAGAGAGATAGGATATATAAAGTTTCAATAAGAGCCTAAAATAAAAGGAATTGACCTGGTCAGGGAAAACATTATTTTAAGAAATAGCACCTGACCTAAGATCTGTAAATAAGAAAGCAATAAATGCATTTGTGTGTGGTTGTTGGTGGAGGAGGACTGTGATAAGCTGTGATATATTGTAAAAAGAGGAGCCTTTTATACAAGTACATGGGAATGTAAGAGAGAAAGGGATATATTTAAGTACCTGACTCAAGGTACTGAAAAAAGATCAGTATGATTAGATTACAGAAATAGGCAGGGAAACCCAGCAGTTTTCTGTAAACCATATTAAAGATTTTCATTTTTATTCTAAATGCTATTGGGTAACACCCAAGCCACTAGAATGCATTTTGAGATTACTCTGGCTGCAAGGTAGAGAAGAGTTTATATAGTAACCAGCACAAATAAAGAAAGATCACTTAGTAAGGTGTTACAATAGACTTGAAAATATGAAGTTGATTTAATCAAGGGTAAGAAAGGGGAGGAGTTGGTGACTTTATAAGATATTTAGGAGGTTCAATTGACTGACAGGACTTAGTGATGAATGGCATAGGAGCAAAGGTGAGGAAGTTGTCAATGACATCTTTTTTGGCACAGATAGATGGATAAAGAACTCAGGAAGAAATTAGGTTTCACAGCCAGTAAGCTCAAGTAGTTTGTCTTTGAGATCATATTTGGTGTTCCTTTGAGATTTCTTGGCAGAATTATCAAGTTACCAAATGAATATAGAAGTCTAGAGCTCAGGAGAAGGGCCTGGGTCCAAGCTGTGGGGTTTCTAATAGCTGGAAGGAAAGAGTAAAAGTACAAAGATGCGGTCATCAAAGAAGTAGGAAATCCAGGACCCTCGATGTCATAATAACAAAGGAAAGTCAAATTTGATTTTTTTTCAATTGTATTTATGTTTCTGTTTTTTCCAAGGAGGGAGATGGTAATTTAAAAAAAATAAAATGCCTGACCGTGCCCAGAGGTCAGATAACTTGAAAAGTGAAAACATGCCATGTAATGTTAGAGATACAGCAACCATTCCATACCGTTAGACAAAACCATTCAGTAGAGTGATCAAAGTGAAAAACAACCAGCCTGGCTGAGATGGTGAAACCCCATCTCTACTAAAAATACAAAAAAAATTAGTCAGGCATGGTGGCGGGCGCTTGTAATCCTAGCTACTCGGGAGGCTGAGGCGGAGAATTGCTTGAACCCAGGAGGCAGAGGTTTCAGTGAGCCGAGATTGAGCCACTGCACCCCAGTCTGGGTGATCGAGCAAGACTCTGTCTTGAAAAAAAAAAAAAAAAAGTAAAAAACAGATTACAGTGACTTGAAGTGAGAATGGAAAGTGAGAAAGTAAAGAATGAAAGGATTTATAGCTTGGTCCAGAAGCTTATCTTGCTAAGAAGGTAGTGGGAAGTGGTTCTTCCTCTTTCAGCTATTATAAAGTAACTGGAACTAGACTTACCTTTCTGACATAAGCAACTAGAATACTGAACAAAACATATAGAACAACTATTTTCAAGTGTCAATCAGCAGGTAGGGTCTTACTGTGACCTAGGAGAGAGTGATACATGCCCTTCATTAGCCCTGATTTTCTGCCAAGAGATCCCTTCTGGACCATCACAGGAAGATATATCATAAGACATTCTTGGAATTGTGGCAAAAAGGAAAAGACAGAGATGAGCATTTGGAGAGTGATGGTGGTAAAATTTGCAAGATCAATGAACAGAGAAAAGGAAACTACAGGAGGAAAGAACTCAAGAAATCTGCACAGGGCCTTCCTTAAATCTGCTGCTAAATATTAAGTCACAAATGTGTAGGCAGAAACTTTGCAAGGTTAACTGAAAAAATGTTCCGGGGAACATTAAGAAAAGCAATTTCCAGAGCTCATATAAAGCTGGAAGACAGTAAAATCTGGATAGTAAAAAGGAGAGAACTCTTTTAATACCCAGAGGATTCAGTAGAAACAGCAGAAGGGTCATACATTACTAGAAGGACTAAACAGACAGTGAAACGATGATTCTCAGTCCAGCCGGGAATGACTTTACTTTCCCCAAAGACTTCTGGTGATGTCTGGAGACATTTTTGGTTTTCACATTTGGAGGGTGGGAGGAGGGGTACTACTAACACCTACTGAGTATAGAGTCCAGGGATGCTATAACTATTCTGCAAAATACAAGTCAGTCTCCCCAGCAAAAAAATATTCCACTAAAAATATCAATAGTGCTGAGGTTAGAAAGCCTGTACTAGAAGAAATACAATGCTATCTTTAGATATGCATGGGCAAGGGATCCCTGACCCTGAACCATGCCTCAGGAGACCTCCACGTTTTGCCTACTCAAGGGAAGTCTCCTTCCATTGCCTGGAAACATCTGAGCCTGACGGTGACATATGAGTGGAGTGTCCTTGGGCCCTGATCACAGTTTACATGGGCTCCAGTCCCCATTTTTTCCTTCAGGGCTCTCAGAACTTTCCTATGCAGGGTGTCCACTAGATGTCCCAAAGATGTCTGGGATTCATTTTTGTAGAATTGTCTAAAGGCTGCATGTTTCTATAAGAACGCTTGGCAAGCTTATTATTCTTGACGACTAGCATAGTATATCTTTCACAATTTTATGTGAGATTAGGTGTTCAGTATGTTTCATACAAACTGATTTATTGTGTCTCTCATACATGTTGGATACAGGATGAATTCAATAGTCTCTAGGGCGATGAAACTCTACCTCTAAACTAGAGTTTGAGAAACTCATATAGGCTGGTGCTTTAGTTCTTTTGACAATGTGCCACCTCCTGTCATCTTCCATGTCTGAGGGTAGTGAGTGTGGAAACAGTTACCCTTTACCCTTCCTATTCATTTTACCATCACCTCAGACACCCAAGGCCGTCACTTCAACACTTCCATAGGATCATGTGTCAGGCAGCCACTTGAGGAGTGGCCATGCTCATGTCTTCCAGGAGTTTTCACACCATTGCTCTGAAACACCAACGGACTCTTTGATCAATGTCCTCTCTTGCCTTCAGTCTATATGGTGATGTGTTTTGCTGGGTTGCCCTTATATTGCGCCAGACAAAGAACAGTCGATCCTTGAGCACACTGCTCTGCTATTATCACTCTATCCACAGCCCCTCCAACCATCCTTCTCCCACTAGTGGCAATAAATAAAAGTCAAGAGTGCTCTCAACAATGAAAAAGATTACATTTTAGGAATGCAGTAATTTCAACCTAAAGAGTTCAGAAGAAGAAATAGTTAAAAGTGGTGGTGTTCTACCTTTATGCTATAAAATTCTGAATGTTAAAGTTAACCAGAAAATAAATTGTTTTTTGCATTTTTCTGCATACTCCAGATAAGACTTAAAATTTTAGTCAGGGAGAAGAGTAAAAACTTTTAAGAAAGTGCTTGAAAATTAGATTCATAGGTGACACATCAAAAATGACAAAACTTGACTCATGATTTATAATTTGTCATATATTAAATAATTTTGTATTAAATAAATATTATAAGAAAACTGGAGAGGCAAATAGATTTGTATTACTTCAGTATAAACAGATTCCAAAGAGCTGTGATATTATGCATAACACCAGCATTACCTTTTACTCATGATGGGACAGAGGATATTAATCAGGAGTAGCACAATTGAAAATAACAAAAATGAAGAAATGGTTCCTTGACCTGAAATGAAAGTGATGGTCCCTGTACACATGAAGGATCTTTACCTGCCCTAATTATAAAAATGAAATACATGGGGCCTTCTTCTATCACCATTATTCTAAATATTCATTGATAAATACCACATTTAACATGAGTCCATGAATTTTTTAATACATATTTGAATCAATTTGCTTATATAAACAGAGACCACATAAAAATATTTTCTTGGGGTGCCGTGTGCCCTAGAGGCTACTCTGAGAAAATGGTTACTCTAAACCTGTCCTGACAAAGCTTTACAATGAGCCTTAAAATAATTAATTTTATCTTCAAGTAACTTAACGGCTGAGAAAAAAAAGAAAATAAGAAAATAAAGTCCAACAATCTTTAGGAATGACAAAAACTGGTACTTAATATAAAATTTATAGTACTCAGAATCCAATAAAAAAACTTACATATAGTATACAGAAATAGACCCAGAAATGAAATGAAAGAGATGATGGAATTAACAGACAAGAACTTTAAAATCTTTGTTATAAATACATGAATTTGAAAAATATGGATATAATAAAAAGAAAAACAAAAATAAAAATTTAACAAAACAGAAATTTTAGAGATTAGAAATTTCATTATCTGAAATGAATACTTTGCTACAAGGTGTTACCATCAGATTTGCTACTGAAGAAAAAGATCAGTGAACTTGAAGATGTAGCAATAGAAACTACCCAAAATGAATCCTAGAGAGTAAAATGGCTGAAAAAATTAAAAAGTATTAGTGACCTACATGAAAATATAAAATATTCTAATCTACATGGTCTCATAATTGGGAAATAATAAGGGATTCAGAAAAAAAAGTACATGGAGATATGCTGAAAGTTTCTTTATTTGATGAAAACTATAAATCTACGGATCCACAAAACACAACCAACCACAGTAAAGCATGTCATACTCAAATTGCTGAAAACGAGTGGTAAAGAGAAAATTTGCAAAGTAGCCAGAGAAGTTACATTGTGTTCCATGGAACACATATAATAATGATCACAAACATCCTATGAGGAACCAGGCAAGCCAAAACACTTTGGAAAAATATTATCTATGTGCTATAAGAAAAAATTAATTGTCAACCTAGAATTTTTACCTGGCAAAAATATCCTTCACAAATTAAGACTAAATAATAATTTATTTTTTTCTGAAAAAGCAAAAGTTGAGTAAATATGTCACCACCAAAACTGGACTACAAAAATTGTTATTTTATTAAAAGGAAAATGATACATCCACACAGGAACTAAGGTTTGTTATATTTTACTTCTTGTGCTTACTTTGAGCAGGTAAAGATTTGACATGGCATTACTGCCCTATAAATATGATGACTAACACTTTATTTTGAAACTTCTTATTTCTTTTACCTCTCAGTTAATGAGCAGGTTTTAAGCTTAGTAACCATAGTATAAACACAGTCTAGACCAGATGTTTGTGGTTAAAAATGAGTTAACATCCCTCAGATTTTTCAAATTAATTTGTTTCAGACTATTTAACATTTTTTATTGAGGAGTTTGACTTTGAAATTTGGTTCAATTCCTGTAATTCATGCATTATTTCATCAGTTGGAACAGTTTTACTATATTCTTCTTTTTTATATTTAATGCTTTTAGTTTGGTAAAACTGAAATTAAACCAATTAATTGTTGGTAAAACCTAATGTTTGATTCAACTAATTTTAATTGCAATTGAAGAACATCTTCAGAATTATCTATCGTGCCTTACTCAACCCACTACAGAATTAATTAAAACTTTGCAGATTAGTTGAACAAATTGGAAGTATTTTAAAATGTAATTAATCCTTCATTATTTTTAACTTTTTCTATAATGTATAAGCTAATTTATTGACTATGCCAAAATATTTATCTATTCTTTTAACCAGGATTTGTTTTAAACAAACTATATTTTCCTGAATTTTATATATATATATATTACAGCTGCAACAGAACTACACAGCTCATTCTAAGAAGGAGGAAACATACTGTTTTATTAGGAAATCAGGTTGAATAAAAATCTATTTACTATATTTTCATTCATCAAACTCAAGAACATTTTGTATCTAAAATATGTTGTGTCATATGCACATCACTTAGCTATAAAGAGTGAAAAAATAGCTCACTGAATTCATCCAAACAGTTCTCACAGGAAGATTTTACTGTCAGCCCAAATGGAAATAGCTTAACATGATAAATGTTTCTTAGAATGGAGTCTGTCCACCAAAGTTAGATTTATAAATTCATGAAATCCCATGCTTATATACTCAGATTGCTGAAACATTTTAACAATATCAACTATTTCTTTAAATAAAGATTTTCTCCAATTCACAAAACTTTATGAGTCTGACTTTATAAAACAGGAACTTGAAAGAAAGACGATGTTTTATTATTTTCCTTTCCAGTTAAGTGTTCAGGTAAGCATATTGCATTTTTGTTATTTGTGTTAGGCCCCTTTTGCATTGCTATGAAGAAGTACCTGAGACTGAGTAATTTATAAAGAAAAGAGGTTTAATTGACTTATAGTTCTGCAGGCTTTATAGGAAGCATGGTGTTGGCATCTGTTCAGCTTCTAGTGAAGCCTCAGGGAGCTTACAATCATGGCGGAGGGGAAGGGGGAAAAGTCATGTCACATAGTGAAAGCAAGAGCAGGAAGGAGAGCGAGAATGGGATGGGGGGTGTCACAAACTTTTAAATGACCAGATCTCACAAGAACTCACTATCATGAAGACAGCACCACACATGAGGGACCCACCTTCATGACCCAAACACTTCCCACCAGGCTCTCTCTCCAGCACTGGGGATTACAATCTAACATGAGACTTGGGCAGGGACAAATATCTAAACTCTATCAGTATTTTATGACACATAGTGTTATAGATTGTCTTTTCTACCATGCAGCACATAAGTAACCTAATAATCTATTTGTTTTTGCTAATAGTGTATATTTGCAGATATCTAACCAACAGCTCTTCAGTCACTGGATGAAGACAAAAACTTGCAGGAGATGACACCAATAAGAACAGGAAAAGAACACATATACATGCATATATATGTGTCAAACATGTGTGTGAACACATGTTCATGTATACATACACTTACACACTACCCATAACACAACCTGAAACAATAAGGCATCAAAAAGAGTGAAAAAGAACAGGTGAATCATGTTCATACACCATTTTCAAGTAAAAGTCACAAAAGGAATGAAGCATAGGCTCTGTAATTAATGATAAAAAGCTGTTACGAACAATGAGGGGAGACTGCAAAATATTCATATCAATCTTTACAGACATCCTCTCTCACAGTGATAAAAACATATCTAGCATTGCCATAGACATTTACATTGATATATTATTAGCAGCATCCATCAATCTACAAACTGCATTGAGATATCAGTGAAATTTGACAGTCTTCTGATTGCACTTTCTAAGGCCTGAATCTTTCTGCTTTTGATCTTTCCGACTTCAATCTCCAGCCAATTTTATCTCAACATCTTGCTCCATTGCATTTTGTAACTACTTGATATATCTTTATGTTTCCTGCTATTTGTAAGTTAATGTTTCATGTTTTAAGCTTTGTAATAGAGAAAATATAGAAATATAAAAGTCCAAGAATATAAAGCTTCTACTAAAAGTTACTGTTTGCCTCTTTTATTTTACCCCAAAGGCTAGTTTTTTTAAAGAAGGTAACTCTTTTATATTCTTTATTTAAACACATATTTAAGAATATTTAAATAAAGAATTAGTATATTCTTTAAGAATATTTAAATAAAGAATTAGTATATTCTTTATTTAAATACATGTTTAAGAATGTGTTTATTAAACCTTTTCCTCACTTTTCCAGATACTATTATCATTTATTTTTGTAATATTATAACTCAACTGCATAAATGTCTTCTTTTGAGAAGTGTCTGTTCATGTCCTTTGCCAGTTTTTGATGGGGTTGTTTGTTTTTTTCTTGTAAATTTGTTTGAGTTCATTGTAGATTCTGGATATTAGCCCTTTGTCAGATGAGTAGGTTGTGAAAATTTTCTCCCATTTTGTAGGTTGCCTGTTCACTCTGATGGTAGTTTCTTTTGCTGTGCAGAAGCTCTTTAGTTTAATGAGATCCCATTTGTCAATTTTGGCTTTTGTTGCCATTGCTTTTGGTGTTTTAGACATGAAGTCCTTGCCCATGCCTATGTCCTGAATGGTAATGCCTAGGTTTTCTTCTAGGGTTTTTATGGTTTTAGGTCTAACGTTTAAGTCTTTAATCCATCTTGAATTAATTTTCGTATAAGGTGAAAGGAATGGATCCAGTTTCAGCTTTCTACATATGGCTAGCCAGTTTTCCCAGCACCATTTATTACATGGGGAATCCTTTCCCCATTGCTTGTTTTTGTCAGGTTGGTCAAAGATCAGATAGTTGTAGATATGCAGTGTTATTTCTGAGGGCTCTGTTCTGTTCCATTGATCTATATCTCTGTTTTGGTACCAGTAACATGCTGTTTTGCTTACTGTAGCCTTGTAGTATAGTTTGAAGTCAGGTAGTGTGATGCCTCCAGCTTTGTTCTTTTGGCTTAGTATTGACTTGGCGATGTGGGCTCTTTTTTGGTTCCATATGAACTTGAAAGTAGTTTTTTTCAATTCTGTGAAGAAAGTCATTCATAGCTTGATGGGGATGGCATTGAATCTATAAATTACCTTGGGCAGTATGGCCATTTTCACGATATCGATTCTTCCTACCCATGAGCATGGAACTTTCTTCCATTTGTTTGTATCCTCTCTTATTTCATTGAGCAGTGGTTTGTGGTTCTCCTTGAAGAGGTCCTTCACATCCCTTGTAAGTTGGATTCCTAGGTATTTTATTCTCTTTGAAGCAATTGTGAATGGGAATTCACTCATGATTTGGCTCTCTGTTTGTCTGTTATTGGTGTATAAGAATGCTTCTGATTTTTGCACACTGATTTTGTATCCTGAGACTGTGCTGAAGTTGCTTATCAGCTTAAGGAGATTTTGGGCTGAGACAATGGGGTTTTCTAGATATACAATCATGTCGTCTGCAAACAGGGACAATTTGACTTCCTCTTTTCCTAATTGAATACCCTTTATTTCCTTCTCCTGCCTAATTGCCCTGGCCAGAACTTCCAACACTATGTTGAACAGGAGTGGTGAGAGAGGGCATCCCTGTCTTGTGCCAGTTTTCAAAGAGAATGAAAACACATGAAAAAATGCTCACCATCACTGGCCATCAGAGAAATGCAAATCAAAACCACAATGAGATATCATCTCACACCAGTTAGAATGGCAATCATTAAAAAGTCAGGAAACAACAGGTGCTGGAGAGGATGTGGAGAAATAGGAACACTTTTATACTGTTGGTGGGACTGTAAACTAGTTCAACCATTGTGGAAGTCAGTGTGGCGATTCCTCAGGGATCTAGAACTAGAAATACCATTTGACCCAGCCATCCCATTACTGGGTATACACCCAAAGGACTATAAATCATGCTGCTATAAAGACACATGCACACGAATGTTTATTGCGGCTCTATTCACAATAGCAAAGACTTGGAACCAACCCAAATGTCCAACAATGATAGAATGGATTAAGAAAATGTAGCACATATACACCATGGAATACTATGCAGCCATAAAAAATGATGAGTTTATGTCCTTTGTAGGGACATGGATGAAATTGGAAATCATCATACTCAGTAAACTATCACAAGGACAAAAAACCAAACACCGCATATTCTCACTCATAGGTGGGAATTGAACATTGAGAACACATGGTCACAGGAAGGGGAACATCATACTCTGGGGACTGTTGTGGGGTGGAGGGAGGGGGGAGGGATAGCATTAGGAGATATATCTAATGCTAAATGACGAGTTAATGGGTGCAGCACACTAGCATGGCACATGTATACATATGTAACTAACCTGTACATTGTGCACATGTACCCTAAAACTTAAAGTATAATAAAAAAAATTATAACTCACCAATTTTGTTTTATATGCCTTAAAACTAAGTGGGAAAAAATGTTAAATTATCTTGAAACTAAGTTTTTAGTTAAAATCCAATGCATAACATTGTAAATCTACTGCAAGTTTAGCTAATACTACATTAATCAATAAACACAATAGAGTGATATTTAAATGTAAACTAATTTTAATAAATGCCACTAAAGCATTTTCGTAGAAGGCACCTATGCAAAATAGTCTAGTGATAACTCAGTGAATCTGCATTTAGGAATCCCCCTCACAGTGGGATTACAATATATTACTGAATACCTCACCTAAATTCCAATGTGAATTTGCATGGTGCTTTGTCAATTACATATTTCCAAAATATATTACATAATCCCAATTTGAACCTGTCAGGCTGTATAAGATTAATGATTATAAGAATGATAACAACTAATGTTTACTGAAAATATATTCTTGGACTTTATAAGGACTTTATACAAGTTTTTTCATTTAATCCTCACAATAGCCCTATGCAGCACACAGTATTATAATACTAATTTTGCTGAAAAAAAAAAAACCTAAATTTCAGAAAAGCTAAGAAAGTTGCCTTAGTATACAAAGAATATATGAGAAATATTTGGGGGACAGTGAATAGATTGATTCATCTGAAATAAATTTATCTAGAACAGCGAGCAATGGACTATAAGGGTGGACAAACAGTTGGAACAAAATTAAATTTCTGAGAGCCAGAATAAAGTGTTTGGAGAGAGTGTAAAGTGTCATGTTTAACGATTTGATTTTTGAATCAGATCAGGGTTGATTCCCATTTTTACCACTTATTAGTTAACCTCATAAGATCATTAAGAAGATTAAATGAGAAGAATGAGATGGTACATGGTGGAAGCTCATTAGTACATGCTCAGTAACTTTCAGTTGTCAACCATGTCATTGAAAGGTTTTGAGCAGATATTAGGTTGAGATAGCAGTCTTCAAGATATCTCTCTGGTATAAATAATAAATTATAAAATATATGAATTGGATGTAAAAATGTCAATTAAGAACTAAACTGCATTGTTAGAATTCTATTTCCTTTAGGGCCTGGTAATGGCAGTGAGAGAGAATATAATAGGAAAGGAAAGGAAGGGGAGGGGATGGAAGGAAAAAGAAAAGGAGGGGAGGGAAAGGAAAGGAAAGCAGAGACATTTGTAAAAAAATATTTAAAAAATACCTCTTGGACAATGTGTGAATAAAGAGTTCAGGTTTCCAAATTTAAATAATCACAGATTTTTATAGATGGACTTTCATCTAGACTCGCCAAATGTTTTGATTTCATTTGTAACGTTCTTGCCAAGTAGTTACAGAATATATTTTGAACAAACTGCTAACAGGAATAGGCTCTTAAAATAGATCATTCTACTTCCAGGCAACTTTAACTATTTAAAAGCAAGCTCCTCATTATAATGACCTGAAAATTTCATACTTATCTAATACTCTTGATATTAGTCTCTGAATCTAGGCAATCTGACCCCATTTCCATATATAAAGTCATTCATGTAACCTAACCACTACCCGCCTTCTACAAAGGCCCTCAACCCATTAAATTATTTGTAAACTGAGATTTTTAATTTCACTATCCTTGTTCTTCTTCCTTTAGTGAGCTTTGGTTTGTCATTCTCTTTGAAAGAGTGGAGCTCAAGATACAACCTCTTTTCTTGGAGAGTGGTCATAATTAACTGTTGTGTAGGGAAGCTAACCACTTAGGTACATCCGGGGATGCAATGCAGGTGTCCAAGGTTCTAGAGAGACGTACCAACACACGCTGCCTAGAAAAGAGTGACTTCTGTGATGACAGAAGTCTCCACCACGGAGTAAGATTTCAACTTGGATGATTAGGAATTTCTGACTTGAAAGAGAATAATTGAGTCTATATATTTCATTGTACAGAGTTTGAAGAAAAAGTACGACGTGCTAGAGTAAAAACTGTTGAATCTATGAGGGATGAATTAAATTTTAAAGTTCATGAAGAATAACTCTAAATAGAATAATGCTGAAAACATTTCCATTAGATAAAATGGTTTATTACTATTTTTTAAGATCACTAAAATCACTAATTTGTTTTCTCCATACTTGTCTCTGATATGTTTTACTCAACCTGAATTTAAGAACTTAATTCATTGAATCCAACACTTAAGTAATCAGTCAAGCAAACCGCAATTTTTTTCTCTCATGATTACTATATATTTTTCTTACCTCTCCAATTTCCCGTTTTTGTCAGTTTTGTTCATCCTATTACAGTACATAGTGGCTAGAACACAGCATTAGGAATTCTGGCTATTACATTGCACATCACACACAAAAATTAAATCAAAATGTACTACAGACCTAAAGGTAAATTTTAAAAGTGAAAAACTTCTAAAAAATACAAGAGAAAATATTCTTGACCTTAGGTTAGGCAACAATCTCTCATACACAACATCAAAGGCATGATCCTTAAAGAAAAAGAATGGTAAATTGGACTTATTCAAAATTAAGAATATTTCCTTTTCTAAAAGCACACATACAAGCTACGGGTTCAGATAAAAGAATTATAAATCACATATCTGATAAAGAACTTGTACCCAGAACACAGAAAGAGCATTTGAAACACAATAATTTTAAAAAGCGTACAACCAAAAAAAAAAGGAAGAAAGATTTTAAAAGACACTTTAAAGAAACACATGACACATGATCATTTGAAAAGATGCTCAATCAAGTTAAAACCACATGCGATACCACTGCGTACCTATTAGAATAGCTAATATTAAAGACTGACCATATCAAGTGACCTTGAGGATGTGGAATGGCTGGAGCATTCCTACGCTACTGGTGGAAATGTAAAATGATACAAGCACTTTTGAAAATAGTTTATCAGCATCTAAAAAAATAAACATAAAATTTTTAATTATTGACTTATTGCAGTCCTACCTAGGTATCTATCCAGGAAGAATAAAAGCTTATGTTCATACAAACGTATATACACAAACATATATAGCAGCTTTATTTATAATCACCAAAAACTGGAAAAGGAATAAACAAACTGTGTTATATCCACACAACGTAATATCATTAATTAAAAGAAATGAGTTATGACACATGAAAGTACATGTGTTGATGTATGATCATGGATGAATCTCAAAGTAATCATGCTGAGTAAAAAAGCCAGATCAGAAAAAGTACATACTATTAATTCCATTAAAGAATTCTATAAAATACAAATTAATCTATAAATGATAGCAGATAAGTGATTGCCTGGGGATAAAAGCGGGTGGGGAGGAGCGGGTGGGAGGGATTATGAAATGGCAGAAGAAAACATAAGATGGTGAATATGTTTATTATAATGATTTTTATAAGGGATTTGTAGTTACAAACATTTTTTAATTTTCAAATTGTATACATTAACTGTACAGCTTATTGCATGTGAATTATATCTCAAAAATGCTTTGAAAAATAATACCTCAGATGATTCTTTCAGTTTGAACATAGCTTCCAACAGTTTGCTGGATGATGGGTGCTCTTCATCCTTAGGCCTTGTCTCTATATGAGTTGTGATACTAATTGTAAAAAGCAAAACAAAATTTATATTTCTCAGCTATTACTTAAGAACCCAGAAGAGAAGGATAATGGTAAAGGAAGGAAAGTATCTCATTAAGCCTGGAAATAAGGACTTCGATAGAAGATCTGAATAATCAGAAGGAAGAAAAGACTCAAATAGCCCTGGGAAATCTTTCATTGTAAATGGCAGAGTAACCCTGTAGATACCTCAATTAAAGTATTCATCATTTTTTGGTAAATATTTATTTTACTTATCTCTCTACTTAGAATTGGAGCTCTTTTAAGAGAGGAATTTTGGTCTTCTCCATCCATTGCCTAGCATAGTTCCTGGCACGTATCTATGCTCAATTGGAAATAATATAAATGGCCCCAGAGAAATCTTAGCTATACTTACTTATTTTTTTGTTCAGCCAACTTTACAGAAATTACCTCTAACCTTTAAAATGAACATACAAGATAGGCATTATTACCTTCACTACAAAAAATTTAAAAATCTTTGATTCAGAGGGTTAAATGACTTGTCTGAGTTAATTCTGCAAGTAAGTGGTGAACCTAGGATTTCTGGTGGAGTTAGCATCTAAAGCTAGGCCTGCTGAGTACAACAACCATGGTTTTGCCACTACATCTTGTGGATACCTAGCAGATACCTTCAGAAAATTGGTTATTATGATTGGAATTTGAAACCATAATAAAATATGGTGAACATTCTTCCTTTTCCTTTATTGATCTTGAAGGGAAAGAATTGGGATATATCTTTAGAAGAATATTCTCTATTGAAAAGTCTACTTCCATGAAAAAATGCTGGATATAGTTCTATGTAAAGAAAACAACATATCCAGGGGATAGTGAATTCTGGTTCTGAAGCATTTTATAGGAGTAATGGAGAATTTCAATTCTTTAGACACTTATCAGAAGTTTTATTCAGCTAAAAACATTATCTGATAAGTTGTTGACCTTCCTTACTGAAAATGTCATCTTCTAGAAGATAAAAGAAGTGATGATTGAAACCACAAATGACATGTGGGAGCAGATAAAAGGAGAGGGGAATAGAAATGATGTCATTAGGGAAGTATATTATTAACTGCCCGGTCAAATGAAGAGAATGGATGTGTTCCTGACACAGATCGATATCTAAGTTGAACATCTCTTAGAACTTGCATTGTGCACTGCACTCCAGATTGATTCCACTGTACTGGCTCCAGTACACCTTCTCTCTCATTGTCACCATCATTATCCAGAGCACACCTCAATATTATTATCAAGAATACTTAGGAAATTAAGAAGAGAGTAAAAGATTATTTACATTGGTTCTTGACATTTGAAATTGAAGTAATGAGTAGGTTTATTATAAGAAATGTCCACTAGGTAAATAGAGCTATGTGTCTGGAACACTGAAGGAAACTGACATTGGTGAAGATTTTGAAGCCGTATGTATAGATGCAGAATCAAAGCTTTGGAAGTAAAAGAGGTCTCTAAAGAAAAGAGTATGGAGAAAACAGCAGCAGGACAGTGATAGAAGCTATTACCCAAGTATGTGGGGGTAATGTTACCCAAGGAGGGAGGACAAATGAAGGTTTTTGTTGAAGTGGGACCTATCACATTTGTATGCCAATTTGCACTTATTTTTTAAGTTAAAAATTCAAGTATCCTGTAAGGCAATAGCTCACTTTGCAATGAAGTCTCATCTAGTGTTATTTTAAATCTTAAAAAGGTTACTTGGAAGCATGTAAACATTACAACTGGGTGACACTGTTAAAGAGCAAATGCACCTATATCCAATTAAAAAGACGCGTCTGTGGCCAATGATACCATCTTGGTTGAATGCCTTATATGTACTACTCAAAGGAGCTTTGTGGTTCTTTAGAGAAACTCATTTTCTGGCAGAGGTTTGAAAGCATTTCTGGTATTAAAAAGGAAATCAATGAGAGGATAAAAAAGCAAGAAGGATGTGTGGTAAACTCTCATTTAAAAACCTGTACACTCAACAGAATGCATCTTTGCAACCTTTCAATAAGACAAGTCTTCTTTAATTTCAAATGGAACAGCCTGTGTTCCATATTTCTTAGCCTGGCTGACATAGAGGTCACAGATTTACTGTGGGACAAGGTAGAATCACTTACATATTATCCTAAATTTAGATTTGGCCTAGATTTTTTGCTGAAATGATGAGAGGCATGGCAATAAAATGAAACTTTGCTGCTTTTATCATTTTCTGCTTTCCGAGTTAAAAAAAAATCATAAAATAAATTGTGCTTAAAGAAACCACTGAATTCATCAAACTCTGACTCCTTAAAATGATTAAGTCATTTTGTCTCCCAACCAGTCCTGAACTGCCTTCTTAGTGACCTGTGGCATGTCCTGAATAGCCTTTCTGAGCAGGCAGGTAGGATATATATGAATATGACAATAAACAGCTGTAGTAGTGTTCAGTTTCAGTCTTCAATCTTTGACATCCTTTTTAAATGCTCCCCAATGACTTCCCCAAGTGTTCACTCTAGTCACTATTGTCCTAGAAGAGTACTGAGCCAATTTAGTGTATATTTATTGATCACTATAAAAGGCAATGTACTGTGTTGCTGGAGGTGCACCCAACTTCTAAAAAATTTACAGTTGAAGAGGCAAGACATAATTCCATGAAAACTTTAATAACAAATATTAGAAGAGCTCAACCAGTAATAGACTGCTTAGAAAAAGAAGAGATCACTTTAAGATGGAATGACTGATTAATTAATAATGCCTTTAAGATATGACAAAACAATACAGATCTGGTCCACCAAAAGCTATTCGAGGCTAAAGATTCCATTCATTCTAGTAGTATCTCCCTAGTAAGGTTCCTCATCTGCTTCTGCCTAAGTACCAGATTTTCGCCTTCCACAGACAGACACCTCCACAATTTACATCAAAACATATCCCAGTGAATATCACATAATTGACTCCAACTAACCCTTTTTAACCTTACAGCATAGACCACACAACAAATCCAGTGAGTTATACATATTGGATTTGAGCCTGAACATACAAGTGCAACTGGAATGCCTTAAAAAAGGCACCATAGAATCTGTATCTATCAGGATTTAGCCCTCACCAGTCATCTGGTGCACAAAGCACCCAGCATCAATGTGCTCATCATGAATGAGAGGATTAAGCCTAGGAGAAGGGAGTTAGCCAGAAACCAGAAAACACACAAAGATGTGGAGGCAGTAATACCTTGCTCTCCCTGACCTATCATCAACAGTTAGAGATTGAGCATGAAACAAAATCCAACATAAAGCATTAAGATCCACCTCTATTCTGGGGTCTGTAGAGAGGGCTGATCAAGGAAAAAAGAAGAATAACAGGGTTCGGAAGTACATAAGAGAGGCTGGACATGTAATCCCAGCACTTTGGGAGGCCGAGGCGGGTGGATCACCTGAGGTCAGGAGTTCGAGACCAGCCTGGCCAACATGGTAAAACCCCATCTCTACTGAAAATACAAAAACTAGTCAGGCATGGTGGCGTGCGCCTGTAATCCCAGCTACTCAGGAGACAGAGGCAGAAGAATAGCTTGAACCTGGGAGGCGGAGGTTGCAGTGAGCCAAGATTGCACCACTGCACTCCAGCCTGGGCGACAAGAGTGAAACTCTTTTTTTTTTTTTTCTTTAAAGTATTTAAGAGAAACAGAAATGGTGTCAGCTAGAGCCCAGGGCATATTAGAAATTCCATGTAAATGAATAAAAGGACTATTAGAAAAACATTTAGAGATATTTAGAATATGATAACCAAAGAGAATTGCAGATCACTGAGAGGCACTCATTTATTCAACAAATATTAATTGAACAACCCCTGTATTCCAGGAATCATTCTAATTTTAGAGATACCTCAGAAATCAAAATAAATACAGATTTACGCCATCAGTGGAGTTCCTAGTGATGGCATGGAGATAAATGCACACATACACATGTACACACATAGGCACATATATGGACACACATATAACTACATTTATGTCATATGGTAGTAAATACAGTGAAACTAAACAAATCAGAGAAAAGATATTGAAAGTGGTAGGAAGGGGGATTTACCAAGTAGTGACTTTAAATACCGTGGTAGAGAAAGACCACTGGAAGGTGCCATTTTAGAAAGTACAAAATATATGAAGACTATCCTTTTCCTTTCTTTTCTGGCATCCTCATGAGGAGGAGGAAAATTCATTGCATAATTATTATCATACTTTTATTACTTCATTCAATCTATTCTAATCTTGCATTCAGGATCCAATTTTATATTGAATAGAGCTACATGGATTCTGATCTTCTCATGAAGGAAATAAATTCCTGCTACCCAGCAGTATCATGGATGTCCTCAGTCATAGAAGAGATAAAAGATTATCAATAAATCCTGGTGATTTAGTATGAAAGGGACAACTCTTTCATTTATTCCCATTTTATTAAACACTGTTCCATGCCAGACATTAACAAATTCTAGGAACACAAGAGAAACATAGCTGCCTTTATGGAGCTTGCAGTCCAGAAGGGTCAACCTGTGTGATTTGATGGAAACAGTGGAAATGGACATTAAAAAAAAAAAAAAAAAAAAAACAGGACTTAGCGACTGAATGAATTTGGGCAACATGAGGTAGGGATAAGTCAGGAATTAATTTTAGATTGATGTTATCAACAACTGGGGGGTTTGAGAAAGCCACAAGTCACACAGTGACATAGGATTCACCAGAATTAAAGCAGGTTTGAAGAATTCTAGAAAAGGGGTAAAGAGGTTTAAAGATGACTATGAGCTGAATAAAGACAAAACTGGTATTATCTGGGCTTAACAGAGCCTAGTTTCTAAATACAAATTGTATTGTTATTAGCTTTTATTCCCAGGTCTTTTAAGTAGAAATGGATTATTTTGCTGCTCTGCTAAAAATTCCTCCAATGAATCCCCATCTTCCTATAAGATCTCACATGATTTTCATCCTCTACCCTCATTCCTAATCTCTGTAATCATTGCTTCTATCTTCTGTCCCTCCTCAACTTTGATTACTTTTCCTCCACCCAATTGTCTCTTTATTTGTCCTTGATTATGCCAAGTATTCTTATCTCTTCCTGGAAAGAGGGTGCTCCAGATGTTCTCATGGATTCCCTATCACTTTATGTATGTCTCTACTCAGAGTAAATCTCATCTGATCAGAGAGGTCCTCATAAACAACCTTACCTAAAATAACACTTATTTTCTCTATTCTTGTTCTAGTTTCTTTTGATTAATTATATATTTATTACAAATATAAGCTCCTTGAGAATAGAGACCTTGTGTACTTCTTCCCTTATGTAACTTCAAAGTGTAGAACATAGTGTGCACTTAATTTATACTTTTGAATTGACATAGATTTTGTTCTACACTACTGCTCATCAATTTCCTTTTCCCTTACAACTCTGACCTTTTAAAATGCTAGTGGAAAATATTTAAATAAATTTTTACCAATTAAACTTTCCAGATAAACCAATATCATTTATTTTCTCTGTAAAGCCTGTTGTCCAGAAAATACTGAAATCTCACAGCTGGTAGACTATTTGCTACCATTCTTATTTACTTCTTCTTTTTACAAGTAAATCAATAACATTGGTTCCCAACCTGTTTCTACCAGTTGGACTTTTCAATCTCATTACATAAAGTAATTTATTATTATGGAAATCAGTATAAAACAAGTGTGAAAGAAAAAAATGGTGCTTCTGTGAAAACTAATTCAAATACTATAGAAAATTTGATAAATGGGATTTACATTTAAAGACATTGCTATTGGATGTCAACTTTCAAAGACTGAAGAGTTATAAATATGCAGAATTACTCACTCAGTATGCTTCCTATGTATATTTAAGGCCTTGTTCTATTTTAAACATCTTCAAAGTGGAGATCTTAGGTGTTGCCTTATGGGTGGGGCTTATGTCAAAAGGATGATGCTGAATTTCAATCAGTGAAAAAGAAAACTGTCTTGGTTTTACATCAAAAGATTGAAAAATGTACTTGTATTATATTAATTCTCCAGTTTATCTTTTTTTCCCTGTAAATTAACTGCCAGAATTCATCAGCTGAACTGGTTTTTCCTTACCTAACCCTATAAATACTCCATATTCTGCCCTTCCTTCTTTCATTTCAGCACAGATGAAAATGAAGTTTCATCTTGTGTGTGTTGGCACTGGTTGACTGTACTTCTATGTTCAAAAAGAATTCTAAAACTTCCAGTGAGCTAAGAGAGAAAATATGATTAGTCGCCTGTCATGAACATGAAAAGAGAAATGTGATCTCAGTGCTATGCTTTTGCTGTCCTTTACCTGAGCACTTCATGGTTCCCCTTCAAGCCCAGTGTCAAGTTCCCCTGCAGTAGCAGCACACACGTCTTGCCCATCCTGTTCTGCAACTTTTTGTATCCATCCTTATCCCACTCCACTTTCATTTCATTCCTGGTTTTCATGTATGTTTCCAAATCTGACCACCTACTTTGGGGTGAACTTAAGTGTGGCATTTAAAGACACATAAAAATCATCAAGGTAACACAAATTTGAAGCTGTTGAGAAAAAAGGGATAAAATGACAGGGTGGGAACATTAAAAAAGTTAGGAAGTACAAAAATGAACATCATAAAGGCCAATGAACATGCTATAGACAGACCACAAATTTGGCTCTAAAAATTAAAGATGAAAAAAATCTAGAAAATAAAAGCAAGTTAATTTTCAAAAAGAAGCAAAACTATTCCTTAACCAAAACAATTACTGCCAATATCACCCTGCCTCTCTATCTTGTGTTCTCTGGAGGTAAAAGTAACTTTTTTTGTATGCATTTCCTCTGAAATTCCATAAGACCTCTTCTGCACCACTCTATTAAGCTCTTGCTCCATGCTAATTATTTATGTTAATTGTACTGTGCATTTGTAGCTCCCTAAAAGAGATGAATAGCCCATTTTAATGCAACCCCCACCTGTGTTAGTTTACCAGGGATACATAACAAAGCACCATAAATTAAGTCACTTGAAACAATAAAAATTTATTGTCTCATAGTTCTGGAGATCAAAAATTTAAAATCGGCAGGGTGTGGTGCCTCACGCCTGTAATCCCAGCACTTTGGAAGGCTGAGGTGGGCAGGTCACTTGAGGTCGGGAGTTTGAGACCAGCCTGGCCAATATGGTGAAATCCCATCTCTACTAAATATACAAAAATTAACTGGGCCTGGTGGCGAGCACTTGTAATCCCAGCTACTTGGAGGGCTGAGGCAGGAGAATCTCTTGAACCTGGGAGACGAAGACTGCATTGAGCTGAGGTCATACCACTGCTCTTGAGCCTGGGCAACAGGGCAAGACTCCGTCTCAAAAAAAAAAAAAACAGGAAAAAATTAAAATCGAGGTGTCAGGAGGCCCATGCCATTCTACTTCTGAAGGTGCTAAAGAAGGATAATTTCCAGACCTGTCTCTTAGTCTCTGGTAGTTTCTAAATTTCTGGCAGCAACATGCGCGTGGACATTCTCCCTGTGTGTGGGTTTGTGTCCAAATTTTCCCTTTTCATAGAGACACCAATCATATAAAGTGGGCCTCTAATTCAAGACACCAATTATATTGGATTCAGTGGACCCCCCCTACTTCAGTACGATCTGATCTTAATTTCCCTTATTATATCTACAAGGACCCTGTTTCTGAATCAGGTCACATTCTGAAGTGCTGGGGGTTAGGATTTCAACCAATAAATTTGCAGGAATACAATTCAATCCATAACAACAACTAATATGGAAATTTACATATAACACAAACTCAGTAAATTCATTAGAGATTAAAAACTGATGAGAAAACAAGTGAATAAATGAATGAAAATATGAATGCTGCTAGCTTTCCCTTTACCCACTTACTCTTTCTATTGAGGTTTGCCAATGTTATGGCTTATCCTCTGAAGAGCAGTTTCACTTTGCCAACACTAATGAATCTAACAAGATAACTCTGCTAATACACAAATGAACACATATAGGTATTTAAGGACCTTACAACACTGATTTTTCTCAGATTTACTACATCTTTAAGTGGAATAAATACCAACCACTTTTTGTACCAGGCATGAACTTCACTCTATGTAGAACGATAGTTCTTACCTAAATATTGAAAAGATTGTGGTTTTGCATAAAGATTTACCTAAAACAAACACAATATGTTTGAAGATTTTTTTCTAGCATTGAAAAGGACAGCATCAAAGTACTCTTATACCATTATTTTCTTAATAAGAAAATAGTTAAAACTGTGTGAAAATAACAATCTAATGACATGCTGAAATGCTGAAGTGCCCAGGCAGGCATAACCAAATTAAAGTGAAGTTCTACACAATTGTTCATTAAACATACAGCTCATTGCATACCCAGGTTAAATATGTTCCTTGAATTAAAACTTTCCGTTACACAAGCATTTATTAATCCACTGGTAATCATAAAACTGTGTTTTGCTTTGTAAGCCATATGACTAGATCAGTTTACTATGGTTTCAGTTTTTTTTGTCTTAATGTTTTTCTCTACTTCTAAGGGCACTTACATTTTTAATAGTGAAACAGTTCTTACATTCAAGTATGCATTAGCACTGCTTACATCTTCTATTAAAAATAATGGGTGATTCATCATCAGGACAGGTTTCTTACAATTGACTCATTTAGCTCAGCATGCAGTCTTAATCATAAAAAAAATTCAATGAACTTAATACTAGTGATAGCTTAAAAGACACACACACATACACACAACTTGCATATACTTCTTGCCAACTTTTAAAATATTAAAGCAAGACAAGATGATTTTCTTTCTTTGTCTGCTATGAAGAAAATAATTAGTTTTAAGAAAATAAGATGATGCAAATAACCTTATCCTTACATACTGGACTGAATTTTGGGAGCCAATAATAAAAAGAGATCATGGTGATACATGAATTTTTATTATTATTATTATTATACTTTAAGTTTTAAGGTACATGTGCATAATGTGCAGGTTAGTTACATATGTATACATGTGCCATGCTGGTGTGCTGCACCCATTAACTCGTCATCTAGCATTAGATATATCTCCTAATGCTATCCCTCCCCCCTCCCCCCACCCCACAACAGTCCCCAGAGTGTGATGTTCCCCTTCCTGTGTCCATGTGATCTCATTGTTCAGTTCCCACCTATGAGTGAGAACATGCAGTGTTTGGTTTTTTGTCCTTGCGATAGTTTACTGAGAATGATGATTTCCAATTTCATCCATGTCCCTACAAAGGACATGAACTCATCCTTTTTTATGGCTGCATAGTATTGCATGGTGTATATGTGCCACATTTTCTTAATCCAGTCTATCATTGTTGGACATTTGGGTTGGTTCCAAGTCTTTGCTATTGTGAATAGTGCCTCAATAAACATACGTGTGAATGTGTCTTTATAGCAGCATGATTTATAGTCCTTTGGGTATATACCCAGTAATGGGATGGCTGGGTCAAATGGTATTTCCAGTTATAGATCCCTGAGGGATCGCCACACTGACTTCCACAATGGTTGAACTAGTTTACAGTCCCACCAACAGTGTAAAAGTGTTCCTGTTTCTCCACATCCTCTCCAGCACCTGTTGTTTCCTGACTTTTTAATGATTGCCATTCTAACTGGTGTGAGATGATATCTCATTGTGGTTTTGATTTGCATTTCTCTAATGGCCAGTGATGGTGAGCATATTTTCATGTGTCTTTTGGCTGCATAAATGTCTTCTTTTGAGAAGTGTCTGTTCATGTCCTTCGCCCAATTTTTGATGGGTTTGTTTTTTTCTTGTAAATTTGTTTGAGTTCATTGTAGATTCTGGATATTAGCCCTTTGTCAGATGAGTAGGTTCCAAAAATTTTCTCCCATTTTGTAGGTTGCCTGTTCACTCTGATGGTAGTTTCTTTTGCTGTGCAGAAGCTCTTTAGTTTAATGAGATCCCATTTGTCAATTTTGGCTTTTGTTGCCATTGCTTTTGGTGTGTTAGACATGAAGTCCTTGCCCATGCCTGTGTCCTGAATGGTAATGCCTAGGTTTTCTTCTAGGGTTTTTATGGTTTTAGGTCTAACATTTAAGTCTTTAATCCATCTTGAATTAATTTTTGTATAAGGTGTAAGGAACGGATCCAGTTTCAGCTTTCTACATATGGCTAGCCAGTTTTCCCAGCACCTTTTATTAAATAGGGAATCCTTTCCCCATTGCTTGCTTTTCTCAGGTTCATCAAAGATCAGATAGTTGTAAATATGCGGCGTTATTTCTGAGGGCTCTGTTCTGTTCCATTGATCTATATCTCTGTTTTGGTACCAGTACCATGCTGTTTTGCTTACTGTAGCCTTGTAGTATAGTTTGAAGTCAGGTAGTGTGATGCCTCCAGCTTTGTTCTTTTGGCTTAGGATTGACATGGCGATGCGGGCTCTTTTTTGGTTCCATATGAACTTGAAAGTAATTTTTTCCAATTCTGTGAAGAAAGTCATTGGTAGCTTGATGGGGATGGCATTGAATCTAAAAATTATCTTGGGCAGTATGGCCATTTTCATGATATTGATTCTTCCTACCTATGAGCATGGAATGTTCTTCCATTTGTTTGTATCCTCTTTTATTTCATTGAGCAGTGGTTTGTGGTTCTCCTTGAAGAGGTCCTTCACATCCCTTGTAAGTTGGATTCCTAGGTATTTTATTCTCTGTGAAGCAATTGTGAATGGGAGTTCACTCATGATTTGGCTGTTTGTCTGTTATTGGTGTATAAGAATGCTTGTGATTTTTATACAATGATTTTGTATCCTGAGACTTTGCTGAAGTTGCTTATCAGCTTAAGGAGATTTTGGGCTGAGACAATGGGGTTTTCTAGATATACAATCATGTCGTCTGCAAACAGGGACAATTTGACTTCCTCTTTTCCTAATTGAATACCCTTTATTTCCTTCTCCTGCCTAATTGCCCTGGCCAGAACTTCCATCACTATGTTGAATAGGAGTGGTGAGAGAGGGCATCCCTGTCTTGTACCAGTTTTCAAACGGAATGCTTCAAGTTTTTGCCCTTTCAGTATGATACTGGCTGTGGGTTTGTCATAGATAGCTCTTATTATTTTGAGATATGTCCCATCAATACCTAATTTATTGAGAGTTTTTAGCATGAAGAGTTGTTGAATTTTGTCAAAGGCCTTTTCTGCATCTATTGAGATAATCATGTGGTTTTTGTCTTTGGTTCTGTTTATATGCTGGACTACATTTATTGATTTGCATATATTGAACCAGCCTTGCATCCCAGGGATGAAGCCCACTTGATCATGGTGGATAAGCTTTTTGATGTGCTGCTGGATTCGGTTTGCCAGTATTTTATTGAGGATTTTTGCATCAATGTTCATCAAGGATATTGGTCTAAAATTCTCTTTTTTGGTTGTGTCTCTGCCCGGCTTTAGTATCAGGATGATGCTGGCCTCATAAAATGAGTTAAGGAGGATGCCCTCTTTTTCTATTGATTGGAATAGTTTCACAAGGAATGGTACCAGTTCCTCCTTGTACCTCTGTTAGAATTCGGCTGTGAATCCATCTGGTCCTGGACTCTTTTTGGTTGGTAAGCTATTGATTATTGCCACAATTTCAGAGCCTGTTATTGGTCTATTCAGAGATTCAACTTCTTCCTGGTTTAGTCTTGGGAGAGTGTATGTGTCGAGGAATTTATCCATTTCTTCTAGATTTTCTAGTTTATTTGCATAGAGTTGTTTGTAGTATTCTCTGATGGTAGTTTGTATTTCTGTGGAATCGGTGGTGATATCCCCCTTATCATTTTTTATTGTGTCTATTTGATTCTTCTCTCTTTTCTTCTTTATTAGTCTTGCTCGCTGTCAATCAATTTTGTTGATCCTTTCAAAAAACCAGCTCCTGGATTCATTAATTTTTTGAAGGGTTTTTTGTGTCTTTATTTCCTTCAGTTCTGCTCTGATTTTAGTTATTGCTTGCCTTCTGCTAGCTTTTGAATGTGTTTGCTCTTGCTTTTCTAGTTCTTTTAATTGTGATGTTAGGGTGTCAATTTTGGATATTTCCTGCTTTCTCTTGCGGGCATTTAGTGCTATAAATTTCCCTCTACACACTGCTTTGAATGTGTCCCACAGATTCTGGTATGTTGTGTCTTTGTTCTCGTTGGTTTCAAAGAACATCTTTATTTCTGCCTTCATTTCGTTATGTACCCAGTAGTCATTCATGAGCAGGTTGTTCAGTTTCCATGTAGTTGAGTGGTTTTGAGTGAATTTCTTTATCCTGAGTTCTAGTTTGATTGCACTGTGGTCTGAGAGACAGTTTGTTATAATTTCTGATCTTTTACATTTGCTGAGGAGAGATTTACTTCCAACTATGTGGTCAATTTTGGAATAGTTGTGGTGTGGTGCTGAAAAAAATGTATATTCTGTTGATTTGGGGTGGAGAGTTCTGTATACGTCTATTAGGTCCGCTTGGTGCAGAGCTGAGTTCAATTCCTGGGTATCCTTGTTAACTTTCTGTCTTGTGGATCTGTCTAGTGTTGACAGTGGGGTGTTAAAGTCTCCCATTATTATTGTGTGGCAGTCTAAGTCTCTTTGTAGGTCACTCAGGACTTGCTTTATGAATCTGTGTGCTCCTGTATTGGGTGCATATATATTTAGGATAGTTAGCTCTTCTTGTTGAATTGATCCCTTTACCATTGTGTAATGGCCTTCTTTGTCTCTTTTGATCTTTGTTGGTTTAAAGTCTGTTTTATCAGAGACTCGGATTGCAACCCCTGCCATTTTTTGTTTTCCATTTGCTTGGTAGATCTTCCTCCATCTCTTTGTTTTGAGCCTATGTGTGTCTCTGCATGTGAGATGGGTTTCCTGAATACAGCACACTGATGGGTCTTGACTCTTTATCCAATTTGCCAGTCTGTGTCTTTTAATTGGAGCATTTAGTCCATTTACATTTAAAGTTAATATGGTTACATGTGAATTTGATCCTGTCATTATGATGTTAGCTGGTAATTTTGCTCGTTAGTTGATGCAGTTTATTCCTAGCCTTGATGGTCTTTACAATTTGGCATGATTTTGCAGTTGCTGGTACCGGTTGTTCCTTTCCATGTTTAGTGCTTCCTTCAGTAGCTCTTTTAGGGCAGGCCTGGTGGTGACAAAATCTCTCAGCATTTGCTTGTCTGTACAGTATTTTATTTCTCCTTCACTTATGAAGCTTAGTTTGGCTGGATATGAAATTCTGGGTTGAAAATTCTTTTCTTTAAGAATGTTGAATATTGGCCCCCACTCTCTTCTGGCTTGTAGAGTTTCTGCCGAGAGATCCGCTGTTAGTCTGATGGGCTTCCCTTTGTGGGTAACCCGACCTTTCTCTCTGGCTGCCCTTAACATTTTTTCCTTCATTTCAACTTTGGTGAATCTGATAATTATGTATCTTGAAGTTGCTCTTCTCGAGGAGTATCTTTGTCGTGTTCTCTGTATTTCCTGAATCTGAATGTTGGCCTGCCTTGCTAGATTGGGGGAATTTCTCCTGGATAATATCCTGCAGAGTGTTTTCCAACTTGGTTCCATTCTCCCCGTCACTTTCAGGTACACCAATCAGACGTAGATTTGGTCTTTTCACATAGTTCCATAGTTCTTGGAGGCTTTGTTCATTTCTTTTTATTCTTTTTTCTCTAAACTTCCCTTCTCACTTCATTTCATTCATTTCATCTTCCATCACTGATACCCTTTCTTCCAGTTGATCACATCGGCTCCTGAGGCTTCTGAATTCTTCACGTAGTTCTCGAGCCTTGGCTTTCAGCTCCATCAGCTCCTTTAAGCACTTCTCTGTATTGCTTATTCTAGTTATACATTCTTCTAAATTTTTTTCAAAGTTTTTAACTTCTTTGCCTTTGGTTTGAATTTCCTCCTGTAGCTCGGAGTAGTTTGATCGTCTGAAGCCTTCTTCTCTCAACTCGTCAAAGTCATTCTCCATCCAGCTTTGTTCCATTGCTGGTGAGGAACTGCATTCCTTTGGAGGAGGAGAGGCGCTCTGATTTTTAGAGTTTCCAGTTTTTCTGCTCTGTTTTTTCCCCATCTTTGTGGTTTTATCTACTTTTGGTCTTTGATGATGGTGACGTACAGATGGGTTTTTGGTGTGGATGTCCTTTCTGTTTGTTAGTTTTCCTTCTAACAGACAGGACCCTCAGCTGCAGGTCTGTTGGAGTTTTCTAGAGGTCCACTCCAGACCGTTTGCCTGGGTATCAGCAGCGGTGGCTTCAGAACAGCAGATTTTCATGAACCACGAATGCTGCTGTGTGATCGTTCCTCTGGAAGTTTTGTCTCAGAGGAGTACCCAGCCGTGTGAGGTATTAGTCTGCCCCTACTTGGGGGTGCCTCCCAGTTAGGCTGCTTGGGGGTCAAGGGTCAGGGACCCACTTGAGGAGGCAATCTGCCCGTTCTCAGATATCCGGCTGCATGCTGGGAGAACCACTGCTCTCTTCGAAGCTGTCAGACAGGGACATTTAAGTCTGCAGAGGTTACTGCTGTCTTTTTGTTTGTCTGTGCCCTGCCCCCAGAGGTGGAGCCTACAGAGGCAGGCAGGCCTCCTTGAGGTGTGGTGGGCTCCACCTAGTTGGAGCTTCTGGGCTGCTTTGTTTACCTAAGCAAGCCTGCGCAATGGCGGGTGCCCCTCCCCCAGCCTCGCTGCCGCCTTGCAGTTTGATCTCAGACTGCTGTGCTAGCAATCAGTGAGACTCCGTGGGCATAGGACCCTCTGAGCCAGGTGCGGGATATAACCTCCTGGTGGGCCGTTTTTTAAGCCCGTTGGAAAAGCGCAGTATTAGGGTGGGAGTGACCCGATTTTCCAGGTGCCGTCTGTTGCCCCTTTCTTTGACTAGGAAAGGGAACTCCCTGACCCCTTGAGCTTCCCGAGTGAGGCAATGCCTCGCCCTGCTTCAGCTCACGCACGGTGCGCTGCACCCACTGTGCTGCGCCCACTGTCTGGCACTCCCTAGTGAGATGAACCCAGTACCTCAGATGGAAATACAGAAATCACCCGTCTTCTGCGTCGCTCACACTGGGAGCTGTAGATCGCAGCTGTTCCTACTCAGCCATCTTGAAAAAAACCGATACATGAATTTTTAGTATTGACTCTGCCATCATGTGTTTTAATTGACACAATAGGTACTCAGTCTATTTCAGCTTTTTTAAGTGTTACCTGCCCTACAGAGAAACAATATCATCAGATTTCTCCCAAATTTCTCTTTTTCTTTATTTCTATTAACAGCATCATCATTCTTTTAATCAACCAGTACTAAATCCTGAACTTTATTTACCCATTCAATGAATAAATTACTCAATATTGCCAATGGAATCTTGATATAACTCTGCTAGGATCTGGAGATACAAAAGTGAGAGGAGACAATCTGCAAACAAAAACAATAATAAGGCACCATTTCACACCCAAAAGGGGGAAAATCTGAAAGGTAAAAAAATATCAAGTTTTATGGAATTGTGCATCAATGCAAACAGCACTGGGGAAGTCTAACTAGATAAAACAACCTTGAAAAACAATTTGGTACTGCCTATGCAGAAAGTTGAAAATTCACATACATATGCCCAGCAATTCTGCCTTAGGCAAAAACCCTGAAAAAACTCATGCATGTACACAGCTATAGTGACAATAATCCATAATGCCCAATACATGCCTTGGCCTTCCAAAGTGAAGGATATTCAATGGAATGGTGGTGAGACATGAGTATTTAAGTGTTATCTATTGTTTTTGTTATTGTTATTTTATTTCTTACGTAATTATTATTTTTAATAATTTAGTTTTAAAAAGAAAAGGATAAACAAGTCTGATACAGATAAGAATCAATGAAAATCATAATTTTTTTAAAAAAAGCTATGAGTTTACAAAAGAATTAGGACTCCAAACTTGTATAAAGAGAATTTGTAAATGGGAATATAATACTTAGGAACCCACCCACAGCACGGTTCAGATAAAACCCATACGAAAACCACAATACCCTCTTACACTGAGTTTATAAATCACTCAGTAGCTTTAGAATTTAAATGCAGTGTTCAGAGCTACAATTTCTGTTTTAAGATTAATGCTTCCCTTGCTTTGATTCCATCTTTAGTAGGATATAAGATTACAGACCTCTGGAACAACTGACTGCAGTATGACACACGCTCAGGCATTAATGTGTGACTTTGTTAATGAATTTATGAATTTCTTTGTGCTTCAGTTCGTTCATGTGTAAAACTAGGATAATAATAGTATCTTAGAATTTGTGAATACTAAATAATATATGTAAAGTACATAAAATAGTATCTGGAACATAGAGTTTTTCTCTTTTTTTCAATCTTTATTTCATTTTGGATAGTTTCCATTGCTGTATCTCCAACTTTACTAATCTTTTATTCTTCAAAGTCTAATTGCTGCTAATCACTTCTCATGCATTTTTAAATTTCAGACATTATAGTTTTCACATCTAGAAGTTTGATATTGGTTTCTGTTATATCTTCCTTAATATAGTAAATCTTTCCTCCAACTTCTTGACTATATGGAATATTAAATTGTGCTAATTTCTGTATTTATCAATACTGTAATCAGTGTCACTTCTGAGTCTGTTTCAACGATTGACTTTTTCTCCTCATTATGGGTTTATTTTCCTGCTTCTTTTCATGCCTGGTAATATTTGATTGAATTTGCACGTCTTAAATCTGGAATTTTTGTATTACTATAAATATTCTTAAGGTGTTTCCTAGGACAGAGTTATGTTACACAGAAACAGTTTCATCCTTTCTAGGCTTGTCCTTCTTTTAACCTTTGTTAAACTAGAAAAGCCTTTGATCTAGGGTTACTTTTACTCCACTATACAGGCAATACCATTGTGAGTACTCTGCATGATTCACCTTGAATTTCAACATTTTATACTCTGGCTGGTGTTAACACAAACCATTCCTGGCCTTGTGTGAGCTACAGCTATTCTTCCCTCTCTCCTTTCAGGTGGTTCTGTCTCTGGTCTTGTGTAATATCCTCACATACAAGGCTAATCAGAGCTGGAATGAGGAGTCTAGGAAGACCTTAGAAGATTTGTGAGGTGACTATGGTTTGTCTCTTTCCCTCCCTCTCTACCTGAAACACTGTACTCTTATGTGTGAATTCTGACTGCCTTGGCCTTCCTGAGCTCTCAGCTCAGTCTCCACCCAGGGAGACTGCCAATATACAAAGGCTGTTTCATCCATTTTTCCCAATTTTATTTCAGGTGGAAGGGTAAATCTGGTCACTGTCCTCCATCTTGGCCAGCAACAAAAGTCATGTAATCTATTATTAATAAAGACACTTTTCTCTGAATCTTAGCTAGCCCTCGGTGTGCTACATGGCACAAATTAAGTGTGGATATGTGCATGTGGGTGTGTGCAATACAATTACATTCAGCTGGGACAGTAGGCATCATTGCTTACACATGCCTTTCAGCCATCTTGTTCAGTGGAATTTTGTTGACCTTTTCCCATGTAGTCCAAAAAAGGTTCTCATTTAACCACTCCATGCTCCCAGTCTTTCCTTTTCTCATCTGATTCTTTCCCTTCTACCTCTGTGAAAGAATAAAAATAATTATCTCCTAATTATTTTGCATGATGATTTAGATTTTTTTTTTTTTGTAGATTTTGTTTCTCAGGCTTCACTCAGGCTCTCTAGACCTCACTTTTCTCAACAAAGGCAGTTTCCTACCGAAGTAAAATGATGGTGCCAGATGTTAAAATAATCAATGTAATGGTTAAGTACCCAAGTTATAGAATCGGGTTGTTTGTTTTCAACTCTAACCTCTTCTACCACTTACACCCTAAACGACTTTTATCATACTACTTTCTGGTGAATCAGTTTTACCATCTATGATAGTTAATTTTATGTGTCACTTTGATTATGGTAACCAGATGTTTGGTCAAATACCAGTCTGCATGTTTCTGTGGAGGTATTTTTTAAGTTGTGATTAACATTTAAACCAGTCGACTTCCGGTAAAACAGATTACCTTCCATAATGTGGGTGGGCCTCATCCAATCATTTATCAGCCAATAATTTATCAGCCTAAGAGAACAAGAATGAGGTCTCCTGAGAAAGAAGACTACCATTGCATCAGAGACTGCAACTCTTTCCTGGGTTTCCAGCCTACTAGCCTGCCCTGAACATTTCAGACTCACCAGCCTACCAAGTGACATGAGCCAATTCCTTAAAATCCCTCTCTCTCTCTCTCACACACACACACACACACACACACACACACACATATACACACACACATACACAATACATACACACACATGCTCTATTGGTTCTTTTTCTCTGGAGAACCCTAATACACCATCTGAAAACAAAAATAATCATGCACCATACTCCAAAGAGTTGTTTAGAGAACAGAATACAATAATATATTTTAAATGTTTTGCACAATAATGTATTTTAAATGCCTGACACATAAAAACTGTTCAGTAAGTATGACCCATATATATTTTTAGTAATTCTAACAACAAATCTTCAAGGTAGCTATTTATTAAATTTATTTTGCAGATCAGGAAAAATGAATCCCAGAAACATTAAGTGACTTGCTTACAACTTAACAACCAGTAAGTAGCAGAGCCTAAATGTGACTTCACCTGTTCTTGAACACTCAAAAATGCTTTGACTATTACTAATTATCATTATGAATACACTCTACTGTTCTAACAATTACAATCAGAAATAATTTGATTCTTAAAGCAATAAGAAGATAGTATAAATGAGGCCAACATAGCACTGTGGCACTAATGAATAACTTTTTCTGCCACCAATCTAGATTTAAGGCCCGAAAGCATTCTGGAAGTCTAGAAATGTTCACAATGATAAACTACTTCCAACTCATTACAGTGGCTAAAATCAGAAAAGCTGACAATACCAATTATGGATGAAGATGGGAAGCAACTGGAATACTCATGCCCTGCTGGTGGAAATGTAATTTAATACAACTATTTTGCAAAGAAGCTTGTCAATTATTTATCAAGGTACATTTACATTTACCAAATTTCACTGCATACGGTCACACTAGGGATAAGGGCTTCAAAATATGAATTTGGTGGAGGGGGATACAATTCATTCCATAACAGTATGATTCCCTTTCAATGAAGCTCTAAAGTAGACAAAACGAATCTATAGTATAGAACTTAGATCATTGGTAGTCTATAGAGTGGCGAGTGTGAGGGCAAAGGAACCCAAGGGAACTTTCTGTATCTTGATTTTGGAAATAATTAAATGGGTATATACATTTTCCAAACTTCAAACTATGCACATGTGTTCATTTTATTAATGCTAACTATATCTCCACAAAGATGATTTTTAAAAAGGAAAATGCAATTTGCAAGATTTTCTACAAAGACCACCTACATATTTATCAAACATACCACTTAAACATTTTTTTCACTGAGCACTGCTGAAAGGTAGCTTGTGTCCTCAGATCCTTTAAATTTGTTATTTCTCTTTGCCTAAAATCATGTTTCCCAAAATCTCAACATGATTCAGTCACTTTTCTGATATTCCTGTGGAATATCATCTTAAAAAGACACCTTCCAAGACACTATATCTAACATAGTTTAACAATCTCTGCTCTCCAGCACTCTCTAATGCTTTACCTTGCTTGATTTTTCATTATAGCACGTTTTATTAACACTTGACTGACATAAGATATATATACCTGTTGTTGTTTTTAATTGTCTTCTTTCCCCTGCTACTCAACAAGGCAGGGACTGTGTTTCAATCTCCTCTTGATTTTCGGAGCCCAAAACAGTCTCAAGAAATATTTATTGAAAGAGCATATCTCAATAAATATTAGCTGACCAATTGTTAGCAAGCAAGAATACAGTGGCAAAATTAGCTAAACGGCAGTCAGCAAGGAAAGTCTAGTATGGTTGCTGCCACTGCAAGTCTAGCTCAGGTTAAAATTGGAGGCAATGGAGTTAAAATTATAGAAGAATTGAGAGTTGCCCTCACCTCTGGCTGCAAATCAGAACTACCTGGAAAGCTTTTAAGTAAAACACTGCTAATATCCAGGCCTACCACCAGAAAATCTAAAATAATTGGTCTGGAGTTGGGCCAAGATATTAATTTTCAAAGCTCCCAAGATGATCTTAAAGCCTGGCAATGAATGGGAACCACTGATGGAGAAGAACAATTCACCCCTATTCTTTGCCTTTTGCTGAGGCATCTCTTCAATATCCTCACAAGCCAAAAACTATGGCCACTTTCCTGGCTTCAAAAATCAGTTCTCCTAAGCAAAGAGCAGGGTAGACTTATGATTCTACATTAGCAGCTCATGTCTGTGAGTGTGTATGTGAATGTGTGTATCTGAGTGTGTGTCTGCGAGTATGTGTTCGGGGTGAGGAAAACATAATGTGTACATGACCGAAGCATTTAAAACATGCTTTGGGGCTTGTTCAGAAAGACTCACGGTTGGATAATTTAATAATTTATCCAAGTACCCTGAGACTTGTTGGATTACTATGGTTTAGGATCCTTATCCCTTTTTTTTTTTTTTTTTCCCGAGATGGAGTTTTACTCCTGTTGCCCAGGCTGGAGTGCAATGGCGCGATCTTGGTTCACTGCAACCTCTGCCTCCCGGGTTCAAGTTATTCTCCTGCCTCAGCTTCCCAAGTAGCTGGGATTACAGGCACCTGCCATCATGCCCAGCTAAATTTTGTATTTTCAGTAGAGACAGGTTTTTGCCATGTTGGCCAGGCTGATTTCAAACTCCTGACCTCAGGTCAGCCACCTGCCTCAGCCTCCCAAAGTGCTGGGATTACAGGCGTGAGCCACCGTGCCCAGCCAAGATCCTTAATTTTAAGTATTGCAGGAAATAAACTCTTGACCAATGGCATCTTATTTTACAAGTGTAACTCTAATATCAAGTGCCAGATATGGGGGTAACATCAGGTCTAGACTGTAGGTTGTAGAGTGTGCAAGAATGTTTCTGAGATGACCTAGTGAGCAAAAAGCAATCAAATAGTTGAAAACAAATTTCAAGTTGAGGATGGGCTGAGAAGACAAAACCAGGATTAACATGCTAAAATAAGATAGTAAAAAAGTAACCCATAATATCAGCACGTGGGTTTGAAAAGGAAGATGAGACAACGAAGGTACAGAGATTTTCCGAGTGCTATGATGTGGACAAGCTTCCTCTCTGCAGCTTTATTTGTGTGTGGAGGTAGCCTACTATTATCACCACATTTTACTCAGCCAACTTAGATAGATTTGAAACTGAAACACAGCAGTGAAAGGATAAAAACTAAACAAAACAAAATGGAAAAATAAATCTAATTATTTTGTCTATGTACTGCCATATATGTTTGGAACTAATTTTTCATTTCACCAGGCAGACTATTTTAGCCCCTTTATTCTTTATTATTTATGATTTAGAATCAGTGTAGATCTTTGAACACTGCAAACAAAGTCTTACTCTAATGAATTAAATAAATGAGTTGCTTATATTATGTCAGAATAATTTTAAAATTAAGTAGACAATTGACTGAAAATTAGGAATCATTTGTAATATATTTACATAGAAAAACTTGCATTTTCTATGTATATATATGAATAGTTTATCAAAATGCCAAGATATACTTTTGGAAATGGGACTATGTCCTCTTAGAAGGAAAAACGAAAACATTAATTTGAGAGTATTGTATTGTGTTTTAAGGCAAGTAAAACACAAATATACAAAGTAATCATAGAATATAAACAAGATTTACATTAAATATTAGAAGAGTAAAAACAGGAATATATAATAATGAACAGTATGAAAATAAGAAAACTAGATGTGAAAATAAGATTTCAACCAAAATAAAATAAACAAATTTATTATTTTAAACGTATCTGGCTCCCCCTAGTTTTCAAAAGCATTTTAAAATGTAGTAATGTTTTTAAATAGTGCCTTTACTTTAAGAAATGACAGATTTCTTGTAGTAAATGATTAAATGAAGCTTTTGTTGAACTACTATAATTACCACCACATTCTATTCAATCCCCATATTAGTCAGGGTCCACACAGGAGACAGAAGCCATATAGTAATATAAACACAGAGGTATTAATATGAATAAACTACTGATAGGACATTAGCTACTCCAGGAGATGAAAGAAAATTCTAAAGAATATGCTAGAGCTGAAGAAAAGTACTAAGGGAAAAAACTTCACAAACTTGGAAAGGGGCCCCTTCCCAAGGCTGCGGTGTAGACCTTGTTGGAGAAGGTGAGGTTGAAGCACACCAATGGTAAGGGGTACTCACTGCACTGTGCTGAGCCAGAGCTAGTCCACTGTCAGTGAGCTGAGGCTGGTGGGCAGGTAACTATATGATCGTGTCAGTGAAATTCACGGAGAAGCTGCCCATGGCAGAGTGCTATTGTTGAACTCACTTGAAAGTTGGGTGGACTCCAACAGAACTCACTGGAAGCTGCTGGGGGTAGGGTGGGAGGGGAATGGAGTGAGAAGATGCTGCTGAGCCCATCAGAATGCTGTGTGGGGCACCCATGAAATGCTTGCCTGGAAGTCACCTTGGTTTGGGGGGTGGGATGCTAAGAAACTCACAGAAAAGATGCCTGAGTGGGATGCTAGTGAGGAAACCAGATACAGCCCCAAGGTACTTGCAGGGCAACTGACTCAGAGATGCTGTTTCCACTGGGCCCTTTGCATACCCATCTGCACCACAGGAGCCAGTAGGACGAGGAGCACAGCACAAAGGGAAGAGAATTCCCTTCCTCCTGCAGCATCCCTCCTTCATCTTCTACTGCAAAACCTAACACTGAAACAACTGGCAAGGAAGAAATATCACAAGCAGGGCAACAAAAGGTAAATTTAGAGCTGAAAGGCAAAAAAAATTGATAACTGGCACACCTCCAATTTTAAATAATGTTCACATCAAACTGTTAATAGTTTGGAGATCTCTTTTTGAAGAACTGATTATTCTGTTATTGTGAATTGGTCAAGATCATGACTAATTTTGATGCTTGTTACAAAATGAACTATATCTAATAACTTATTTCTCTTTCAAGATCAGTTTCTAGTAAATTAAAATGCAAGAACATCAGTAGCCTTCCAAAAACAACAGTGCCTATGATCTGTTCATGGTTAATATTTCTTGGATACTTTAAAGCTAAAACCTAGTATATATTGAGTACTTCCATTAGAAATATCAATACGTTATTAAGGAGTAAATTTAATAACACTAATAAGTTATTTCTCAACCACCAAAGCTACTTCTATAAAACTGGTTTGTAGCAGACTAATTCACTTTCATTGTAATAAAACTTACGCGCAGTTAAACATAAAACTCTTTTTTAAAAACCATCTTTTTACCCATCCAAAATATTTGGAGAAGTATCCTTCAAGTAGTAGAAGAGTTTAATGCCTTTAAAAATAAATAACTGAATCAAATAATGTTTAAAGAAAAACATCTGCTTTTTTCCTAATATTTTTGTTATAAATTTTTGATGCAAATGCTGCTTATTTGAAGTATTGAATGCCTGAAGAGAGAAATGCTTTCTAGAAGCCTCTGACACTACTTAAGTCTAAATAGCTAGCTATACAGAAATATACACCTTTACCACAACTCTGCCAGAACCAGAGGATTGAAAGCAAACAACCTGCAGGTCACAATAAAGAGCCAACCTTCCTAGTAATCTTTCCATTAAACTCAATTTAACACCTTCTTATTACTCATCAAGCACGTCTGAACAAATGAAACTCCTGACACCATTTGTTTTACAATTGGCGCATTAGATAAAAGAGAATTATTTCCTTGCTCAGTATTTGAGGGGATAATGGAATCCATAATGGCCCAAAGTACTGTACTCTATCTTATTTATAGAGAAGGTCTAACATAAACATGTACATAAAGTATTATAAAACATATAGATTATTTGTTTGTACTCACTGTTCTTTCACATTGTTTGGCTCTATGTGGGATGTGAACAAACCAGAAAAATAATGAGTGCTTGAATATACTGCAAATAGAACCTTGGATATTTACAGAGCACTCCCTCACAAAATGCAAAGTACATTCAAATAAGCTTTCTCATACGTACGATAATCTGGGTAATCATGGAATTCATGTTCCCACTAATGGTACAAACTCTAAGAGACCAAACAAGCAGGGGAAAGGAGAAAGGACAGACCCCCCTATGCTTAGAGCCCCCATGAAGCAACATGCTTCTATACGACACCAGCCATCAGAAAGAAACTGCCCCAGTTGCCTGTCATCTGGCTCAATGCAGTGCCTATACTTTACACAATGTGAAGCTAGACCCATTGAATATGAGGTCAGGCCATTTATATATGTTTTTTTCGGTGGATGTGCCAAACTTCTGTAAGCTGCACATACAATGAGGGAATGGCATAACAACTCCTGAATCTGTCCAGCTATCTTAAGGGACCACTGATGCATGTGTGCTTGTCTCAGAGAAACATTTGCTAGCATATTCACTGAGAACTATTTTCTATCAAACAACACTATATAAAAATCTCTGATAGTACTTCCCCTAGGAAGTTTGTTTGGTAAAGGATATAAATGTAGAACCAGTACAGGTGAACATGGGGTTGGAATTCTGACACTTCTGAGCTATTTCTTCTCTGTTTACAAAGCCCAAGGTACTCTTTTTGCCATTACAGATACTGTCTTCTAGATGCCAAAAAATGCAAATTCTAGTGAATGCTCAAATCCCAACCAATCACAATTAATTAACTGAATTTCGGTGAAGCAGGGTGACCTAAATGATATGGGAATTATGACATCCCAAGGCAGAGCTAAATGATGGAAAGACTCTCTCCAAACTCAGTGAAAACTGTCATTTCACTTACCTGATCATATTTACAATGTGGAAATTCTGGAAGTCATTGTCAAGACCAATCACCTCAAACTTTCTGAAAACTCTGACATTCTCACACTGATTATATGACCATCTGAATAAAGTGGAAATGCAAGCCACTCTTGGCTATTCAGGGCTTAGTTTATGAATTAATTAGGTCCTGCCTAGAAGCCTCATTCATCTCTCTTCAGTTGTGACATCATATTTAAAAAATTCTTCCTGGATAGAAACTTTGATTGCGATTTGAACTTTTTCAAAAATTTGCTTATCCATTTTATCATTATATCCCCATACCAGCCTCAGTTACACAAACAACACATAATGCATTAAAAAGGTGGCTACAATTAAAGACAGATAAATCTAACAAAATGATCCTAATGTTGATGAAGTCCATTTCTACTTTTTTCTCCCCAGCATGAACCCTTCTCGTCCACACACTGCTCTCCTCTCCCATGTGCCTTTCCTAGATTTCATTAATAGTAACAAGTGATTATGTCACATACCGTATCATCTAGAAAAAGCTGGCCTCATAAGAGCACTGGAATGCCTTTCCAAATCCACAGCCAGTTCAGAGGTGCTTTCTGAAATCATGAATACTGTTCTTCAGTATATGGAATATGTATTAAATCAGAGACCCCTTGATATAGTTTGGATTTGTGTCCTGCACAAATCTCATGTTGAACTGTAATCACCAATGTTGTAAGTGGTGCCTGGTAGGAGGTGATTGGATCATGGGGGTGGATTTCCCCCTTTGGTGATGTTATCATGGTAGTGTTCTCATAAGATAGAGATATGGTTGTTTAAAAGTGTGTAGCACCTTCCCCCACTTCTTGCTCCAGCCATGTAAGATGGGCCCGCATCCCCCTTCGCCTTCTCCCATGATGGTAAGTTTCCTGAGACCTCCCTAGAAACTAAGCAGATGCCAGCATTATGCCCCCTGTACAGCCTGAAAAACTGTGAGCCAATTAAACCTCTCTTTTTTTTGAATAAACTAACCAGTCTCAGGAATTTCTTTATAGCAATAGGAGAGCAGACTACACCTATATTCAGCATTATTTCCTCAATAAGAAGAAACCACGGGTCCAGGAACAAAGGTATAGAATGAGGATTTGTTCTTATCCTGAATGATCCATTAAAGGACTCCAGGCTTACCATTCCTACAGCTGTGGGCTGTGTAAGATTGGAAAGCCTCATTTCCAAAGTGGGTGCAATCTTACCAAAGGACATAGCAAGGGTCTCATTAAGTCATAGTGGCTACAAAGATACTTTGTACTCCTTGCATACAGAAATCAATGTGAAAGAAGAGGAGCTAGCTTCTTTTGGGGGGCAGTTTACCCTAATTACTAACAGTATATAGTACTGTTTTTATACAGTGGAGGCAGGAAGAAATATGAGTAGAACACAAGTGATCCACTTGGGTGCTTCTCAATATTTTCTTATTCCATTGTACATGTTAATGCAGCAACTCTGACCTGAAAATAGTATGAAGCCCCGTTAGGAAGTCTCTGAAACTCCCTTCACCCATTAAGTTAGTAATTCAGAAGCAATAATATGTCCCAAAGGAACTATGGGGATTAATGATGCCACCAAAGCTGTAAAAGATTCAGGGGTGGTGATGCCCATCATAGCATCAATCATAGACTTTCAGGGCCCCCCAAAAAACTAAATACATAATGGCAGATGATACTGAGCTCCGTAAGTTTTTCTTGGTAGTAGCCCCAGTCACAGCTACCATGCCAAATGAGAAATCTTCACTGGAACAGAACAGTAAGGCATTTTGTAATAGGTATGCAACAATCGATCTGGGAAATATATTCTTCTAAATCTTTATGAATAGGAGGATCAAACACAGTTCTTTGTAATTACCTAGGAAAGCATATTTACTGTCTTGCCCCATGACCATATTCATTCTCTTGCTCTGTCACAATATATTCCTTAATTGTCTTGATATTACACTGAATATCATGCTGTTTGCAAATGGATGACATTATAACAGATATATGGTGAGCAGATATGGAATCACTCTAGGCATCTTAATACATGGATGTCAATAAGTAAGAGATAAATCTCAAATATATGCAAGGGTATGTGTGTGTGTATGCACACACATATATTATTTATATCTATATAATACCTATACACCATATATCTATATATAGGTATTACCATACTGGTGATATATTCAGAGCTTCAATAATATGAAGCATATAAAGATATTTTCTCCAAGGAAAAAGAGAAAATGTTGCACTTTATACAAATGCTGCCTTTAAGATAAAAGCACTTGGTAGTCTTTTTGAATTTTGGAGGCAGTATAACCACACTTTGGAATAGTGCTCTATCCCATTTTTCAGGTGACCTAGAGGCCTGCCAATTTTGAGTGGGGCCTAGAGAATAAGAAGGCTTTTCAGCAGGTTCGGTCTGCTGCCTGCTGCCCTGCTATTTGGGCAATATGGCCCACAGATTTGACAGTCTAATGGCAGCCATAGTAGATGAGGATGCTGTAGAGTTTCTGACAAGTATGAATAGAAAAATTTCATGACATACTGCTAGGATTTTGGAGAAAGGTCATACCTTTTCTTCCAGAGAACCACTCACTGTTTAAAAAACAGTTTCTGTTGTGGTATTGATCTCTAAAAAAAAAACTGTCTAGTAACTAGACAACAAGCGAATGTGATCAGCAAAAAACAACAGAAGCTGGGTGTTATCATACCATATTACACCAAGTCACCACAGAAGGTAGGCCAAGCAACAATTCATTGTACAGTAGATACAATACACTTAGAATTGAGCCCAAGAACTATAGAAATTGCAAATAAATCACATGAACAAGTAATCCACATTTCTACTCTACCCATCCCTGATGCCTTGACACTTTTTTACAACTCATTTGGTCTTATGCGGGATTTCCTACATCCACCTAATAAAGGATAAAAAAAATTAGTTAATTAATTTTTCAAAAACCAACCTTAGCCTCATTCGCAGATGGATCAGCACAATATGTAGTACTTGCTATAAATGTAGTTCTGCTATACTAGAACCCCATCAGAAGTGGACCTAAAAGACAATGGTGAAGAGAAGTCCCTGCAGTGGGCAGAGCTGTGAGAAGCACAGTTGATTACTGAATTCGTTTCAAAGAAGTGGCCTGGATAGTAGCAAAAGCACTGACTGGTAGCTAAAAGACCTAAAAGAGCAAAATTGGAAGATCTAAGATAAAGAAATCTGGGGAAGAGGCATGTAGTAAGACATAAGAGCAAGACCCAAAGTGGAAGGATCTTTGTATGTCAAGTCAATACCCCCAGAGCAAGCAACACAGAGGAGGCACTGCAAAACCATGTAGGCAGAATGACTCAGCCATCCTCTTTCTTCACTCTAATGCTGGTGCAATGGGCCCATGAATGGCATTGGTGGCAGAGAAGGAGGCTTGCATGAGATCAGCAGCATTGGCTCCTTCTCATCAAGCTGATCTAGCTGATGTCACTAATTAAAGCCCAAATTTCCTGCTGTAAAGGCTAACAATGAGCCATCAACATGCTATTATTTCTCAAGGAGACTACTCAACCTCTTGAGAGTAAGTCTACTACATGGACTCCTTCAACCCTGGAGGAGACAGTGATATATATTTATCAAAACAGACACCTACTATGGATATGTATTTACTTTCCCTACCCATGGTTCTTCTGCCAGCAGCAACAGAACTCAGAGAATGCCTGATATTCTGGCACAGTATTCCACAAAACATTTCCTTGGGATTATCCCACTAAGCAAATACTTAAACCAGACAATGTGCCAGTCATTGGAGAGGAAAATCTAAAATGACTAATGGAGAAGAAAGATGAATTATATTATTTACCACTTATTAATCAACTGCAGCAATGGGATCTATTCTTCCAGTAAACTTCTTATAAGTCCTCACAGAGTTTATGCTTGGCCACCAAGATAAAGGGGACTCCATGATATTCAGGATTTAATAAAGAACACAAGCACACTTCAGGTCCTATCAGGTTCACTTCTTACTGAAAAACTGTGATTTGACCAGTTTTACGTAGGTTTCAATGCTTGCCCTTAGGCTTGTACTCCAGACATATTCCAGGTCTTCTCTGATGTCTTAACATGGAATACTCAGTGTCATCTAGCCAGCACTTATACAGTTCATAGTGTAGAAAGGGTCAGTACCTGCAGAGCCTGTCTTGACTACAGAATTTGGAACAGATGAATGATTCCTCCTCTTTTTATTCTCACGGCAGACAGTTCTAAGATGACAGTTTTAAGACATACTTTCTATGGCTCTTCAGAAGGTGCAATGAGATTAAGCACCAGTTACCCATCATGGTACACAACGCAATAAAGCGTCCTTGTGTTCTCTCTCCTTTTCTATTCAGTCCCACTGTCCCTCACACACACTCCCTGGTATCTCTTTGCAAATAAACTACAGGCAAGTAAGTTATTATCTCAGGCTTTCGTATTAGGGAATTCAATCTAACACATAGCTGTGTTATCTCTGTGTAGAGTAAACCTTCTTTCACTTGTTTGCTTTTGAAAAGGTCTCTTAGACTTATACTTTGCTGCTAATTAATTAATTTTAATGTTATTTTAGCACTTATGCCTTTGCTGATTATAAAGAATCATATAAAACCCTTTTACATATAATTATAAAATTGAGAGACACATGAAAGAGAAAATAGAGTGTATGTATAATATCATTACCAAGATAACTCCAGTTAACATTTCTTTTAGGCTTTTTCTATGTATTTTAACTATAATACATACATACATACACATACACAAACATAAACACATTTTATCAAAAAGAAAATGAACTGTGCCATAGCTACTCTTTTGAAACATAATTTCTTTAAAAAAGCAACAAGGTCATGAAATACATATTGAGAAACTATAAATCTACTTTTTTACTTTAATAATGCAGCATATTTGATTAGGCTGTACTATAATTTATTTAATTAGTTGTCTACTGATAATTAATTTATTTCCAATTTTACCTGTAAATACTGCTCTAATGGATTTCCTAGATAAATGCACTTGTGTGATTTGTCTAATCATCTTCTTAGAATACAGTAATGAAATGAAATTTCAGGGTAAAGGAAATATAATTTTTAAAATCTTAAACACATGTAGAAACATTTACATCAGGAAATATACCATTTTGCATTGCCATTAACATTTCTTCATACCTTCATCAATATTACATAACAAAAATGAAAGGATTTCTTTCAGCAATATCCCTCTTAAGGAAAATCTCTCTCTCTCTCTCTCTCTCTCTCTCTCCCTCTCTTCTCCCCATCTATCTCTCTCTTGCTCTCTTTCTCTCCCTGTCTCTCTATTTATTTAGTACTAAGCCACTCAGGATTATTTTTAATAATATAAGTGGGCCACTAAACTGCTTTCTGAAGTATTCTTTTAAATGGAGGGTCCCTTTCAATGTTTTTAATGACCTTGATTAATTTGACTGTTGATATTTGAAAATAACAGAAAGAAACTGTGTTTATTACATAAGAAGAAATAAGAAATTATAAACTCCTCAAAATGAGAATAAGAGCTGAACAGAAGAGAAAAGTAGGAATAAGGGGCAGAAATGAAAGGAGAAAAAGAAAGAATACATACCTCAGCAGAAACAAAAAGGGAAAAAAGGAGAAAGAGAGAAGGGGAGAGGGGAAGGAAAGGAGAGTGAGAGAGACAGAGCATGCTCAGATTAAGGCAAGAATGGCAAATATAAGGAAAGAGAAAGGTATTAAAAAGCAAAACTAGGGTTGGACATTTGAAAAAGCAAATAAACAGGAGCTTTAAAATGGTCTGTGTTAAGATGTGAAGTACAGACGTCTGAAAAATCTTCAGTACTGTCTACCTTTTCAATTAGTAGAGGAGGAAAGATAATTTTCTCTCTACCTTCTGAGTTCTTAGCTGTAACAAGGACAGATGAGCAAGAGAAAAACAAACAGAAGCTTATTAACATGTTCATTTCATATAACATGAGAGATTCCCAGGGAATGAATAATTTTCAAAGAGGTGGCTTTGAATTCAGGCTTATGTGGCATATTCAACAAAAAGAACAGTACATTTTTAGAGAATTGACAGGGCAAAGAAAAAGAACTTTGAGTCTGTGGGGCACCCAATTGTGGGAAGACAAATAAATGGTAGATAATAGCAACTTAGTGCAGTTTTTATGTAGATTTTTCTGGTGTAGTCTTCAGGCTGACAATGGCCTATCGTTATCTCCTATGATCAGCTTTTGCTTTTCCTGATAGAAAGGGGAGAAGGGACACATTGCCTTTTTAAGTTTATGTCCTGCTTTTAGGCAAATAGAAGGAGGGCAGAGAGCACTTCTTACGTCTGCTTCTTTTCAATTGCCTTTAGCTTAATTCTTAAGCTAAAGTGGCATTCTGGTCTCCTACATACTACTACCATCGTTCTAACAAAGAGGAGGGAATTTGGGGTAAAACCAAATCTGGAGTCTTTCATCCGTTTGGCAGTAATTCCCAGTGTTTTGTCAAAGTTTATGTCATATAGAAATGGTAAATACGAGTATCTCTGGATCAGTGAGAAAACACTCAACATAGGCTCAGAAGACTAAATTCAAATTCTGTTATCACTTTCTGAGTGTAGTAAGTCACTTAAAAGTTCTCTAAGCCAAAATTTCTTTACAGAGAATTTTTAAAAAATAATACTATTAAACATTTTGAGTTAATGGGATGGCTAAGTAAATAATGTTTGAAGAAAAAAAAGATTTGTAAATGTTCTTCACATAGTAAGCAATCAATAAGTGCCTGCTGAATCTAAAAAGACCATTATTCATAGAAACATAGGAACAACCACCACCATGAAAAAAATATATAAACAATGGAAATTAGGTAAGAAGGCAAAGGGATTATGCAGCTGTATAAAATAGAAATTGTCCAAATTATTTGCCTCAATTTGACTCAATGTCTTATTTACAGAAAGCATATCTTAAATTTCTACATAAAATACTATATAACTTAAAGCATATTTGAAAGCTCTTATTAAATAAATATAAAATTGCCTTTATTTAGTGATTAGCTTTTCCCCTCAGATGTTCTAAAAGTTCTTTCAAGAAATAATTGACTAAAAATGAGTAATGTGATAAATTATAATAATTGTTTAAATATATTTAAATTTAAAAAAATTTTAAACATGATAAGAAATTACTACTTTTTCCATTTCTACAGTTATTTCCATAATCAATCAGAGAGGCTTAGAGGGAGACAGTTGTTTAATTTTAATTATAATGGTATATTTGATTGGCATAGAAATATATTGAACTACTCACAAAATTGCTACTGCTAACTATCTAAATCTATTTCTTCAGAAGATATTGACTGAGAAATCTCTAATAATCTAATGTAAAAATATGTATTTAGAGTGTTTTTAAAATATGAATTATTGATCCAACTTACAGCTCCAAAGGAGCTATTAGTGTCCATCATTAAAACCATTTAATGACTTTTTAAAGTAATAATTATTCACCTAATTGACCATAACAGTTGCTTTGGTAGAGTTATGAAATGTCATCTAATATTTGAAGAATTTTTTAAAACTAAGATTATTAATTCATTGTACTGTCTTGGAAACGTAAGTCATCACTAGTACCAATTGTTCAAATAACACTCCCCTGGAGGGCAAAGATAACAGCTCCCCCTTGCTCTGTGGAGTAATGCTCAACATTGTAACATCAAGAGGTCACGTTAGGAATGAATTTACCTGTCAACATGGGTTGGAAGCTTACATGTGAGATGTACAGTACCGAAAACTAATTAAACCCATTTTCCTAACTTCCTTTTTCCCTCTTTTTTTTTTCTATCCCCACTCTCTCCCTCTTTTTATCCTCCACTTCCTTGCTTTATTCGCTACATTTCAATCTATTAACAATTATATACTGTGTTCCAGGTACAAAGCTTGACTCTGGGAGCCCAGAGGTGAACACAACCCATTCCTTTCTTCATGTCCTAGTAGAGTAGAAAGAAAAGTTAAGTTATGGTACTGTATATTAAATGTTATGATAGGTACAGTGGGATCACAGAAAGATGTCTTCTAATTCAGATAAGAGAGTCAGAGAAGGATCTCTAGAAGCAGTGACCATATGGAAACTGAACTTTTAAGGAAAGGAGCCTCCCCAAGTAGATCTGGAGAGCAAGGGTGCATCTGTCAATGACCATGGCAGGGAATCTGTATTTGACTTTGCATAAACTCTAACCATCATGTGAGTGAAACTGTCCATTTTTTGAATTTGGTAGAAGCAAACACAACTCCTACTGTATGAGTTTTGTTTCATTTAATAAGACACTTGGTGAAAAAGAGTAACACAAATTAAAAAAAAAAAGAAGAAGAAAAAGGCTCTCTCCAGTTTGGGGAGCTTAGCAGGCAGTTGGGTCTTTGCTTTCTCCTTGACAGTGCTACAGACTATTTAAGGTCTCATCTCTGATCCTTCTGGACCTTAGACAAGAAAGATAAATCAAAAGCGGGTGAATTTGCTATGAAGTAATACTTGAGTTGTCTACTATTTTTGATCCTGGTATCTTCTATTTGAATTAGCAACACGGTTTCTACAGAAGTGGAGAATAGTCACTCAAAATATTCTTGCTTCACTCACTCAATAATAAGTCATTTTTTTTCTCCTCCTATTGCTGATAAGAATGGAGTGGTAAATTCAGTTACTACTGATAAGTAAGAATGGGGTGTTAAATGTAGTTACTGACAGAGTTTATGATAGCAGAAAAGTCTGGAATTGCAGTTCTATTGCAAAATTAGTTGACAGTCTAAGGCAGAGGAAGAAAAACTATGTGTTAAGACTATCAGAAAGCAAGGGGGTTATAGAGACAATACAACTCCATTATCATTTGTGAGCCACATCTCAACATCAAGTTGGACTGAAAATCAGGCTATCAAAAATAGGAATGCTTCTTCTTTCTAGGACAAACAGCAGAGTGGTATAGCAGCCTAGAAACTTATAATAGCATATTTCTATCTTTGAATTGTGCACACTTATTTATATGTTTAGAATTTGGAACAGTCCTAATAGAAATATTGTGGTGACCATAAGGTACAATATATGCAGCATAGAAACAGAATCTGATGCATCTGATAACTATATTTTATTTCAGTATGGCTGGCATATGAAATGTGTTTTTGTGTGTGCACACATGCTCTTATGTGGAGTCTGCTGTGTGCATTGAGTGAAACTAGGGAGGGGGTAAAACATGAAGCCAGGAAAGCGGTAGGGAAGTGATCTACTAAACTGGGCAATTAGAGTTTATATGGGCAATTAGAGTAAGGCAGGATAGGTAGTCAAGGAAGTAACCATGTTCTCAGGATGCAACAACTGTGATGACCACACAATCAACATAGTAAGCCTCAGCCTTCACATTGTAATTGAGCTCATTCAAGCGAAGTTATCATCAGTAGGGAACTTCCCCTGTAGAGGGCATGAGCATGTTGATATTCCTCATCCTCAAAGTTACGCTTTGCTCATTATAACAGTAAAAGACACACCTTTGGGTGGAGATTTAAGAGTTAATGAGACATGTGATGTATGAACAAGCATGTACAGCTACTGCGCATGTGCACTCAGAGGATCACCCAGAACATGCTTGCTAGTAACATCTCTAGCTCCTTACGAATAATCAGGTAAGACTCCCATAATGTGAGTCTTCCTAGTGCCAGTCTTTTGCTGTTTCATCCTTATGGGTAGCTCACCCTGAACTCTCTCTTTCTGTCTCTCTCAGGGTATACTGTCTATTCTGCACTTAATTTTCAAGTATTCTTTCTCTTTTACAATAAATTACTCTGTGCTGCATCTCCTTTGCTGTGTGTCTCTTGTTTAAATTCTTTTAAACTAGGAAGACAAGAACCAAGGTCTCACAACAGTTGTCAAGAAGATAATTTGAACTTTATCCTAGACATGATGGACAACAATCAAGAGCCAGTATAAAAGAGCAGAGTTTATTTCTGGAAAATTTACTCTGACACCTGAATGAAGGATAAATGGATTGGGAAGAGACTTGAATAACATTAAGCCAATCAGTAAGGAAAGCTTGGTGTTACAATAATCCAATCAAGAAATAACCTGTGCTTTAATTAAGCATTGCCAATAAGCCTGAAGAGGAGGTAATAGAATAGAGAAATATTTGAGAGGTAGGATTGTGTTTCAGGATCAACTTACTGAGGGTGTGAATCAAAGGAAGAGGCCTAGGGAATCATATTTCTGAGTTATTCGAGTGACTGGGAAAAGTAGACATTGTTGGAGACAGGAAAAACAGAAGAATGGATATTTTTAACTGGAGGAAGGATGACAGGATTGAGCATGTGTTTATTTTTGGACATGTTGATCTTGAGATGGCTGTCACCATCTAGATTATGATGTCCAATAGGCAATGAGAAATATAGATGTGGACCGGAGGGGAAAGGTCTGAGTGAGGGATATTGGAGACATAAATATGAGTCATAAAATTGGAAGTCATAAATAGGAGTCATAAAATTTGAACTGTGGGGGTAGCAAAGAGAATGCCAAAGAGAGTAAAGCTGGAATGAGAGCAGTTCCAAACTGAGCACTGAACCCTGGTCACCCTTATGTGAATGGAGTAAGTAGTGGAAGAGTAGTCTGGAGAACTGTCAAAAAGGGAGGAAGTAGCTTAGAAGACATTGAGATCACAGGATATAAGGGATGATAAGACTTTGAAAAGGGGAGACTCCAGCATCAAATGATGCAGAAAATGTATCTCAAAGAATATTCATTTATACTTAAGAAGTGTGAGTAATTTCAGCAGAATGTTGGGCACAAAATAAGCTGGACTACATAAGAGTTGATGTGGAAATGCCAATGACAAGGGAAGATATATAGTTCAGCTACGAACTATACCTAGAGTTCAGACATGATACCAAAGGAAGTAGAGAATAGAATCTGTAACCACAGGGAGATGCAGAATTCACAGCTGCAGGATGAATCAAAAGCTGTCTACTTTTGTTTTCTTTTGTCTTATTTTTAGAGGGGAAGCACTAAGATCTGTATTTTGCTTAAAAGTATTCAGTGTACAGGATAGGTGTTAATGATTCAAGATAATATAAGACATAATTAGAGGAGTGGGCTTCTAAAATATGAATGAGATTATTAGCCTGGAATAGAAGAAGTAACAACTTTTCTGTTAAGAAGGTTGGAAAGAAAGACAGGAAAGATTGTAGAGGGACACTTTGGAGTTCACGCCAAATGGCTTCTATTAGGAGGCAGAATAATAGCATTGTTATGAGCTGTGGCTCTAAGGAAAGATAATGTGGGTTCAAATCCTAGTCACATTGTTTGGGAAAGTTACTTATGCTCTTCCAGTCTCTTCCCTTAATTGTAAAAGTGTGTGATATAATGTTAAATGAAATGATATACTCGAATGATTAAAACATTGCATAGTAAGTGCTCAATTCATATTAGAAGCCATTATTTCCCCTAGAAAATAAATTGAAGCAGTCACCAAATGACATTTAAAAAGTGAGTTGCATGGTGGAGCATTAGCTAGTGAGATGAGGATTTGGAAAATTTGGCTGACTACAAAACTTGTCATATGGCATTGAGAATTTTGCTAGGCCACACACCATGCCTTAGCCTGTAATCCCAGCACTTTGGGAAGCTGAGATTGGAGGCTCTTTTGAGTTCAAGAATTTTGCTGAATGAACTTGGGGAGCTGGTAGTCATTATCCTAATATATCAGGTTAGAAGACCCAATTATTCCTGCAGCTTCCATCTCATTCTTCCCGCATACCACCTTTGATTTCATAGAACTTTTATGGATTCCCATTAAAAATCTATCCTTATTGAACAGGTCCTATGTGGCAGGCACTGTTCTGGACTCCAGAGATACAGCATTAAACAAAACAGACAAAACTCTATGCCTTCAAAGAATTTCAGTCAAGTATGAAACACACAATGAGCAAAGTGAATTAGCAAAATAGACAGCAAGGTTAAATGGTGGTAAATGCTATGGAGAAAATGAGGCAAGGAAATAGTAGCAAGCAGGGCTGCAATGTTATATAGAACAACGAGGAAGGTCCTACTGAGAAGGTGACAGTTGTGTAAGATTCCAAGAGGTAAGAGAGAGATCAGTCATATGCACAACAGGTAAGGGTATTCCATTCCAGGCAGAGATAGTAGCAAATACCCAAAGCAGAAACATGCTTCAGGCATGGACCAGAAACTCTGAGGCCAGGATGGCTGGAACAGAGTGAATAAGTAAGGAGTAGAAAGGTGATAGGGCATTATAATGATGTTGTACTTTTATTATGAACAAGAAAGGAAGCCACTGACACTGTAAAAGACTTACTCCGGCTGTTATGTTCAGCAAGGTCGGGAAAGAAAAGCAGAGAAACCAGTTAGGAGTCTATTAGCAATAAGACAGGCAAGAAATGCTGCTGGGTTGGACTGCAGTGGTCACAGAAGAGGTAGTGAGAAGTAGATGGATTTTGGAAGCATTTTGAAGATGGAGCCAAGTTTAACGTACCAGTTATAAAAGTGACATTTTGATGTCCATCTCTCTGCCTGCTGCACATGGCTTTCATTTGCTTTTTTTTTTTTTTTTTTTTTGAGATGGAGTCTTACTCTGTCACCTAGTCTGGAGTGTAGTGGGGCAATCTCGGCTCCTCTTCTGCCTCCCGGGTTCAAATGAGTAGCTGAGACTACAGGCGTGTGCCACCACAACTGGCTAATTTTTGTATTTTTAGACGAGGTTTAACTATGTTGACCAGGCTGGTCTCTGACTCATGACCTCAGGTGATCCTCCCACCTCGGCATCCCAAAGTGCTGGGATTACAGGCGTGAGCCACCATGCCTGGCCTCTCATTTGCTTCTAAATGTGGAGGCACAAAACAAATATGAACTATATTTTGCCTCCTGAATTCCCTCAAATTGAGGTAAGAGATCAGCAGGACTTGTTTCCCAAGCACCAGTCACGACCCTGCTAATAAAACAGGATTTGGGGCCGGGCGCAGTGGCTCATGCCTGTAATCCCAGTACTTTGGGAGGCCAAGGCAGATGGATAACAAGGTCAGGAGTTCAAGACCAGCCTGGCCAAGATTGTGAAACCCCATCCCTGTTAAAAATACAAAAAATTAGCCAGGCATGGTGGTGGGCGCCTGTAATTCCAGCTACTCAGGAGGCTGAGGCAAAGAACTGCTTGAACCCAGGAGGCGGAGATTGCAGTGAGCTGAGATCACACCACTGCACTCCAGGCTGGGTGACAGAGTGAGACTCTGTCTCAAAAAAAAAACAAAAACAAAAAACAGGATTTGATCAAAACAGAAACTTGGCCAAAACCAGCTAAAACCATGATGGTGACAAGAGCAACCGCTAGTTGCCATCACGGCTCATTATATGCTAATTATAGTGTATTAGCATGCTGAAAGACACTCCTATCAGCACCATGACAGTTTACAAATGCTATGGCAATGCCTAGAAGTTACCTTACATGGTTTAAAAGAGGAGGTGCCTTCAGTCAGTTTGGGAACTCCTCATCTCATTTCTAAAAACCTGTAAATAACCCACCCCTTATTTAGCATATAATTAAGGAGTAGCTATAAATATAGCTAGCCAGCAATACATGAGTGCCACACTGCCTATGGGTTAGCCCTGCTCAGTCTATGGAGTGGCCATTTTTCCGTACTCTGTTGCTCTAATAAACTTGCTCTAATTCACTTCATTTTACTCTGTTGGCTCACTCTTGAATTCTTTCCTGCATGAAACGAAGAACCCTCCCAGGCTGAGCCCAATTTTGGGGTTCACCAGCATTAAAATTACCTTCTGTTTATTTCTTAGGACTCTGACATGACAATAAATTTCAAAACAAGATTCAAGGAATCAGATATTCAGATATTATTGCTTAGGCTCTATTCATTGTGACTGAATATGTATTAAATAATTGAGGTAAGTGTTCTGGGTTTAGTCTAAAAAATAATGCTGAATACCTTGGCCTTATTACACTGAGAACCCCTCTTGATCTCAGTTTTTCTAGCAATAGGATATTAAGTTCTGCCCTTCCAAATTAATTCCCAGGAATATTTCGGTCAAAACTGATAGTATATGCTGTGGAAATATGATTTATTTTGTGTATCACTTCTCATACATCAGCATCTTCTAAAGAACTTTGCCTTTGTAACTTTTTCAGTTACCAAGAATGATAATCAGTTTGCTTAATTTTTATTTCTGTTTAATACTCTATGTGACAGAGCAATCAGTAGAAGCTACAAAAAGTTGATTCTTCTCAAGGCACTATTATAGCAATTGACCTTACTTATTTGTTACAAATATTTTTAAAATAAAAGCACCACTAATATAATTTTTTTAGTTTTTTTAATCTTAAGAATGTATTTGTTTTTCTTACTTGTCCTGTTTAGTCATGCTACAGAATTTTAGTTAAAATATAAATACCCAAACTTCATACACTAAAGGCATATTAGTATTAACAATTGGCGTTATTGTTGGAATGCTCATACACTCATCATGAAGTGAAAGGAAACAAGTGATAATTGAATTCAATCACAATTCTGTGGTTCTATATGGTGCACTCAAGCAAACCATTAGATATTTCTTTGTTAGAAATTAGCCACTTTAGATTTCGGGAGAGAAATACAACTCTATATGAATAATCACACGGAGAAACTCTTTTTAGTATCAAAGTTCAAGCCATAACATTTTTTAAAATAGTTAACTATTTTCATAGTAATGAGCTCCATATAGTTATGGAAAGCAACTTGATTATAATGTATTATTAGTTATCTAGGGTTTTAAGCTATTTCAGGGAGGTACTGCCAGAATGTCAAAGTAAATAAGTAGTACTATTGAACGATTTGAGCTTCAAGAAAAATAAACGGAAATTTTTTCTATTAGGAGTTTTAAATAAATGCAAGTACAAAATGTTTTACAACTAGTTTTATTTTTCTCTTTTGACATTTTAAAAATAAGTCATACAGTTTTTTTCCTTTTGCATTAGTTCCTAGTGATATATAAAATTTGTATCTCTCTGAAACTCATACTTGACAAAAGGCGTTTAAATTATATGATACTTAGAGACAATGAGAAGTCACAGAAACTGCATTGACTATCAAAATTTTAGTTAGAAAACAATAGTTTGGCTGTTTTCTTTTCTTGTTCAGCTTCTTAAAGATATTCAGCAAATGTACATGTTTAATTAAGGGAGAAACTATGTACAATATTTATTTTTTTTAAAAAAAATCTGGCCTCTATTTAAGCACTGTATCAAGAAAATCATAGGTTTTATTCAGTTTTCTAATCTGATCACAAGCTGAGTGACTCGTGTAAAATGTTTATAATAAGACTTGGTACATTTGAAGAGAGTGTGGTTAAGTGTGGATAGGATCAGATTAGAAAGCAGGTGATCACATTCAGTCAAAAAATACTCAGAAAACCCACTAGAGCTGGGCACTATGTCAACATTGGGGAATTCCTCAGGTGCCCAAGAGGCTTCCTGCTGTATTTTAGAAATGCACTATTTTACATTTTACCATTTCTCACACTGTGATGCCTCTTATAACAAATAAACATCTTAGCTTCAATGAAACATGGTAGTTCTAAATCCCTTTACTAAAATGCATTATTTAGGAGAATTAGGAGACTAAACTGCCTGGAATGAAGAGCATAGTGTTAAAGATATGAGATCTTGATTCTTTGACAAATGTTGTTATATCACTGTGTGAGAGATCTTATATTGATATTTAAGCATTATGCTTATTAATAATGTGCATGTATGCAAATACTTTAATTTTTCAAGTAGTGACCTTCTTGAAGCCAAGGGCAGTATTTTTTTTCTTCTATTTCTTCAAAGATGTGGAGAATAGGCACTTAAGATATATTTATGGATGAATGGAGACATGATCATTGAGACTTGAGCTACAAAAGGAAGACTTCATCTTTTTTTTTTCATTCAATTTGTATTTCTCTTCCATAAACAACAGATACTTTGTAAGGAGTCATTTGTTTGAATTTTAAAATTATAGGTGTTATAAAAAATTTGTGTATACATATGCACACTTACAAACACAAAATTTTCTTTTTATGATAAAGGCCATCATCAACAATATTGTGCAAATATTTACTTTCCCCTAAAGACAATGAAATCATTACCCTTATCTGTATATATATTTTGAAAAAATACTATATTAAAAAATAAATAATTTTAGATGTTTTGGCATTTGACATGCTCACAATTATGACTGAGTCTATAAGATTATTGCAAAATCCATTTGGGGTTCTCTGGAAATAAAATACAAAGCACATAATAGGCTCCAAATAAATATTTGAAGATGGGCTAAGGTTATGTTTCTGGCTAGCTAGCATTTTCCTCATGACCCACGATTTGTGTGCAGGTTCATGTAGCCTCCATTACAGAGCCAAGATTTCTCTGCTTTTCCCAGAGAGAGAGATGGAATCCCACAGATACGGCTGTGTGAGTTTCCAGGAAGTCCCTTCTCATGCACTTTTAGAAGTTTAACTAGGTTAAGGTAGCATCCTGCTTGTGCTGTTGTAACCACAGGATTTAGGTTTTGCCACTCACTCAGGGAGTGCCCCTAGCTTCCAGGACCACACACCAGGTCTTCTGGAGCCCTGCAGAGGTGGTATCCTTTCTCCCATCCTTCCACTTTCCTCCCGACTCAGTCCTCCCAGGGTTTGTTAACCCTTCTATTTTGTATTTTGTAGTTTCAGCTGTCTCCTGGTTTCATGAAAATAGATTTCTTCTGTGTTGGGTATTTCTTGTTGCTTTTGAGTAATGCTCAGGAAGGCAAATAATGAATGTCAACTTTACCCCATCATCTTTAAATCATATTTTCTCTGAAAATATGTTTTCATTAAAACAGAACCCATTGGATGAATTTTTACTGTGAGTAGAATAACTTTATAAGAAATTATTGTCATAATTTATTGATTAAAAGCTAACTGTAGGTGGGAATTGAACAATGAGATCACATGGACACAGGAAGGGGAACATCACACTCTGGGGACTGTTGTGGGTTGGGGGACGGGGGAGGGATAGCATTGGGAGATATACCTAAATGCTAGATGACGAGTTAGTGGGTGCAGCACACCAGCATGGCGCATGTATACATATGTAACTAACCTGCACATTGTGCACATGTACCCTAAAACTTAAAGTATAATAATAAAAAAAAATACTTCTCAGTACCAAGAACCCAAAACAAACAAACAAAACAAAAAAAAAAAAAAAAAAGCTAACTGTTCTCCAACTATTTATTTCCCCCACCGCTGAAATATTGCTGCCTCCTTACCTCTGGCTCTGGGCAGGCCACATTTATAAACTAGATTCTGCCCCACCAGGAATAATGTAAAATACTCATTACTACCTCCTAAGTTGAAGCAAATAGGTTGATTACCATTAAACAAGGTCATTTCACTGTTGATCCCCAACTTCCCACTCTCCAACCCCTGTAAACATAGAAGAGAATTTATCTACTTTTGGATAAATATTATTCTAAATCTTTGCCTTTTATGCTGCTTGGTGGACATATTTATAACCTTTGCCATCATAAATAGTGTTTCTCTGGATCACAAGATTGTTGCTATTATATTATTTGTTTGAGTTTGTGTTTAGCATTCTGCTAATTAGACTGGATTTCTACTCTGACTTTATGTACATATTATTATCATCTTTTAAGGTTTTCCAGTGTTTGGAGGATTTAAAAATCTGATGATTTCTTAACATTTTTGTGGATGTTCTGATGCTGGTTGACCCTTCTCTTATGACTCTGAACCTCCCTGAATGTACTCAGCATTGCCTACTCAGTCTAAACTTCTAGTTCTCAGTCCATTGCCATTTCCTGAAACCCCAGCCTCTGCCTCAGCAAAGCCAAAGTGAATATCTTATCCATATAAACAGAACCTACTGCCACTAATTCCCTGCTATGTTAACCATCTATCAGTAAGCACTGAACATCTTCAGCCATGCTAATTTTTTTAACGATGCAGAAAATAATATTCTCCACAGTCTTAAGAAGTTGAGTAGAAGCTATTTGTTAAGTACTTTATGGCTAAAATGAAATATGTCAGTTTAAAGCAGATAATGTTTCAAGAACCAAGAGAAGCACAACATGAAAAGCATAGAAAGAGTGCCAAACTGGAGCTGAATGAACAGCTGTGGCCTAGATCAGAAAAGCTATAACAGTGCTGCTCTCAATTTTAAGTGAATCCTGTGAAAGTCCTGAATGGCAGATCTTCAGAGAAACTATTTTTAAATAAATATCCATGTATAAAATTAAAGAATTTATATATACATATATGCACACAGAGAGCAGTCGGTGTCAGGAACTAAAAGCTTGGTGTCTTAAATGTCTCACAAGCTTTTTGTAATTTTTTTTGCACCTCTTTGTTTACCTCCTTATAAATTAATTATAGATACTTGTGCATTCGAATTTGGAATTTGGGGAATTTAACAATTAATATAATGGTAGAATGTTTGAAATAACTGAAAATATATCTAATAAGCTTAAAGAATAATATGTTATTTAATTTTTAGGAATTGTTATGAAATTTCACCACAAATTATTTTGCTCAAATACCTAATATTATTAATAAAAGCATGTTACAAAATACTAATATATTAAAATCAAATTAAGACAAAAAACTTGATGCTGGTTGTAGCGGCTCATGCCTGTAACCCTGTTTACTTGGGAGCTGAGGGAGGAGGATCAGTTGAGCCCAGGAGTTCAAAGCCACAGTGAGCTATGATCGTGCCACTGCACTCCAGCAGCCTGTGTGGCAGAATTTTAATTAATTGACTAGTTGGTTTGTAGGGTTCATATTAATTGATGAGAGAGGAACTCAAATGTTCAGGCAATTATTTGTTTCGGTGAGGGCTTCTACATTATAAGGAAATTCAGGAGATGATTAGTATAAATTTGAAATGAAGAAAAGCTTCCTACTAAGTTAATATTCAAAATGTGTAGAAAAAATAGACATATTGACTACACACAAAAAGAGTATGGTAAAATATATTACAAAGTTCAAAGACATGATTGGTTAGGAAAAATATTAGCAAAATATGGGACAGATACAGAGTCAATAATTTTAACATCAACCAATGTCTATAAATTGAGGGAAATAAAAGAAAAAACATAAAGTCATTAAATGATATGAATGAGAATTTCACAGAAGAATAACAAACTTAAGGAAGTACACTAGTTAAATTTGAACCCTATTAATTCAGGAAACTTACTAAACGCACTTCAGAAATAGTCAGATGGCTCTTAATCCAAATTGCATTCTATAATTTAAAAATAAGTGATGCTTTATTCTAACTTGTTAGAGTTCAAATAGCCAATTAATCTGTGACTCGATTTCCCAACTCATTAGTAGCCTGGGAAATGCAAATAAAAGAAATAATAAGGTATAATTTTTAGTTAATCAGATTGGCAAAAATTTTAAGATGCAACATCCAGTGTTAGCAAGAATATGGATAAATGTACATCCTAATTCATTATCAAATTATAAATTGATTTCCCATAGAAATAAAAGATTAGTATGTAAGAATACACACACACACACACACACACACACACGCACGCAGACATGGATATATATTGCAGCATTGCTCATAGAAAAAATTAATAAAGAAAACAATCTAAAGAGACAACAGTAGGTGAATGATTGAATAAATGGTGGTGCTTTCACTCCATGGAATATTAAAGTTATTTTAAAGTATGTATTTAACAAATAGGTATTCAGATGAAAGGATACTCAGGATATATTGCTGGGATAAGGAGTTTACAAAATATTGTGCTCTGAATGATCTAATTTTAGTAAAACAATACAGCAATAACATCACTATTTAGACGGCTTTATATGTTTGTGTATATTTACATAAGCATGAGTAAAATCGTGTATATATCAGGTTATTAAAAATGATAATTGCAGACAAAGATGAGAGTTTGAATACAAATTTCATTTGCAATTTGGGAAAAGAATTTAATAAAGTAAAAACTTCAATATAGACATTTAATAAAAATAAACACAGCTCTTTTCTATCTGGTATTTATTTTTGTGTAAGAAGTGAGGTTGTAATCAAATCTTAATTTATTTTTCCAAAGATGAGTTAGTTGTCTGAAAACCATTTATTGAATGCCCCATCTTTTCACCCACAGTTTGAAATGTTATCTTTATCATACGTGAAATCCTCATATATACTGGCATCTATTTCTGGGTTTCTGTTCTTTTATATTCATTGACCACATTCCGTATTGCTACCACACTGCATTAACTTCTGTAGCTTTATAAAATAATCTATCATATAACTGAAAAACTCTATCCTTATTAAACTTCATCATAATTTTCTTAGATATTATCACATGTGAATTTTCATACAAACTCAAGTATTATTTTACAAAATTCCAAAAAATTTCTGGTAGATATATGATTCAAATTACATTTAAATTATAATTTTGTTTAGATAAAATTAATATTTTATACATTTATTTCTCCGCCAGATATGCATTTTATTTATTCAAGTATTATTTCAGAACTTTAGAAAAGTGTTTATTTTCTTATCAGTCCTGCACACTTTTTGAGGATGGGTTATGAAGTTACATAACAAGCTATCTGATTCAGCCTTAGTTGAACAAAACTACACTACTTAAGTCTGAGCCCCAATAATTCAGAAAATTACTAAACACATTTCAGTGGCTATAAATAGCTAGATGGTTCTTGATCTAAAAGGCATACATATCCCTAAAATGTATAAATAAATGATACTTTAGTTTAACTTCTTTGTTCTTATTCTTTATCTAATGTACCTCATAATAATATTTCAACATATGAGACAAAAGAACATGCAACTGTAGTCAATCACAATATTTCTTAACTCTCTCAGGAAATTTCTAGATAAAATATAGTATATTTCCCAATGTATATCTTGAGTTATAGTGTTACATACAAAAAATATTTTAATGTATTTGTTTATATTTGAGATAACTTCAGAGATAAATATCTATAACATAAAAATATTTAACATTAAAAAAACAAGTATGGTATGCCTAATATATACTAGATCACAAACCAATAAATTGCGTTGAATTTTTTTTTTTTGCAGTATAGCAAAATTTACTCAACATTCATTTAAACATTCATTAATAGTTTCGAATGCTTTGAATGTTCTAGACAATGTATTACATTTTGAGGATATAACAATAAATACTAGTAAAGTATACCTACAAGTAAGTAAGCAAGTAAAACACAGGGTGTGATCATTGCTGCTTTAGTCACAAGCCCAGGGTGCACAATGGGTTTTTTGTTTGTTCCAGTTCCTGGTAAGATGAGGAATGTGGTGTTTCAGGGCAGGTTTCTGTGAGGAAGTGATGTCTAATATGAGAAACAAAGGAGGGATAAACATTAGCATGTGGAAGAGAGGCCAATAATAAAGATTCCAGGCAGATGCTTCAGTGTGAGAGAGTGTGGGAGGTTCAGACATTTAAGCCCGGAAGTGGTTTTTAAAAAAATATTCCTATGGGACACATAATAATGGCAAATGTTAAAAAAGAGCTCAGTATTTGTTAACACAACACCTATTGACAGAATGAATACAGCTCTATCTACAGATTCTTAGCATACCAAAAGTCATAACTGCTATCATATGAATCTCAAAACATCTTTATCATTTCCTCCATTTGATCCTTTTTTTTTTTTTTTTTTTTTTTTTGAGACGGAATCTCGCTCTGTCGCCCAGGCTGGAGTGCAGTGGCACCATCTCCGCTCACTGCAAGCTCCGCCTCCCAGGTTCACGCCATTCTCCTGCCTCAGCCTCCCGAGTAGCTGGGACTACAGGCGCCCGCCACCACGCCCGGCTAAATTTTTGTATTTTTAGTAGAGACGGGGTTTCACCATGTCAGCTAGGATGGTCTCGATCTCCTGACCTTGTGATCCGCCCATCTCGGCCTCCCAAAGTGCTGGGATTACAGGCGTGAGCCACCGCGCCCGGCCCATTTGATCCTTTTTAAACTGTTAAAGTATTTAAAGATGTCAAAACAGTATTATATTTTTACCCAATTTTTCAAGAATTAACCTAAAAACGACTCAATGGATATGGCCCAAGTTAATAACAAAATTAGATTTCAATAGGGAATATTTTCTTCCAGACAAAACAAGCTGAAAAAGAATGAATACACTTACAATTTGCAAATGTACTAAAATATTTAATATGCAGAGCTTGCAGAAAAGTAAAAAGCCCAGACTTCAAAAGGGTCAGAAAAGGCAAGCAAAATTGCCTTTTTGGCAGAAGAAATACTAAGTAATTCATGTGGTATCAATACTATTCAATACATTTTCTCTCTCTGTAGCAAACCTTATATTCTCAACATAAACTGTCTATTCTCATTACACTTTATCCTTTTTGTTTTCCCTGCAAATAGCCAAGCTCATCCTGCCTCCTTTCCTCTATTTATATAGATTCTGTAATTGTAGTGTTGTCCCACTTATTTCAAGAGTCTCCTCAGTTTCTTCTTCATGAGGCTTTCTGTGAGCATTCTAACCGATATCAATCTTCCCATTCTCTGAAGTACCAGTACTATATTGTCAATACTACGCATTTTGCCATCATTCATCAAACAGTGATTGAATAGTGCCTATCTAGTGCCAGGCACTATGCTAGGTGTCGGGGAAATAATAATAAAGAAGGCATACCACCTTCTCGCAAGTAGCTCACAGTCTTCTCATGGAGATAGATATGCAAACAATTATGACTGGAAGTACACAGAGAGTCCCCAATGGTGTACAGCCTAGTAGAGCTGTGACCCCATCCTTCAGACCCCAGAATGGTAGATCCACTGACAGCTTGTAGTGTGCGCCTGGAAAAGCCGCAGACACTCAACTCCAGCCTGTGAAAGCAGCCAGGAGCAGGGCTGTATCTTGCAAAGCCAAAGGGGCAGAGCTGCCCAAGACCATGGGAACCCATCTCTTGCATCAACGTGACCTAAGTGTGAGACATGGAGTCAAAGGAGATTATCTTGGAACTTTAAGATTTGACTGCCCTGCTGGATTTCAAACTTGCATGGGGCCGATAGACCCTTTGTTTTGGCAAATTTCTCCCATTTGGTATGGCTGTATTTACCAAATGCCTGTACCCCCATTGTATCTAGGAAGTAACTAACTTGCTTTTGATTTTACAGGCTCATAGGTGGAAGGGACTTCCCTTGTCTCAAATGAGACTGGACTGTGGACTTTTGAGTTAATGTTGAAATGAGTTAAGACTTTGGGGGACAGTAGGAAGGCATGATTGGTTTTGAAATGTGAGGACATGAGATTTTTGAGGGGCCAGAGGCAGAATGACATGGTTAGCTACGTCCCCACCAAAATCTCATCTTGAATTGTAGCTCCCATAATTCCCATGAGTTGTGCAAGGGACCCGGTGGGAGATAATTGAATCATGGCAGTGATTTCTCCCATACTGTTCTTGTGGTAATAAATAAGTCTCAGGAGAGCTGATGTTTTTATAAGGGGTTTCCCATTTCTCTTGGTTCTCATTTTCTCTCATTTGCCACCATGTAAGAAGTGCCTTTCACCTTCTGCCTTGATTATGAGTCCTCCCCAGCCACTTGGAACTGGGAGTCCATTAAACCTCTTTTTCTTTATAAATTACCCAGTCTCAGGTATGTCTGTATCAGCAGTGTGAAAATGGACTAATACATCTCTCTGTTCTCTCTCTTATGTCTCCCTCTTCCACTAATGAGAACCCAGGTGATTACACTGATCCCACTTGGATAATCCAAGATAGTCTTCCTATTTCAAGGTCAACCTTAATAACATATCTTCCCTTAATTCTCCTTAGCCATGTAACCTTACACAGCAGTCCCCAACCTTTCTGGCAACAAGGACTGGTTTCATGGAAGATAATTTTGCCACAGACTGATGTGGGGGCAGGGGAGTATGGTTTCAGGATGAAATGGTTCCACCTCAGATCATCATATATTAGATTCTCATAAGAAGTGAGCAACCTAGATCTCTCATATGTGCAGTTCACAACAGGGTTTGCGCTCCTATGAGAATCTAAAGCTACTGCTGATCTGACAGGAGGTGGTGCTCACACAGTAATGTTTGCTCAACCATCACTCTCCTGCTGTGCAGCCTGGTTCCTAACAGGCCACAGCTTGGTACTGGTCCATAGCCTGGGGGTTGGGGAACCCTGACCTAACACATTGACAGGTTCTAGAGATTAGATCATGGATATCTTTGGGGGACTGTTATTCCACCACAGTACTAATAATGGAAGACTGTTATCTACCATTATTCTACCATGGTGCTAATAAAATGTCTGACCTCTCTGATCAGACAAGAAAAAGTCAGCTTTTGGGGATCTGCAGAGACTGAAAACAACAATTAACGCCCTCTCTGCCTTCAGAAAATGTTGCACCCTGAATAATATGGTGAAGACTGTAAACCTTTCCTTTCCCTTGGGCTTGGAATTGTACCCTTCCCGGGAGGTACATCTGTTGAATCTGTGTTGTGTGTGATAAGGCCTGCTGGGTTAAAAGCAAAAGAACTTACTTCCTACTTTCAGTGCTATCTTTGGAACTTAATTTAGCAATTTTATTGATGGAGTATTGGTTAAGATTTTACTGGCTGGTCATCAGATTAAAGCTGATCCTGACTAGATATGGTTATTCAGAAAATTCAAGTATCATTTCTGTTAGTAGATAGATAGATAGAAGCATTGTTTTAGCAAATTTTATGCAGACAGCAAGTCTAAGCCTTATTAATTACAGGCTGAGAAATTCATCTAGCCATTTATTCAACATGGATTTCTGAATTCTACTGTCTGCAAAGCAGTGAGCTAAAAAGTGAGGATGCAGTAGAAATAAAGACTGATGTTGACTTATCTACATAAACTTAACATATTACTAGGAAACAGAGATGTAAAACTACTAATTAAACAATGAATTATTTAACTACAATTGTGGCCAATGCTATAAAGAAGAACAAAGCTCTATCCATCCAGTAATTCTCCAACTAACATTGATTGGGTTAGAAGGAAGAGAACTCACAAAAAGGAAAAGCAAAAATGTTACCTGTTTGGTTCACCACTGTGTATGTATCACTTTGCACAGCGCATGGCATTTACTAGAAACTTATTAAATACTTAATAAATAAAATCAAATGCCATAATAAAAAACAGGGTGTTTTTTTACTAAGAACTACATTATTAAAAATGTGTAATCTTTAGACAGCCAAGCAGCCCTATATAAACCACATTTCTCATAGGTTCATACAAAAGGGAATTTTTAATCTGTATTGAGCAACGTATTCCATCCCGTTTTATACCAGGTCTTTGATTAGGATATCTCACAATTTTCTGAGCCCACACTGGAATGGCAGAGAAAAAAACTGGGTCTGATATCTCAGATAGCATAGTTAATAGAGCTGGTATGCCGACATCTAGGATTTGCCTGTCCCCATTGAGATCAGACTTAAATATAGCAGCATGTCTGGTAAGAGACTAACATGAGACCCAAACAGGAACAAAAAGAGAACAAAGTTTGCAAGTGTCAGTAAAAAGGCAAGCACAGAAATTAGGAGTATTTTTGTTACATTTGTCTAATTGCATTTGTCCAGACTACATTCTTTTGTCAGGATGCCTTATAAAAGTCATTGAACCCACATCCTATGTTGAACTCTTAAAGACTTTCAGGAACTGGAAATATGATAACTGACAACACTTGTCTTCAGAAAAGGAGGGGTGAAATGAATGACAGTCATGTTTTTCTGATCTAAATCAACAAGAAGTAAATTAAAAGTAAGTACACAGAAGGGGGGACAAAATAGCTTTATTCCTCTTGTTTTCAGAAGATGTATAACTTCATATGTAGTATGAAAATTAACCCTATAGTCTTCTCACCCTATGTATCACATTTTCTTCCAAAAGGAAACCAAGTGTAGCCTTTTTTATTCTTACTCCTCTTTTTCTTTAAATCTATCCCAGAAACATTAAGAAAGGCAAAGTAGTCTCACAATTCTTTCAGTCAAAGAGAAAATAACCTTGAACTCAAACAAAGAACGTCTATCATGTAAAGCAGAGATGAAGGAGATCTGATTAAAATCAGAATTCCCATCACTACATCTTCACTTGCCACACCAAAATCAGAAGCTATTGATTCTTTTCATTAAAAAAGATCTGATACAGAAATACTACATTGAGAGCAATCCCTTATGAAAACGTCTGTCAAGATTTCTATTTTTTGGCTCACACCTCAGAGACAGACATGCTTAAATTTGCAATTAAATATTACAGGACCATGATGCATACCTGGCCATTGAAAAATCCCAAGGGGAAAGAGAATAAAAACAAGAGAAGAGAAATGCAAGAAAGTGTGTATATGCTTATGTGAAAAAGGGAAAAGGTGACAACAGCCCAAAACACAGAACAATGAGGCAAAGGAACCAAATAGGAAAACAAAAAGCAAGGTAAAAACTAATGAAAAATCAACTATTTAAAATCAGGGTGAATTATGCAATGATCAATCAAATCTCCAAAGGTATATAACCAAAATACTATTGAAGTTTAGAATGAGTGCAGACATGTTCCAAATACCCCCATGAATAGATTATCTGTGCATTAGCCCTAATATGTGAATAGACCTTGTTTATTTTGACTCTATGCCTCTCTAATAGTGTCATTCTACAAAGTTAATATTAAAGATAGGCCTTAGCTAAAAGAAAAAATGGAAGACAATGTAGTTATAATATTTTTTTTACTAAAAACTGGTAATACCTATTAATACAAAGGAAATATCAGCTTTACGGCAATATCCATATAGACATCAATTAATGACTTTTTATAGTCATTTTCTCATGTATTATTCATACATATGTAAACAAAGTAAGAAAAGGGAATAGGAATTGGAAGAACAGAGAATATAGAAGAGAGGTGAAGAAAACAAGAAAGAAAGAATAAAAGAGCCTTCACAAATAAGCTGGGTCATTTAATTTTCATAAGTTATTTCAATTTTAAATTTAAAATATGTCAAGTATTTTGAAATACTTATGCTTTTTCTGTTTATTAAATGGCAAACTGGTTTAACATTCTTAGGTCTGGGACCATGATGCTGACATCTAAAGGAAAACTGATTCTCTCACATTTATAAAAGTGTCCTAAAAATGTATTTTCTCTGTGTATTACTAATAATGAATTTATCTCCACCTGAGACACACTCTTTTATACTGCACACAGGATAATGCTTTAATGTAAAATACAGCATAGAAGGAGTAAAACCACTACAACAAGATATGCAATTCTGAGTAAAAAATAAGGAAGGCAAAAATTTTCTCCCATTCTGTAGATTGCCTGTTCACTCTGATGGTAGTTTCTTTTGCTGTGCAGAAGCTCTTTAGTTTAATTAGATCCCATTTGTCAATTTTGGCTTTTGTTGTCATTGCATTTGGTGTTTTAGACATGAAATCCTTGCCCATGCCTATGTCCTCAATGGTACTGCCTAGGTTTTCTTCTAGGGTTTTTATGGTTTTAGGTCTAACATGTAAGTCTTTAATCCATCTTGAATTAATTTTTGTATAAGGTGTAAGGAAGGGATTCAGTTTCAGCTTTCTACATATGCCTAACCAGTTTTCCCAGCACCATGTATTAAATAGGGAATCCTTTCCCCATTTCTTGTGTTTGTCAGGCTTGTCAAAGATCAGACGGTTGTAGATGTGTGGTATTATTTCTGAGGGCTCTGTTCTGTTCCATTGGTCTATATCTCTGTTTTGGCACCAGTACCATGCTGTTTTGGTTACTACACTTCTCAAAAGAAGAAATTTATGCAGCCAAAAGACACATGAAAATATGCTCATCATCACTGGCAATCAGAGAAATGCAAATCAAAACTACAATGAGATGCCATCTCACACCAGTTAGAATGGCAATCATTAAAAAGTCAGGAAACAACAGGTGCTGGAGAGGATGTGGAGAAATAGGAACACTTTTACACTGTTGGTGGGACTGTAAACTACTTCAATCATTGTGGAAGTCAGTGTGGCAATTCCTCAAGGATCTAGAACTAGAAACACCATTTGACCTAGCCATCCCATTACTGGGTATATACCCAAAGGATATAAATCATACTGCTATAAAGATACATGCACGCGTATGTTTATTGTGGCACTATTCACAATAGCAAAGACTTGGAACCAACCCAAAAGTCCATCAATGATAGACTGGATTAAGAAAATGTGGCACATATACACCATGGAATACCATGCAGCCATAAACAAGGATGAGTTCATGTCCTTTGTAGGGACATGGATGAAGCTGGAAACCATCATTCTCAGCAAACTATCGCAAGGACAGAAAACCAAACACCACACGTTCTCACTCATAGGTGGCAATTGAACAATGAGAACACTTGGACACAGGAAGGGGAACATCACACACCGGGGCCTGTTGTGGGGTCAGGGGAGTGGGGAGGGATAGCATTAGGAGATATACCTAATGTAAATGATGAGTAAATGGGTGCAGCACACCAGCATGGCACATATATACATATGTAACAAACCTGCACGTTGTGCACATGTACCCTAGAACTTAAAGTATAATAATAAAAAGGAAGGCATAAAATGAACAAGCCTAAAATTAATTATGAAAATAAAAAGGAAATAAACAAGGAAGCACAAACTGTGCAATAGGAAAAGATGCCAAGAAAACAAGATGGGGGTAGATTTGGCAGCACTACTTCAAAGTTCTTCTGGATATCACATCTGGTTACCCTTGATTGTTTCCATTGAATAGGCAGGTTCCTACACACCTTTGTCGACCATTCCTCTCCTTGAAGTACCACAGCTAATTAATTAACCTCCCAGGTAAGCTATCATACTTCAAAGTATGATATATTTGTGACACCTCTCTGATATATTTGTGACACCTCAAAGCTCAAAAAGATTCAATCAATTCAAGTTTTTTTTATATATTTCTTTGATAAAACAATCTGGGGTTGATATCCCATCAAGATGGTAAAGAGGAAAACTGTTGCCATGTATTACTATAAAGATATATATACATATGTGGTATACACACACATATATATAAAAACATACATACATATACACACATACTTTTTTTAATCATAAATTTTTAGGGCATGGTTTATGTATCAAAGAATTAACAACATTTAAATTCACAGTCCCATCACAATAGGAAAAAAGGGAAAAAACACTTCATAGAAAGGTGAAAACAATTTGAAATCACAGTGAGTAAATTTCTTATCTCAGCTGTGATCCCTGAAGATCTGAGGAAGCTATTCACTAGCTAATACAGGAAGTATGTTGCAAACAAGGAAATTAAGGTGGCCACCAGCAAAATATTATGCTCCCCTTCACTCTAACAGCAACAGGGATAGTGCCTTTAAATGTCCAAGACCTGGCACATAAAAAAGCTCATGAAAAACTAAGACATTAAATTTAGGAGCAAATTCTTTCAGTGGTCTTGTATACTAGTCTAAGAATCTATTGCCAGAGAAGTAGGTAAGTTTTATGATCATTGAAAGTGCTCATAAAAACTTCCTTAGCAAATGGCAATATGATTTCATGGTAACTGAAATCACTGCACCAGGCTGAGATCTCAACTCTTTGATGGGGATAGGGCTGTGATCCACTGGATGGCAGAGAAGACTGCTGAGGTGCTGCCGCTGGGACTGGAGGGCAGAAAACAGCTAGCCTAGGTGTCAATGAAAGTCTGGAGTATGTGCCCCACTGAGACCACACATCATAATTAGAGAAACCTGGCAGCTGTGAGTCAGGCAGCCATGCCATATTACCAAGAGGGAAACCGGAAGAGGAAAAGAAGACCCTTCCTCCTATACTGTTTCGCCAGTACTCTCTATTGACAGGACAAACATTGTACCAAAGATTAAAACCACATGCTTAAGGGGGAAAAAGAAACTTTAAAAAATCAAATGAAAAACAAATTCAAGAATAATTAGAATAAGTAATCTAACTAAAATACAAGGAACCAGAAAAATAATTCTGGTAATACGATAAACAGGGTTCTGTAACACACTCAATTATCACACTAGCCCTCCAGCAATGGATGGAAACCAAGATGAAATCTTTGAAATATCAGATAAAGAATTCAAAAGGTTGATTATTAAGCTACTCAAAGAGGTACCAGAGAAAGGTGAAAACCAACGTAAAGAAATTGAAACACAATTCAGGGTATCAGTGAAAAATTTTGTCAAGAGATAGATGTCTTAAATAAAAACCAATCAGAATTTCTGAAAATGAAAGTCACAATTAGGGAATTACAAAATATAGCGGAAAGTTTCAACAATAGAATAGAATAAATAGAAAAAATAATTTCAGAGTCCAAAGAAAATGCTTTTCAATTAACCCAGTCAGACAAAATAAAGAAAAAGGAATCAAAAGAAATGAGCAAAGTCTCCAAGAAATATGAGATATGTAAAATGGCCAAACATAAGAATAACTGGTGTTCCTGAGGGAAAAGAGAAAGCGAAAATTTGGAAAATTTAATTGAGGGAATAATTGAGGAAAACGTCTCAGGCCTTGCTAGAGATTTAGATATCCAAATATAAGAAGTTCAAAGAACTCCTTGAAGATAGATTGCAAAAAGGTCATCACCAAGGCATCAAGTCATCAGGCTGTCTAAAGTCAACATGAAGGAAAAAACTCTAAGAGAAATGAGACAAATGCATCAGGTACCCTAAAAAGGAAAACCTATCACACTAATAGCAGACTTCTTAGCAGAAACCTTACAAGAATGGATTGGGGTCCTATATTTAGCCTCCTTAAACAGAAGAACTCAGTCAAGAATTTTATATCCAGCAAAACTAAGATTCATAAATGAAGAAGATGAAATAGTCATTTTCAGAAAAATAAATACTTAGGGAATTTGTTGCTACCAGAGCATCCCTATAAGAAATGCATTTGGGAGTTCTGAATGCTAAAGGAGTTCTAAACCTTGAAACAAAAGCTTGATATGCACCAAAATTGAACCTCTTAAAAGCATAAAGCTCACAGGGCCTATAAAACTATTTGTTTTATAACACAAAAACACACAAAACAATACAAACTATTTGTTTTATAACACAAAAACAACAGAAAAACAAAGTACCTAGATGACAATTAACATGATGAATGGAACAGTACTTCACATCTCAATATTAACATTGAATGTAAATGGCCTAAATGCCCCACTTAAAAGATAGAGATTGGCAAAATGAATTTTAAAATCAGAAAACAAATATCTGCTGTCTTCAAGAGACCTGCCTTACACATGAGAATTCATATAAACTGAAGGTAAAGGGTAAAAAAAGATATTCCACTCAAATGGAAACCAAAAGTGAACAGGAGTAGCTATTCTTATATCAGATAAAACAGTCTTTAAAGTAACAACTGCAAAAAAACACAAAAGAATGTCATTATATAATGATAAAAGGATCAATCCAACAAGAATATATTACAATCCTAAATTTATATGCACCTAACACTAGAGATCCCAGATTCATAAAACAATTGCTACTTGACCTAAGAAATGAGACAGCAACACAGTAATAGTGGGGGACTTCAGTATTCCACTGACAGCACTAAACAGGTCATTGAGACAGAAAGTCAACATAGAAACAATGGACTTAAACTGCACTATTGAAAAAATAGACCTAACATGATATTTACAGAACATTCTACCTAAGAACTGTAGAATATATATTCTTATCAGCATATGGAACATTCTCCAAGATGGACCATACGATATGCCACCAAATAACACCCAATAAATTTTTTAAAAATCAAAATCGTACCAAATCTCTTCTCAAACCGCATTGGAATAAAGCTAGAAATCAACTATAAAAGAAACCCCCAAAACTATAAGGATACATGAAAATTAAACAGTCTGCTCCTGAATGATTTTTGAATTAGCAATGGAAATTTTAAAATTCTTTGAAATGGATAATAGTGGCACAATTATTAAAACCTCTGGGATACAGCAAAAACAGTGCTAAGATGAAAGTTTATAGTGCCAAATGCCTACATCAAAAAGTCTGAAAGAACACAAATTAACAACCTAATGTCACACCTCTAGGAACTAGAGAAACAAGAACAAACTGAACCCAAAAGCAGCAGAAGAAAAAAAATAACAAAGACCAGAGCAGAACTAAATGAAATAGAAACAAAACAAATACAGAAGATCAATGAAACAAAAATCTGGTTCTTTGAAAAGATAAGAAAAAATTGATAGACCATTAGCTAGATTAACCAAGAAAAGAGAGAAAAGTTTCAAATAAGCTCGATTAGAAATAAAACTGGAGACATTACAACTGACACTATAAATACAAATTATCATTCTAGACTACCATTAACACCTATACCCACAAACTAGAAAACCTAGAGGAAATGGATACATTTCTGGAAACATATAATTCTCCAAGATTCAATCAGGAAGAACTAAAAATGCTGAACATACCAATAACAAGCAACAAGATTGAATCAGTAAAAAAAAAAAATTGCCAACAACAGTAAAAAAGCTTAGGGCCAGATGGATTCACAGTTGAATTCTACTGGACATTTGTATTAGTCAAGGTTCTCTAGAGGGACACAACTAATAGGATAGATGCATATGTGAGTTTATTAGGAGAACTGACTCACACGATCACAAGGTGAAGTCCCTCAATAGGCCATCTGCAAGCTGAGGAGCCAGGAACCCAGTCTGAGTCCCAAAACCTCAAAAGTAGGGAAGCTGAGAGTGCAGCCTTCGGTCTGTGGCCAAAGGCCTGAAAGCCACTGACTAATCACTGGTGTAAGTCTAAGAGTCCAAAATCTAAAGAACTTGGAGTCTGAAGTTTGAGGGCAGGAAGTATCCAGCACGGGAGAAAGATGGAGGCCAGTAGACTTAGCCAGTCTAGTCTTTCCATGTTCTTCTGCCTGCTTTTATTCTGACCATGCTGGCAGCTGGTTAGATTGTGCCCATCTGGATTGAGGGTGGGTCTGCCTTTCCCAGTCCAGTGACTCAAATGTAAGTCTCCTTTATCAACACCCTCACAGACATACCCAGGAACAATACTTTGCATCCTTCAATCCAATCAAGTGGACACTCAATATTAACCATCACAACATTCAAAGATGAACTGGTATGAATCCTACTGAAACTGTTCCTAAAGATTGAGAAAAAGAGAATTCTCCCCGAATCATTCTATGAAGCCAGCATCACCTTAATACCAAAACCAGGAAAGGACATTAACAAAAATTAGAAAACTGCAGCCCAATATACCTGATGAACATAGATACAAAAATTGTTAACAAAATGCTAGCTAATTGAATCCAACAGCACATCAAAAAGATAATACACCATGATTAAGTGAGTTTTATCCAGGGATGTGAGGATGGTTCAACATACACAAATCAATAACTGTGATACATCATAAAAACAGAATGAAAAACAAAAATCATATGATCATCTCAATAGATGCAGAAAAATCATTCAATAAAATCCAGCATCCCTTTACAATAAAACCTCTTAAGAAACTAGGCATAGAAGTGACATATCTCAAATTAATAAAAGCCATCTATGACAAACCCACAGACAACATCATACTGAATGGGGAAAAGTTGAAACCATTCCCCCTGATAACTGGAACACGGCAAGAATGCTCACTTTCACCACTTCTATTCGACATAGCACTGGAAGTTTTAGCCACAGCAATCAGGCAAGAGAAAGAAAAATAATGGGCATCCAAATTGGAGGAGAGTAAGTTAAACTATCACTGTCTGCCAATGATAGGATTGTATACCTAGAAAACCCTGAAGACTCCTCCAAAAGACTCCTAGATTTGTAAATATATTCAGTAAAGTCTCAAGTTACAAAAATCCATGTACTCAAATCAGTAACACTTCCATACACTAACAACAATGAAGGTGAACATCACATCAAGAATTCAATCCCTTTTACAACAGCTGCAAAAGATATAAATAAAAATAAAATACTTAGGAATAAACTTAACCAAATAAGTAAATGATCTCTACAAGGGTACTACAAAACACTGCTGAAGGAAACCACAGATGACACAGACAAATGGAAACACAGCCCATGTTCATAGATTGGAAGAAATAATATTGTGAAAATGACCATACTGGCTGGGCGCGGTGGCTCATGCCTGTAATCTCAGCACTTTGGGAGGCCGAGGCGGGCGGATCACGATGTCAGGAGATCGAGACCATCCTGGCTAACATGGTGAAACCCCATCTCTACTAAAAACACACACAAAAAAAAAAAAATTAGCCGGGCATGGTGGCAGGTGCCTGTAGTCCCAGCTACTCGGGAGGCCGAGGCAGGAGAATGGCGTGAACCCGGGAGGCGGAGCTTGCAGTGAGCCGAGATTGCACCACTGCACTCCAGCCTGGGCGACAGAGCGGGACTCCGTCTCAACAATAACAACAAAAAAAAAAAAAAGAAAGAAAGAAAGAAAAGAAAATGACCATACTACCCAAAAAAACTACAGATCCAAAGCAATTCCCATCAAAATACCAACATTTTCTAATTTTCACAGAATTAGAAAATGCAATGCTAATATTCATATGGAATCAAAAAAGAGCTCAAATCACCAAAGAAATCCTAAACAAAAGGAAGAAATCTGAAGGCCTTACATTACTGGACCTCAAGTTATACTAAAGAATATAGTTACCAAAACAGTATGGTACTGGTATAAAAGTAGGTACATAGACCATGGAATAGAATATAGAACTCAGAAATAAAGCCAAATACTTACAACCCGTTGATCTTTAATAAAGCATACAAAAACATAAATTGAGGAAAGAACATCTTATTTAATAAATGGTGCTGGGGAAACTGGCTAGCCACATGTAGAAAAATGAAACTGGATCCCTCTCTCTCATCTTATACAAAAATCAACTCAAGATGGATCAAAGAATTAAATCTAAGACCCTGAAACCATAAAAATTCTAAAAGATAACCTTGGAAAAACTCTTCTGGTCATTGGCTTAGACAACAAATGCATGACTAAAACCCTACAAGCAAATGCAACAAAACAAAAAATAAATAAATGGGACCTTCTTAATTTAAAAAGCTTCTGCACAGCAAAAGAACATCAAAGTAAACAGACAACACACAGAATGGGAGAAAATACTTGCAAACTATGCACCCAAAAAGAACCAATACCCAGAATCTACAAGGAACTCAAACAAATCAGCAAGAAAAAGCAAAAAATCATTTCAAAAGATGGGCAAATGACATGAATATACATTTCTCAAAAGATGTATAAATGGCCAACAAACAAATGAAATAAATGCTCAGCCTCACTAATCATCAGGGAAAAGAAAATTAAAACCACAATGAGATATCACCTTACTCCTGCAAGGATGGCCATTATTTTTATTTTTATTTTTTTTTGAGACGGAGTCTTGCTCTGTCGCCCAGGCTGGAGTGTAGTGGTGTAATCTCAGCTCACTGCAAGCTCTGAAGGATGGCTATTATTAAAAAGTCAAGAAACAATAGATGTTGGCATGGATGTGGTGAGAAGGGAACACTTATACACTGCTGGCGGGAATGTAAATTAGCACAACCTCTATGAAAACAGTATGGAGATTCCTTAAAGAACTAAAAGTAGATCTTCCATTCAATCTAGCAATCCCACTACTATGTATCTACCCAAATGAAAAGAAGTCATTATATGAAAAGAACATGCACACATGTTTATCGCAGCCCAATTCACAATTGCAAAGATATGGACCCAACCTGATGCCCATCGACCATTGAGTGGATGAAGAAAATGTGGCATATATACACCACAGAATACTACTCAGCCATAAAAAGGAATGAAATAATGTCTTTTGCAGAAACTTGGATGGAGTTCTAAGTAAAGTAACTCAAGGATGGAAAAACAAACACCGTGTGTTCTCAATTACAAGCAGGAGCTAAGTTGTTTGTACACAAAGGCATACAGAGTGACATAATGGACTTTGGAGACTCAGAAGAGGGGTATGGGAGACAGGGTTGGATTTAAACACTACATATTGGACACAACATACACTACTTGGGTGAGGAGTACACTAAAATCTCAGAATTCGCCACTATATAATTCATTCATGTAACCAAAATCCACTTGTACCCCAAAAGCTATTGAAATAAAAATGAATAAATAAATTTAAAACACACATACATACTACCTTTTTTGAGTAATATATAGCATAGACTGTAAAAGAAATGTGTAGACATTAAAATTACAATTTTGAATACTATGTAGAAAAATAAGGTTAACGGAAAAAAATAAAAATAAATGAAGAAAATTTTAGTATGCAATTATATAGCATACAAATTTCAAAAAGATTAGCAGTTAAGTTATAAAAGTAAATACCATGTTAGGATGCTGGAATTATGAACAGCCTTTTTCTAACATTTTAACAATATTAATTGCTCTTAAGATTTACAGAGAAAAGAACCTATTTTGTTTTTTCACAGATTTATTTCTGGAAAGGTAAATCTTTTGTCATTCTCACCACTGTCATAAGAAACTTTTGTGTTTTATTTGCTAAGGAAATAATTCAAATTTTAGTTCATGCTAAACTCTTAAATTTTCCTATAACAGAGGGAATAATCTTGGAGAAAACCAGAAAATCTCACTTCACCTTTGTGAGATGTCTCCCAGTTGAAGGGAAACCCAACCTGACATCAGCGCCCCAGCATTTCTCTCGGCTCACTTAACTATCTAGAAAGCAAAATAAAATCATGAAGACGAGGGAGCTGAAACATGTGTGAAATTATTAGAGCATCCGAATGTCAAGGGAAATAGTCATAAGTTGTAAGTACTTATGAGCCCAGCTAAAAGGAACTGCAAAAACTTCTGATGTTGCCCTCAACGAAAGCTCCAGAGACACCTTTATAGACAGAGAAGGATTTTGACAATAAATTGCAAGGAATAGCCACATTAATTCTGAGAAAAATAAACAAGTCACTGAATTGTAGATATGACTAGGGTTTCTTATTCTTATGCACCGATGATAAAAATATTCAAACATGTCTCACCTTTTAGGTATAACAACATGAGTAAAATTTTAAAAATTAATTTAGTTTTTTTTGTGCAAGTATACCTGTAAATTAAAAAGTCAAAAAATTCTACAAGGATGATCTTTAAAAACAGCACTCTTTTTGTCCTCATTTTCTCTTGCCAGAGGATTTATTTTTAGCTAAATCTTTTTATATTTAACCTCCTTATCTCTAAATAATTGCTCATAGTGAGATTTTAAAATTTTACTTCCAGTTTTAGGCACAATGTGAGTAAATAATGTCCTCCAGTCACCCCTCACACACACATTTGCCAACCCCCAACCTCTGAATTTAGTTAAGATAAATATTCTATCAGTTTTACTTTACTATATTCATGATAGTCACAGCTGAACTGTGTTCTCTACCATGATTATTTTTGCTTTCCTGTACAATATTTTGTTTTCTCTATTTTTTGTCTCATTTGCTTAGCTTTCTAAGTACTTACCACTGATTTAACCCCTTTAGTCTGGCCAAAATGTGTAAACTTCTCCTTGATACCCTGAAACAATCAGTTACTGCGTTACTTTCATTTGTAAAAGAAATATGTTCGAGAACATCTTGACTCACATTTGAATGGTTGTCCTCTAAGCCTGATGCAACTTTCTTAGGAACTTCTCTCACTGATATTTTGAGCACTTTTTTTGTCCTCTTCTGTGTTGGAGTTCTGTTTTTTGCATGTCATATCTTCCCCTGGTTATAAATTGAAATTCTAGATAGGAAATAATTTTTTATCAGAATTATCAAACCATTGCTCCATTTCTAATTTCCAATGTGGCTATTGAGCTAGCTAATGCCATTCTAAGTGTTGAAATTTTGTTTGTTCTGTTCAGAAATTTTACAGTGATGAGTATCCCAGTGGTTCTACTTTCACGCAATGTGCTATTTGGTCAGGGAAATTTCAATCTTGTAACTGATGTTCATTTCTACTTATTTTTTTAAATTATTGCTTTGGTTTTCTATTCTCTGCTTACTATTTTCTCTCTGTTGGTACTCCTACCATTCTGATGTTGGACATCCTGGACTGGTTCTTTGATTTTTTAATATTTTCTTTCTTGATGTTCATATTTTTTATCTTTGCCTCATTTTCTGAAGATTTCCTCATCCTTCTCCTCCTACCCCTTTTTGAGTTTTTGATTTCCATAATATTTTTAATTTCTAAATTGAAATTATTTAATTTTAATTATTTCTTTTTAACGTGAATCCTTCTATAGAATATTTTTTCTTATTTTATGGATATGGTATCTTTTATCTCTTTGAAAATATTCATAATATTTTAAATATGTTCTTCACACTTAAAATTCCTGATTTACTCTAAAGGCAATGTAATATAGTTATTGGCATAGGGTCCAGTAACTAAGTATTTGCATTCAAGTCCTGACTCCACTACTTATTAGTTACGTGACCTTCGGAATGTTAACCTTTCAGTTCCTCAATTCCATTATGTATAAATACTATAAATGATAGGGTTGTTCTGAATATCAAATGACTAACACATGTACTTAAAACAATGCGTGGGATAAGGTAAGCCCTATACGTATTGTGCTAAAAGACTAGTTTATTATTTGTTATTGTGCTTGTCAGTTTTAGAATCTGCCATTCAAAGATCATTTATTTAAATGTCTTGTGATCTGCAACTCTATGCTGTGATCTAGAGTGCTGATAAGATGACCAGAAACGGCATGACAAGGGTCTTCCCATTTGTAGGCTTCACTATAGGCCATTGCGTTGGGGAACCCTGGCTGTCAATACCTTCATATTTTGAGTTTGTCAGATTACCTGCCTGAAGACTGCACATCTGTCTTCAGGTAAGAAGGCTAAGGATTTCAACCTTCGTTGTAAAATTATACTTAAAGTTTTCTATGTGGTATTTCCATCCACCACTTTGCTTTAAGCTTTTTGGTGAATAAACTCCATAGTGTTCAGTCTGGTGGGAATGAGCTAAGTTAGACTGAATTTTGCTGTCTAACTTTCCCTCTTAAATAAATTTTCTAATTTAGATTGTGTATCAGCTTTCCCTATCACTGGCTTCAGAACCATTTTCTTTGATCTGTTAAGTGAGTAACCACTTGACCACAACTTTCCAGCTTCCAATGTTTTTAATAGATGTGCTTTTACACCTTGTTATAAATGCCTTTGCTGTTTTTAAAATGGGATTTTACAGAAACTAAAGGTAAATGTGAGTGTTAAATGTACCATCTTTAACCAGAGCTGAAATGACTATTTAAGACAATAAGAAGCAATTATTAGGGAGAACAAAGTCTACTTATAAATAGACATTCAGCTCTATAAATTTCCTTTCCTTAACAAGCATTGATATTTTGGGAATAGCACTTCCGAATAACTGTACCCACTTAAAATTTCTCAATAAGAAAGCAGAAACAAAATCTTAAGCTCTGAATCTATAGCACAATGTTTATCCCTCTGCTTATCCTGCAATTTTCCCAATGCAGAAAAATTCCCAGTAGTGCAAGTTACAGCATCCACCACCAAGCATTGCCTTCTTCACTTGTATTCAAGTGTGTAAACATACATGAGGTTGACTATGTATGAGGTGCTATTTACCAAAATTATTTTTGCCATCATTCATGCAAACCAGCCCCCTTAAATGATTTTTAAGAAGGGAGATCTAATAGAACAGAGAGAAACATCATCTTTGGAAATGATGCAGAAAAGCTCAGCAAAAGAGAGTGAGAAAGTTGGAAAGAGCAGCAGCCAGAGCATCCATTTTTGTCACATATCATATGGAGAGAGAAGGCTTGCTGTCAGGCTTGTATTTGCTAAAAGCAACACTGTGCTTTTATACAAAATGTTCATTATGATAACGGTCACTTCAAGAAATGTCTTTTTTTTTTTTTTGCCTCACATCCCATTTTGGGGAAAATAATTAAAGGCATTAACTCAAGAGTAGGTGTATTTCTTTGGTAAAATATGGTTTCAGCAATGTTAATACAGCAAGCTTAACTGTTCATTTATTCTATTGTTAATTTTTTAAAAAATTATAATTAAGAAGAAAGACCTTTTATTTCCTGTCTCTTTGATTATCACACTGTGGGGTTTTATTTTTATTATTATTATTATTATTTTACTTTAAGTTTTAGGGTACATGTGCACAATGTGCAGGTTAGTTACATATGTACACATGTGCCATGCTGGTGTGCTGCACCCATTAACTCGTCATTTAGCATTAGGTATATCTCCTAATGCTATCCCTCCCCCCTCCCCCCACCCCACAACAGTCCCCAGAGTGTGATGTTCCCCTTCCTGTGTCCATGTGTTCTCATTGTTCAATTCCCACCTATGAGTGAGAACATGCGGTGTTTGGTTTTTTGTTCTTGCGATAGTTTACTGAGAATGATGATTTCCAATTTCATCCATGTCCCTACAAAGGACATGAACTCATCATTTTTTATGGCTGCATAGTATTCCATGGTGTATATGTGCCACATTTTCTTAATCCAGTCTATCATTGTTGGACATTTGGGTTGGTTCCAAGTCTTTGCTATTGTGAATAGTGCCGCAATAAACATACGTGTGCATGTGTCTTTATAGCAGCATGATTTATAATCCTTTAGGTATGTACCCAGTAATGGGATGGCTGGGTCAAACGGTATTTCTAGTTCTAGAACCCTGAGGAATCGCCACACTGACTTCCACAATGGTTGAACTAGTTTACAGTCCCACCAACAGTGTAAAAGTGTTCCTATTTCTCCACATCCTCTCCAGCACCTGTTGTTTCCTGACTTTTTAATGATTGCCGTTCTAACTGGTGTGAGATGGTATCTCATTGTGGTTTTGATTTGCATTTCTCTGATGGCCAGTGATGGTGAGCATATTTTCTTTTTTTTTTTTTTTTTTTTTTTTGAGACGGAGTCTCGCTCTGTCGCCCAGGCTGGAGTGCAGTGGCGGGATCTCGGCTCACTGCAAGCTCCGCCTCCCAGGTTCATGCCATTCTCCTGCCTCAGCCTCCCAAGTAGCTGGGACTACAGGCGCCCGCCACTACGCCCGGCTAATTTTTTGTATTTTTAGTAGAGACAGGGTTGCACCGTTTTAGCCGGGATGGTCTCGATCTCCTGCCCTCGTGATCCGCCCGCCTCGGCCTCCCAAAGTGCTGGGATTACAGGCGTGAGCCACCGCGCCCGGCCGGTGAGCATATTTTCATGTGTCTTTTGGCTGCATAAATGTCTTCTTTTGAGAAGTGTCTGTTCATGTCCTTTGCCCACTTTTTGATGGGGTTGTTTGTTTTTTTCTTGTAAATTTGTTTGAGTTCATTGTAGATTCTGGATATTAGCCCTTTGTCAGATGAGTAGGTTGCAAAAATTTTCTCCCATTTTGTAGGTTGCCTGTTCACTCTGATGGTAGTTTCTTTTGCAGTGCAGAAGCTCTTTAGTTTAATGAGATCCCATTTGTCCATTTTGGCTTTTGTTGCCATTGCTTTTGCTGTTTTAGACATGAAGTCCTTGCCCATGCCTGTGTCCTGAATGGTAATGCCTAGGTTTTCTTCTAGGGTTTTATGGTTTTAGGTCTAACGTTTAAGTCTTTAATCCATCTTAAATTAATTTTTGTATAAGGTGTAAGGAAGGGATCCAGTTTCAGCTTTCTACATATGGCTAGCCAGTTTCCCAGCACCATTTATTAAATAGGGAATCCTTTCCACATTGCTTGTTTTTCTCAGGTTTGTTAAAGTTCAGACAGTTGTAGACATGCAGTGTTATTTCTGAGGGCTCTCTTCTGTTCCATTGATCTATATCTCTGTTTTGATACCAGTACCATGCTGTTTTGCTTACTGTTGCCTTGTAGTATAGTTTGAAGTCAGGTAGCATGATGCCTCCAGCTTTGTTCTTTTGGCTTAGGATTGACTTGGCGATGCAGGCTTTTTTTTGGTTCCATATGAACTTTAAAGTAGTTTTTTCCAATTCTGTGAAGAAAGTCATTGGTAGCTTGATGGGGATGGCATTGTATCTATAAATTACTTTGGGCAGTATGGCCATTTTCACGATATTGATTCTTCCTACCCATGAGCATGGAATGTTCTTCCATTTGTTTGTATCCTCTTTAATTTCATTGAGCAGTGGTTTGTAGTTCTCCTTGAAGAGGTCCTTCACATCACTTGTCAGTTGGATTCCTAGGTATTTTATTCTCTGTGAAGCAATTGTGAATGGGAGTTCACTCATGATTTGGCTCTCTGTTTGTCTGTTATTGGTGTATAAGAATGCTTGTGATTTTTGTACATTGATTTTGTATCCTGAGACTTTGCTGAAGTTGCTTATCAGCTTAAGGAGATTTTGGGCTGAGACAATGGGGTTTTCTAGATATACAATCATGTCATCTGCAAACAGGGACAATTTGACTTCCTCTTTTCCTAATTGAATACTCTTTATTTCCTTCTCCTGCCTGATTGCTGTGGCCAAAACTTCCAACACTATGTTGAATAGGAGTGGTGAGAGAGGGCATCCCTGTCTTGTGCCAGTTTTCAAAGGGAATGCTTCCAGTTTTTGCCCTTTCAGTATGATACTGGCTGTGGGTTTGTCAGAGATAGCTTTTATTATTTTGACATGCATCCCAACAATACCTAATTTATTGAGAGTTTTTAGCATGAAGGGTTGTTGAATTTTGTCAAAGGCCTTTTCGGCATCTATTGAGATAATCATGTGGTTTTTGTCTTTGGTTCTTTTTATATGCTGGATTACATTTATTGATTTGCATATATTGAACCAGCCTTGCATCCCAGGGATGAAGCCCACTTGATCATGGTGGATAAGCTTTTTGATGTGCTGCTGGATTCGGTTTGCCAGTATTTTATTGAGGATTTTTGCATCAATGTTCATCAAGGATATTGGTCTAAAATTGTCTTTTTTGGTTATGTCTCTGCCCGGCTTTGGTATCAGGATGATGCTGGCCTCCTAAAATGAGTTAGGGAGGATGCCCTCTTTTTCTATTGATTGGAATGGTTTCAGAAGGAATGGTACCAGTTCCTCCTTGTACCTCTGGTAGAATTTGGCTGTGAATACATCTGGTCCTGGACTCTATTTGTTTGGTAAGCTATTGATTATTGCCACAATTTTGGAGCCTGTTATTGGTCTATTCAGAGATTCAACTTCTTCCTGGTTCAGTCTTGGGAGGAGAAATAAAATACTTTACAGACAAGCAAATGCTGAGAGATTTTGTCACCACCAGGCCTGCCCTAAAAGAGCTCCTGAAGGAAGCACTAAACATGGAAAGAACAATCGGTACCAGCCACTGCAAAATCATGCCAAATTGTAAAGACCATCGAGGCTAGGAAGAAACTGCATCAACTAACGAGCAAAATTACCAGCTAACATCATAATGACAGGATCAAATTCACACATAACAATATTAACTTTAAATGTAAATGGACAAAATGCTCCAATTAAAAGACACAGACTGGCAAATTGGATAAAGAGTCAAGACCCATCAGTGTGCTGTATTCAGGAAATCATCTCACGTGCAGAGACACACATAGGCTCAAAATAAAAGGATGGAGGAAGGTCTATCAAGCAAATGGAAAACAAAAAAAGGCAGGGGTTGCAATCCGAGTCTCTGATAAAACAGACTTTAAACCAACAAAGATCAAAAGAGACAAAGAAGGCCATTACATAATGATAAAGGGATCAATTCAACAAGAAGAGCTAACTATCCTAAATATATATGCACCCAATACAGGAGCACCCAGATTCATAAAGCAAGTCCTGAGTGACCTACAAAGAGACTTAGACTCCCACACAATAATAACGGGAGACTTTAACACCCCACTGTCAATATTAGACAGATCAATGAGACAGAAAGTTAACAAGGATACCCAGGGATTGAACTCAGCTCTGCACCAAGCGGACCTAATAGACATCTACAGAACTCTCCACCCCAAATCAACAGAATATACATTTTTTTCAGCACACCACACCTATTCCAAAATTGACCACATACTTGAAAGTAAAGCTCTCCTCACAAAATATAAAAGATCGGAAATTATAACAAACTGTCTCTCAGAGTACAGTGCAATCAAACTAGAACTCAGGATTAAGAAACTCACTCAAAACCACTCAACTACATGGAAACTGAACAACCTGCTCCTGAATGACTACTGGGTACATAACGAAATGAAGGCAGAAATAAAGATGTTCTTTGAAACCAACGAGAACAAAGACACAACATACCAGAATCTCTGGGACACATTCAAAGCAGTGTGTAGAGGGAAATTTACAGCACTAAATGCCCACAAGAGAAAGCAGGAAAGATCCAAAATTGACACCCTAACATCACAATTAAAAGAACTAGAAAAGCAAGAGCAAACACATTCAAAAGCTAGCAGAAGGCAAGCAATAACTAAAATCAGAGCAGAACTGAAGGAAATAGAGACACAAAAAACCCTTCAAAAAATTAATGAATCCAGGAGCTGGTTTTTTGAAAGGATCAACAAAATTGATAGACCGCTAGCAAGACTAATAAAGAAGAAAACAGAGAAGAATCAAATAGACACTATGGGGTTTTAAACCATGTAAAACATTACTAAAACCTTACTTCATTTGGTACCATAGTGGCAACATAGTCTCTACTGCAGCAAATCATCTAGTGGAAATCTGTAGCCACTTGGGTATCAGACCATCAAACTTACTAAACATACAAGGTGATGACAGCTTCTGGAACAGAACATCTCAACACTGAGTCAACTGAGCTTAACCTCTGTTGAAACTCCCTCTGTCTATGACATGGGATAACAGATCCCAATGTCTCAAACAGTGTTAATATCAAAGGAACTCAGTGAAGGATTTAAGCCTATAAGGAATGCTAATGAGTGAAATATTTCTCCCCCTATTTTTATTATGTTCTGTAAGGTTAGAGTCTAGAATTATCGATAGATCATTTTTTGTTTGTTGATTGGATTTTTGAGACAGGGTCTTGCCCTGTCACCCAGGCTGGCATACAATGGCCTGATCACAGCTCACTGCAACCTCAAACTCCTGGGTTCAAGAGATACTCCCGCCTCAGTCTCCCAAACAGCTAAAACTACAGGTACATGCCACTATACACAGCTAATTATTTTATTATAATTTAGTTTTTGTAGATATGGGGTATCACATTGTTGCCCAGGTTGGTGCTGAACTCCTGGCTTCAAGAGATTCTCCTGCCTCGACCTCTCAAAGTGCTGGGATTATAGGCCTGAGCCACTGTGCCCAGCCATCAATAGTTGTTAGAATATACCTGCTCTGCAAATTTCTCTGGATTTAACAGAATAATTAAAATTTCTCTATTAAACTATTAAGGCAAATATATATGCTATGTATATATATTTTTTGAGCAAAATAGTTGATCTTGTGAGACTGCCTGTATAGATTTACGAATTCTACAAAAAGCATGTGTCTCCACTATTCAAGACAACCTACACTTCTGACCAGTACATTAGGCCTTGATTTGAAGAGAAGTTTGGAATCTTAAAATTATGTCATCATTACAGAAAAATGAATTTAAATGAAAAATGAATTAAAAATGAATTTAAATGAATTTAAATCATCTTAGATAGCCAACAATGTTTATTATAAAAGATCAGAAACTTAAATCATTGATTTCCCATTATTTTCTTTTCTTTAACTACATACAAGCTGTAAGACGGGAACATGCCCTTTTTGTCTAGCTGAACGATAAGAGCATACGTCACACACTGTGCCTATTCAAATATGCACTCTCTGATAAAGATTGAAATTGTGGAGAATGTTAATGGAAAGCAGGCTCTCAAGTTCTTCTATAGAGGCTATTACTCGACGCAAATGAAAAATGCAGAGCACAGTGCTCTGGGCTCTTTGGCCCATTCTGCTGAATTGAAAGGGAAAATTGAAAAGACTCAATTATTCTATTTATTATTTGATGAGTTTTTATAATACAAAATGAATTTTGTGATTAATGAGGATTTTATGTGGACTGTACATACAAAACTTCATCTACACAAAGCAAATAGCATTATTTTCTGCCTAGCGAAGGTGAAAATGAAATGTAAAATAAAGTTGATTGACTTAAAGTTAATATATAAAAGGTAGCACTAGTTAATAAGAGTATTGATTAAAGATATAAGAAAAGATGGTGACAATTTATCAAATATCCTTGTTCTAGGTCCTCAGGGTGGCTGCTTAATAAACACTTTTTCTTACAACTGATTCATATTTTCATATTACTCCTTGTTTCTTTTTTCTATGGACATATCAGAATCACATACCACCATTACCATTACAGTAATACATACTTACACAAAAAAATTAATTTGTAAATCTCTTAGTTTATTTTAACATCTTAAATGGGATTAATCTTACAATAGAGGCAGGCACTAAAGGGTTGGGGATAAATATAATTAAAACACATCAACTGGAATTAATCAATTAATTCAGGCAAAAAAATATTATTGAAAAATAGAGAAACATCTATAATCATTATGTTTTTAATCAATATAATATTAATTTTGGTAATAATTTAAAAATATCTTTAATCTTAGTGGATATGTAAAATGTTTTTTATAACCTGTTTCTATCAAACTCTTGTACGTCAGACAATCTTTATGATATATAAAATTGTAAAACAATTTTTTAAATCTTAGAAAAATGCTTGGTTTTTTTTTTGAATTTATTCTCTATTCCCCTTTACAAGGTTTTGTATCCTTCACATAAAGGCAACTTACACACACACATACACAAATGCACACACACGTGAACAAACACACACACACACACTTTCAATTCAATTCCTAGTACTGGGGAAGTGAAAAAAAATCCACACATAGTCTCTCCTCAGGCTTATGCAAAAATAATTACAAATTCTAATTCAAGACATGGCTTACTTTATATGCAACAACTTCTCTCTTTGTTTTCCTCTGGGACACAACACATAAAGTGATGACTAAGTCTCCAATGATCACACTTTTGCCCTCATGAGAATACCACATGAAGTGTATATGGTTCTGCAATGCACAAATCTTGGAAGTGAAAGGAACACAAGGAAAATTATCCTACTTACAGTAGAGTGCTTTAGGCATTTTCTTCTTTTCATTGACCCACAGAAAACTTTTCCTAATGCCAATTTGAGCCTATGCAAGAAATCAACAACCTTGTGAAATAAATGCCAATCTGTCTTACTCCATATCCACATATGACAAAATAAATGGACTCCAACCCAGCACAGGGTGGTCAACTTAACAATCAATCCAGTTGGCAATCAGATCAGTTGTCAAAGATAGATCGAGTTAAAACCATTAAATTCAAGAGATAATACACTGAATAATTCTATTATATCCTACTTAATTTTCATAGATATTTTTAATAGATGGGAACATAAAAATACAGTAATGCATTCTGTTTATTGATGGCAGAGAAAACAAAATTAAGAGTTGCATTATTTCTGCTCACAAACAAGATCCTGCATAGTCCTAGAGAACATCCTAGAGTAAAGCTACAGTCTTCTCCTTGGAATGATATAATAGGGAACTAAAAATATTTGCTGGACTAGTATTTTAAAGGAAAGTGCAAGATTCTAGATTTGAATTGAAAAAACAAAACAACTTGGCATATGTTTTTGCTCCAAATTTTTCACCTATGTTTACAAAATAAATTATAGCACATCTCTAGATGTCAACTTTTCATAGTCAAGTGTAGTCTTGGCACTTCCCTCCCAAGATAATAAAAATTAATAGCATTATGCTGAAATAATTTTGAACCCTCATAAGGAAGCTACTGAATATAGCTGAGTATTACTATTAATCATAGCTATGCTCCAAATCAACATAGTTGTACATTAAATTTAGCTTAGCCTGAAGTATTCTTGAAGATGTATTTAAACAATTACGTGATGCTTCTGTACAGTTATGTGGATGATACAACCCACATTTTCCAACTCAATCCCAGTGTTAAATATTATATTTTATTGTCAGTACATGCATTCTAAGCTTGAAAAATTTAGTCCCATTATATATTGGTAATATTCTTTGATTCATAATATTTATTTGTTGTATTCCAATTAAAATTTCCTCTTGCTGCTTTACTAACTACAATTTATACTTTATTAACATAATGATATACATATGTAAATACTATATTATTTCCAAAATTTATAAGTATACATTGTATCCCTTTTTCCTAATTAGTCTAAAACTTAGCATAAACAATAAAAGAAAATAAAACAATATTTGTCAAACTTTCTTCCTGTTTGTAGTCATCAAATTACTATGAAATAAGTCAGTATTAGTCACTATAAGTACAAAATCAATTATTGCTCAGGGGACAAAGAGTTTTTCCCACAACTAATATAAGTCACGTCTTCACATAGTAAATATCAGGAATGGAGTATGCAAAAACATGTAAATATTCATAATAATTTCAGTTTGCAATATCTGTTACAGTTTAGAAAGTAATTTTGCATTTATTTTTTACATTTTATTAAGACAAACTCTATGAGGTTCCCATTTAAAAGAGTCAAAGGTGCTAAAGCAAGACCTAAATGATGAGGTCTTGTCAATTCAGCCACGTCTGTCTGGTCCTTAGAAGAGAGATTGTGACTGAAATATTGGAAAAAACAGTCAAACAACCAACTTTTCGGAAAAAAATTTCCCCAAGCTGCTGTTTAATGATATCTTCCCCTTTGGTATTACTGGAAATTTAGAGTGCAATACATTAAAGGTATTCAAAAGTTAGACCAAAGAAAGTGAAATGAATGTTGAGGAAATAGACAATTCCGAACATAATTTAGTGGGGGTATTTCTCGACATATCTATACTTTGCCTGGTTGCTAGGAAGACAGAAAGATCAAGCCAACAGAAATAAATGTACTCTTCAAAAGGAGAGAGTAGTGGCTTTAAAACATGGCTATGAATTCTTTTTAACACTCTGTCCATCAAGAGATGAGGTCTGTGCCACTTCTCCTTGAATCTGGGTGGGGTCGTGACGGCTTCAACCAAAAGAGTATGGTGAATGTAATACTATTTGACTTCTGAGGAAAGTTTGCATAAAACCATGCAGATTTTGTATTGTTTTACTGAAGCACTTGGAGTCTTGAGCTCCAAGTCTGAATATCTTGAATTCTCCATGCCATGAATTCTCCATGCCCAAACCACCAGGAGAATCATCCAGACATGTTAGTGAAGAAGCCTCCAGATAAATCCAGCCTTCAGTCATTCAAGTCACTGCAGAATCTGGGTCTTCCCAGCTGTTGCCCAAACATTGTGGGGTAGAGAAAAACTATCCTTACTATCCCCTTTCTGAATTTCTGACTCACAGAACCCATGAGCATAAGAAAACAGTAGTTGTTTTGTGCTATAAGCTCTTGGGTAATTTGTTACAACAGTTAGAGATGACAGATAAAATGGATAATTTTAACATGTGGGGATGGCTGACTAGAAGCAGCTATGATGTGGCTTTTATGGAGAGAAATGAAAAGGACGAGTAAATACAGGACCTTCAGTTGAAACATCCAGATACTTGCATTGGGACTAATCATAAAAACAACTCAACCCATGGAGAACAGAGAAAAGCAAAGCAAAACGATGGGTCACCCAGGAGTGACACGGAGCCAAGGAAACCTCCTCACCCAGGCAAGCCGTGTGTGAATGTGTGACCTCGGTAAACCACGGTTCTCCCAGAGACCCTTTCAACCCTTGGGTCAGGAGATCCCCTCATGAACCCACTCCACCAGGGCCTTCAGTCGGACACACAGCGCAATGTGGAGTCTCAAGCAAAGCAGCCACTCAGGCATGTGGGGAGACCCAGAAGCATTACAAACTCTGGCTCCAGACTTCCCAGCAAAAGTAACTGCAACTTCAGCATAGCGGGAGGTTAGACCTTTGTACATACCCCTAGGAAAGAGGTTAAATCCAGGAGGCCAAACAGCGATGGTCTGCAGGCCCCACTTCCATGGCATATCACAGGATAAGACTTACTGGATTAGAATTCCAGCCAGTCACTAGAAACAGTGTTGCACTTACCCGGGACAAAGTTCCTGGGGGAAGGAATAGGCTGCCATCTTTGCTGTTTAGATGACTCAGCTGTTCCAACCTGTGGGCTTTGGAGAGTCCAAACCAACCAAGGGCTGAACGTATCCCCGACCACAGCACAGCTGCTCTCCCAAAACGTGGCCAGACTGCTTCTTTAAGCAGGTCCTTGATCCATTTCTCTTCACTGAGCGGGACCTCCCAACCGGGGCCTCCAGCCGTCCCCACCAGTGTTCTCTAGCCAACAGAGATTTGGAAATTTCCTGGGATGGAGCTCCCAAAGAGAGAGGCAGGCTGCCATCTTTACTGTTTGGAAAACTTAGTCTTTCCAGCCTCCAGCCTTTCAAGAGCCCAAGGCAACCAGGAACAGAAGTGGTATCCCAGCAAACATGGCTGCTTGACAAAAGGATGTCCAGACAGCTTCTTTAAGAGGTTCCCTAATTCCATTCCTCCTGACTGAGTGAGACCTCCAAACCAGGGTCTTCAACCACTTCCTACAGGTGCATTCAGGTCAGCAACAGGTCCGTACCTCCCTGGCGCTCCCAGATGAAGGGGCAGGCTATCATATTTGCTGTTTCACAGCTTTCACACGTGATACCTCCAGGTACTGGAAAATCGGAGATGACTAGGGACTGGAGTGGACCCCCAACAAACCGCAGCAGCCCTACTGAAGAGTGGCCAGGCTGTTAAAAGAAAAAAAACAAAAAATAGAAAGGTCAGCAACCTCAAAGATTGAAGGTAGATAAGCCCATAAAGATGAGAAAGAATCAGCACAAGACTGTTGAAAACTCAAAAAGCCAGAGTGCCCTCTTTCCACCAAATGACCACCTCACCTCTCCAGCAAGGGTTTAGAACTGGGCTGAGGCTGGAGATGGCTGGAAATGAGAAAATGGTCGGTTCACTCACTAACCACTGCTGGGGTGAGAAGTTGGCTGCTGAGATAAATGAGTGGAGCTTCTTTAGTACGATAAACAGTTTTTAGAATTCTGCTAGGATGTTATTGTCTGCTGCCGGGTTTGAACACTGTATAAAATGCAAAGAAGCTAAAAATTGTGATAAAACACTGAAAGAGCTGACAGACAAAATAACCAGTATAGAGAAGAATGTAACCAACCTGAAAGAGCTGAAAAACACAATAGAAGAATTTCATAATGCAATCACAAGTATAAATAGCAAAATAGACCAAGTGAAAGAAAGAATCTCAGAGCATGAAGATGGTGTTTCTGAAATAAGCCAGGCAGACAAGAATAGAGGAAAAATGAATGAAAACGAATGAAAAAAAATTTTTTTGTACGGGATTATGTAAAGAGATCAAATCTACGACTGATTGGTGTATCTGAAAGAGATGGAGAGAATAGAACTAATTTGAAAAACATATTTCAGGATATCATCCATGAGAAGTTCCCCAACCTAGCTAGACAGGTCAACTTCAAATTCCAGAAATGCAGAGAACCCCAGTCAGATACTCCATGAGAAGATCATCCCCAAGGCATATAATCAGATTCTGTAAGGTCAAAATCAAAGAAAAAAAATATTAGGACAGCTAGAGAGAAAGGCCAAGTCACCTACAAAGGGAAGCCCATCAGACTAACAGTAGACCTTTTAGCAGAAACCCTACAAGCCAGAAGAGATTGGGATAAAACATTCAGTATTCTTAAAGAAAAGAAATTCCAAGCCAGAATTTTATATCTGGCCAAACTAAGCTTCATAAGTGAAGAAGAAATAAAACCCTTTTCAGACAAGCAAATGCTGAGGGAATTCATTACCACCAGTCCTGCTTTACAAGAGCTCCTGAAGAAAGCACTAAATGTGGAAATGAAAGACCATTAGTGGCCAGGCACAGTGGCTCATGCCTATAATCCCAGCACTTTGGGAGGTCAAGGCAGGCAGATCACTTGAGGTCAGGAGTTTCAGACCAGCCTGGCCAACATGGTGAAACCCCATCTCTACTAAAAATACAAAAATTAGCCGGGTGTGGTAGCAGATGCCTATAATCCCAGCTACTTGGGAGACTGAGGCAGGAGAATCACTTGAAGCCAAAAGGTGGAGGTTTCAGTGAGCTGAGATCACACCACTGCACTCCAGCCTGGGTGACGGAGTGAGAATCCATCTCAAAAAAAAAAAAAAAAAAAAAGAAACAGAGACCATAAGACCATTAGCAGCCCCTACAAAAACACACTTAAGTACACAGACTAGTGAGACTATAAAGCAATCACATAAACAAATCTGCAAAATAATCTGCTAACATCACGATGACAGGATCAAATCCATACATATCAATACTAACATTAAATGTAAATGAGCTAAATGCCCCAATAAAAAGACACAGAGTGGCAAGCTGGATAAGGAACCAAGACCCATTGCTATGCTATCTTCAAGAGACCCATCTCACATGCAATGACACATATATGCTTAAAATAAAGAGATATAGAAAAATCTACCAAGCAAATGGAAAACAGAAAAAAGGAGGGGTTGCAATCTTAGTTTCTGAGAAAACAGGCTTTAAACCAAAAAAGATCAGAAAAGACAAGGAAGGGCATTACATAATGATAAAATATTTAATTCAACAAGAAGAGCTAACTATCATATATATATATATGAACCCTACACAGGAGCAACCAGATTCATAAAGTAAGTTCTTAGAGACCTTCAAAGAGTCTTAGAATCCCACACAATAATCATGGGAGACTTTAACACTCCATTGAAAATATCAGACAAATCACCAAGGCAGAAAATTAACAAAGATATTCAGGACCTGAACTCAGCACTGGGTCAAATGGACCTGAGAGATATCTACAGAACCCTGCACCCCAAAACAATAGAATATACTTTCTTTCATTGCCAATTGGCACTTACTCAAAAATCAATCAATAATCAGAAGTAAAACACTCCTCAGCAAATGCAGAATAACTGAAATCATAACATACAGTCTATCAAATCACAGTGCAATCAAATTTAAAACTAAGAATAAGAAATTCATTCAAAACCATACAATTCCATAGAAATTGAATAACCTGCCCCTGAATGACTTTTGGGTAAATAATGAAGTTTAGGCAGAAATCAAGACATTCTTTGAAACTTATGAGAACAAATATATAACATATCAGAATCTCTGGGACACAGCTAAGGCATTGATAAGTGGGAAATGTATAGCATTAAATGTCCACATCAAAAAGTTAGAAAGATCTCAAGTTAACAATCTAGCATCACAACTAAAAGAACTAGAGAACCAAGGGCAAGCAAATCCCAAAGCTAGCAGAAGACAAGAGAGAAGATTCAAATAAACAGTATCAGAAATGATAAGGGGGATAACACCACTGACCCCACACAAATGCAAACAACCATCAGAGAATTATTATAAACACCTCTATGCACATAACCTAGAAAATCTAGAATAAATGGATAAATTCCTAGATGCACACATCCTCCCAAGACTGAACCAGGGAGAAATTGAATCCCCGAACAGACCAATAACGAGTTCTGAAATTGAGGTAGTAATAAATAGCCTACCAACGAAAAACAAACAAACAAAAATAGCCCAGGACCAGATGGGTTCACAGTTGAATTCTATCAGATGTAGAAGAAGAGCTGGTACTATTTCTACTGAAACTATTCCAAAAACTTGAAAAGAAGAAACTATTTTCTAACTCATTCTATGAGGCAAGCATCATGGTGATACAAAAGCCTGGCAGAGATACAACAAAAAAGAAAATTTCAGGCCAATATCCTTGAGGAATATCAGTGCAAAAATCTTCAACAAAATACTGGCAAACTGAATCCAGCAGCACATCAAAAAGCTTATCCACAATGATCAAGTAGGCTTCATCCCTGGAATGAAAGTTTGGTTCAACATATGCAAATCAATAAATGTGATTCATCATATAATCAGAACAAAAGGCAACAAGTACATGACTAACTCGATAGGTACAGAAAAGACTTTCAATCAAATTCAACATCCTTCAGGTTAAAAACTCTCAATAAACTAGGTATTGAAGGAACATACCCCAAAATAATAAGAGCCATGTATGACAAAACCACAGCCAGCATCATACTGAATGGGCAAAAGCTGGAAACATTCCCCTTGAAAACTTGCACAAGACAAAGATGTGCTCTCTCACAACTCCTATTAAACATAGTATTGGAAGTTCTGGCCAGGGCAATCAGGTAAGAGAAATAAATAAAAGGAATTCAAATAGTAAGAGAGGAAGTCAAACTATCTCTGTTTACAGATGACACAATCCTAAATCTAGAAAATCCCATCTTCTGAGCCCAAAGGTTTCTTAAACTGATAAGTGTCTTCAGCAAAGTCTCAGGATACAAATTCAATGTGCAAAAATTGCCAGCATTCCTATATACCAACAACAGTCAAGCCAAAAGCCAAATCCCAAACAAATCCCCATTCACAATTGCCACAAAAAGTATAAAATACCTAGTAATACAGCTAAAAGCAAAGAGAAAGATCCCTACAAAGAGATCTATGAACCACTGCTCAGAAAAATCAGAGATGACACAAACAAATGGAAAAACATTCCATGTTCATGGATAGGAAAAACAAGTGTCATTAAAATGGCCATACTACCCAAAGCAATTTGTAGATTCAGTTCTGTTCTCATTAAACTACCATTGACATTCTTCACAGAACTAGAAAAAAATATATTTTAAAATTCATACAAAACCACAAAAAGAGCTTGAATAGCCAAGGCAATCCTAAGCAAAGAGAACAACATGATACCTGACTTCAAACTATACTGCAGGAGTACAGTAACCAAAACAGCATGGTAATGTTACAAAAACAGATACATAGGCCAGTGGAACAGAATCAAGAACATAGAAGTATGGCCACACACCTACAACTATCTTCAACAAACCAGACAAAAACAAACAACGGGGAAAGGATTCCCTATTCAATAAATGGAGTTGGGATAACTGGCAAGCCATAGGCAGAAGATTGAACCTGCACCCCTTCCTTAGACTATATAGAAAAGTTAACTCAATGTTGGTTAGCAACTTAAACATAAAGCCCAAAACTATAAAAAACCCTGGAAGACAGCCTAGGCAATACCATTTAGGACATAGGCATGGGCAAAGATTTTATAACAAAGACGTCAAAAGCAATTGCAACAAAACCAAAAATTGACAAATAGAATCTAATTAAAGAGCTTCTGCACAGCAAAAGGAACTAATAGAGTAAACAAACAACCTGCAGTATGGGAGAAATTTTTTGCAAACTGTGCATCTGACAAAAATCTAATATTTCGGCATCTATAAGGTACTTAAACAAATGTACAAGAAAAACACAACCCTATTAAAAAGTGGGTAAAAGACATGAACAGACACTTTTCAAAAGAAGATATACATCCAACCAACAATCTTATGAAAGAAAAGCTCAACATCACTGATCATTAGAGAAATGCAAATCAAAACCATAATGAGATACCATCTAACACCAGTCAGAATGGCTACTAATAAGTCAAGAAATAACAGATGCCGGCAGAGAAAAGGGAACACTTATACACTGTTGATGGGAGTGCAAATTTGGTCAATCATTGTGGAAGACACTGTGGTGATTCCTTAGAGACCTTAAGACAAAAATATCGTTTGACCCAGTAATCCCGTTACTGGGTACACACCCAAAGAAATATAAATTATTCTATTATAAACATACATGCACACATATATTCATTGCAGCACTATTCACAATAGCAAAGACATGGAATCAACCTAAATGCCCATCAATGATAGACTGGATAAAGAATATGTGGTACATACACACCATGGAATAATATTCAGCCATAAAAAAGGAACAAGATCACATCCTTTGCAGGAACATGGATGGAACTGGAGATCAAAACTAATACAGGAACAGGAAACCAAATACTGTTCTCACTTATAAGTGGGAGCTAAATGATGATAATACGTGAACACATACAGGGGAACAATACACACTGGGGCCTTTCAGAGGGTAGAGAGTGGGGGGAGGGAGAGGAGTGGGAAAAATAACTAATGGATACCAGGCTTAATACCTGGGTGATGAAATAATCTGTACAACAAACCCCCGTGACACAAGTTTACCTGTGTAACAAACCTGTACTTATTCCCCTGAACTTAAAATGAAAGTTACAAAATAAATAAATAACAATAAAAAGCATTATAATTTTTTTTTAATTTTTACATACAGCAGGCCAGGGTTTTCAATCCCCTACTCCTTTTTAGGAATGAGGCTTTGGTGAGACAAATAGGAAAGAAGGAGCTCTGGCTTGCTTTACAATGAATAAAAGGATATCTAAAAGAGGCAGTCAAAACTAGCATAATAAGGATTTTTCTTTTGTTTTATAGTTATTTCCCTCTGGAAAGTATGAAGGATCTAAATTTTTCCATCACACTCAAATATTGTAAGAACCAAAATGAGATACCACATTTACCATGATGTCATTATTATACACTGTATGCCTGTATCAAAATGTCATGTACCCCATCAATATATACACCTATGAATGTACCTACACAATTAAAAATAAACTTTTTTTAAAAAAAGAACAGGAATAATCTGTTGCCTCTTCTGCTGTAATATCACAGAGAAACAGAAGAACCTTGCCTATATCTTAAAGAATGCAGTCTGAATCCTTGGAAGCAGAGCATGGTGGTAGAAAAATTGAAAGAGAAACAGAGGGAAAGAGAGAGAGGAAGAACGAGACAAGAGACTCCAAGACACCCCTCTGAGGTGGATGCCATTTGCACCAATACATGAGTCCAGGAAATTTTGGCACCCTGCTCTGGACTCATCTACTTCTGGCAATAGTTATGCCACCATTTGGGAGGTTATATTTCAGAAGGTTCACCTACTGCATTATTGGAAACAGTTTCAATAAATCATGATTTTAAAAACTGTTAGCAAAGATATTGAAGTAGGATGGAAGAACAATGTGAGGATGCTGACATGAGTGAGGGGCTCACAAGGAATCAATCAGAGGAGTCACAACTGACAGCAGGGGGTAGTATTCCTGCAGCAACTTAGCACTCAACCCAGAGCAGAGGGCATGATAGAGAAAAGTAGAGTGAAACCTAGACTCAGAAATTACATATCTGCAAGTGCAGTTTTCTAACACCTAGTTCAGTGCTTCCAGCCATCTGGAAACAAGAATAAAATGCCTGCAATTAACTAAACTGGGCTATATAGATACAAACAGGATATCTTGAGTTAAAAAAAAATAGTGTAGGAATGGAAATTAAATTTAGTTGCTTACATCTTTGCTGTTATACAATCAGCAAAGAGGGGTTTCAACTTCGTTACTTAATTTTGGTGAGTTGAGAAACAGTAAAATATACAAAGAAATCACCTAAACTTCCAATCCAGTAGAGTGAGTGCTGTCAATTCTCAGAGAAAGTCACTGTTTTAGATTGTGTAGGCTTTGCTTATGTCCCCTTCATCAGTAGTTTATATTTCTTCCAGGGATTTCCTCTATTTATTTGTAATTTTAAAAATTCAGTTTTGAACTTTATCTGACCAGTCTCCTGCTACAAATAAAAGATAATATTTTCAAAATTTATTAATTTCAGCATACACACACATACACACACAAAACATGTCTCAACAATAAGACCTAAAATAATTTGAAAGTTATAACTAAGCTAGAATGTATGGGGAAAAGACAGAAATAAAGGAGGAAAAAAAGACATTGTTTATTTGCATTTTAATAGAGTAAGAATCCCATTTTGAAAACTGCTGCAGTTTCATTTTAAACCAAGCCACTTTTGAATATACACGTTTCAGCATTTTTAAACACCTCTGTTTCCCATTAAATCACTATGTACATTTAATTTCCTCAATTGAAACTCCACTGAGATAACAATATACAGAAAAAAGCATGAGCACTTTGTGCAATCACTGACAAATGTAATAGTACGCGTGTAGCATGTTCCATCTCAGTGCCCAGAAAAGTACCAAATCTGTCAAAATGATTCTTACTTTCCTAAACGAGCAGACTCTACTATACTACCTCAAGATGACTGCTAATATAACCATTTTTAAAAACAAAATTTTATTGTCATATATTTATTTTCCCCTTGGCTCTAAACCAAATGAATTTATTTAGTTTAAATATTTTATTTTGTCCAGGGCCTTGTGAATCATATTGGACTTTCTAAAGAATGCCTATTGTACAGCAGGTTATTACTAAATATTTATAACTGGTAAAGTGAAGGAATTGTGGTATTCATTCACATAGGAAACAAAGTAAACAATTGAAACTGTTCAACTATTGTTTATATAAGGGGTTTATACTTTCTAATTTTAAATTAATGCCACTTATTCCTCTGTTTGGGAAACTAACTTTCACTAAAGTTAATTAGACATTAATGTATTATATTGAAAGATTATTCTGCTCATCGATAAAACTGATCCTAGCATGTTTTGATGCCTGCCACCGTAGAACTCATACATCTTGAAAATAACATTGTCAATTCTTAATTATCTAAAAATTAATCTTTCTTCTCCTCCTTCCCTCCTGTTTCAGAGAAGAAATTATCCCTAGTACTTTCCACATCTACTGTTTCTCTATTATTTTATCTCTTGCTGCCTCTCAGAGAAGCACTTCTCTAGTGAAAGATGTTATAAGAGTAGAAAGAGATTAACTTTCAGGATTAGACAGACCTAGTTCCAACTTTGATAGCTCATTGCTCCCTAATTCCTAGAACTGTGACCTTAGCCAAGTTACTCAACCATTACAAGTAGGAAAGGGTCTACAAAACTGTTTTCCCCATAGCATGGAAATTTAGCCAATGGTTAACCCTAGCCAAATGACTTTTGCATGGTAAATTGCATCTGGACAGGGAGGAATTATAAATGTACAATAAATATTTTATGATACCATAGGTAAAGACTTTCATAAATGCAAAGGCTCTTATAACTAGCATCAGCCTTCCAAAAACTATACTTGTGGAGTTGCTACAAGAGCTGTTGACGTCTGTAGAACATGAGGCTTCAAAGTCAGGCCTATTTGCATCTTCTTGATGTGAGTCTCATTTTCTAATCCCTGCACTATCTGCTGGACTGCTGCATGGACTCCCAGAGAAGAAAAATGTATGATGCTTCCCTGCTGGCATTTTATGGCCCTATCATACATAGCCTTCAAAGGATTCTAGTATCAAATGTGGCCTATAATAGTCTTATAAGTCTGAATGTTTAGCTGAGCCTAAGAAGATCCCCTGATGAGCAGCAGAGAGAGGTATTATAATATCCACCTCCTAATGACACTATAAGGATTAAACAACATTGTATATAAATACACACATAAAATGATTCCTACACATCCATGTTTCCACACATGTATAGTAAGAGAAAGCTCATTGCATTGGAGTTCAAGTACAATTATTATTTAAAATGTGTTTTTGTAATTTGTCATGTCCATTTTCTCCTGGTAAATTGTAAATCTAATGAGGGCAGGAGTCATGAAGTGTTTCCAACTTCATACAGAGAATTGCTACATAATAAGTGTTCCATTTATGTTTTTTCTTTCCTTGTTGGAGAGCCTCCAAACTGAGATCTGTGGAAAGCCAATTGCTTATAATTTTGATAAGTATTATTCAAAATGAGAAATAAAAAGACTCATTGGTGAGATAAATTTGGGAAACACTAGGTGATGCTAAACAGATTTTTTTTTCTTTTACAGTACGTCTTGCAATTCTCCAACATGAAATGCAGTGGGAGAACGAGACAAATACTTCACGTGCAATTTCACAACTCTCTTTTTTTAAGGGCCAACTTTTGAGATGGGTTTTGTGCAGATGACACTATAGGAAACACTGCCAACACCTAAATATAGGTCCTCTTGGAGCTGTAATGTCCCTGGATAAAAACAGATGCATCTAATTATCTCATAAGAGAGGAGAATTGGAAAAGAAAGATTTAGTAAGTTTCCTAAGATCCTGCAAGTAATATTTCCCTATACAGCTTACCCTACTGTCAGTTGAAAATTGGTCATACAACTTGTCACAGCTTGTCTGTATTAAATCCCCACACTAATCACTCCTGATAACAAAATAAGATGAAGTAAAAAACATTGAGCATATATCCAAGAACCAGAAAGACCCCAGGGTTCTAAGTCCATGGAAGTGATCTTTTCTGGTCCTCACACATATAACCATTGGAATGTTGACTCTCCACAAAGATCAGATGAAATTTTGCATTGTATCTGCTTTCCCAGGACTCTCTTCAATCATTGGCCCTCAGTATGGTAATAACAAACCCACGATTTCCTTGTTTCTAAAGTGTTCTAATGTTTTCACATCTTGGAGGGGACTTGGATCTACCTCTCTCTAGCACTCATTTTCTTGTTTGGCTGTCCAACTCAACCACAGATTCCACAGCAAGAGGAACCACAGATTACTCATCACAACATCCTCAGCCCATAGAATATTCTTAGCAAACATTTTCTTAAATGACTAAATGAGTGAATGTGATGAGAATTTCAAAATGTGTAGAACTGACCAGAGCCAGGAATCCTGGAAAGTCCAGTATCTTTCTCTTTCTACAAAGAAATGGTGTGGGGAAGTGGGGCAAATATTTAATAAAATTCTGTCATTAACTGATATAGCCACAAAAGCATTTACTGAAAACTTAGGGCTATCTGATGATTCCTAGTATATTTCACTGGGCTTAACAAAAACTGTGTGGAGCCTTGACCATCTGGGATGTCATTACATAAAGGTAAATAATTAAATATATAACTTTGTAAAGACTTCTTCAAGAATGTAATCCCTTTTCACTCAGAATAGAGCAATTCTGTTCTTTCTTATAATAGAAACTAAAATCTCTGAGCCTCAGAAATCTTTTGGAAGAAATCTTTGGGAAAGGACACCTATAATAAAGATATCCTGGGGAAATAAGAGATGTTGTAAATTCATAATTAGATTATAAAAGATGTAAAGCTTATTGATGCACTATATGACATATACCATCTAATTTTACTGACAAAATGAAAAACTGACCTTCTGTGAAGCGTTGAAGGAATTTTGCCCAGTTTGTATTTAGAAGAACAGAAGGGAAGGTCTAAGAAACATAAGGATGGGCTCCAAGGACAAAGTTTCTTTTTCCACTGTTAGTAAAAGGAAATCGGAAATGTGGTTTGAGATGATCAACACAGACATCTGATCTATAGGACTAGAAAAGATTCTTTCCACCCACAGTAGCTCCTAATCATCATCTTACAAGCATGCCCTCCCATTCTAATATATCTTCCACATTCCAGTCTTGAATTGATGCAGATGATTTTGGTTACGAAGAAACCCAGCTCAAAGTAGATCAAACAGAAAAGGAGATACATATATGGCTTCCAGTAGCCCTCAAGATTTATATTCAGCCAACTTTCTCTTGAGGTTCCAAGAGATTGACAGCCTGGACCTGGATTAGATGCCCAACATATATCAATTAATTATAATCAGGAGAGCAAGTTCATATAAGAATATAGCAGTTCCCCTAGTGCCCACATAAATGGACTGAAGAGTTATTTCCAGAAAAAAACAAAGCTTTTCCCAGAAGAGTCATTATCAAACATGCAAGTCAGGCATCACAGACTGAATAACAACCCTCAAAGGTGTGCACATCCTAATTCCTGAAACTTGTGAATATGCTGCCTTTTGTGGTAAAAGGGAAGGGGCTTTGCAGATGTGATTACTTCGAGGATCTTGAAATGAGAAGGTTGTGTTGGATTACTTGGGTACATCCATATAGTCACAACATCCTTATAAAATAAAGGAAGGAGGAGGATCAGACCCAGACGTTTAAAGAAGCTATGCTGCTGGCTTTGAAGATGGAACAAGGGACCATGAGCTAAGAAAGACAGCCTCCAGAAACTAGAAAAGGCAAGAAAACCAATTCTCTCTGAACCTCTAGGAGAAACACTGCCTGCTGGCATCTTAATTTTAGCCCAGAGAAACCCATTTTGGGCTCCTGTTCTCCAGAACTCTAGTATAATAGAGTTGTCTTGTTTTAAGCCACTAAGCTTAAAACAGCAATAGCAAACTAATACACAGAATGGTCACTATAATCCTGCTGCTTCTTAAAGCAAGAGACTTATGCCTGCTCCAGTCCCCCCAACCAACACACACTTGTTATCTTTAAAGAAAAATCTAAACTTAACATATCACCCTCCCCACTTTTAATTTACAACTTTGTGTAACGTGACTTCTAACCCCAGCCCTCTGAAACTGATCCCTAAGAGGCCATCAAAGGACTTCTTGGTGGAGAAATCATGTCTCTACTTCTCATTTTTTTTACATATGCATACACAGACACTTCATTTATCAATTTTTTCTTGAAAATCTCTCCTCTACATTTTTGAGTTACTGGTCTCTCTTAATTCTCCTACTTTAAATTTATTTTGTTGTTTCTTCTTCTATTGGTCCTTTAAATACAAACTTCTTTTCCTCCATTGTATCATCTGTTCCTCCTCCATATACATAGGCACCCACATTTCAATCTTGTCTCTAATAATCAGTAATTGTATGACACTGGTCAGATATTTTAGCATGACGGCATTCCCCAAATAACCATAACACCTGCATTATATGGTTGCTGAAGAATCAGACAAGGTAGAGAAAATATCTACACATAGGACACTTTCAATACGTAGTCACTTTATTATTCCACTTTGTTTTTTTTATCCCTTTATAGCTATCTTTCTCTAATTCTGCTCTTTCCAATATAATTCCAAACTGACTACATCTCCACCTAGATATCTTCATTGCTGTCTGTCTAAAATCCATCTTACTTCTCTCCCTCTTAGTCCCATACTCCTCCTCTGCACAGCTTTATAGCACCCTAACAGAATCATAAATGGTTATTCACCCTGACTAGAAAGTTAATAATTCCCTTCCAACTAGCTGTTTCTCAAAACCAGTTGATCATGAAATATCTCAATTGACTTCTACATAGCATCCACAGTGCTATTTCCAAACATTTTCTATTTTCCTTAAGTTCTGAATCCCAGCCCTACGATTTTGACTTTCTGTAATGATACTACTTTATAATTTGATTAGAGTTCTTCTGATATGAGCTACCTCATCTTGCTGCAAATTCATCTCAAGTTTCCTGAACATCTTCAATCACCTTTATCATTCTTCCTCTATCAGAGAAGGAAGAATCACCCTTCCTCTCCACCTACCTTTGAAAGATGAAAAATCTTATGGCAATTAAAAAAAAATAGGCCAGGCACGATGGCTCACACCTGTAATCCCAGCATTTTGGGAGGCCAAGGCTAGTGGATCACCTGAGGTCAGGAGTTCGAGGCTGGCCTGGCCAAATGGTGAAACCCCCTTTCTACTAAAAATACGAAAAGTAGCCGGGCATGGTGGTGGGTGCCTGTAATCCCAGATACTCGGGATGCTGAGGCACTAGTATCGGTTGATCCCGGGAGGCAGAGGTTACAGTGAGCCAAGATCGCACCATTGCACTCCAGCCTGGGTGACAGAGTGAGATTCTGTCCCAAAAAAACAAACAAACAAACAAACAAAAAACCTCAGGTTTAAGAGTCAAAGAGACCTGGATTCAATTCCAAGGTTTTTTTGGTTTTTGATTTTCTACTTATTAGTCACATGAACAACTTATTTTTCTCATTTTCCTCAACTGCAAAACAGGAGGAAAAAAAGATAAATGTTTGAGGGGATGGATACCACATTCTCCATGATGTGCTTATTTCACATTACATGCCTGTATCAAAACCATCTTGTGTACCCTATAAACATATATACATCTACTATGTAACAACAAAAATTTTAAAAATAAAAAATAAGGGAAAAAATTATCACCTCAAAATACTGAAGTGCTGATTTAGAATTTAAGAGCTTTAGAATGTGCCTTTGCCCTTTGCCCTATCCCATTCCCTCTTGGCAATGTCCTCATATTCTCTAGCAACTTGTCTCTCATCAAGAGATTTCTAACCTCAATCTCATCTTATTAAGTTGAAGTTAGTGTTTGAGACTAAATGCACATCTTCCAATCCAGATTATCTATAAAATGTTTAATCATCATATGTGGGGTTGCCAGATTCCGCACATAAAAGTACAGAACACCCAGTTACATTTTGGTTTCAGATAACAATGAATATATTTTAGTACTTTTTTTAGTATATCATATGCAATATTGTTAATTAATTTTTTAATTTTCTGTTTGATGTTATTTCTCTTATTTTTTTTTTTTTTTACTTTTCTTATTAGACTTTAAGTTCTGGGATACATGTGCAGAACGTGCAAGTTTGTTACATAGGTATACATGTGCCATGGTGGTTTGCTGCACTCATCAACCCACCATCTACATTAGGTATTTCTCTTAATGCTAGGAGAAAAACCTAATTCCCTCCCCTAGTCCCCCACCCCCGACAGGCCCCGGTGTGTGATGTTCCCCTCCCTGCGTCCATGTGTTCTCATTGTTCAAGTCCCATTTATAAGTGAGAACATGCGTGTTTGGTTTTCCGTTCCTATATTAGTTTGCTGATAATGATAGTTTCCAGCTGCATTCATGTTCCTACAAAGGACATGAACTCATCCTTTTTCATGGCTGCATAGTATTCCATGGTGTATATGTGCCACATTTGTTTGTTTGTTTATTTATTTATTTTTGAGACGGCGTCTCCCTCTGTCTCCCAGGCTGGAGTGCAGTGGTGTGACCTCGGCTCACTCAAGCTCCGCCTCCCGGGTTCATGCCATTCTCCTGCCTCAGCCTCCCGAGTAGCTGGGACTACATGCGCCTGCCACCAGGCCCAGCTAATTTTTTGTATTTTTAGTAGAGATGGGGTTTCACCGTGTTAGCCAAGATGGTCTCAATCTCCTGACCTCATGATTCGCCCGCCTCGGCCTCCCAAAGTGCTGGGATTACAGGCGTGAGCCACCACGCCCGGCACATTTGTTTATTTAAAGTTAAAACTAAATCAGGCTTTCTGTATTCTATCTAGCAACCCTAAGAATATATCATATTAGAGATGAGATTTTAGAAAACCTGTCTTACTCCTTTACAGAAACTTAAATGGAATGTTGTAAAATTTAAATGAGCTATTGTATTCAAAGTACCCTGAACATAAATATTTATTAAATAGCTGCATTTACTATAACTTTTGAAATTCTTATAAGTGCTTCTATTAACACTGACAAATATTAGTATTTTATAGATTATAAAATTGAGTCTCAGAAAGAATAGGTGACACTATGAAGGTCTTGCTGATATATAGTGGCAGAAGTTCATATTCTTTAACAGCCAAGCAGATGCTTTTCATTCAATTCCATTCTGCTGTTTCAGGTTACCTGCTATGAACTGTAAAGGGTTCCAATTTGTGAAACATGTAGTGTTAATACAGATACTAGTGTCTTTGTCAATGCAACAATATAGTTTTTTTAAAAATAAATCTTCTCTATTAGAAAGAATAAAAGAGAACAAGTAAAGAAAGGAGAGAAGGAAGGAAAGATGAAGAGAGGGAGAGAGAGAAGCAATACATTAAATTACAAATGGATCACTTATCATTCTGGATTTTTTCAGTTGAATAAAGTTAAGGTTATGGTAGGTAATAAGGCATGAATCCACTTCTACTTCTGCAGTATGATTCATCTAACTGCAAAGTTTCCTATTTTCTTTACTCCTCTTCTGCCAGTAGATAACACACTCAAGATTTCTTATCAGTAGTCATTTTCATTACAATTGGTAAAATCAAGTATTTAAAATAAACAATACTCAGCCCATAGCTGGGAGAATTCAGCTCTAAGGAAACAAATTGCTGTTCTCCTGCTGCACGATGGAGTAATATGTATCTGATGAGGTTTTTCTATGCCTTCAGCTATGAGATACCACTAACAGGGCCATACTACTAAAGTGGACAGGAATAGAACAATACTCTTAAGATACCTCATATTATTAAATTTTTTTAAAAAAAATTGGAATATATCTATCTTGTATAATCTATGACCCTCCGCACAATATTTTAAAACACACATTGTGCTGAAGAAACAAAATACAGAAAACTAGTTACATACAGATGAAGAAGTAATTAGAATCAAATGTACATTTGACTTTAGATACACAGAGACACATTAAGGATTTAAATTTATTTTTATTTTGAATCAACAGTGTTAAACCTACTTATCATCTAAATGGATTCATGAGAAACCTGATTTTATAATCTAATCCTTGAAAAGTAGAGGGTCAATATTTATTTGGTTTTGAAACTAAATGGTTATAGCTATTGATTATAGCATAAAAGCTAAACTCTCCCAAAACACAAGTTGACTTGTACCTAGATAAAATTAGTAATTATTAAGGTGAAGAATAGCACACATTTGAATTAATGTTATCTACTATGTGATAGCCAACACTTAGTTTTCCTATTGCATATAAAGTTGTCACCTGCACAATCTTGATTCGAAATCAGTGGCAAATAAGTCTGTAGACTTACAATCTAATATATCTTAGAGTAATTCCTGTACTGCAGGGGTTACTCAGTGTCATCAGCAAAAATAAAGCCATTAAAGAAAAGTGCAACATTTTCAACATTTTCATTTTCAACAAACCTATCTGAAAAACTACTTCTAAATAACTGCCTCAATCACTTCTGATTGGCTAGCAGTAGGGTTTTCCCAATAGATTTTGGTTCTCACAGTGGCCCACACACTTGGATAAGTTTACCTTTTTATACTTTGTGGTTAGATTGCTAGAATGAAAAGAATTAGGGGGGCAAATATACTTTACCTCAATCAGAATTCTAGGTGCAACCTCCAGGAGACTTTTGTTAGCAACCAATTTGCTGCAGCCAAATCAGTCATAAGCACTATGCAGGGAACTTTTCACAAGATGGGTTCACAGTAAGTGGGGACATTTTTGATGAGGAACCATTAGGGTAACTAGTGTCTGGTCAGCATCAATGGGGACCCGGCTGATACAGTTAAGGGTAGTAACTTCCCTGGCAAACCTACCATAACCAGAGAACTATTTTATCCCAAATATCAGGCATTTCAACTAAACTCCTGAGTACAATTTGGAGACAAAGGACATAATTAAATATCCCCAAACATCACAATGGATGAACTACATTATAACTTAACAAAACAGTAAGTTGTTAACAAAGATACATATATTATCAACTAGTATACGTATAGAAATAATAGTGAGTCCAGTTTAACCAATCCCTGAGTTTCCAATATTTATTTTACAATGCCAGCCTATATTTTTAATGTTATAATATGAACCTATAACTAGTTATAAACTTCATATATAAATTCTAAATGTATAAAACCTAAATAAAATTATAAATTAAATACTAACCAAACTATAAAATCAATAATAAATTTTACATAATTAATTTAGCTATTGGTGTTATTTTACTAAGCAATTACTTTCAGCATATGACACATACTGTTACAGTGAAGATTCTAAATTTATAATATATATAAACTATTTTTTTACTGCAGGATAATAAATATAACATAAATTTACCATTTCAGCCATATTTTTTTTCCAGACAAAGTCTCTCTTGTCCCCAAGGCTGGAGTGCAATGGTGGGATCTCAGCTCATTGCAACCTCTGCCTCCCGGGTTCAAGCAATTCTCCTGCCTCAGCCTCTCGAGTAGCTGGGATTACAGGCGTCTGCCACCACACCCGGCTAATTTTTGTATTTTAAGTAGAGATGGGGTTTCACCATGTTGGCCAGGCTGGTCTTGAACTCCTGACCTCAGGTGATCTGCCCGCCTCAGCCTCCCAAAGTGCTGGGATTACAGACATGAGCCACCGCACACAGCCAGCCATTTTTAAAATATACAGTTCTGTGGCATTAAATACATTCACATTGTTATGCAACCATTACCACCATCCATTTTGAGAACTTTTTCCTCTTCCCAAATTCAAGCTCTGTGTAAACACCAACTCCCCATTTTTCACTCCATGCAGCCCCTGGCAACTACCACTCTGCTCCCTGACTCTATGAATTTGATTACTCTAGTTACCTTATATTATTGGAATGATACAATTTTGTCCTTTGTGACTGGATTATTTTATTCAGCAAAACGTCCTCATGGTTCATCCATGGTGTATGGTGTGTCAGAATTTCCTTTCTTTTTAAGACTGAATAATCTTACATGGTAGGTACATATTACATTTTGTCGATTATTTCATCATTAATAAACAATTGATTGCTTCTACCTTTTGTCTATTGTGAATAATGCTGCTATGTACTTTTGGTGTTCAAATATCTGGTTGATTACCTCTTTTCACTTTTTTTCGGTATATATCTAAAAGTGAAATGCTGAATCATATGGTAATTCTGTTCAATTATTTGAGGAATCACCATACAGTTTTTGAAAGTGGCTACATCATTTTACATTTTCACCAGCAACCAAGTTACATTTTTAATCCAGATTTCTTGTTTACCTGATCCTGAAGCCCAACTGCCTAATATGAACTGATTATGTTTGTTGCTGACAAAAATAATCCCCGAAACAATGCTGACCATGGTGGTACTTATAAATCCTTGATTTTAATAGAGATCTTTGGCTGGGCACAGTGGCTCAAACCTGTAATTCCAGCACTTTGGGAGGCCGGGGCGGGCAGATCACAAGGTCAGGAGATCGAGACCGTCCTGGCTAACACAGTGAAACTCCGTCTCTACTAAAAATGCAAAAAATTAGCTGGGCGTGGTGGCAGGTGCCTGTAGTCCCAGCTACTTGGGAGGCTGAGGCAAGAGAATGGCATGAACCCGGGAGGTGGAGTTTGCAGTGAGCCGAGATCGCGCCACTGCACTCCAGCCTGGGCGACAGAGCAAGACTCTTGTCTCCAAAAACAAAAAAAATAGAGATTTTTTGCTTAAAGACCTGTTAACATTTTATTGCCATTAATCCTAACCTCTGCCTATTTTTGGCCTCTCCATTAGCATTGCATTAATGTATCGAAGAGACAAAGACATGTCTCAGTGTCTAATCAAGAAAACAAGTTGCCTTTTTTATCAGCCTGCATTCATTTGCAAAACATTCCCTTTCTCTGTTCTCTATTAATACTTACGTACTTCTTGTGCTGTTTCACAGGACAACATTTTCTTTCAGTACAATCTTAGATTTACCAGTTCCCCAAGGGGTGACAGTGATGCCCTGGTTACATTCCAGGGACATCGCTGAAAGTGGGGAGATGGTATTGTGCCCTGGTTATGGAACTAGCAAGCCTGCTTGTTCTGTCTTCTCCTGGGTTCTTCAGACAGCCACAATTTCCCCCATCATCAGCACTTCATTCTCCTTATTATCCACAACTTACCAGTTACTCCTGACTCAGATTCCCGCCAAGTACCCTATTGTATTTTGGACTATCATATTCTCCATTGTTTGAAGTAAAAAAGATAGCTTTGAAGCATACTTCTGTTAAGAAAAGTATCTCCCATACAAATCATTCTGATCTTTTCTAATCCCTCATTAAAAAAAGAGTAATTCAGGCTGGGCACCATGACTCACGCCTGTAATCCCAACACTTTGGGGTGCCAAGGCAGGTGGATCACCTGGGCTCAGGAGTTTGAGATCAGCCTGGGCAACATGGCAAAATCGTGTCTCTACTAAAAATGCAAACAATTAGCCCAGGCTGGTGGTGTGCACCTGTAGTCCCAGCTACTTGGGAGGCTAAGGCACAAGAATTGCTTGAGCCCAGGAGGCAGAGATTGCAGCAAGCTGAGATGGCACCACTGCACTCCACCCTGGGTGACACAGCAAGATTCTGTCTCAAATAATAATCATAATAAATATTAAATAAATAATAAAAAGTAATTCAGGGTATAACTAGAGAAAAATATGGCAGAAAATAGGTACACTTATTCTCTTTGTAAGAGAGGATTTCTGATTTTAATCATAATGGGCAAAGTCAAATAAAAACATAACATTTAAAAGTAGCTTTACATAAAGAATTGCGTACATATTATAAAGCAAACAAAAATAATATGTAATGCAGACAAAAATGTCTGCAACAAATGTGATAATTACCATTTTAAAATTAGTAAGGCTCTTCATAAAAACAGTTTATAAAATGAAAGCTGAAATAGCTAATGAAAGTTTGAAATGTTATTTAACATCAATATGAAAAAATGCTAATTAAAATGAGATACCATTTTTACTAAATATTTTATAATTATTTATTAATTAAAATAATAATTTATTAATTATAAATATTAAAATATTTTATTATATATTATTAATGGAAGTAAATTGACAAAGCTTTTTGGAAAAGGACCTGGTAACATATATCAAGAGTCTTAATTGAAATTATGCCCACTAATTTTATTTTATAAAATCTATTCTTAAAATCGGTCTAAAATACTAAAAACAAAAATGCTGCAATAAAAACTGCTATTTATTAGCCATCCATTTGGTTAAGTCCTCTATCACATGTTTACAAGGGAAGTGTTAAAAGAAAAATAACAGATATTGTCATTCTCATTTTTAAAGAATTTTTCAGAGAGAAGTTGGGGGGTTATCCAGGATACCGTAACTAGTAAGTTTTGGAGCTCAGATTCAATGTCTGAGTTGCTTGTCTAACCGAACCATCATACCAATGGCATTTTTTAATACATGAAAATGTTCATATTATTTACAATGAGGAAAAACTGAAGATAACTTAAATATCTACTGTAAATCAAAAATAGAATTCTAAGTCCCCCAACCATCTGAATGTACCTCCTCTTTGCCAAGGGTATTCCAAAGTTAACCTGAAACACTAGTCCTGCCCATGAAGGGAAGTGGAAGTTGAACATGGCTCATTATGATTAACATCAACACAGATCTTAAGACTGATAGAACAGACTCTTAAAATCTGATAAGTAACACTTACAATCTATTCTCTCTGCAGCCTGCTACCTGACAGCTTTATCTGCATGACAAAACCTTTGTCTCCAGAACCGCTTATTATAACCTACACATTCCTTTCTGTTGATTCCAGGTCTTCAGATAATAACTCAACCAACTGCCAATCAGAAAACCCCTGCATCCAGTTCTCCCGTCTTTCTGGACAAAACCAATATACATCTCACATATATTGATGTCTTATGACTCCCTAAAATGTATAAAATAAAGCTGTAGCCCGACCACCTTGGGCGCATGTCAGGACCTCCTGAGGCTGTGTCATGGACCTGTTTCAGATACTTTTTGGTTTACACTACCAACAGAAACATGACTTTGAAAAATATAGATTATTCATACGATTATTTTATTTTTCTAGACCCAAACTGGTTCCAAAATTATTTGCTATAGCTCTACATGGACTATTATGCATCTATTAAAAATTGGATTTATGAAAATTTATGTGAACATGGGTAATGATCATGTTATAAAGTCCATTGAAAAGCACAAACCTGTAAATGTAATGAGTTAATATTTAATCAGATTAAATATTAACAAATCATATTAAATACTAACAAATATTTAATATTTATATTTAATACTAACAAATATTTAATATTTATATTTAATACTAACAAATATTTAATATTTATATTTAATAAATATAATATGATTTACAGCTTTATAAAAAATATAAATAGCAATCAGTTAGGAAACAAATTATCTTGAGTAGAGGTAACAGCTCACTTCTAGCTGAGTTGCTCTAATTCTCCCCCAGGAATCCATTACTATCTCACCTCCTTTCTGTCTCGTCTCTTCTCTCCCTTACCTCCCTCACATACGCAGAAACTGAAATTTAAACTCCAAATTTTAACTATAATCTGCTTTCTTTTTTCTTAATAGATTGCTCCAGCGTGTATGTAATGAGAGATCTTTGAACTAGTTTGTATATTTTGGTCATTGTGATTATAAGAGAGTAAGTGAAACAGCCTTCATTTGTATTTATTTTCTACTTCATTCTCACCTCATTACTTATTTTCCCTCCCATATATAATTCTCTTTAAAAAGTACATATGTGGAGAGTGGACGTTGGAAAGAGAGAATATGATCTAGAAAGTATAAACCAAAAATACAATTCTAAGCCCCCCAACCAACAGAATGGACTCCCCTCTCAGCCAAGGGGATCCCAAAAAAAACCCTGAAAGACTGGTTCAGGCCATGACAGGAAGAGAGGGGTGAGACATGCCTCATTATACCCTCCTTCCTTTGGAGTTCAGGCATAGCTGACCAGCATTAACATGAAAACAGAGATCTTAAGACTGACAAAGCGGACTCTTTGTAGCAATAAGATACTAAGTTCCAACATGACTGGTACATTACATTACAGATAGCGGGCCCTGGGGAACATCAAAGTATTTTACCCTCCAAAATATATTTGACATATTTTGAAATTGCCTTCCAAAGCTGTCTCTTGTGGGGGACATTTACATTCTGTAGAAAATCTCCTTCCCTTATTTGGTCTTTTCCAGAAAGTATGACACCTTTTAAGGTCCTATAAGATAGGGGTGCCCAACCCCCAGGGTCTGGTCTGTGGCCAGTTAGGAACTGGGCCACACAGCAGGAGGTGAGCAGCAGGCAAGCAGGCATTACCACCTGAGTTCCACCTCCTGTCTGATCAGCGACGGCATTAGATTCTCATAGGAGCATGAACCCTATTGTGAACTCCACATGCCAGGGATCTAGGTTGCACACTCCTTATGAGAATCTAATTCTTGATGATCTGAGGTAGAACAGTTTCATCCCAAAACCATCCCCGCATTGTCCATGGAAAAATTGTCTATGAAACTGGTCCCTGATGACAGCAAATTGGAAATTGCTGCTATAAGACATTCACATCTATTATTTCTGAGGCCTGCTACCCGGAAGACTTCATCTACATGACAAGAACCTTGGCTTCCACAATCCTCTACCACCCTTACCTTAACTCAGGCTGACTTTAAATTTTCAAGCAGAGCTTAACTCTTTCAACCAATTGCTAGTAAGGAAATCTTTGAATCCACCTATGAACTAGAAGTCCCCATTTTGAGATGTCCAACCCTTCCAAGCTGAACCAATGTATATCTTACATGTATTGATTTTATGTCTTTGCCTGTAACTTCTGTCTCCCTAAAATGTATAAAACCAAACTGTAAACCAACCACCTTGGACACATATTCTCAGGACCTCCTGAGGCTGTATCATTGGCTATGGTCCTCAACCTTGGCAAAATAAACCTCTACATTGATTAAGACCTGTCTCAGATACTTTTTGGTTTACAAAAGAAGTGCCTGAAAATATTAGTAGTTAAGTCAAAGTGTTGGAATATCAGTGATATGTTTTTCAATTTTTTTTTCCTAAAATAATCATGCCTCACTCTCATTTTCAGTAAAAATAACATAGTTAATTAAAATAATTCATGATTTAAACAAAGTACATAGTAGTGGAAACACTGAGTTCATTGAATACGGATCATCTTTAGCATTAATCCTAGGTTCCACCACAAACTAGCTATGTGGGGTTGGTAAATTACATAAATTCCATGAACCTCGGATTACTCACCTGAAAATTAAGTATCATACTTTTACCTTGCAGGGTTGATTAAAAGGCTGTAAATAAACCAAAGTGTGAAGCACTAAAATATGGGACAGAGTAGGTGCTCAACAAATGAGAGCTGAAATTATATTCCTTGTCATAAATGTTTTACTTTTTAATCATCCTTTTCACAACCTCTAGAGAGCAAGAGGCAGCTGTGGCTGGCATTATTCCACTCAGCAGGAAATCCATTTAAATACCTTTAACTCTTAAAATTTTCCAGCCCTACCTGTCTGCCTGCACTAATGATCCCCAGCAGTGGGAGACCTGCCTTTGATTTCTCCTGTGAGGCTCTGAACCCCAGTGCAGTGACTGGTTATGTTTCTCACTTTCCACCCTTCTCTTACATAACTTTGCTTAAAGTACCTTAATAACGTGTTGGAAAGTAAACTTAAACATTAGCCCAGGTAAACTCTGTTATCCTTGTGGCACATTCTTGCTAAGTCATTAAATGCTCTGGAGTAAATCCTCCTGCTCTGCAGTTTAATAGGGAGTCACTCAGAGCTGTGCAATCAATTATGTTCCTGCTCCCTGCTTCCCACTACAGAAAAGGATTGACAAATGACACACAGAGGCCTGGTTAGTGAAATGAGTCACTTTTCCCTTAACTGCAACTTAATCAGCATGGTAGTCCCAATGCTAATGAATATTAGTCCAACCAAATTTCAGCTGGAAGCAACCCAGAGAACTTCTCCAAGGCAATCATTTTGCAGATGAGAAAATTGAAGCCCAAAGAGTGAATGAACCAATGGGACATAGTAGGCACTGAATACAAGCTTGCTGAATGAATGAGCTTTCTATGTCAGAGAGCTAGATAGTAATAGAAAAGGTTATACCTGATGTGTTTTAAGGGCTTGCTGTGTTTAGGCACTCTAAGTGCTTTATACGGGTTAGTTTAGGTAACCTTTGCTACACAGTGTTTTACAGGTAAGGAAATGTATGCATATAGTAGTTTAGTGACTCCATCAAAGCCACATGGAAAACAAATGGTGGAGGTAGATTTTGATCCTGAATAATCAGTCCCCAGAACAAACACTTAACAACCAGACCATACTGTCAGAACTCTAGTCCCGTATTTCCACCTAAAAAAACAAACAAAAAAATGTATCTTCAGTCTCTCCATTTCTCTCCACCATACTAATGAAGTTCAGCCACCATCCTCTCTCACCTGGATTCCTAAAACAACCTCCTAACTAGACCTATCTCTAATCTTCTTCCTCTACCATCAGACTGATCCTTCAAAAAGACAAATTTAATCACAGCATTTTCTATGGTTAAAGCTTTGCAATGCTTCATTATTATCCTTCTTTATTATCCTTGGTATATAATGCAGCTTTTCAATGGCCCATAGGATCCTTCATAATTGTTTTGCCCTCAAAGCTTATACACCAGCCATATTGAACTTCTTTTACTTCCTACAAAGCAATGCTCTTTGTGACCTCCATTCTGGCCTACTCTTTGCCCTTGCTGGCTAACTACTATTAATTCCAGATTCCAGCGTAGACAATACATACTCAGAAAAGCATCTGCTCAGCCTCTCCCAAGTCTTAGATTGATGCCACTTTTTTTTTTTTTTTGTATGTGATTCTCTGGTAAATAACTGATTATGCTACATTGAAGATTCTTGTTAAGTTCCCTGTTTCCCCCATTAAATTGTTAATCAAGGCTAGAATCAAGCTAAACTTGCCTTTTTATTGTTAGATCCCATTTGCCTAGTAAGTTTGTTAACCTAAGCGTACTTCAATTTCCTCAACTAAAATGGGATAAATGAAACTTTATTGAGTTAAACAAAGAAAGATACGTAAAGTACATAGTTTCCCACATATAGTAATGGCAAGAAATCCAGCTTTTCAATATACACAGCACGCTTTGTGAATTTCACTAGAAAGGGGGCATTGTGTTAAAGTTAGCTAAAATGGTATCAAATGTTTAAAATGAAATATAAATTTGGTTTCAAACAATGGCAAATAAAAGAAATGCTAAGATAAAGAATGAAGGAGAGAGGCAGCCAAGAGAAGAGGCAAAACATGGAGAAGCAAAGCAGGGATAAGAAGCCAGCCTTTCAGTACCCCTGCATGGTACAGTGTCATCCTGTACAGAGCCCCAAGGCCAGGTAAACCCATCCTGGCTTCCTGAGAGAAAGGAATTGCCTGGGTTGATTAAGAAGTTCATTGGCCATATTATTCCAACATAGAATATTCCATATCATTTAGAACACCCTATCTAAATTCTGAAAAAAAAAAAAAAATCTGCTTGCTAAACCTTGCTTTTGAAGACATTTTAGCCCACAACCAAAGACTTAAACTTTACAAAAGATGTGTAAGTTAACACTGGTAAACTCATTTACATTAAAGTATCAATGAGATGTTTGGAAGTTTTTAGATTCTTCCCATTTTCTTTTCTCAAAGCAGATAGAGAGTAGGACAACTTGAATTACTCAAAAGTGGAAGTGTGTGGCTAAGTCATAATGGCTGAGGAGGGGGTAGGCAGAGATGTGGTTGGTGGGTACAGCAATCAACACAAGATACAAGTCAAAGGCTCCCCTAACTTAGCTCAGTTTTGTCATATGGCCTTCAGGAGGAAGATATAGTGGGAGTAAACAGAAATTGTATATAAAAACATTTGTTGGGAGGCTGAGGCAGGAGGATTGCTTGAACCTGGGAGGCGGAGGTTGTGGTGAGCTGAGATCGTGCCATTGCACCCCAGCCTGGGCAACAACAGCGAACCTCCATCTCAAAAAAAATAAATTAATAAAAATAAAATTTGTCTCATTATACCTTAAATTCACAAAGTCCTGAATCGTATGTTTTAGGGAAATGTGTATTCATTCAATGCAGGATCTCTTTTTCCAGAGGAATCCTTAATCCTGTCATTTGTGTACAAGGAAACTGCCCTCCAAGTCGCTAGCCACTATGATGTAAACTACAGCCCTGCCTATGTGGGTTGATGGCTCAACAAACACTGAGTTCACATTCACTTAGACCCCCATTTCTAGAAATTACTCTCTTGTGCTCTCTGCCTACTTTTCTCACCCTTATTTTCTGATACTGACGCTGCTACTATCAGAGGGGTGTGAATTTTCTAATATGTTTTTAATTCAGACTTTTATGCCACCTAGCAACATTTTCAAAGAACACCTCTATCTCCTAGATAAAACAGTGAAAGAATACTTTCCTTTCACTTGCCAAGAATTACACTGTCCATAACTTTATGAGTTTCCAAATTAAGGAGCTGTTCCATCCACCTGAAAATCCATGCTTTTGTATGGACTCATTCTGTCTCCTCTCCAGAACAAAGAGTCTGTAGAGAACACAGTTCTCTTACAAAGAGAGCTGTACCACAGTGAGAGGTCTCTAGTGCAATAAACCACACCTGTAGTAGGTTTTCAGTATGTATATAGACACACACACATATATATGTATGTATATATACTGTATGGTATGTATGTATATGTATATATGTGTGTAGTGAAATATATTAGAACTTTTTCCAGTGGTGGCTAGTAAGATAGGAGACAAACTTCTTGTGGTAATTTGATGTTGGAGTACAGGTTGAGTGTACCATATTCCAAATACTCAGTATCAGGGTGCTTCAGATTTTTAATTTTTTTTCTAATTTGGAATATTTGCATATACATAAGGAGACATTTTGCAGACAAGATCCCAGTCTAAACACAAAATTCATTTGTGTTTCATATACACTTACATGTAGCCTGAAGATATTTTTATATAATGTTTTTAATAATTTTGTGCAAGAAAAACAGTTTGTGCTGTGACTGTGACATGAGGTCAAGTTTGGAATTTTCCACTTGTGGCATCATGTCAGCTCTCAAAGAGTTTCAGGTTTTGCAGCATTTGGATTCTGGATTTTTGGATTAGAGATGTCTTTCCCATACTAACTATATGACAGACATTGTGCTAAGCTCTTCATATATATCCTCATTCAATCCTCATGACAACGTTGTAAGACAGTCATTGTTATTCCTCTTTTTCTATGTAGAAAAAGAGGTTCAGAGAATTTAACTGAATAGCCTAAGGTGACACAGAAGTACATGGCAAAATTCAATCCCTTCTCAATCTTCCCATGCCTTAAGATTGGTCCTAGCCTAAAACCACAGCACAAATTATCCACATTTAGGCTCCGAGTGAATTGTCACCATTATAGAGGCACCTAGTTTAGGACAAGTGCAAACACAAGTAAAAGCAAATAGAGGCCCTTGGTGATACAACCTAAACTCCAAAGGGATAAAGTCAAGTTTGACTATCCAGAAAGCACTTCAAACTATAAAGAATGTTCTTCTCTTTTAATGCCATGCTCATGCCAAGCTGCCAAGCAAGCATTTCTTTGCTTGAAGATATTATCAGTTTCCTGGAGTGTCTCAGTGCTTTCTGTACCCCTTGTACTCAGCAATTCCATGCCTTTAGCCTCCGATTTAATTTTTCTTTATTAAAATGCTCTTCAGACCCAAATATAATACCAAACAAAAATAGCTTTTTATTCCAGTTACAAAATAACTTCAGGCTAATACAAATATTCTTGTAGCTTTGTCTTGTTTTTATATAAAACGTTTTAGTTGAAAAACAATTTAGTCATTGACTTCCTCATATTCTCACTCCCAAAGCATATCCCAAATATTTATAACCTAGGATGTTACGTATTTACAGATTAAGTGTGATTTCAGGTACATTGAATAATGATCTCTCAGACATTTAAATTGATAGAAACAATAACTAAAAATATAAACTTCAAATTGCCCAAAGAGTACATAATAGACCTATTTTTCCTACATTTTATAAATATGAATGAAAATAAATAGGTACTATCAACGTGAGACCATACATTTTAGGGATGAAAGTGAAAATAGAAAGTTGACCTTCTATACAATTAGAAATTTACATAGTATATTGCAGTACTTCTCAGACCTTTAAGTGCGTTTGAATTACATTGAGATCTTGTGAATTTTGAGATTTCATTTCAAGACACTGGGAGTAAAACTGAGACTGCATTGCTAACAAACTCCCAGTTGCTGCTGCTGTTGCTAGTCCAGACACCACACTTTGAGGAGCCTGGTGGTTAAAGAAGTGGGATTTTCAACATACAGATATAATTTCAACTTTTATTTTAGATTCAGCAGTTACATGTGCAGGTTTATTACATGAGTATATTGTATGATGCTGAGGTTTGGGGTATGATTGATTCCATCCCCCAGGTAGTGAGTGTAGTACCCAATAGTTTTTCAATCCTTCTCCATCTCTGATCCTCCCCTTCTAGTAATCCTCAGTGCCTATTGTAACTATTCTTTATGTACGTTAGTACCCAATGTTTAGCTCCCACTTACAAGTGAGAACATATTTGGTTTTCTGTTCCTGAATTAATTGTCTTAGGATAATGGCCTTCAGTTCCATCCATGTTGCTTCAAAGGACATGATTTTATTATGTTTGATGGCTGCATAGTATTCCATGGTGTATGTGCCCCACGTTTTCTTTATTCAGTCCACCATTGATAGGTACCTCTGTTGATTCCATGTCTTTGCTATTGTGAATAGCGCTTCAATAAACATGATATATTTTTGGTAGAATTATTTATTTTCTTGGAATATATACCCAGTAATGGCATTGCTGAGTCAAAGGATGTTCTGTTTTAAGGTCTTCAAGACATCTTCAAACTGCTTTCTACAGTGGCTGAACTAATTTACATTCCTACCAACAGTGTATGAGCATTCCCTTGTCTCGGTGAACTTGCCAGCATCTGTTGTTTTCCAACTTTTTAATAATGGTATCTCATTGTGGTTTTGATTTGCATTTCTCTGATGATTAGTGATGTTGAGCATTTCTTCATATTTTTGTTGGCCACTTGTATGTCTTCTTCTGAGAAGTGTTCATGTCTTTTGGACACTTTTTAATGGGGTTATTTGTGCCTGCTTTGAATTTTTTAAGTTCCGTATAGATTCTAGATATTAGACCTTTGTTGGATGCATAGTTTGCAATTTTTTTTTCCTATTCTGTATGTTGTCTGTTTACTCTGCTGATAATTTCTTTTGCTTCACAGAAGGTCTTCACTTTAATTAGGTCCCTCTAAGTTCCCGAAAGAAAGAAATGCCTCTTGAGTTAAATAACCTGGACTTGTATCTGAGCCTGCAAGTTAACAGACATGTGACCTTATGTGAGTTATTTAACCCTTTCTATGCTCAGTGTCATCTGTAAAGCAGGGGTAATCAGAGTGTTGTTATCAAGACAATGTATGTGAATTATTTAACACAGTGCTTGGCACATATGGGGTACTTCGAAGCAGCAGCAGCAGCAGGAGAAGAATGGGTATCAGTAAAGAATTACTGTATTTTCTTTTAAGATGTCTGTTTAACTGGCACAGAGGGAAAATTCCTTAGCCTTACTGGAATAGTGGAATACTGTGTGTGTGCGTGCGTGTGTGTGTGTGTGTATTCACTATTTCACAACTATTCAATATATATGCAGATATAATCACTATTTCACACATATGTAATTATATATATAACTGTATAGTCATATAATCAACTCACATCTTTACATATTATATGTATCCCTGGCTTTTCTCAAAAATTAATGAGAGTAAATGAGATCAAGGTGAGCATCCTCAGGACCTAAAGAGGCAGTTATAAATGGGACATTCAATGCAAGCTTCTTGGCCAAGCCCAGAATCTTAGGGCTAACTCAAAAGCCAGAAGTTTCAGGGAAGTTCTGTGTTCATGAGACTGCTAACACACGACTGACTCTGCTACTGTAAGAGTGTTGCAAAGATTCAACTGCCAGTCAGAGGTCGTAAGCCCAGGACAATCTCACAGACAGAAATCAGCTAGTGATAATAAAAGATTTTCAGGAGGAGTAAGAGCTAATTTGACTAGTAGGAAGAGAAAATCTTTTCAGACAAAGGAGATAGCCTGTGCAAAGGCCATGTGATGTGACAGAGCATGGTGGGGAAGAGACATTGAAAGAAGGCTAGTGTTGCTGAAAAGCACAAAGTGACACAGCATGAGATAAATGTAGATAATGGGGCAGTTGCCAGACCATGCTGGACTGGAGGCTAAACTAAGAAGGATTGGGTTGATTGTATGAGTACTTCTAAGTGTTAAGCAGACATTGACGTGATCCGATTTCAAAATATCACACTAGCTTCGGTATGACAAAAGCTCTGGGATGAGACAGAGTTGATACTCACCAGTTAGGAGACTGTAACAGTAGTTAAAGACAATGGTGGTAAAAGGAAAGGAAGGTGGTACATAGGCAGTGGAAATTATTAAGGGTTTTAAGCAGAAGAAGGTAAAGTTTTCATTGGACAAAGATGTATGATAAATTGAAGTTGGCAATCCCAAAGTAAAACCAGTTCAAAGACTATGGTAAGAGTACCCCAAAATTTATGAAGGTCTGGAAAGGAGAGGCTGGTTGCTCCATTTCTCCTCTCAAATTATGAGAGGCTGGAAAGGAGAGGGTAGGTTTAATCAGTGTTTGGAAATTAGAATCTTTTTTTAAATCAAGTTTTTGGTGGCTCCTAGGATTCAGCAACATCAATAAAGGAAAGACATAGAGAAGCAGAAAGGGATTCAAAGAATGGGTATGAGGTACAAAACTGGCAACATGACTTAGTTGATACATTTAATGGACTTTACAACTCAGCAGCCTAATGTTTGTCTTCCCTCAATCCTTCCACCTTCTTGCTAATAAAAGTTCAGAGTGGTACTGTTTCTCAACACAACACTATAAGCCAAAATAATACAATGCAAGTCTAATTTCCCAAATATTTTCATAAAGAAGGATTGTGTTCTGATCAAGAGGTTCAATGTTTAAAAGCCAGAATTCAGTCAACTATAACTATGTCTGAGTGCACTATGTGAATAAAAACCATCTTGTCAAGACACATTGCCAGAGTCTGCAAACCAGACTGAATTGAGAGTAACACTGGTCATCACAGGGCTTAACCATCTGAGACCTTAAGCTTGAGAATCAAATCTTATGAACTGAAACACACTGGGAGTCAATAGGTCAATGTAGTGTTGCACTATTTGCTGTAATGGCACTAAGCAATCACACGGATGGATTGGCAGAGCAACATACGTATGAATCACTATTGTAGAATCATCCTGAGTGTGTTTTTAGTTTGAACTCTTTAAGAATGAGCTAGAAGAGACACCAGGCAATGCCCCTAAAGGAGATGCTGTGATTTCCGAGTAGATAATGCCAAGTTGAGTGTCTCTTTATCTTCATCACAGAGAGCTAGATGGCAGTGCAGCTTGGGAAACTTCCAGGAGCACAGCTCACCCTCGAGGTTGAAGAGATCAGTGTGCCATAAGACAAAGAACGCAGACTTTGAAGCTAAACCATATAAACCTGATTTTGCACCTAATGCATTTCCTGGTTTCATGATCTTGAGAGAGAGTGCTGAACCACATTGTCACTTGCAAAATAATAATAATCGCTGATGTATAACATGATATGAGGATTAAATAAGCAATATTCAAAAAGCACATGGAAAAGTGATAAGAAAATAGTATGGTGCTCATAAGTGTGTGCTTTTTTCCTTCATCTTTTTATAAATGGTTTGAGATTTTAGTGTACACAAAAATCCCCTGGGACTGGCCGTGGTAACTCACACCTGTAATTTCAGCACTTTGGGAGGCCAAGGCTGGAGAACTGCTTGAGGCCAGGACTTTGAGACCAGCCTGGGCAAAATAGCAAAACCTCGTCTCTACAAAAATCTTAAAAATTAGCTGGGTGTAGTGCATGCACTTGTAGTTCCAGCTACTCAGGAGGCTGAGGCAGGACGATCGCTAAAGCCCAGAAGCTCAAGTCTACAGTGAGCCATGATCCAGCCTGATGACAGAACGAGACCCTGCCACAAAACAAAGCAAAACAAACAAACCAAAACAAAATCACATAGGGTGCTTGTAATAATGCAGGTTCCTAGGCTCCACTTCTCAGTAATAAGTTATAGGTCTAGAGCACTACTCAAAAATATACATCCCAAAGCACCCCCAGTGACTGATGCAGTTCATACATAAACTATGTGTTGAGTCTCTTATAGGAAAACTGAGGCAATTATTTTAGAACACAAAGGAGGCACTTCTGGAACCACTACAAAAAAAAAAAAGCATTCAAGTTTGGTTCAAAACACACTATTAAAAAAAGGACTAAAAGGACTAAATGTTTCCAGAACGGTCCAGAACCTCAACAGGGAAGGAAAGTTCAACAGGAAAGTTCATTATCTAGGGCCAGGTATAGAATTTTCCTCAGAGAGCTAAATGTCACTGACATTGGAGACTATGTTCTATGACGTCACCTCAGGTTTAAGACAAAATCATAGGTGATTGTCCTATGACCAAAATTTTTTTATTAAAAAAAGATTATCTCTCCTTTAAATGCAATGAATGAACTTTCAGAAAAGTAAATAAAATATTTGAGAATGAGGATATATTTTTTCTGTCCAAATTAATCATTTCCTAGTTTTTTTAACCCTGATTTGCTACCTCATAGTTTCTAAAGTATGAAGTCAGTTTTTCTCATTCCCTCCTCACTTAACATTTTCTTTGTTCAATTCTGTACAAAGAGCTCTTATTAAGAATGATGAGTCAATCCTTTCTGTACAAGATAAGGCATTTTATACAATGTTCAAACCCAGCAGCAAGTACAATGACATCCTACCTGAATTCTAAAAACTGTTCATCTCGCTAAACGAGCTCCATTCATTTATCTCAGCAGCCAACTTCCCACTGCAGCAGTGGTTAGTAAGTGAACCGACTATTCTCATTCCCAGGCATTTTTTCCATTCATCTTGCTCTTCAAAATGTGTGAATACATTAAATCGCTCAGTGTTGAGTGGTGGTAAATCACAGCTCTGCACGCCCGACTTCCACTGAAGCCGCTGACAAGAAAACCTCATAAGAGGAGATCACTTGATATAATAATCTTGTTCCAGATATGAGGTGGGGGGAGCCAGAGGCCATAAACGGGAGAAAAGGAGGAAAGGAAGAAGATGTGGCCATGCAGCACGAATCAAAAATGAACCAAAAAGAAAAAAAAGAAAAACTTTAAGCCCCTTCCTTTAAAATAGCTTTGGCATATAAAAGAATGAGAAAACATTTCCTCCAAAGTCGCAGTCCTTTGGGGGCAAAACTAAACTGGGCTTTGTAAATAAGAATTTAGGACTTAGAAGATAAGTAGTTTGAAAACTACTAATCATCACTTTCAAATCTGAGTAAACTTTCAAAGGGTTAAAAAAAAAAAACTCCAAACATTTCTCTATATTTAGGTCTTTTTAGGGCCTCAGATAGAAATCAAGGGACTAGTAATCAGTACTTTAAAGATTAAGTTCTAAGTGCCCCCAGACAATCAGAAAATGAAACTTTCTTCTCTGCGAAGCTTTATGATGTGACCTGAGTGCAATCAGCAAAGAACACAAAAGAATCATGACTGATTCTAAGTCATGACCAAATTTCAGAGGTACAGGGGGAAAGTAGGACCACAGAAAAGAGGAGACAGAAAACCATCAATCTATACATCTCAAAGCTTTTAATACACAATCTATTTCATCATATCTACAGTCTTTGTGGCTGCAAAATGTTGCCTCAAGCTTAAAATGACAAATAAGGAATGGTTTCTTTTTTTGCTTTCCAAATTTTATTTTTAATTGACAAATGATATTTATATATTAATATATTTACAGAGTATAATGTAGTATACTGCATTATCTCATTTATATGTGGAATGGCTTAAGAATCAATGAAGGAATCCACTAAGGTTTCCCATAATTAGTTCTTATATAGTGCACTCTCTGCTAAAGTATATTTCTATGCATCTTTCCCCAATCATGTTTATTACTTACAATAAGGTTCACCTGTCTTCCTGCTTCCATAATAAAGTCTTTATTGTTTTTAAATTTTAGTCATTAAGAAATCCTTCTTATACAGGAGAGAAGACACGTCTGGAAAGTTTTTCACTTATTTCCCCTTGAAATATTCCTGAAATTTTTTGAATAAAATTCAATATTCATCCAACAAGAATTCATGGAGTAATAGAAACTCTGCTCCAGGCTCTCTGCTTTTATAGTTCGGAGCTGATTCCTTATGAAGACAACCTGACACCATAGGCACATTCAGCTCTGCTCCCTAATGCTGAGGAATACTTGTCTGAAAGGTGCTTCCACCTGGAAGCTCTGGACACACCCTACGTTTTGAAAGGAATAGCTGCAGGTGGAAAGAACATGTTACATTTCATTTCTGCATATCACAGGTCTAAGTGTCTTATCTCCCACCACCATTAGGATTTTAAAGCCAATTGATGCACACTGTAAGTGTATTTCACCACCATCCCTAGGAAAATGTTTGTCCTATGTCTAAAAGTTTGAGCTTTCACAAGCCCAACTCTCGAGGTTCAGCGCAAGCATTTTGCTATCTAGCCCATTTTGATCGTGTGTGCCAGATACGGTAACAAGGCCAAGTCGTTTTATGCCCGCCTTCCCCAGTTCCTCCTCATCCTTTTCATCCCATGTCTAATAACTGGGCTACAGTTGTCTCTAAGTCAAAGGCCCCCACATTGTCTTAACTTTTCATAACATTAAACACCAGTTTAAGCCACAAAGCTACCAACAATCTGTAACACCCAGCCTCCTTTCCTGCCCCTTCACCATAAACAAATATGTCTGTTCCATCATCATACTCCACCACCACTTAGAGTTCTGTGTCTAGAGCTCTGTTAGGGAGGCATATGGTTTCATACCTCTGGACTTTAGAATGTACTTTTATTTCTGTTTATGAGGCTAACTCCAGCACATCCTTCAAAACTTAACTCAGGCATAGCATCTGCTGGAAGTTTTCCCAGATCCCTCCTACCCCAAGTCTTTCTCACCTCCATGCCCCAAAGATCTGCTGCGTACAGCCCTGGAGTAACTTTTCACTGTTCCTTCCCCAGTTTGTCACCCTTGAGGAGTTTGCCTCATTGATTTATGAGCATCTTGCCATTTTAGGAGCTCTTTCTATATCTGCTCCAAGGTTAGCACCTCTAATGTAGCATCTAATTCTTAAAAATCAGAGATAGAAATTATTTTTTCTCTTTGTCAAAAGGGAAAGCAATCTCAAAAAAATTTGCTCAATGTCACACATCTCACATCTAGTAAATTGCAGACCAGAGATTACTGCTTCCATAGCTCTCAGTCTTCACCAGTTTGGAATATTAGTTTTCTATCTTCAATCCTTTTCACCATATTTATGCCTTATTAGAGACTGAATAAATATTTGCTGATTTAAAAATAATGAATGCTCACAGGGCACAGTGGCACATGCCTGTAATCCCGGCTAGTCAGAGCCTGAGGTGACAGGATTCATTGAGTATCAAGAGTGTAGTATGCTATGATTGCACCAGTGACTAGACACTGCCCTCAAGCCTGGGCAACATAGCAAGACCCCCATCTCTAAAAAAGAAAATGACAAAAAAATTAGTGATTGAGTGACTGCATGGGGCCATGTCATATTAATCTCCATAGTACTATCCTTGACAGCGCCACTCTGTTCATGACAAATTGGGTCTCTGGTTCACAGTCTCTCACTCCTTCAAACCTGCTATGATTCTGGGTTACATTGAATACCCCATCCAATATCCTGGTGTCTCAGTTCTCCAAAGTCCTCCAATAGACCTCTCTACAGATATTCCCTATACATATCTTCATCCTCTTTCTCTGAGAACGGACTTTGGTGTGCAGGAATATCAGCCCTGGAAATCATGTTAACAGTATGTAACATTCCTTGGACAGTTGATTAGGCCCAAGCCACACCAGTCACATTCTGTCTCCCAAGATTTAGAATTGAGCTGGTCAATTGAACTGAGAAGTCTTTAAACTCCAGAGCTGTGAAGTGGCCTCTTTTGTTTCTGTGCATGCCAAGTAGTGAAATCCAGTGTGCTGAGAAAGAAAATGAAGCAGATATATAGACACAGAAGCAGAAGAAAAAAACAGAATATCACTTGAATGATGATGGCTCTATATTTACTTTTATAGCATGATGGCTTAGTGCCAGACTGCCCTTGGGTTGGTTCCAGAACTTTATAAATAAATAAATTAATAAATATATATATATTATATATATATATATTATGTGATATCTCCAATACATTTTCTTTGTTGTTTTGCTTGAGTTACTTGGAGAGTTTTAACTAAGATAATTCTTCATTTCCAGGTACCTCTCTGACACTTTTTTTTAGTGGCATAATCCTTGGCAGCATCCCAAATAGCTCTACCTCCAACATCACTAAAGCCAACATTCCTTTTTTGACCTCACACTTAAATTTTTCCAACTTAGTTTTTCAACTAATATCTCTATCTATTGTTCAGGCTCAATTAATTCTCCAGTTTATTGGCACCTCAACCTTCTCCCTATCCAAAAGCAAGCCATGTGTGTTCACTTACCCCCTCATTCATTTATAATCTTATCCTTTACACCCTCCACTTGTCAATACACTTAACTTCCTTGCCACTTTGACCTGCTCTAGGACCATCTAAAAACCAGTCATCATCAGAAACAACCATAGCAACAATTTGGATTAATCCAGTTACCGTGCCTCTTCCACACCTGCACTTGGAAAGTTAAGCACGGGGAGAGAAATATCTCCTAGAAATTCATGGTCACTGACTTTTACTCCTGTTATATTTCTCCTATCAATTTGAAGTCTCTCACTTCACGATAACTATCACAAACCTCTTTTCCCAAACATTGTATCATATTCCATCAACTCCCTAAGTCTTGGCATTATTTTTATATAATAATAACATTAATATTAACCATAGTTTACATTTTATAGAGCTTCCATGTTAGGCACTTTTCCAACTGTTTTGCCTACAATGGCCCATTTACTATATGAGCTAAGTACCATCATTAATTATATCTTACAGATAAATAAACTGAGGCACAAAAGAAGTAGCAGTGTCTGGCCAGACGTGGTGGCTCATGCCTGCAATCCTACCACTTTGGGAGGCCGAGATGGGCAGATCACCTTAGGTCAGGAGTTCAAGATCAGCCTGGCCAATGTGGTAAAAACCCATCTCTACTAAAGATACAAAAAAATTAGCTGGGCGTGGTGGCAGGTGCCTGTAATCTCAGCTACTCAGGAGGCTGAGGCAGGAGAATCACTTGAGCTCATGAGCTGGAGGTTGCAGCGAGTGGAAATGTTGCCATTGCACTCCAGCCTGGGCAACAGAGTGAAACTTCGTCTCAAAAAAGAGAAAGAAAGAAAAGAAAAGAAAAGAAAAGAAAAGAAAGAAAGAAAGAAAGAAAGAAAGAAAGAAAGAAAGAAAGAAAGAAAGAAAGAGAAAAAGAGAAAGAAAGAAAGAAAGAAAGAAAGAAAGAAAGAAAGAAAGAAAGAAAGAAAGAAAGAAAGAAAGAAAGAAAAGTAGCAGCAGCTAGTAAAAGGCAGAGGCAGGATTCAAATTCAGGCAGTCCAGCTCTAAAGAATCTGCTCTAATTTCATCCTGCCTCACATAAAAACATATAAACACCATTTTATAGGAATTAACTCAATATCCCATCAACAAATCTATCTATATGCAAGGTGTTTGCCCTATCATTTCCTCCTCTCCTCCATCCCCCATATAGAACAATCTCCTTACCTATCTCTAAATTTCCATTTCTTTCTCCATCTCCGAAATCTTACTCTAGGTATTATACCATCTGTCTCCTGTGTCTAAACCCTAACATTCTAATTTGGGGGTCGGGAGTCCGATTTTTTATATTCCCAACATTTTATTATTTATTTTTGCTATTATATTTATAACAAGTAACAGATATTTCCTCACCCTGGTATCTCTTTATTGGTGTCACTTGTCACTTGCTTAAGGCTCACAAAAACATTTCTTTTCTCTCAAAAGGCATTATAATATTTTGAAGATTTGTTTTATTACTTCTGTGTCATCCATGATCCTTTCATCTCTTCATTTGTTTTGGTCTGTCTTTCATGACTAAGGTTCCTAAAGTGTTTTAGTTTCTCTTTGGCTGTGAGTTCATTCTTAAAGCACTGAAAAGCCAATGGAAATACCTTGTTTGCAGAAAGAGCTTTTCCAGTAAAGGGTGATCTGAGCTTTCGGTTTAAGGACTCCATTAGACATCAGAGTTGATTTAACTCCTAATTATGGATTGAATTGTATTTCCTGTCAACATTCATATGTGGAAGTCCTAACCCCCAGTACCACAGGATGTGCACTTATTTGGAAATAGAATTATTGCAGCTGTTACAAGTTCCTAACGGAGTAGGGTGGGCCCTTAATCCAACATGACTGGACACAGGGAGAACACCTTATGAAAAATATGGCAGAGATCAGGGTGATGCTTCTATAAGCCAAGAATACCAAAGATTGCAGGCAGGCCACCAGAAACCAGGGGAAGGCATAGATCAGGTTCCCTCTCACCTCCCTCAGGAGGAATCAACCCTACTGACATATAAATATATATATATATATATATATATATATATATATATATATGACACATATTTATTTTTAGACAGTCTCTCTCTGTTACACAAGCTGAAGTCCAGTGGTGGGAACATGGATCACTGTAGGCTCAACCTTCTGGGCTCAAGCAATCCTCCCACCTCAGCCTCCTGAGTAGCTGTGACCACAGGCACTCACGCAACCAGGCCTGGATAATTTTTTTTTTTTTTTTTTTTTGGTAGAGACAGTGTTTTGCCATGTTGCTCAGGCTGGTCTCAAACTCCTGAGCTCAAGTAGTCCTCCCACCTTGGCCTCCCAAAGTGCTGGGAGTACAGGTGTGAGCTCAGCCACCTTGATTTCTTGATTTCAAATTTCTAGCCTCCACAACTGTGAGACAATGAATTTCTGTTGTTTAAGCCACTCAATTTGTGTTACTTTGTTATGGCAGCCCTAGCAAATTAATGTTCCACTTCTGAATGCCCTCCAGGAAACTCTGTTCCTGGCTTCTCTCTTTTAGAAGCAGGGTGGAGAATACCTGCTGGGATGCCCACTCTTCAATATGGAAACCCTTAGTTCCCTTGTTTTTAGTCCTGTACTTCACCACTTACACACACACACACACACACACCCCTCCTGTTGTGTCAGGTGGCCTAATTTCTTCAGATTGAAAAGTCTGCTGGATGGCTGTGTGGGAGGGTGGTTCGCTTGCCTGTGCTGACTGGGGCAGTGGGTCAGCAACGCCAGGTGCTCCACACACAGATCTTCAAAATCCCTCTCCTTTTCTTCTTACGCCTGCAGTTTATTTTTCATGGTACATGGTATCTCTAAAATATGAAGCTCTACCGAGCGTCTTGAGTCATTTCGGGGTACTAAAATTACAACCATATTGGTATTTCCCTCTGCCATAACCTAGTTTGTAAATAAATTGCTTACCATTTCTCTGTCTGCTTCCAAAATTGTATTGTATTCTCATGATTACCACTGTGAATGTATACCTTTCTTAGTCCCTTTATTCTTATTTAATCTGGTTATCTGTTAGAAGTGGAGTTAAGCATGGATGAACAATTTATCTTCCCTCAAAAAACTTTGCCAGCATTTAAATATGCTCCTAAATTTGCACCTCTTTTAATTCCACATTTCCCCTTAGCTATTGTTCTGTCAGCATCCTCCTCTTCACAGATAAACTTTAAGAATTGTTTATACCGTACATCTCCATTTCACTACCAGCCTCTCAATCCTCACACCTCTCTCAGCTAGCTTCTGGCCCTATACCAGTTCCATGAGAAGTGCACAAATAATGTCTTCTAAGACTTCAGTGCCATTAAACCCTAAAGACACTCTTCAGTTGACCTCTCATCAGTATTGGCTAGATGGGCATACTGTGACTTCTTATAATATTCTCAATCTTTGCCTCCTGTGACATTTCTTTATCCTAACTTGCCTACTATGTCCAAAGCTATGCCATTCAGCCTCCTGTGCCAACTGAGTTTCCTCTACCTGAACTTTAAATGCTGGGCTTCCCCAGGATCTCTCTGAGGCACAATTTTCTTTCAAGGCTACTTTCTTTGTGATTCATTTCACTCCTGTGGTTCTATTCACCATCCATTCTCTCATGACTCTTAGATGTACTTCTCCAATTCAGACTAAGCCCGGGAGCTACTGACCCATGTATTCAACTAACTCTTTAACATCTCCTTGTAGCTTTCTTATATGCATTTCAAGCTGAATATGTAAGTAACAAAATAAAAGGTAATATACCACAACCATGACATTAAAAAAAAAAAAAAACAGAAAAGCAGGAGTGCATAAAGGAAATAGCACAGGATTTGCTTGTGCTAAGATCTGGTAAGGACCAATACCTGAAGAAAATAGATATTAGACAAGATATATGTTGAAAGACTAAGAGGTTCAGCATAGCTGTGATTATGCTAATAGAGAGGCATTTAGTGAGGGTTCTGGGCAGCAAGGAAGCCAAATGATGGCACATCACAAGGTGGCAGAATGAAAAGCAGGACACTGGCCTGTGTCTTCACAACTTGTCCTGATGTTGGTCCTGATGATATATTTATTTATCATGCTATCCATGTATAAAATGTTTGTATTTTTAACCCACTCATTTAGTATCATCAATCATCTCAAGCTACAGACATCTAGGAGTACAGACAGGGCCTATTTTGATATATACCCTTTATTCCACCAGCTAGAGTCCCCCAACTCACGACCGAAAGCCCCTATTCCTGTATGAAGGATGAAGATGGAATGGAAGGTCAGTAGAGATTGAGAACTCCATGATGTCCCAGAAACTGTTTCTGTTCCTCGTAGGGATTCTTAATTTTCCTCACCAGTGAGATAGTACAAACTTTTCAGAAAAAAAGTATGGGTACTTGGTGCCAACATTAATCTCCTACCAGTGTTATTGTGGAATAAACTATACTGATTTGTTCCAACAATCAACTTCCATTTCTTCTACAGGTAGTCTCATACTAGGGATGTATGTATTGAGCCTTTTGTTTTCTTTTCCCATAGCTGTGATCCCAAAGCGGTGAAAAATGCTTCTTCAGGACCACCAATCAGATTATAATTTTTAGCAATTCCGTCATTCTGATAATTCTTTTATTTTTTTTTCTTTTGAGACAAGTTTTCACCCTGTTGCCCAGGCTGGAGTGCAGTGGCACAGCCACAACTCACTGCTGCCTTAAACTCCTGGCCTCAAGTGATCCTCCCACCTCAGACTCCCAGCTAGAACTACAGGTGCACACCACCATGCCTGGCTTTTTTCTTTCTTTTTTTTTGAGACAGAGTCTTGCTCTGTCACCCAGGCTGGAGTGCAGTGGTGCTATCTAAGCTCACTGCAACCTCCACCTCCTGAGTTCAAGCGATTCTCCTTCCTCAGCCTCCTGAATAGCTGGGCTTACAGGCATGTGCCACCACACCCAGCTCATTTTTATATTTTTAGTAGAGACAGGGTTTCTCCATGTTGGCCAGGCTGGTCTTGAACTCCTGACCTCAGGTGATCCGCCCACCTCGGCCTCTCAAAGTGCTGGGATTACAGGCGTGAGCCACCATGCCCAGCCTAATTTTTAATTTTTATCTTTTTTTGTAGAGATGAGGTCTCACTATGTTGCCCAGTTTGGGGTTAAACTCCTGACCTCAAGCAATTCTTTCACCTCAGCCCCTAAAGACTACAGGCATGAGCCACCAGGCCCAGCCCAATAGTTTTAATTTCCTATGCCTCATTTTGGAATCAGTTTTTGAAACTTTTTCGCTTTATTTGGGACGGGAATTCGGTTTCACAAGGGACCACAGGCTGTTACAGATCTCTACCTATTAGCTCTGCCTTTTTCCAAAAAACTGGTCTTTTTCCCAAGACTTCTAACTCACCACATCCCCCTGTTCGGTCAGCAGGTTCAACTTGATTACAGAGCTTCTCTTTGGAGCTATCAGTGTACATCCTTCAGCAGATATTCAGAAACAGAACCACTTTATGTTCCCATCTTAGAGATGATAAAACTGACACTTAGACTAGTGAAATTATTTCAGAAAATTCGTAAAGCTACTTAAATGAGGTACTCTCTATAAAATGTTCAGCAGAGAATTATGCTTTTCACTTCCCCCACATCACACCTGGCCAAGCCAAGAATATCTCTCATCTAGATTCTTCCAATAGGCTCCTACTTGGTTCCCCCACAGCTCCTTCTTCTTTTTCACACACAGTTCAAATGACACTTTTAAAATATAGATTATGTCATTCCGCAGATCAAATTCTTCAATGGCTTCCATCTCATTCTGAGTAAAAACCAAAGTCCTGACAGTGTCCTCTAAAGCTCTATTTAATCTGGTCTTTATTATATCTCTCACTGTGTCTGAAACAGTTTTCCCCTCACTTGTCTCCCCCTACCATAGCGGCCTCCTTGCTGATCACAGAGTGCACCAAGTATGCAGCTACTGCAAGGCCCTTGCATTGTTCTCTGTGCCTGGACAGCCCCTCCTCCAGGCATTTGCTTCTCTCAGATCTCTGCTCCAGCATCACTTTTGTGGCTTGCTTAGCTGGCCAGTCTTAAATTGTAACCCTCCATGGCTCCCCAAACTCCTATTTTATTTTCCTTCATAATTCTTTCACTATCTGATATACTCCATGTTTTACCCTATTTTGTTTATTGTGTGTCTTCTCATCCCTTTCCCCACACACATAACACACACACACATCACATACATACACATCACACACAAGTAGAGCTTAAAAATATATGGCATTTTTATTTTTGTCATTGTTTTGTCACTATTATTTTTAATGCTATTGCTATTTGCATTAAACAGAGTGAGAACCCACTTCTTCTGATGTCCCCTCTCAGTGCCTTACCCAAAAATATTGTAGGTGAAAAGATAAAGAAGGAATAAAAAATTATAACAGTGAAAATGAACAATAAATAAGTAACCCCAAAGGCAACATAAGAGCTAATAATTTTTCCATCAAATGTGCACTGAAACTATGAAAGATGCAGCAGAACTGTTAAAATATGTTCCATATCCTCCTGCATTATCTTCCAAAGTAGCATGGAGGCCAGTGATGCAAATAATGATTCAGGTGTTGTTATCAGAGAACACGCATTACATGATTCAAGGTGCATGACTGCATGCTTGCTAAGAGTATTTGGGGAAGGCATTTCTTAAATCATCAGAAGCTGTCTGGGAGGAAAAGTTTATAACTTCCTTTCTTAAAAGGAAATATCGAGCTTCCTTCCTAACATGGGACTGGAGAACATTAAACTTACATTCTCCTAGTAGCCAAAAAGTAACCCAAAAGTTGCATCTACTTAATTTTGAAGTTTTGGGGTTCATTCCCATGAACATGGTCATATTACGGTTTCCTCTAAAGACAAACCACTCCATGCAAAATGAAATGTTATTAGCCACATGCCTACCGTATTTATGCTTCATGGGATATGTCAGACAACTGCCAAGCTCTTGTCCATATCACAACATACCCAGTGTAGGGAGCCCACAGCATTAGAATCAGACTTCAAGCTCTCTCTTGCACTCCTAGTTAAAGGAGCTTTGCAATGTTACTCAGCCCCAATGAACCTTCATTTTCTTATCTCATGCAATGGCTATCAGTGCATTTTCCTCCTATGGTTGTTTTGAAGATTAAAGAGATGGTATATGTAAAGTTTCTGGCAGAGAGCCTAAAAAATAGCAGGTGCTTGATAAATGTTAATTTCGTTTCAATTCCCCAGATGTCTCAAACCACGGGCCTCTTGCTCTGACTAGTTCATCTGTTCACTTAATCCATGTAAAGTATGTTACCCTTCACTGATAACAGAAAACATTTTTACTGAAAAATGATCTATACCAAGATAAGTGACATAATTAGTAGTAATAGGGCATCTCAAATGCATCATAGAAGAGAAATTTTGAATCAGCTGAGACATAAGTAGCTATCTAACAACTTTACCTAAATGAGCCCAGAAAAAAGGAAATAGACTCCAAAAGTTTTGTTAAGAGATTAAACAAGATTATTAAACAAAGTATAGTAGACAATTGTTTTTGCTACCTGATTCCTATCTACTCTTCTGTGGAAACTTTGTTTTGTGCAACCAACCTTGCCCCATTCTCACATTGTGCACCCAAAGTGTAGTGAATACCTTCCCTGGGCTGCAAGGATAGAGTATATATTTAGCCTAAGCTAAATCAGACAGCCTAGGCCACACTCAACCCATGTGTTCACATGCCATGTTTCGGAGACAGGAAATGGGACTTAATTAGAGGACCAGTTTTAAGCTCTCAGGCAAGAGATTACTCTCCTGCTTAATGAAAATGCTGAAACTCTAAGCGTAAAGGTACAAGTGGCCTCCGTGTAAGAGCCTTGGAAAGAAACCATTCCAGGCCAGGCGCGGTGGCTCACGCCTGTAATCCCAGCACTTTGGGAGGCCGAGGTGGGCAGACCACAAGGTCAGGAGATCGAGACCATCCTGGCTAACACAGTGAAACCCCGTCTCTACTAAAAATAAAAAAAATTAGCCGGGTGTGGTGTCGGGTGCCTGTAGTCCCAGTTACTTGGGAGGCTGAGGCAGGAGAATGGCGTGAACCTGGGAGGCGGAGCTTGCAGTGAGCCGAGATCAGGCCACTGCACTCCAGCCTGAGTGACAGAGCGAGACTCTGTCTCAAAAAAAAAAAAAAAAAAAAAAAAAGAAACCACTGCAGAGAAAGTAGAATGAAATGTTTTCCTGTGCTATAGTTTAAGTCCTGAAATAAAAGCAAATGTGGCAGATGTTGTTACCTTGCCCATAGCTTCTCAGCACCTATGGTTTCCATGCACACCCACAACTTCCTACTGTCAGTACCTACAACTCTCTACCTGAAGTCTGTCTCTGATTGGAGGAGTATGCTCAGGCTGAGCACAAAGGAGGCCAGACATACCTGGAAGCTATGTACAGGGATAAATGAATGATTGGAATTGAAGGATAAATACCCCTGCTTCATTGCTCCTCAGTTAGGATAACTCTGAGATGATCTTACAGCATTCCGAGGTCGATTAAGCCTCAGTTTCCCACTGTAGCAAACTGTCAACATACATTTGCTTGGTTATTTTCTTTTCTTCCTTCACTTTCCTATTCCTTTACCAATGCTTCTTGAGGTCCTCTCCAAAATAAAGTTCATGAGTATGCTAAACTTTGTTTTGGAGTTTGCTTCTGGGAGAACCCAATCTAACACAGTTGGTGCCTAAGCAGCCCTAGGAATCAGACCCTCAAGGTGAAATTCTAGAATCAGATCACTTACTAGTCAACTGACCACAAGGACTCCACTGCTGATTTGTGCAGTAAAATTCTTCTCATAAGTTGAAGATTATTAAGAACCTTACCTGTGGCAGATTGGGATGAAATAAAATGGATGGCAATGGGCACAATTATGTAATATTCTAGCCTTTGAAAGACATGAGAGTATTAGTACTTACAATAACTTTGGAGTTGGTAGGCTGGTCTTATTAGCCAAAAGTTCCCTGAAAAAAGGAAGAAAGCAAGCCAACTCTCAAAAAAGATCTTCTTTTCTGCAGTCAGATGGAAGACTGCTGAAAATCAGACTCAAAATTTGATTGTAAAGATTGCGCTACAGAAAAAGCTGAATTCATAGCCTTGGCAAGCCTCCTATGCTACAGTCAGAAACTTGACAGAGAAGAAAAGGGACTTGAGCTAGTTCTTAAACACAAAAACATTCAATTGAAGAGCAGGCCCATTTTCTTGAAGGGCCCTGCAATTTCATAGAAAGTATATACAATAGTGATTCCTCCAATTTTTTTCCCAAAGTGACCAAAAACCACTTAGAATACCTGCCACAGAGGACAGATGAATACCTAAATCTTTTGAAAGCTGTCATATAATTGGTAGTAGCTGTTATAAATGCCAAAATACCATCATGGGCTTTATTTAAAGTGGGAATGTATGAAGTCCAGATGATTGATGAAGTTCTGGCCCAAGTCTGCCTCACAGTAGGTGGAGCTCACTGTGCATCCACTTACTATGTGATCTTGAGAAAAGACAGATACTAAGCACCCAGGAGAACCATCACCAGGTTCTGGACCTATGGAATCAGAGCAATTATGGCAGTAAAGTCCAAATGGAAGCCCCAGCAAGGTATGATACAGAAGCAATACCAAATCCCAGTTCAATCCCAAAAACTTAAATGTGATGAAACTTAAATGTGATTCAGAAGCAATAAATCTCAGTTCAATCTCAAAAACTTAAATGATGAAAGTGTGGTTGATGGTCCCCATCATATCCCATAATTCACTACAATCCTGCAAAAACTATATCTGGCATTTGAAGTCTTTTCAAACCCCAAAAGATCTCATTCACTTGGAACATATACATTCATAGTCTTACTTCGGGGCTATATTAACTTCCCACTCTCTGCCACGATATAGTTCAAAAAGAGTTTGATCATCTTAGACATAGATGATATGATATTCCAGAAGTCAACACACTGGTTGTTTAGTAATCACATCAAGTTAATAAGGCTCCTGAATAGAAAACAGCAAATACTCTGGATGCTCTTGTAAGACACAGGAAAAACAGAGTAGGTAACAAACCCTACAAAGATTAAGAGAAGATTAAGAGAGACCTGCTGCGTCAGTGAAGTTTTTAGAGTACAGAGTTGTAGAGCATACTAGCACCTCCCCTACTTGAGTTAAAAAACAAGTTGTTGAACCCTGTACCTCCTACTTTCTACCACTAAGAAAGAGGCTTAGCCCAATGTGATGGAGCACCCCTGTGGTTCTAGCTATTCAGGAGGCTAAGCAGGAGAATGGCTTAAAGCCCAGGAGTTCAAGGCTGCAGTGAGCTATGATCACACCACTGCACTCTAGCATGGACAACAGAGAGAGATCCAGTATCTAACTAAAAAGTAAAAAATAGGCCAGGTGCGGTGGCTCACGCCTGTAATCCCAGGACTTTGGGAGTCCAAGGCAGGTGGATCACAAGTTCAGTAGTTCAAGACCAGCCTGGCCAATACGGTGAAACCCCGTGTCAAAAATTGCTGGGCATGGTGGCACACACCTGTAGTCCCAGCTGCTTGGGAGGCTGATGCAGGAGAATCCCTTGAACCCGGAAGGTGGAGGTTGCAGTGAGCCGAGATCACGCCACCGCACTCCAGCCTGGGTGACAGAGTGAGACTCTGTCTCAAACAATTAAAATTAAAAATTAAAAAAATAAAATATAAAATAAAGAAGCTTCATATCTTCATGTTTGGTAGGCCTTTTGAATTTGGAGACAGTCTATTCATACCTGGGGATATTGCTTTGACTGGATGACTGCTGCTAGCCTTACTTACTTTCTGATATCCTATATATACATATATATAAAATATGTTTACATATGATAATGTGGGGAAAAGTAAGTCTAAGTAGCACAAGAGTGGACTGTAGGTGAGGGTGTCAATGCTCCCCCATGCCCATATGTCTTTTGCAATCAATATCTCCATGGATGCTTACAGCTGCCAACTGCAAACAACAGTGATTTTGTATGCAGGTTTTCTCTGTCCATAAAAGTATGTTAAGCCTATACTTGCGGCAGGCAAAGTGCTAGAGAGTCAGTATGCCTATGAGCAGCCCTTTAACCAATGATAGAATAGATTGGACATCAATAACCTAACTTCTTTACCTCTTAGAACAACTCTTAGGCATGGTTGAAACTGTGTTCCAGAGGACCCAGACAGAATCTAGGTTGTTCACAATGATAACATGCTCATATATGCATCCTATATTGGTCTTTTCCTCTTGCCTACCTTATTTCCATTTTCAATAATGGTGCTTCAGAGGTCAGGAAAGAAATTGCACTCAAATCTTTGTCTATTTGTAGGTATGCTTCTAGGTCTTACTCTAGGAAAAGTTAACCTAAAATAGTACCTTTACTTTGGACTAATTCTGAACATTTTTGCTAATGTGAGCTAGTAAATCTTCTTATTTCCATAGACCAATTTGAGCCAGGTTTTCTTCCACTTATATCTAAAGAGGCTTTTACAGAGACTATAATAAACGAAGTAGGTATATGCTTATTTTTAAAGAATATGCTCTATTTGCACAATTCTGGAGACTATTACTTTTCTTGACCATTGCCAGGCTTTCTAAAATATACATTTCTCAAAGTCAGAAATCATGAGTTACTTTATTTGTAATCTTCCTGACTCTCTAAACAAGGTCCATATCTCTTTTTCTGTCCCATTATTTAACTACAACTTCCTATTTTTCTACTTTACCTTTTAAAGGTAGCATTCTCCAGGTTTTTATATTTGATTGTCTCATTGTATTAGTCTGTTCTTATGCTGCTAATAAAGATATACCCAAAACTGGGTAATTTATAAGGGAAAGAGGTTTAAATGACTTACAGTTCCACATGGGTGGGGAGGCCTCACAATCATGGTGGAAGGCAAATGAGGAGCAAAGTCACATCCTACACAGCAACAGGCAAAAGAGCTTGTGCAGGGGAACTCCCCTTTATAAAACCGTCAGATCTCGTGAGACTTATTCACTACCATGAGAACAGTATGGGGAAAACAACCCCTATGATTCTATTATCTCCACCTGAACCCTCCCTTGAACTGTGGGGATTATTACAATTCAAGATGAGATTTGGGTGGAGACACAGCCAAACTATATCAGTCCACCCCAGCCCCTCCCAAATTTCAGGTCCTCACATTTCAAAACCAATCATGCCTTCTTAACAGTCCCCCACAGTCTTAACTCATTTCAGCATTAACTCAGAATCCACAGTCCAAAGTCTCAACTGAGGCAAGGCAAGACCCATCTGCCTATGATCCTGTAAAATCAAAAGCAAGTTAGTTACTTCTTAGATACAATGGGGGTATAGGCATTGGGTAAAGACACCCATTCTAAAAGGGAGAAATAGATCAAAACAAAGGGGAAACAGGCATACACCAAACTCGGTAATGTATATTTAAAAAAAAGAGGTTTAATTGACTCACAGTTCCACATGGCTGGGGAAGCCTCACAATCAGAAGGCGAATGAGGAGCAAAGTCACATCTTATATGGCAGCAGGAAAGAGAGCTTGTGCAGGGGAATTCTCATTTATGAAACCTTCAGATCTCATGAGACTTATTCACTACCATGAGAACAGTATAGGGGAAATGGCACCCATGATTAAATTATCTCCACCTGGCCCTGCCCTTGACATGTGGGGGTTATTACAATTCAAGGTGGGAGAGCTTTGGGTGGGGACACAGCTAAATCATATCACTCATCTTCCTCATAATAAAACAATACTGCATTTCTCTCTCCTACATCCTGTGGTTTCATCTTTCACCTTCTTACTGGTGACACATCTGTTTGTCTTCTGAGCTTTCAAATAACTGGCCAAAAGACAGACAGTGGGCTGAGTCTCAGTAACTTAAATTAACCTCACTCCAAATCTAATTATTCATCATTCCCATCTTCCCTATATTTTTAACTTGTTATTTCCCAGTAAATGACTTTACCAACCATAGAAGCTTCAGCACTAGAAAAATCCCTTTGTTCCCTTCTCTCTCCTTCTCCTCTCCCTCTCTTTCCCCCTCTCTTCACCTCCCTGCTCTCCCTTTTCTTTCCATCTCTCTCCACTCAACAACTAAACATGACTTTTCTCTACTGCCAAAGTTACATCCCTAAACAGGTGAGGGGAGACAGAGGAGCCAAGCAAAAACATTTCATTATAATGTACCGATTAAGAATGGGTACATGAATTCAGTCTGACCATTCAAGCAAAGACATGGAATAAACCTAGGCACCCATTAACAGTGGATGGTATAAAGAAAATGTGGCACATATACACTATGGAATACTACCTTTTAAAAGTTAGCATTCCCCAGGTTTTTACTTTTGATTGTCTCATCTTCCTCATTGTAAAACACCACCTCATTTATCTCTGTTACATCCTATGGTTTCATTTTTCACCTTCTTACTGGTTTACACAACTGTTTATCTTCAGAGCTTTCAAATAACTGACCAAAAGACAGACCGACTTAAAGAAAGAATTAAATTACGTTCTTTGCAGCAATGTGGATGCAGCTGGAAGCCATTATCCTAAGTAAATTAATGCAGGAACAGAAAACCAAATACCTCATGTTTTCACTTATAAGTGGGAGCTCAACATTGGGTACACGTGGATATAAACATGAGAACAGTAGACACTGAGGACTCCTAGAGGGGGAAGGAAAGGAGGCGGGGGCAAGGGCTGAAAAACTACCTATTGGGTACAATATTCATTACCTGAGTAATGGGACTTGTACCCCAAACCTCAGCATCACACAATATTTCTAGGTAGCAAACCTGCAGATGTACCCCCTCAATCTAAAATAAGAGTTGGGAAAAAAAAGCCTCAATATTTATGGCCAATGGGAATCAGTTCAATGTTACATAAGTATCTAAAAACTTTTTCCCCTTTGTTGTTCTTCATTCCTAATTCGTCAAGTCATGTTAATTTTAACACTTAAATATGTTTCACTTCTATTGGTTTACCCCTTTCCCTTTTCCTGACCACTTGTACTGGCATTTTTAGGGCTCTGTCAGTCTTGCCTAGATTACTGCAGTCTGTATGCTCCAATCTATCTATCCCAGCCTCTATGCTTTATAGAATGCTTTTTCCAATATTCCAAATAGACTCTATTTATTCCCTATTTAAATCCTTCTAGGTTATGGTTGTCTTAAATATAAAATTTAATCTCTGGACCATATAAGGCCCTTCATGATCTGATACCTGCAATTCCTCCCAGTCCCAATCCCAGCCCCAGTTCCCCAAACTCATCTGACTGTTCCATCAACTCAAGTATCACTTCTTCGTGGAAATCTTCCCTGATTCTCCAAGGTCAACTTAGTTAAGTGCTCCCACTTCTATCATAGTGCAGAGAAGGATTCCTGGGACCATGAGCCTTTGTGCAGCTCCATTATGGCAAATATCTCACTATATTATGTATTTTCCCATTTGACAGCAAGGCCCTGAGGGCAGGCATTGTGGCCTATTTGACTTTGGTTTCCTAATACTGAGCAAAGTACCTGGCACAGTGGACTTCTGATAAATGCTTATTTAAAAAAATTAACAAGTGAACGAACAGGTCAGTGTTACATGTGGCAAACCTTTGAGTTTCTACATAGCACTGATGGTCTACAGCAGAAATTTTGCATATTTATTTGCTTTCTCCAAAGGCCCAAAAAGTGCTCCATATGTTCTAAGAACCACTTCCCCTCTGGGTACGGGGGAAGAACAGGGCAGCTCAAGTCTTCTAATGGAGTCTGAGCAATGAAAAGTCATCTATAGAGCAATGTAATACACTTCTTTGGAATGAAGCCTTGTGGCAGATTTTCAATGACTTAGCAATGCATTATGTATTGTCAATAATATCCAGACTGCAGCGAAGTAGGTTTGCATGCGACTACAGCACAATGTCACAGGAGAGTTTATGGTGCTTGTAACTGAAAAGCATAAAGTCGATCTTAAGTTCAATGGAGGAAATAACATGACTGACAGTATCACTTTTCAATATGAGACAAATAAATTGCTTTTATGATTGGAGACATGTAACAGAAGTATCCAATCTCCAATTCACTTCCAACAATGAGCTCAGCTCTCACCTAACCCTATCCTTCAGGGTCAAGTGTGTTATCATATGACAGCACAGGCCTCTCTCTCTACAACCACTCCTCTGCAGTTAAGCCAACAAAAATGTTTGTAACACACTTACACACACACACACACACACACACATATAGAGACAGGAGCTATGCACAATTTTGCACCCCTGCCCCATCCAGGCTCAATAGTGTACTCCTAACAACGAACAGTCTTTCTGCCTTACACACATTCTTTTGCACTCTATTCTCTCTCTGGGCAACAATTTTTGTCAAGATCAAATATCAACTAATTTTTGAAGACATTCTAGTCTATCCTGTTCAAAATAAGTCTCTTCTCCCTCCATACTCCCAAGATCCCTTACACAAAATCCATAATACATGTGTCAAAGTTATTCCAATTATTTACTTATTTTTTACTGATTGTAAACTCTTTGAAGACAGGCAAAACAGTTTGCTTTGTTTTGTGTCTCAAGAGCATAGAAGGATTCTTGGGACATATGAGACGCTCAATATATGTCTGAATGAATCGATCATTAGATTGTAGCTCTGGTTTTCCCTTTTATTTAAGAATACAACATTAATTTTTCTTCATAAGCAATAAAAAATAAAATAATGAAGTTAAAAATTAAGCTTTTTTTTGACACAGTCTCGCTGTATTGCCCAGGCTGGTGTGCAGTGGCGTGATCTCAACTCACTGAACGCTCCACTACATGAGTTCAAGAGATTCTCATGCCTTAGCCTCCTGAGTAGCTGGGATTACAGGTGTGTGCCACCATGCCCAGCTAATTTTTTGTATTTTTAGTAGAGACAGGGTTTCACTGTGTTGGCCAGGCTGGTCTTGAACTACTGGCCTCAAGTGATCTGTCCGCCTCAGCCTCCCAAAGTGCTGGGATTACAGGTGTGAGCCACTGTGCCCGGCCAAGAATACAACTTTAAGAACCAATAAATAATTCTGCTAAGACAGTATGTGATTATAATTCCAGTAAAATTCATATCTGGGAAAAGAAAACATAGCTTGCCTGGTATGTCCAAGTGGTAGAGCCTTATGTATCCTTCACCCAGTAAGAGTCCTTTCCAGCCAGACAGACTTACCATTGACCTCCATACATTAAAGGCCAATACTTAACATGGTACCTTGGTTTTTGCAATCTAGAGAGCCCTTCCTCCTCTTCTCTGCACATCTAGCCCCTCCCTACCCATCTTCAAGATCCAGTTGAAATCTCACTTCCTCCTTACAGTCTTCCCAATAAATCTAGTCCTGACACATCTTTTCACTCAAGGACTGGCGCCATGGCAATGCCTACTGCCTGACCTGAAGTCAGCCCTGTCTTATCTCTACAACTCTTTGATTTATATTCTCTACCACACTCAGCATTTGTAAATCGTCTCCTGTATTGCTTTTCAATTATTTTGCCTGTCTTATCTTCTAAGCCCCCTGAAAACTCTTGAACATCCTAATGTTTTCATTTCATGGCATTCAGTAAATATTGATATTTACATTGTATCCATAACATCTCCTGAAGGAACTGATTAATTCCCTAAAAATGGGTAAATCTGGGAAACTTGATTATAAATATATTAAAATAAAATTCCTCATATCTTATTTAGTATAAAATTAAAGAATTAAAAAGAAAGAAAATTAGGCCTTTGGGCTTCTGGACAAATTAGGGAAAGAATTTTTTCTTTCCTAAGGCCCAAAATAATTTTGGTGAGTTCTAAAACAATGCCAACACTATAAATTTATAGCAATTTTTGTATGGCCAAGATAAAAGAAGTTTATATTCAGGGACATTGGAAAATTAAAAATCTATTGAAATGTGACAGAAAAGCTTAACAGTAAATGTTTGCAATACTTATGCACACGTAAATGAAACTGTACTTCTCAGAATTTCTAAAACAATTGAATACGTTTTCTAATCTTAATGTCTAACACATAACTGCCTTAATAACAGCATAAAAATATATTAAGTCTTATAATACCTGATACCATATGGCATACTATACTAATTTATGTAGTGAAGTAACTTACATAATTTACTTTTGGGGACATGGTAGCATGTTTTGAAAAGTAAGTGGACAGCTCAGGAAAAAATTAAGAGTGTGGAGTTGGGTCTTTCAAATCATTTATACATTTATAGGAAAATATTTTATTTAAATAAGAATTAAATTCAATTTTCTTATTGTTTTCCAATACCTGAATGTTTGTTAATGTGTAAAGTTGAATAATTTGCCTCATTTTCATTTCTTATTAAGATATATCAAGTCTGTGAAGGTGTTATGTGACAATTCTGTGCAATATCTTTAGCCTTCAGTAGGAGACAGGAAAGATTATTTTACAGTAATAATCCACTATGATCCAGGAATTATGTGTGTTACTTAGCCCTTATTATTTCTTCTACTATCTTGTTGATAAACCAGTGTACAGGCTGATTCAATTAAAAATAGTAACTTCAAGGCCATTCCTTTTTTTAGCCATATAGTACACACGTTGGCATACTGCAAAGTGAGAGTACCTGATTCAATTGCCACCAGTACTACTTACTATTTGTATGACCTTTTCTGTACTTGAATTTCCTCATCATTAAAATGATTATAACATTAAAACATCTACCTCATAGGTCTGTTGTGAAAATTACAAGTTTGATCTTTGTAAATCTCAGAATAATACCTTGGCAAGTAGAAGTGCTGAGTATTAGCTAATATCATTCAAAACTAATTACGGGATGAATTATTCTGTCTTCTGGATACAGTTTTTGTTATAGTTGCTTCTAGAACTTCAGTCATGGAGTCATCATCATAGGCCCACCAAAGGAAATGAAATGATAATCTGAGCTCACCTAAACATCAAGTCCTGAATAGATTTATTACATTGGTACTTTAGAGACAGATGGATCACTAGGGGTTAACCAAATGATATTATAAACAAATTTTAAATGGCTTTACTTAATAAACAATCAAACATTTTTATAAGTTACAGCTACAGGCAGTGATGTGCTGACATTCTGGGGAAGAAAAGCTCTAATTTTTGGTATTTGCAGATTTCCGTGGTATAGATTCTTCCACCATCACTGATTTCAAGCTACCAATGGTCTAAAAATGGCTGACAAAATTCTTCAGTATTTAACATTTGGCTCTTGTGAGCTATCGTGAGCTAGCTCCACACACCAGCAGCGTAGATGGACTTTCTGCATTCATCCAGTCCTAACTAAAATCCCTCAAGTGATGGGAGCAGAGTACTGTTTGTCTTGTTCTTGCTCTTCCATTTATTACCTGTTTTGTGTGACTACAGTCTTCTGACTACCTATGTATTTACAAAATCTCCAGCCACTGTGTCGCAGGTTTTAATGTGCCAACTGCCAAGTGAGCCCCAAGCAGCAGGTGTAACACAGAGATCAAGAGATCACCACCCAGTAGTCACCAGGCTGGATTCAGCCCGCAAAGCAGTTTTTTTTTTTAAATCAGTCAAAAGCTTTCTGAAATACTGAATTAATTAGCAGCATCTACAAATTAAGAGATTTCACATAAAAACACAAATTCTCAGTTTGTCTTATGAAGTTGGAAGATCTGACAACACTGAGCCCACATCCCCATGCGGCAGTATCTTCCTGGAGCTAAAGACACTTCCCCCTTTAAATGAAGTATACGCTCTCTGGTTACAAAGTGCCCTCCACCTCCAGTGCCTCACACTCCAGCCAGTTTTGCTCATTTATATAACCTTCCTGGCCCCAGAAGGATTTTGAGTTGAGAACTGTGGCATAATGTTTAAAATTTTAAAAAGCCTTGGAATTAGACAAACCTGGGAACTAGTCCAGCCACTGGCACTGACTAATGTGTGAACATAAGCAAGTGATGAAACTAGCCCAAGTGTGTTTCTTTCTCTGGGAAATGGAAATAGAAATGAAGCTCAGCTAATAGGGTTATAACAAGAACCAAACATGACAGCATACGTAAACACCTAGCCCACCACCTGTCACAGAATAGGAGCTTCATAACCGTCCTCTCCCATCTTCTCCTACACTGAACTCAAATTGCATTGCTCTTGGATTTCTTCGTATCTTGTTCATATCATTTTACTAAGACCACTTGCCCAATGAATTGGGCTCACTCTCATACAAGACTTGGCTACTTCTTTTCTTTACCCTTTCCTTTTTTTCCCAGTTATATTTCCTTTGTACACGTGCTGTTTGTCTCTGGAATGTCAGTGACCTCATATTTTCTCACTCTGGGCATGTCAGTCATTTTGCCTGTACGAGGCCCTGATCTGTCCTCAGTCTCAATCACCCATAAAAAATGAAGGAAACAGAGAGACATGCCAGTCATTTGGATTGGAAACAACTATTTACTGACCAATTCCACAATCCTTTCCCTGCTCCACAGACAACAAAGTGTTAACTTTGCTCTTAACATATGTCCTGTTCTCTCAGTTTTAAGTTTTTTCCTACTCACCCATATTAGATGAGATAATAATTGCCAAAAATCTAGAAAATTGCCACAATCTGGGGAAAGAGGGGAATGGAGCATTGTTGCTCAATGGGTAGAAAGTTTCAGTTGTGCAAGATAAGTTCTAGAGATCTCCTGTGCAAGATAGTGTGCTTATGTTGCTAATAATATGGTATTGCACACCTCAAAATCTGTTAAGAGGTAGACTGCATGTTGAGTGGTTTACTACATAAAAGCAAAAAACAAAAAAGACACAAGAAAATTTTAGAGGGGATGGAATGCTTAATACCTGGATTGTGGTTATCATGTCATGGGCGTATGCATACATCCAAAGTCATCAAATTGAACACATTAAGCATGTGCAGTTTTTTGTATGTATATCATTCATACTTCGATAAGGTTGTTTCAAAAATTGCCTACATTCTAACCTGCAAGCCATCTGCTGATTCTATTCACATTTCTGATATCTCTAGAGAGAAATATTTTATCATTTTACCTTGATAACCCCTTTTTATGCTATCAATAATCTAAATAAATATAAATACTAATAATTTTTAATAATAATAATAATAGATTTATCTCCCTCTTTTACCCACCATCACCTAATCAGTCACCAAATTCTGTTGATTCTACCTCCATAATATTCCCTGAATTCATCTATGTGTGTGGATGTCTGTTTCCATCTACCCTAGTCTGAGTCATCTTGATTTCCTTCATGGAAAACTATGATAGCCTTTGCAGCTGCTCTGTCCACATACACTCTGGTCCCACATTAATCTAGCCTCCATCCAGCAGCTAGAATGATTTTCTAAGTTATCAAATCTGATACTGCCACTGCCCTGCTTGAAAAACTTTGTGAATTTCATTTTCCTTAGGATAAATCACAAATGTCATAATATGGCACTGTAAGATGAACTGGGAGTACAGCAAGAAACAAGATACACATAGCCCCTGTCTTCAAAGAGTTTACAGTCCAGTGGCAAAGAGAGGCAGGAAAATTAAGTAGATCTATGTTGTAGTTTTGGTAAGTTCTATGAAAGAATTTTCCTAGATATCTATTGAAATTAATTTCTAGCTGTTACTATTTATATTTTGAAGGTTGCTATGATAAGATTCTGGTGAGTGAAGGAGAGAAAGGAATAAAGCTTCTGTTAATAGTGATTTCTTACAATATCGAAACTGTTTTCTAAGTGTTTGGGGCCCATTAGCTCACTGAATTTTTATCAAAAGCCCTTTATTTATTCTTTTGCAAATATTTATTGAGCACTTGTTCCAGGCATGACGTGAGAAAATAACATTTTGAAAAGGTTTAAGATAGACAAGGAAAAGAGAAATTAAAATCATGAAAACATAAGAAAAAACAAAATTACAATTAAAATAATTACTGGAAAGGAGCAACTGAAGAGATGGTATGATAAAATATGACAGGGATCAAGATGTATTATTCGGGGTCAGGAAATCTTTAGGTTAATCCTTAAAAAAAATGAGTAGGACTTTTAAAGGAAACAACAGATAAGAGAAAAAAATAAAGCATAAAACTAAGATACCTAAAGTGTTCATATGAATTGAGATTAAAAACTGGATTATAGATAGATGTAGTGAGCATATTATCCCTATTTTACAGATGAAGAAACTGATGCTGAAGAAAATTAATAACCTGTCCAAGGTCACTTACCTATAAAGCAATTCTTCAAAGACTAGAACCCAAGGCTCTCTCACTCACAAGCCTATTCTCTGAATCGCAATGTCATACTGCCTCCTGGTGTTCTCTCCACAAAGGATAAGTATGTGTTTAAGTCAAATATTATACACCTAAAAGAGCATGTCCTTATTACTTTTAATAACTAAGAATAGAATTTTAATTATAAAATACTTTCACGCATATAAAAACTTCACAGCAATTAAAAAACAATGATCCACATGATGAAGTATGAGGATTTGCTAATTACCTAATTAATTGTATTGATTTAAAAATCCAAATCACTTAACTATTTAGATCTCACAGTTTGGCAGTTTCTATTGACCAAAATAGTTGGAAGACTGCCAAATTCTCACTCCCTTTTGAAACCCAGCAAGAGATTTTGAGGGTTGCTTTTCAGTTTGTTTGACTGAAAAACAAATTCAGTAAAAATACTGGTCATTTCAATATTTTTTTTTTTATTATTATACTTTAAGATTTAGAGTACATGTGCACATTGTGCAGGTTACTTACATATGTATACATATGCCATGCTGGTGCGCTGCACCCACTAACTCGTCACCTAGCATTAGGTATATCTCCCGATGCTATCCCTCCCCCCTCCCCCCACACCCCACAACAGTCCCCAGAGTGTGATATTCCCCTTTCTGTGTCCATGTGATCTCATTGTTCAATTCCCACCTGTGAGTGAGAATATGCGGTGTTTGGTTTTTTGTTCTTGCGATAGTTTACTGAGAATGATGATTTCCAATTTCATCCATGTCCCTACAAAGGACATGAACTCATCATTTTTATGGCTGCATAGTATTCCATGGTGTATATGTGCCACATTTTCTTAATCCAGTCTATCATTGTTGGACATTTGGGTCGGTTCCAAGTCTTTGCTATTGCGAATAATGCTGCAATAAACATACGTGTGCATGTGTCTTTATAGCAGCATGATTTATAGTCCTTTGGGTATATACCCAGTAGTGGGATGGCTGGGTCAAATGGTATTTCCAGTTCTAGATCCCTGAGGAATCGCCACACTGACTTCCACAATGGTTGAACTAGTTTACAGTCCCACCAACAGTGTAAAAGTGTTCTTATTTCTCCACATCCTCTCCAGCACCTGTTGTTTCCTGACTTTTTAATGATTGCCATTCTAACTGGTGTGAGATGGTATCTCATTGTGGTTTTGATTTGCATTTCTCTGATGGCCAGTGATGATGAGCATTTTTTCATGTGTTTTTTGGCTGCATAAATGTCTTCTTTTGAGAAGTGTCTGTTCATGTCCTTCACCCACTTTTTGATGGGGTTGTTTGTTTTTTCTTGTAAATTTGTTTGAGTTCATTATAGATTCTGGATATTAGCCCTTTGTCAGATGAGTAGGTTGCGAAAATTTTCTCCCATTTTGTAGGTTGCCTGTTCACTCTGATGGTAGTTTCTTTTGCTATGCAGAAGCTCTTTAGTTTAATTAGATCCCATTTGTCAATTTTGGCTTTTGTTGCCATTGCTTTTGGTGTGTTAGACATGAAGTCCTTGCCCATGCCTATGTCCTGAATGGTAATGCCTAGGTTTTCTTCTAGGGTTTTTATGGTTTTAGGTCTAACGTTTAAGTCTCTAATCCATCTTCAATTGATTTTTGTATAAGGTGTAAGGAAGGGATCCAGTTTCAGCTTTCTGCATATGGCTAGCCAGTTTTCCCAGCACCATTTATTAAATAGGGAATCCTTTCCCCATTGCTTGTTTTTCTCAGGTTTGTCAAAGATCAGATAGTTGTAGATATGCGGCGTTATTTCTGAGGGCTCTGTTCTGTTCCATTGATCTATATCTCTGTTTTGGTACCAGTACCATGCTGTTTTGGTTACTGTGGCCTTGTAGTATAGTTTGAAGTCAGGTAGTGTGATGCCTCCAGCTTTGTTCTTTTGGCTTAGGATTGACTTGGCGATGCGGGCTCTTTTTTGGTTCCGTATGAACTTTAAAGTAGTTTTTTCCAATTCTGTGAAGAAAGTCATTGGTAGCTTGATGGGGATGGCATTGAATCTGATGCAAGGCTGGTTCAATATACGTAAATCAATAAATGTAATCCAGCATATAAACAGAGCCAAAGACAAAAACCACATGATTATCTCAATAGATACAGAAAAAGCCTTTGACAAAATTCAACAACCCTTCATGCTAAAAACTCTCAATAAATTAGGTATTGATGGGACGTATTTCAAAATAATAAGAGCTATCTATGACAAACCCACAGCCAATATCATACTGAATGGGCAAAAACTGGAAGCATTCCCTTTGAAAACTGGCACAAGACAGGGATGCCCTCTCTCACCACTCCTATTCAACATAGTGTTGGAAGTTCTGGCCAGGGCAATTAGGCAGGAGAAGGAAATAAAGGGTATTCAATTAGGAAAAGAGGAAGTCAAATTGTCCCTGTTTGCAGATGACATGATTGTATATTTAGAAAACCCCATGGTCTCAGCCCAAAATCTCCTTAAGCTGATAAGCAACTTCAGCAAAGTCTCAGGATACAAAATCAATGTACAAAAATCACAAGCATTCTTATACACCAACAACAGACAAACAGAGAGCCAAATCATGAGTGAACTCCCATTCACAATTGCTTCAAAGAGAATAAAATACCTAGGAATCCAACTTACAAGGGATGTGAAGGACCTCTTCAAGGAGAACTACAAACCACTGCTCAAGGAAATAAAAGAGGATACAAACAAATGGAAGAACATTCCATGCTCATGGGTAGGAAGAATCAATATCGTGAAAATGGCCACACTGCCCAAGGTAATTTACACATTTAAATATTTTTAAAAAATGTTATTATGATAATATCTCTTAGAGGACTATGTTAGCATATTTTAATAGTGATTAATAGAGATACAAAATATACTTAGTTAGATGTCTCTTTCCTGGAAGAATGAAGTCTTTAAATGACCTAGGTAGAATAACTGCCAAAGCAGGCTGGGTTACCATGTCTATTGAACCTTCACATTTCAGGATTGCACAGGATAGGAAAGACATTCATGCCCAGCCTACCTTTATGTACTTACGTTGCCTGTCGACATTCACGCCTGTTGGTTATCTGGCATATAAGTGAAAAGCTCCGGTGATGAGACACCCACTTCTCAAAACAGTCCATTTACTCTTCAGAAAACTTGTTTAAAAATTCTTCCTCATCTGGAGCTGAAGTCTCTTTTCTGTGGCTAAAACTCATTGATCCCAATGGTCCTATTTGAGGCATATAGAACAAGTCTGGTTCCTCTTCAGTGGAACTAGCCCACTGGACATTATTATGCATCTGTTAAGATGTCTCTTTATTAACAATTAAAAGCAGAATAACAGTTATGTTTCATTCAAGTTTTGCCTCCTGATGGTCAATGTAAGTGAGGCTCTCTTTCTGATTCTATACCTCTGCAGAAATGAGGAATTGCAATCATAATGTTCTCTAGGCATTCCAAGGCTATATACTCCAGCTCTTTCCTCATCAGCTCCCTCTCCATCTTCTTGATCCACTCGGTTCTTACAAGCTGTCAAAATAAGAACTAGTTGTAACTTCACTGAGCATCTTCCCAATTTGTTTTCCTCCAGAGATGATGACTCACAATAAATTCAATGGTCGCTATGTGTATTTTTCTAGGCAGTTATGATTTAAAATTATTTTTTTAAACTGGATTAAATTTAAAACAGATTAAATTGGCTCAAATAAGTGAAGTTCAGGGAAAATATTTCTTCAAGCCTGATTCCAAACACAGCTGCTAGCAATAAAGTTGGGGGAACTGTAAGGTATTCAAGGTATTCTTGCCTCTGTGCTGGCCACCTTCTTGGCAGGAACTCCCCCTTACGTTTTACCAGCATAGCAAGAGAGCACTCTTTTTCCATTTCAGTTCTTCTAGCAAACTTCACAGATTGACATTGACTCCCGGGCTTGCTCACGTCTGCTTTAAACCTCAAAACTGAGTCTTTGTGTTATTCCATTCCTTTTGGCCAGGCCTAAATCATGTGCCCATTCTAGGAGGCAGCATCAGTCTCAACCAAACTACATGGACTAAAAGTAATAATACTGAGTTATATTATATCAGTAAACGGAAGGCTGGGCAGGTGAAAATACTGATAACCACTACATTACAGAAAAGCCATAGCAATAGGTCTTGTATCTCCCTATCATGTTCAGTGATTAGGCAGAAGCAAAACAAATTATACTTGGAACACAAGAAAAATTCCATGGAAGTTATACATAGTATGGAAGTGCTGATTTGTGACTTTAAGTTAAAAGAATACTAGTTTGAATTTGTTGGTAATTTGAATCTCTTTAATACACCAACATGTACCCTGTACCCAGCATGGTGTTCTGGCCGTAACAGATGCTCAGAAAATATTTGCAAAATTGTTGCTGAAATTTTAAGCAAACATAATATATATGACACTATGAAAATTGATAATTTGTTTTCAATTGTGACCATTAGAATCAGGGCCAAACATAAATTCTAAAGTAATCCAAATATACATGAATGAAGTATAAGATATTGAAAAATGCAGTTCATTGTGCAAAAAAATTTTACTTCGTTTTATTTATTTAAAAAAGATGAGAGAGATATAAAGAAGTTTGGGAAAAGAAAAAAGAAGTTTGTGAAATAATAAAAAAAATGAGAGAAAGTAAAACTCCCTAACAGTGAATAATACATTTACTTATTAAAACTGAAAGCAAAGTAAACATTCTGTTTACTTTGATTTAACACCTTCCCCCCTTTTATCTCAAACTAGAAGATGAAAATAGGCAGATTCATTGTAACTCTCGAAGCAGTTGGTTTCGCTTCTTGATCACAGCATAGATTTTTAATGGGTTCATAAGCCAGGGAATTTGTTGATCCAATAAAAACAATTTCCACAGGTTTTAAAAATTAGTTTAATGATAGCTTTCCCACCAACATTAAGGTTTATGCAGTTCATTTGCAAGAGGAAACTAAAACATTGTGGTTAAGAAAATAGTAAGACATAAAATGAGAAAATCATCAATAATCATTTGCAAATGTGTAATTTTAACCATGCAAATTATATTCTATTGATGGATAACAAGAAAAACAATTAAACTAATAAAAAGAATTTTAAATTATAGGTCTTATATAAGAACCAAAGGAGGGACTGATGAAGAGATGATGGAGGGTGGTTAGGGTCTGTCTCTTGGAGGAGGTAATATTTTAATGAAAACAAAAATGATAAGATGGAGACTTCCATACAAAGAATAGGAGAAAAAGTATTCTAGGCAGAGGGAACAGCTCATGCAAAGGCTCTAAGGCCAAGAGACATTTGCAAATTTAATGAATTACAAAAAAAGTCCCAGCATGACAGGTGTTTAATGGGAAGGGTTTAACGTGCCAAATCGATAAAACTCATATACTACGGAACATTATAGACTATAGAAAAGAGTTTAATTTTAAATACAATAAGATACAGCAGAGTGTTTAAAGTATTAGAATGATATGTAATTTACATATATAAATAGTAAAATGAAATTATCAAATATATGTACTATGAGAACCCAATATACCCACTATTAAAAAGCTATCTTAGTTCTCCCCAATCCTTTGCTAAAGATAAAATACTTTAACCACTGTAAAAATGTGTTAGATGCCCCCAAGTACAGGAGAAATAAGAGCTATTTCTGGAATAGCAAATAGAATAATCTCAGACTTGTTAAAGAAAATATAGAGATGTTTCTTAAAAGGGGTTTAGAGAAGGCCAAATAGATTCTTAAAAGATGTCTAGGGAAAAAAACAACATTACAAACTCAAAAACAAAACACTTTTTGAACAATTATTATGGGCAAGATTATATTAAAAGCACTTGTATATGTAAACATATCATTGTCATGATAATTTACTATGGCCATAGATGCTTTACATAGTTAAACTCATTTAACCCTCATAATAATGTGGTACTTACCATGGCATTGCAGTAAAGAAAGAGTTTAATTGATGCAAGGCTGGCTATACCACACAAAGTTTGTATTAGTCCACTCTCACACTGCTGTAAAGAACTACCTGAGACTGAGTAATTTATAAAGAAAAGAGACTTAATTGACTCACAGTTCCACAAGTTCTACAGGAAGCATGTCTGGGGAGACCTCAGGAAACTTACAATCGTGGCAGAAGGTGATGAGGAAGGTGGCATGTCCTACGTGGCTGGAGCAGGAGGCCGAGAGAGAAGGGGGAGGTTCTATACACTTTTAAACAACCAGATCCAGTGAGAACTCACTCACATCATGAGAACAGCCAGGGGGAAATCTGCCCTCATGATCCAATCACCTCCCACCAGGCCCCTCCTCCAACACTGGGGATAACAATTCGACCTGAGATTTGGGTGGGGACACAGATCGAAACCATATCAGAGTTATTACTCAAATCAATCTTCCCTCAGACTGGTAGGTTAGGAGTTTTTCAAAGGCAGTTTGGGAGAAGGGATGGCCATGTAGTGGGTATTTGCTGCTGACTGGTTGGGGAAGAGATGAAATCATAGGGAGCTGGAGCTCTCCTCTTGCACTGTCAGTTCCCAAGTGAGGACCACAAGACCAGATGACCCAGTTTATTGATCTGGGTTGTGTCAGCTGGTGCATTGGAACACAGGATCTGCAAAATATCTCAAGCACTAATCTCATGTTTTATAAGAGTAAGTCCTAAGCCATAATTTCTAATTTTGTGGCTAATTTATTAGTAGGGAAAAACAGTCTAGTACCCAGGCAAGATGGGGGTCTGTTTTGGAAAGGGGCTGTTATCATCTTTGTTGGAAGGTTAAACTATAAACTAAGTTCCTCCCAAAGTTAGTTTGGCCTATGTCAAATAATGAGCAGGGACAGTTTGGAGGTTAGAAGCAAGAAGGAGTCAATTAGATCAGCTCTCTTTCACTGTCACAATTTCTTCAGTTATAATTTTTTGCGAAGGCAGTTTCAGTCATAGAAACCTAGAAAGAGTAAGAACCTTGCCCAAGGTCACAGAGCAAGAAGGATTTAGAGCTGAGATATTTAGAGGTCCAGGCAATTAGACTGCAGAGTCAAAACCCCAAAGCATGTTCTAATGCACATAAGTAATGATGACCTTGCTTAGGGCACTTCAATACGTCAATGTTTTGCCCTTTGCTTGTGTGTCAAGCAACCTCATATGTCATTTTACTCCCATAAGCATGTACAGTGATATAGAAAGATACTATGCAGGGAACTCGAGAAATCTTTAGGAAACATTGGATCTCCTCCGCTTACCTCGGTGCACCTCTTACTAAGGAAACCTGTTTGTAGATCACTCGTAATAGATCATGTCCTGATATGTATCATTCTGAGACCTGACAAGACTTCCTCCATGACCAAACTTCAGTCAGGCTCTTTTGAGCCCTCTTCTGGACATGGCCTCAATGTTCAACTACCTAGCCCAGCATTAGCACGAATCCTGTTAAGCCAGTTTAGCAAGAATCTCCCTAACCTTAACATCTAATCAAGTTCATGTTTGAAATTTCATCTACTGATCCCCTTACTCTGCTTACCGGTTATAAATTACCAGCTGTCCTTGCTATGTTTGGAGTTGAGTTCATTTCTATACTGAAGACTCTCTCTGTAACTGCAGGATTCAAATAATATCTGTCTTGTCATTTTTAATAAGTGTCCAGTGCAAACATTTTCTTTTACAGGCCCTAACTTGCAGAAAGTTTTCACTCACACCTATCCTAAAGAAAAGATAAAGTGATCATGTCAAAGCAACAATGCTACGTTGTGGCACTACATCAAATATATCACGAACCATCAGAGAAGAGAAGACTATTTTATGCAACTTTCTACGTTGTATATTTAGCCATTATATTAACTCATATATTTCACTATCACTATTGCTATTTTATATGTAGATAAATTATTTAATGTTGGAGGAGACTTAAAAATCCACATTTTAATATGTCCAATTAAGCTTAAATACTTTTAATTGCATAAACATCTTCAGAATGATTATTTTATATAATAGAAAGATGAGGGGGCTTATAATAGGTAAACTTAATTTAAAAATTAAATGTAAGTATTAAGAAGCTCTAATAAGAAATGTCAACATGACCTTTATTCTTCTCCACAGCATCACTCGAAAAAGCATTCTCTTTGAATAGTATACATCTGCTCGAACTTTCTCATTTCTTTTGTTATTCTTGATGTTTAAAACTCATTTTATTCTAATTTTTAAAAGTTATTAAAATACTAAGTTATAGCAAATATTCAAACTATTATGAAATATGTAAAACAGAAATGGAATATTGTTCTTAATTGTATCTCATGAAACTATTTTAATCTATATTTATACACATCCATATATATTTCAAATATGCATTTATGCCAAGAATGTTCTTCTACAGTTTCTTTTTTATTTAACAATATATCAAGATATGCTGGACATCTTTCCAAGGCATACAGATCCACCATGTTCAGATTCAAAGCATCAAAATCTACTTTTAAAGTAGCAGGCATTCTTAAAGTAATATGACTATGATGTACACTGAGTCTTACGATTTCACTGCATTTCTATTAATCTTTCTGTTAATGACAAAGTTATCATGGACCAGGGAGTGGGGGGATACAAATATAATACCTGACAATTGAGGAACAAAAGAAAATCTCCAGCTTGTGTCACTCACCACTGCACAAGTCTAAGGGTGAAATGACAGCCTGAATTTAAAGGAACTCCTTAAGGAAATACTCCACCATCACCTATCCGCATTTTATAGCTAGCAAAAAATACATTGCTAATAACGAAGTAGTCATATTGAAAGCTAGTTTGGGGGAAGACAATTGTTAAAGAAAAAGCCTGTCATCCCAGTGATGTCAGGGTTCTGAGGGTTATGGAAATAGACTCTATCAGGACAAAGGCTCAGGAAATGAAGTGTAACAGGTCAAGTACTGTATCAATTTGGGGCGGCCACTGGGCAGAAGAGCTCCTGGCATGGGTCAGTGCCCTAGCAGAAATAAAGGAGAATATAAATAGATCCAATTAAAGGCAATCCCCTTTTGTAGGTCACTTTGGCCTTAAAATAAGACAGGCAGGCAGATCTGCCTATCTTATGGCTAAGGTCGGGGGAAGAAAAATAATAGTAACAACACCACAAAAAAACAACTCTTAGCCTTCTCTGGCTGGCAGTGGAATGAGTAACTAGGGTGAAAAGAATACTGTAAAGTTCCATAATCACAAGTAAGAGATTATGTAGGGAAACTGTGTCAAAACTTGGCAGCTGCAATTCAATTTTTGTTATGGAAATGTGAAGAAAGTTAACTATCCTAATCCATCATGGCTAAGCTTCCAGAAGCCTCAAGAACCACAGAGTTAAAAGGATGTTTAGACAATTTAAGGAAAAGATCATCTGAGGCAAACTTTGTTTTGTAATCTAAATTAGCTAGGTTGTCAGGATACATTAAATTAATTCACAAAATGGATCCAAATTTCAAATATTTATTTACTGAACACTCTATGTTTAAAACACAGTGCTAAGTTTATTCACTAATTTTTTTCTAATCTAATTGAAGCAACAGTTATCCAAAGGGGGTGTTATGGAGACCATTGTTCAGAGGATAGAGGTGACTTGCCAGAAATCATTGTTAGCAAACAGAGGAGCCCTATTTGAACCCAATTCTCCATACACCACAGCTATATAATTACTAAATGTTCTACTTCTCTTAACAGAAGTTGGTTCTGTGACATGTGATATTTGGTCATACACAGTGACCCATGTCACTTTTCTTGCAGTAGAGTCAACTGGTGAAAAGCCCACAGGGTTGCCTATGGGTTAGCCACAGAACTGCCATTAGCTGTGTAATTCTAGGCAGGTCAACTCACCTGGTTTTTATTTCCTGAGAAATAAGTGGATGGTAAAAATCATTTAAGGTGTTTTCTAACCCCAAATTTTAATGGTTATTACTATCAATTATGTGAGTTTCAATCCAGATTTAAATGCATTTTGAAAACCCACTGAATACAAAAGGTACTGTGCTAAACATTTTTCCAAAAATTAGACATTTTATCCTCCCAACAATCCAATGGAGTACATAGTATTCTTTCTATTTTACATATTTTTAAAATCCAGAATCTCAGAGAATGTAGAAAAATATGCTCTCGTTGATTATAAATGACAAAGCCATAATATATCTAGGTATTCTGGCAACAAGTTCAGTGCTTCTATCACTACCAGCCAGCTGTCTCTTAGTCATGGTGGATGAATTTAATTTATATCTGCTCCATTACCTCACAATTCTATCTCAGGACCATTGTAGAGGTAGGGATTTTAGGGAAAACGATGTAGAAAAATTCAAAATCAAGCTTTTTAAAAAAAGTTGCAGTAAACTAAAATACTTGACAGTAATTGTAAGTTACTCACAACTTTAATCAGCCCAAGACATTCACAGTGAGAAAGTCTGTTACAGCATTTGTATTCCTAAAACCAAAACAATAAATATAATCTGGCTAAGGGAACAGAGATGTGATGACAGCTTTGTGACCCTAAAATTTGATAGACTTTTTAAATGCAGCTTTTATATTTTACCCTTTATTCCATTTTAAAGATCTGTTCTTGCACTACTAAAAAGACACCACAGTTTTTGTGCCTGGGTTTCAAGACTAGAAAAAAAATATACACAAAAGCATCCTGTATTAATGCCTTCTTTCTTTGAAGAAGCATCTGGATTTCTGCATTTTGGAGTTCTCTTTTTTTTGCTCTCCTGCAAGAGATTTAAGCTCTTTAAGCCACTGAAAATAACATTTCTTAAGAGATAAGTAAAAAATGAGATTCACAGATGTCATTCTAGTAAGCAGCATGGTACATGTTCATAAAATAGTCAAAGACACCACACATACACACACACACTCTCACACACAAACTTTCCCTTTTAAAAACTACTCACTGTAGGCAGGGCGTGGTGGTTCACGCCTATAATCCCAGCGCTTTGGGAGGCCGAGGTGGGTGGATTACCTGAGGTCAGGAGTTCGAGACCAGCCTAACCAATATGGTGAAACCCTGTCTCTACTAAAAATACAAAAAAAAAAAAAAATAGCCAGGTGTGGTGGCAGGGACCTGTAATCCCAGCTACTCGGAAGACTGAGGCAGGAGAATTGCTTGCCCCCGGTAGGCAGAGGTTGCGGTGAGCTGAGATCACACCACTGCACTCCAGCCTGGGCGACAGAGTAAGACTCTGTCTAAAAAAAAAACACACACACACAAAACAAAACTACTCACTGTATAAAATTAACCATTACAACTACGGTAATTTTTTTAAAAATTGCAACAAAAGTGTTAAGAATATGTATTTGTAAGTATGCTCAATTTTCTGGGGAATAGGTTTGGAGAACTGTGACCTCCAAATGTTGAAAATTGCTACTTAGATATAGTGCTAAAAAGTTAAACTCTACCGAAACTAGTTGAATAATGATCTAGGATATGTATAAACTCTTGTTTTTGTTGGGTTTGATACTAATAGTGACTATTAAGTTATTTATGTGGAAATTCGTACTCAATGCTGTAAGATAACATGTCGAATAACGTGTCATTCACCAATCACATTGAAAAATACAATATCTGGCACATGCAAAAATAGGCGTACCATCATCTAATCAATTCATCTTTTTTATTGTTGAAATTTGTGTACCATAGATGGAAAATTGTTCGCTGAATGAGATACTATGTAATTTATGCCACTTGTATAAAAAAGTAATAGTCTATGCAAAAACGATAATTTCTTGCCCTTTTATTGAGAATATAGCATAGTGATGAGGCTTTAAATAAATATTTATGCCTAAAGACTTAAAGTCATTTTTCTGAGCATCTTAGTTATATCTTGCTCTCTATATATTTCCTTCACATTTTATTGGTTTATTTAAAATGATCCTTCTTGTAACAGAATTTGTATTTATAACATTTCCTCAAATGGTTCTATATCTCTTAGATACTTTAAAAGATTGGTCTAGCTGCTGAATAAAAAATGAATTGGGATATGAGGCTGAGAGCAGTAAAAGCAGTCCAAAGACCATAACATTTCAAGGTTTGGGCAGAAATAGAGCAAGTGGAGTAGATTTTAAATTTATTTGAATTGAATAGATCATGAACGCTTAATCATCTGGAGGTGTAGGTTGATAGAAACTTGTCAAGAGTAAGTCTAATATTCCAAAAGTCAAAAATTGGGTCATTAGTGATAGAATTCTGTTAAACAGAAGGATAAAAATAACGATCTTGGAGATGGAAAGCAAAGGATGTCATTAGTTTTTTGGTTCATATTAAGTTGGAGATGCCTATAGGAAATGCTGGCAAAAATGGCAAATATCTGGCTATAGGAGTGAGAAGTCAGAACATTTGTCTGACTTGAAGAAATCTGGGAGTCCTCACCACAGCAATTGCACTATAAGCTGTAGTGAACTGACCAAGCAAAAGATTACAGAATAGGAATTTAAAAGGATCTTAGGCCAATTCTTCACAACTCTGTTACTGGGAAATTGGGAAGAGGAGCAGAAGTCACCAAGGGAGACAAAGAGAAAGAGCCAGAGGAATAGGAAGAACATTTGAAGGCAAGAAAGAGGCTATTCTGAAGAGGTGTGGCCAACAATATTATATTCTACTAAGTCTTGTAACATAAATTTTAACAAATTCAATTTCTTTTAGTATTATGGCAGTCATTGTTAACCTTAGCAAGAGACCAGTGAAATGGAGGGAGCATGCAAAGAAGATGAAAACGTCTGTGCAAAAACTCTACAAATCTTGGTTGTGGAAAAGGGCAGAGGAGGAAAGTGGTAACTCTATTAATCAGGATGATTTAAGCAAGCTGCCTCTACAGACAAACCCAAGGGCTTTACACAGTTAATGTTTGTTTTGTTCATGCAGTGTTTAATGATGACCCTCCCCAACCCCATCCTGTGGTTCTGCCATCTGGAACAGGTGCCCTCTATGTTCACCAGGACAGGGAAAGGATTTATTGAAGACTGACGCACACTGTTAGTGTTACACATGACTTTCACCCACAGTCCAGTCCATGGACCACAACCAGACTCATGGTCCAGGGAAGTTAGGAATCTTAGGAGCACACTTGGAATATCTGATGCATATGTACTGCTTTTATCAGAAAAACTCAAGCAGGATGTGGGGTCAAAAAATGTTTTTATTCGTTGGTTGTTGTATTTTATTTGTCTGTTTGTTTTTAAGATGGGAAAAACTAGAGCACATTTGCTATCTGATGGAAACATCAGACACAGAGTTGTAGAAGCATCAAAGAAAGAAATCTCAGAAGAGAAATTTCTTGAGAAGGCAAAGGGAATGGGATCCAAAACAGAGGAGGAATGGCCACGGGTGTTTTCTCTGCTGAATTGCTGTCCTAAAAGGAAATAACGGATATGGGTTGAGGCATATTTATTAATTTGGTGATGGAAGATGAAGAAGTACCCTTTTGATGATGTCTATTCCCTCATTGTAACGTGAATCAAGGTTATGAGCTGAAAGTTGAGAGGTGGTGCAGCGTGGTGTGAAAGCCCAGGAGATTGAAGAGCATGGTAAAGGCAGAAAATCATTTCCAGGAAGAATGGAAGTCTTTCACTTGGCAACCTATCTGTCTTATTTTCTAACACAATATTCAGTCCTCAAATCATCCTAAAATATTTAACATAACTTAATATGCCATGTGTCTGCTCAAGTTCCATGAGTTTAATCTTGCTTTTTCCTCTGCCTAGTGTGCTAACCCCAGTCCCACCTTATTTACCCTGCAAACTTTTACTCATCCTTGAGCTCTTGCCTCAGGTAGGGGCTCTTGTATAAAGGCTTTTCTATTCCATCAGAAAGAGTTAGCTCCTTACCCTTTCTCCTGCAGTAATCCACATCTTCCTTATGGGGCTCCCATAAGGGATCTTCCTGAGGTCATGAAACCTGTCTCTTCACCTTTATTCTCAGACATAGCACAGAATATTGTACAAAATGAAGAGATGCTTATAATTGCTTTTGGACCAGCTATAGACATTTAGTAGAATATAAACTATACTAACCATTGTGAATAAAGCATACCACTCCAAAAATATGATAGAAATCTAAAATTTAATTAAATGTTTAAAATAGCATTCAAAATAGCAAAACAGGATAGAAATCAGCCCATATTTACTAAGGAAGGAGGGGTGTCTTCTGGCACACAAACAGTTCCAAGCCTGAAACACTGTAAATAACTAATTAAATTTTTTTCTGTTGTAATAAAAATAAAATGCCTTAAGCAGTCTAACCTGCTTTTCCCAACTCATTTAGCTCCTTCCTCACTGTGCAAATGCCCTTTACAAAACAGACATCAGCTTTGCAGAAGATATTTTTGAACAATTGAAATATGAAGAAAAAACTTTGTTAAGGCATGCCATCTGTTTTGGTTTTTTTGGAGCCCAGTGATTTTATCTTTCCTGAGATTCAAACCACCTCACCCTTTGTAGCAATTCATTAAAACTTCACTGCTGAAGGAAGGTGAACAGGGGAATCACAACCATAGGATATGAAAAATAGCTGCTTCTGCTCTATTTTCTATACTCAAACCTCCCAAGTAATAGAGAGTGTTTCTACCACTTTGAAAAATTCTCCTTGGCTCTATAGTGTCTATGGGCAGGAAAATTTGGAACTAAGTTCCAGTTTAGCAACTACTCAATTCCTAACCAATCTACATTGATACAATTATGTCTTCTGTACCATTGCACAACTACAACTAAAATTACTACTAGTTGGATAGTAAAGTATTTCAATATTTCTCAAAATCAAATTGAAATCCAGCGTTCCAAAGTTGCCACCACTGCATGCACATTTGCACATTATTAGGAAGCAATATATAATTTCTGGAGCAGTTGTGTGAAGCTCTCAAATGTTTTTGGCTAAAGGCAAAATTTTAGAACACCGTCTTTTATCCCTAATTAAATTACAAAATTAAATGTCACCTCAAAATCTGATGAAGCCCCCTTTCCATGGAAACTCTGAAATAAAACTAGGGTACAACACAAAAAGCACTGGTCACAAATGTGAGAGCCTCCGACTTCAGTTCACCATTCTGCCACTAACTAGCTGTGCAACATAGAGTGTCTTTGAGTCTCAGTTTCCTCACAGGTGAAATTAAGGTATGGGACCTCTTGATTTCTAAGATCAATTTCAGCCCTATATTTTGAAGAAATCAAAAGGCTACCTGAATAGCATTTATGTCTCATTGTGAAACCTGCATACCTTACTATTACCCAGTGCTGTGGAACCCAGTAGATCTTCAAGAAATGTTGAATAAGAAAATGAATGCCTAAAGGTAAACAGGTATATGACTTTTGTATGAGTCAATGAATCAGAAGAAAATAGAAGGGAGATGCCAGTATAATGAGTGGCTAGGAAGATGAAAAATAAGTAAGACAAATTAAATATTATTTGCTTCCATTTGGTACGCTTACCCACTGCTGACTCATTCACCTACTACTTATACCTCTTTCAAGTACTGTTTGGTCCTAAATCAGCAGTGAAAGGAATTATTAGCCATTAAGATTTCTGTTCTAGTTAGCATTCAGCTCAGCTAATGGCATCAGAAAATTCAAAACAATCGTGGCTTAACTGAGTAAAAAGATTCGCTCTCATTCCATGGAAATGAGGCAGTTCAGAGCTAGTGGTGTAGATCCATGACAATCAGAAACACAGGCTCCCTCTGTCCTTTGCCTTCTCGTTCTTAAAAGGAAGAGTCTACCCTGGAGCCAAAATGACTGATCCAGCTCTAGCATTTCTGCATGCGAAGACTTGTCTGTTTTTGAGGACACGTTGCAGAATTTGCACATATCATGTTCTCTTGCATCAAAGAGCATAGTCACAAGGCCAGATAAAGATAGAAAGGAGGCTGAAAAGTTTATTCTTTCTAAGAGAAACTGTTATTACCAGCAAATATTTAGGAAATGGCCATTACTTTGGCAAAGCGTAGAATGGATATTGAGAGATGCTACCTTCCATTGGACTTCTAGCCTGTGTACATAATCTTGTTCTGGGCTATGAAGTGGGTTTTAGGAATACCTACCTACCCTTTTCTGTATCCCTCTCATTCTTGTAATAATTATGTGTTTCCTCCCAGGCTTTCCTAACCTGGAGGAAATTAGCTAAATAAATTATTCAATTTTAATATCAGTGTGATACCTCACCAAAGAATGTCTGCATTTTCAGAGGAAATCTCATTGAGAGGTCAAAATTTAAGCCTAGAAATGAAACAAATGTTTCATTAAATAAAGTATCATTAAATACATACCTCAATGAAAAGAAGAGTTTTAGGAGACACTCCTCCTGAGCAGCTCAAATGATGTTACTAAGCATCACCTATTTCATCCAAAAATAGGAGCAGCCTTGGTGAGTGATTCTTGTATTTGCTCCAATAGTTATTTGCTCTATTATTCCACTGTGCCATGGTTTTCTTCTTTTTATCTTATTAAATATTACTAAACTATATAGTGTGTAGCAGGGTTCTATTTTTATTTTAATACTACAATTAAATTTGATCTTCTAAGTCTAAAAGGAGATTATAAGTTTAACATCATTGAAAACTTCAGGTTACAAGTTCACCAAAAATACAACTATCTTTCAAACTTTTAGTAGACACTAATTTAGAAACACTAATATGTTCACATGTCATTAATAATATTAAGCTTTAAATTAATAATAACTACACTAATTAAAAGTGACAATAATGACCTAAATGGCACCTATTACTATAAGACATTCCAATTTACTGAAGAAATTCAGTCCTTAATATGCCACGCTCTGTCCAGCCATTAAAGCACAGGGATTACTTTTCATTCCATATTGTGTGTTACTTACCATTTTGTCAATTCACTTTATAGCTACTACGGTCTACTGGGTGAATTCCAGACTTTAAATTAAATAGCCAAAGAGTATGACAGTGCTCAATGTCTATAAAATTCTGCATTTAAAACAATGTAGACTGCTTGAAAATTGTGCTAAAGCATCTGGTAGATGTTATTTCATTTAAACATGGTACATTTTTATCCTAAACTGAAAAGCTGGAAAAATTGTAGAATTCATTTAAAGATATCACAGTTATGCTCAGGAGCTGGAAATAACTGAGACACGGTTCCATGACCACCTAGCCCACCAGTATGCAGGTTCCTCAGAAACCATTTGTTCAAGGTTCCCAAAGCTACTCAATTTAGATTTGGTCAGAGAGAAAGAATAGTACATAAAATGAGGAAAAGGATCAGAGAGGGGTATATTGAGTTTTTCAAATTTATTTCTTATGATGAAGTGAAGGAATGAGAGTAAAGGGAAGAATATGTGTAGGTGTGATGTTGATTAGGGTGGTTCAAATTTTCGTCTGCATAAAAAATATCTGAGAAGTTCTTTTTTAAACTTTTATGTTCAGGGGTACGTGTGACAGCTTTTACATAGGTAAACTCATGTCACGAAGTTTTATTGCACAAATTATTCATCACCCAGTTATTAAACCCAGTACCCAAAAGTTATGTTTTATGCTCATCTTCTTCCTCCCACCCTCCACCCTCAATTAGTGTCTGTTGTTCCCTTCCTTGTGTTCAGGAGTTCTCATCATTTAGCTCCTACTTATAAGTGAAAACATGTAGTGTTTGGTTTTCTGTTCCTACATTAGTTTGCTAAGGATAATAGACTCCAGCTCCATTCATGTTTCCACAAAAGATATGATCTCATTCTTTTTTATGACTACATAGTATTCCATGGTATATATGTACCACATTTTCTTTATCCAATCTGTCATTGTTGGGAATTTAGGTCGATTCCACATCTTTGCTATTGTTAGAGAAACTCTTAAAAGTACAAATTCACACAAATTCCTAGAGTTCCATCTTGTAAATCTAGCAAAAAAAATGTAGAAATCTTTTTTTTAATTACAAGAAACCCATATAACTATTATAGAGGTTGTGGCAGGCAGAACAATGACTCCTCCACTTCCCTAAAAAGCCCATGTCCTAATTTCTGGAACCTGTGAACATGGGAACTTACATAGAAAAAGTAATTTTCCAGATGTAATTATGATAAAGGATCTTGAGATACAGAAGAGTATCCTGGATTATACAGATGAGTCCAATCGAATCACATGAATCCTTAAAAGTAGGAAACTTTTTCCGGGGCTGCTCAGAGGGAGGCGTTGACTACAGAAGAATGGTCAGAGATATACAACCTTGCTGGCTTTGGAGATGGATGAAGGGGCCTTTAAAATAAGGAATTTCAGTGGCCTGTAGAAGCTGGAAAAAGCAAGAAACAGATTTTTCTCTAGAGCCCCAAGAAAGGAACATAGCCTTGCTGACACATTGATTTCAGCCCGGTGAGACCTGTGTTGTACTTCTACCCCACAGAATTATTTAGGTAATAAGTTTGTGTTGTTTTATGCCACTAAGATTTGTGGTAATTTTTACAGCCACAGCAGAAAACCAATACACAAGTGGTCGAAGACCCATATTCTGAATTCCTGTTCAGCATTCAAAAACACTAAAATACAAAATCCAAAGACATTTTAATAGAATAAGTGCAGTCTGTTTCTCAAAAGGGAAATGGTTTCTTTACTACACAACAATTGTTTAAATTCACTGATGGAGGTATTGTTTCTCCTTATGATGTGGTTCTAAAGCATATATAAAATTTTTATGTTTTTCATTTTCATCAAAAACTAAAGAAAAAAGAATAAAATGATATGAGGATGAGGAATAAAAGAAACATTACAGAAGGAAGGAGGGAAATGATAAAAAAAACAAAAGGGGGAAACCGGGAGTTTTTTTGAACTTTACTGGGGTAAGCAGCCTGATAACATATTTTAATCCTTTCATATTACAAACAAATACAAAGGCCTGACAAGCTAAGAAAAGCATATCATGAAGTGGCCTAAATGCCACAGCTGTTCTACAATGTAGTGTTATTTTTTTCTGAATATGCTATTATGTCCTGTGAAGCACATGTGCATCAGTAATTTTTCTTCTGTTCTAAATTTGTCTCGCTCTCACTATTCCATATTCAATCAAAACTGTTTGCATCTCTCCTCCCCAAACATTTTAATTTTTCTTACTTCAGTGATAAAATCTCTGAGCTTCCTAAACACTCTATGTTGCCCAAATCCTGGATTCTGAATCAATACATTTTTAAACCCAATAACCCAAACACATTTTCTAAACCTCTTTTCTAGGGCCAACCACAAGTAAAACAAAGTGAAGCATGTCTTTGGGAAATTATTTTATCCTGAAAAAGACCACAGTCACTCCCATGGGTTGGAAAAGCCAAGGCTATATGGAAAGTCCCTAAATTGTTTGTAAGCATTGGGGTAGGATAATTTGGGGGCTATAAATGAGGTTTAGGTATCCATTATATTTCAAAGCTTAAGATTAGGTTCAGAGGAAGCGGCAGTTTGAACATATAGTAGTTAATATGTAAATGATATAACCCTCCAGCTTGGTAAGAGAAAGTGATCTTGGTGATTCTTTGACCTAACTGAACCTCAGCCTGGATCTAGCTAAATATGCCACCAACTTGGTGTGCTCTCTCTTAGGAAAGCCGTTTTTCTCCTACCACATTTGTTTGAGTTGAAGGCCGTCATTACCAGAAATGGTCAATGCTTACTAACATACGCATTGTTACATAGAAGTAACTAATTTCTGCTGACACAATAATCCACAGGGATCTTGGTCTATCATAAACCATCTCTCTCTCTCTTTGTTAATGTCTTAGTGCACCTTTAGCACTTTACTTCTCCTCCAGACCACTCATCCAATACTCCAGCCATCCCAATGATCATTAAGTCAAAGCATTATGGATAATTCACGGATGCAATTAGCTCTGTTATAATGTTTGCTCTGAAAATGTTGACTTTGTTTCAATACAATTGATATGTTAGGGAACAATTTGAGCATAACAGAATTTTGAATTTGCTTATGTATGCTTTTGTCAGTGAGCTCTAAATCTTTGGAGACTTTTTTAAAAAATTGGAACTACATCTAATGAAAGATTACAGTTTTGATCATTATGTCTCTTAAATCATCTTTTAATCTAAAACACTTCATACTTGTTTTTTAATGATGCTAATTTTATTTTGAAGGGGGAATAAGGTCAAGTTGTCTTCTAGAATTTCTTAGATTGTTTTCTAGGCTTGTCCGATTATATGCTCATGGTCTAATAACACTTGTTCCTCTCTCCATTATATTTTCTGTAAATTGTCAGTTATGTCTAAAGTCTCCATTAGAATCAGGTTAGATATTTTGGGAAGAACACTTGATAGGTGATAAATGTGAACTTTTTTCTTCCTTTTTTCCTTTCTTCTTTCTTTTCTTTCTTCTTTATTTCTTCTTTCATTTTCCTTCCTTCCTTCCCTCCTGCCTTCTATCAACTGGGTCTATTTGTTATTCTGCCAAAGTTTCTACTGACAAGTCAAGAAAAGTGCTTAATTCTTCCCCTCTAATTACCAATTTTCAAAATAAGATAAAATGTTTTAAAAGTATGCATTGCAAAATTATGATGAAGTTAAAAAATTAGAAAGAAATCCTTATTACACATATTATAGATAATGGCTAATTGCCCTAAAGAAAAAAAAAAAAAACTCCTATAATCAGTAAGAAAAAAACTAAAACTCCAGTAGAAAATGGGAAAAACAAACAGCTCTCATTACAGAGAAATGAAAATCACTCAAATGTAGTATGCTCAACATCACTTATTTCACCTATCCAATGGACACATATCAAAGACATATCAGTGTACAAATTTTATCAATATACGAATTTTATCAATATATAATAATCATATAATAATGAAATCATATAATAATGAAATAAAAGTATTTTAAAATGATGTAAAGATACAGGTGTTCCCATGTGTTGCTACTAGGAGTCTAAATTGTCACAACCCATATGGAGAGCCCATTTGTTAATTACCAACATGAAAAATCCACAGACACTTTGACCCAGCAATTCTCCTTCAAGAATTTAGTCTATGGTTATTCCCATACAAACTCCAACTATATTTTTAATAAGAAAAGTTGAAAACAATTAAAGTGTCTATTAGTTAGAGTTGATTAAGAAAATGCAAATTTGAAAAGTTTATGAAATAGAATACTAGGCAACAACAGAAAAGATTAGGGCATAATAATGTGAAATAATTTCATATATATTTTAAGTGAAAAGGTAACATGCTGAAAAGTATGTCTAGATCACCTAATGAATGAGTGTAGTTAGAGAGGAGAAATTCAAGAACTGAGGTCTAAGGCTCTTCAACATTTACAGTTTGAGAAAGGAAACAAAAACCAACAGAGAAGACTGAAAATGAGAAGCCAGTGAGGTGAAAACAAAATCAAGCTAGTATAGTGACGGAAAAAGCTTATTCCCTCCAGATAAGTTTAGCCTTCTTTCCCAGAAAAATAAAACCCTCAATTTTCCCTAAGTCCCTGGATGCCCAGAATAAATGCTGTATTTTTAATCTTCCCTAACAAGGGTGTGTAGTGAGTTGGATAGTGTGCCCTCAAATTTATGCAGACTTGAATGTGACCTTAGTTGAAATACCATCTTGGCAAATATAATTAAGCATCTCAAGATGAAGTCATTCTGAATTGAGGGGATAAGGCCTAAGTCCAATGACTGCTCTCCTTATAAGAGCAGAGAGCCCAGAGAAACACAAAAATATGCATAGAAAAGAATGCCATGTAAAGATGGAGGCAGAGATTGGGGTTATTCTAGCATGAGCAATGGAAGGCCTGGAGCCACATAAATTGGAAGAAGAATTCTTCCCTAGAGCCTACAGGGGGATCATGGCCCTGCTGACCTTGACTTCTGACTTCTAGCCCCAAGAACTGTGAGAGAATAAAATTCTGTTGTTTGAAGCCACCCAGTTTGTGATGACTGTGGCAGCCCTAGAAAACTTATACAGAGGATATAGCCATCTATTTAGATTTTGACCTACAGATACTGTAGACTATGTGGATATTCTGGGTTATACCTTTAAAAGGAAAGAGTTTCTCTTTGACTAGAATGTGGACTTAAGGTGAGTACATTGGACGTGCAGATAAGTTAAGGGTAACGACCTAGGAAGCAAGAAAATTGAAGGTGTCTATTCTAGGTGATTTTGCAGCGATCATGCCAGTTTTAATTTGTATGTAACCAAAGAAAATTAGATTATGTTTTCTTTAAGTCATAGTTATGCTGGGGCTTTGTCATAGCAGATAAACCAACATCCAAAATAATACAAGAAAAGAGTTTTAAGAAAGAAGGAGTGATCAGCTGAACCCAATGCTCCCGAGAGGTCCAACAGGGTGAAGACTAAAGCCTGAGCATGTAATTGGACAGATTAAAGTTAGTAATGACTCAATAGTGCTGTTTGAACCAGAATATTATGAACAAGAGCCTATTTGGAGTAAGCCCTAGTGAGAATGAAAGGTAAGAAGGTAGAGACAGTAAATATAGATAGTGCTTTCGGGGAGTTTTACTATACACAAGGAGAAAGAAATGAAACAGTAGCTGGAAGAAAGCCAAAGGAATCCTTTTCTTTGTTTCAAAATTACCTCCTGAGTATTTCTCAATCTTACCTACTTTATGTGTCTTCATTTCTCTCTTCCTAAGCCAACTTATAATTATAGCCCACCTGGACCACTGCAGTAGGCTGCTAATTCATCTATTTTACCAATCCTTGCCCATCTCTAAACAATTCTCCACACATCAGCTAGTATAATTTTTTAAAACATAAATACATCACTACAGTGTTTCACACTTCTCTGTGATTTCCCTGTGTGATGAGATTTAAATGTAAAATCCATAAAACACTAGCCCACATCATACCTTTATCATGCTTTGTGCTCAAGCCAGGGTCACAGAGTGTCTCCTATCCTGCACTAAGGAAATGGTGTACTGAAGCTATACATTTCACATTCTATGCAGCCTATTGGGCAGCCCTTGAACTGGTCATACACACGTCTTTTCATGCCCAGCACTTTCATTCTCATGGCTTTTAATGACATTTTTCTCTCTATCTGAAAAAAGAATTCCTTTTCCAATTCTTTACCTACCTTGTTCCAAATCATTCTTCAACTGTTAGCTAAACATAGCTTCTGAGAGAAGCTTTCCTGAATTTACCACAAATTAGAGCCCTATCATATACTCTCATGGCTTTTTGCACATTTCTGTCATAGCACTTATTTATTTCCATTAAATTTCTTTCCTTCCTTCCTCCCTTCCTTCCTCCCTCCCTCCCTCCCTCTCTCTCTCTTTCTTTCTTTTCTTCCTTCTGTCCTTCCTTCCTTCTTTCATTTTGAGACAAGGTCTCACTCTGTTGTCCAGGCTAAAGAGTACAGTGGTACAATATTATGGCTCACTGCAGCCTCAAACTTCCCAGCTCAAGCAATCCTCCCACCTCAGCCTCCTGAGTAGCTGGAACCACAGAAGCATCACCATGCCCAGCTAATTTTTTTATTTATGGTAGAGATGGTGTTTCTCCATGTTGTCCAGGCTGGTCTCAAACTCCTGGGCTCAAGTGATCTGCCCACCTCGGCCTCCCAAAGTGTTGGGATTACAGGTGTGAGCCACTATGCCTGACCAAATTGAATTTCTCATTTATGCAATTGTATATTTAATGAAAGGGCTCATAGCAGGTGATTAAGAGCACAAGCTCTGGAACCTGACCAGCTGGGTTTAAATTCAGACTCAGCTACTTCCCATTGTGTCTTGCGATAAAATGCATAACTATCCCCAAGTCCCTCATCTGTAAAATGGGATAATTATAGTTAATATCTGATGGAGTCATTTTGGGAATATGGATTAAATATACAAATGTCTAAATGTAGAACATGTGTATTACTTGATATGTGTCACGGCACATAATTCGGACATGAAACAATTATATGTGAATGGAAAGACACTTGTCAGTTCTATGAGTAACATGGCTATAATTTTAGTTATTATGAAGGCTGGGTCATAACAGACTTATTTCATTTTATAATTGCAGACTATTTGCTGCACTCTTGCATATTTAGTTAAAGTATATGTTTCTTTTAAAAGGATCTATATACATGTGTGGAAAATACCACAGATGGCACAAATACACAAATCGTATTTTTCTTTCTTACCTTGACCAAAGTACATCCTAGGTGCAGAATACTAAAATTCCAAGCTTTCTAGTAGCCAGAAACGGTAACAGGTGACCAAGTTCTGGCTAATGAGAAGGGTGCAGAAATCCCTGGGAGGGTTTTCCTCCCCAAATCAAAAGATAAATCCTTGGGACGGGAGGGCTTAATTTGGTATGTTTACTTCACCCTTGGCTGAATTTCACTATTCAGAATTCAGTTGTGATGCCTAGAAGTGCAGCAGCCATTTTCTGCCCCCATGAGATCCAAAGCCACATGCTTAAGAATGGTAGACCAAGGGAATGGAAAGGCTCTCCTTGTATGGCTATAGCATCCCTGAACGTCCACACTGGGTTTCTTGTTATATGAGCAACATTGACCCTGAAAGACTGAATATACAGATCTATGGAAAAAGAACTCTGATCTACATTCAAAGTCCTGATAGCCAAACCACAATCTGCAGCAATTGGCCTGGAATGATCAGGGCTTTGTCAAGGGTGATGGACAACTTCCCTCTTCTATTTCTAATTTAGAACCAAACAGAGAAAGCAATTTTCCCCCCAAACCAATCACATAAAATGCCCTAAATCTAATTGTGCCACCTCCATCTTTCCCATGCCAACAACCTACAATCAGAGCAATAAGGAAAAAACCTTATCTTTTTCCACTGCCTTGCTTTCCAACTTTTCTAATTGCCTTTGAATCTCTGCCAAATGCAAATGATAGTGTCTGACTCCCTTACTTAGAAAGTTGACAATAGATAGCTTCTTCTTGTTCTCCTTTGAGTGGTCTTCACTGATTTTCACAATCCCACATTTGTTTAAACATCTGTTTGCCAGTTTTGTGTTGCTCAAAGCTAAGGGAAATCCTAATGCACTATTATTTTGTTGTTATTTTAAGTAATCTACTACATTTTATATTACTAATAAGCAAAGAAATTTGTTCCATAGTGCAGTGCTTCCCAAATTTTAACGCAGCATAAATGTCTGGGAGTTCTGATTTCGTAGGCCTGGGGTGAGGCCCAAGACTTAACATTTCTAATAAACAAACTCCCAAGTAACATCAGTGTTACAGATACAAAGACAACACTTTGCATAGCAAGGCTATAGTGGATATCTTCCAGCTGGCATTTAGGCATTTCTCCCTTCAATGACAACTTTATTAACATTAAAAAAAATACCACTTTCCTCTCTTTATTAGGGGAAGATGAATACTGAAAAGCACACAGGTCTAGCCAAAGAAGTGCAAGTGTTTTTTTTTTTTTTTTTTTAATTTTCTCCTTGCCCCGATCTTTGAATCTTTGGTTTTGGGGGGCTCTCTGGTTTCTCTTCTAGACCATCTGTGTAGTCAAATCAGAAAGAGTTTTTCAAAATTCACTAGAAGACCAAGGATCTAATCTGAATCTGTCATTCAAACACACTCTTTCTTGTGAAATGAGATGAGAGATGGTGCCTGACAGTCTGGGTGCTGCAGTCCTTGACTACCCAACGGTCACACAATCTGGCCCTCCAACATCAAAATGATGAGACAGAAATGTTTTGTTAATGAGACGAAAATGTTTTTAGAATGAGTGCTGAGTCTCCAACAGATAAATATGAGAATGAGACATAAGGGAATTCATCATCAAATATTCTTTCATATGCCACATTTTTTTACACTTGCAACAAACATACAGCATTTTCCAAACCACTCTGTTATGCAAACTTGGTAAAAATAAAAAGGAGGGGTACCCCACCATAATAGATAATAAATCTATTTCTTAACATCACGGAAGTTGTGCTCTAAATTTCTGGAGATCTCACTTGTTGAAAATTTAGTGAGACTGAGCCTGAAACCTTGTTTAAACAAAATCTTCACCACAGGCCTTATCAACAGAAGAAATAAAATCTTTGAACCCAGTGGTTATCTTTTTTCTGGTCATCTTGAAATGAATAAAATTCAAATAGAATTTGGCACTGTTCCCAGTGGTCACAAAGGCTATCTTGTCTCAATTAATTTATTACCACCTTGGTTTTAAAAACACTGTAAACAAAGCTACCAAGAACACACAGTTTTGAGAATTGTAAGTCAGACTAGCTGCTCATTTCATAGTGAAGCCATCATCAAACCACTTTTCCTGGCACCTGGAAATCTGTAACACCCACTGAAAGAGTGAAGGACCACTGTATCTCCTGATATCTGATATATAGATATAAAGCCTGTGTAACTAGCAATTACATCTTAATAAAGTGGTAATCTGGCAATCTTTGTGTTCTGATAGCATAACAAAGTAAATGCAGTCTTCAACTGGATAGATGACTGGTATGGCCTGAATATTTCTCCTGACTAAACTTGTTTGACTAAAACTTCAGGCAGACTTCTTGACTCTAGCCCCTGACCTCCCTTTTCTTAAAGCATCTACCTTAGAAAATTTTCAATTATAGATTCTTTCTCTCCCACTTTGAGTAGATATTTTTTAAGCCTCTTACAAGTTTTAAACCTTAGGAATGTCTTTCTCATGGATCTTGGTGCCATTTCTTTGAAAAATAATCATCAAAGAAGATAGTGCCCTCATTTTCCAATCTCTGTAGGAGGATAAGTGCCTAATTTCTGTGGGTACCTTGCTTCAAGTTGTAAAACTACCTCCTGCCATGAAGACAGGAGAAAGACTACTTTTCTTTTGAGTAAGGCCAACTAGCAAAAACAGTGGCCTAAGAATCTTTCTACCTCAGCAATTAAGAACTCTCCTACCATTTGTTTCGGTGGAGTTGAGTTCAGCGTGAATTTCGGCCTCTCTGCCCTTTCATCATAATCTTGAATAAAGCCTTCCTTGTCTGTTTAACTTTATCTACTGCAATTTTTGCTTTGACATAGGCAAACATTCAACTATGTAATTTATTATTAAACAAATGTAGCCATGTTCACTAACACATACACAACTAAAAAGATTAGTAAGAGGGGACAATTTTCTAACTAGGACTACCATTGCAACCACAAACACAACAGAAACATGAGCCTTCTGGACTAGAGGAAAGCAACAAGAAATTAGTTTATTACATCTCACAACAAACATGTCTTAATTTTATACCATATTCCAGGTAAAATGTAAGAAAATGGTGGTACAGAGATGAAAGGCACACTCTGCTCACTGTGGCACACTAGGCTCTTAGGGGAATCTGCAATGTAAATCAACAATTGTAATTCAGTATGGTAATTGCGTTCAGAGGAGTACAAGCACAGAGTCTTTAGAAGGTCAAAGAGAAGTATGGAATTTAGATTGGGGAGGTTTTAGAGAGTAAGTGACATTTGAATTACAACTTGAAGGATCAGTAGGTATTAACCAGGCACAGAGTTAGAGAGCAGTGAATCCTGGGAACGGGAGGCACATGCACAAGCCTAGAAACAAGAAAAGGCATAGCATAAAATGAGATGATCAATAGTTCAGGGTGTGACTGGTTCATAAAGTGTGTGTGGAGCCATTGACGCTCTTCATCCCTCACCACGCAACACATCGGTTAGTAAATGCTTTCAGTTCATCTTCCAAAACAAAAACATAAGTCTGTCCACTTCTCTCCATTTCTACCCTACTTCAGACAACTTTGAAAAAAACAGAATATATTTTAAGGTTTCCATTTCAGGTGCTCACAATTGAGTCTTTTCTGTTTGAGAAAGTTTATAACACTAGTAAAATGGTTAGCATTTATTTTGTCTTTTTATTCATTTATTTTGGCTTACCATAGTGTAAACCCAAATTAAATTTTAGGGCCCCCTAACTATCTGAATAGACCTCCCCTCTCAGCCAAGGGGACTCCAAAGTTAAACTGAAAAACCTAGCTCAGGTCATGATGGAAGGAGGGGTCCAACATTCCTCATTAAAACCTCCTCTCTTTTGAAATTCAGGAAAATCCAATCAGCATTAACATCAATGCAGACCCTAAGTATGATAAGAAGCATTTACAATCTACTCTCTCAGAAGCCTGCTACTTGGAGGCTTCATCTGCATGATAAACCCTTTGCCTCTGTAATAACTTACTGTAACACATACATTCCTTTCTATTGATCATAACTCTTTCAACCAATTGCCAATCAGAAAAATTTTAAATTTATGTATGACCTGGAAGCCCCCCACCTTTGAGTTGTCCTGCCTTTCCAGATCAAACCACTGTAAATCTTACATGTATTGATAGATGTATTCTGTGTCCCTAAAATATATGAAAGCAAGCTGTACCCCAACCTCCTTGGGTACATCTCATTAGAACTTCCTAAGGCTGTGCCACAAGCTCATCCTCAACTTTGACAAAATAAAGTTTCCGAATTGACTGAGACCTGACTCAGACACTTTTGGGATCATAATAGCATTCAGCCACTTCTCACTATCCCCATCATGACCACCCTGGCCTGACCACCACATCTTTCATCTGGCTCATTCTAACAGCATCCTACCTAGTCTTCCTGCTACCACTTTTCATCCTTCTTCGATGGCAGCCCAAATGATCCTTCAAAATGCAAATTATGTTACTCTCTTGGCTACATTTTTGTGATTACTTTCCATTGCCCTCACAATAAAATCCACACTAATTGTTTGAGGGGAGGAGAACATTTCTGTCTGACTTCTCTGGTTCCATAAAGGATTTTTTGCTAAATAATCCTAGGTTTTTGTTCCATTTTTAAATCCTCCCCAGGGAGGTATTTAATTGCTGGATCAGTGAGTTGGGAGAGGAACTGACCACACATATGGATTAGCCCCTTGCTCTCATGCCTCACTTTGTGATCTGTGCACACACAGAGAACTTGGCCTGCAGCTCTGCTCTTTGCCAGCAAGAGAAAGGGTCCTCTCTTCAGTGGGGACTTTTGTATGCTTGGCTCCTTCTTACATAGAGATTCATCTCAAATGGCACCTGATCATCCTGTCTAAAGTAAGCCCTTCCCCCATCACTCTTATAGGAACCACTGTTATTTTCTTTAAAACTCCACTCAGTGCCTGATATTTTATTGATCATTTCTGTTGTCTTTTTATTTTTCCTGTCATACCATACTGAAATGTAAATCCATAACCAGGGGAATCTTTATCTTCTTATGCACTCTTATATCTCCAAAGCCTATAACCACCCCTGGCACGGGTAGATGATAAATAATTATCAAACAGCTGAATCTGGAGAAGTAAAGGAAGGCTTGGTACTGAAAGACAGCTAAGGTCCCAAAATGTCATAGCAAAAAACATTCACCCTCTTCAAAGAGAGAAATTTTGAAAAATTTAAACTTAAAAAAATTATTCAATATTTCTGTAACTGAATAAAGGACAAAAGGAATTTAAGTAGTTAAACTTTCAAATAATGACTTTTACAAGGCACCTTAAGAAATAATTAAAATAGCTATAGCTATGCAGAATACACAGTGTTTTCCATTGGCTAGCTAAAAGAAATACATCAGTAGAGAAATCAGCACTTGATTATATCACAAATGGTCACATTTGGTTAATTGCTTAATAACTTAATAATGTAAATGGACATTTTACCTATAAGTAAAAGCCTGAAAAATGTAATTGAGTTTGCTCCCCTATATGAATAATATCTAACTTTCAGATTCTATTAATCAGTTTTAATCACACACACACATACAAAATGCTGCTGTCCCCAGTTGTCTAAATAGAAACATTCATTTTGGATACAAAAGCAGCTGTAACATAACATTAATCTCTGTAACACCACAGGTGAGTTAAAGGACATGATTTTAAAACAATTGTCTTCCTTTTACTATATAAAGACAGTTTTTAATTTACTGTCAATATCTCTTGGTCACTTTCTAGTGGTTTTATGATAAGTCTAGGCTTAAAAAAATCTAAGGCATCATATATCTGAGACACAGATAATGATCATCTTGACTGACAGTGTTTAAATTCCCACAGCCCCTATTCTCCAAAATGAATGTATTAATGAAATTGAAGATTCTCAGGAATTAAAAAGAAAAGAGGTAAATTCCCCTTTTCACACTTCATTTCATTGATGCTCTCTATCTTTTCCTCTTACAGACGAAGCTTGGTAAGACATCTGGGCAACCGGATTATCACTGCTGTTGTCAAAGTGACATTTGATTAAGCCAAACTTCTAGGGTTTATCTTTAAAAGTACTGGATTCTTATGCTAAGAAGTTAATCCTTGTGTTTCTTATTCCATACATTTGCAGGTTCAGCCAAAGTTTTTAATTCTGCCTCTTCTTCCATGATAGTCTAAGTGACACTTGCTGTTTCTTTTGGAGATCTTCAAGTAATGTAGGTAGCCTTAGCAAATTCGCATCACTGCAAATGCCTCCCTCCTATTTTTATAAAGTAAGGAGGTTATTATATTCTCTTAGCTATTGATTTTTATTGATTCTTGCCAATGTTTCTAAAATGTAAAGTAATACACAAACTGCTTTCAAAGAACAAAATATCTTAACTATTGGTGTTAAATTAATTTTTTGTAAAGTTACTTAAAATTGATACAGACATAAATTCAGCTGTAAATTCCTTTTGTTTATAGATCTCAACTACTCTAAAACAGAAATAAACTGAAATATCACTAAAAATTCCTATAAAACCAATAAAGTTATAATTTTATTTACTGCAAAGGAGGAAGTTGTGTTGCTAGAATTAAATTGCCAAAGTTAGAGATTTATGGTAAAAAGATGAAGCCTCAGGTCTAGTTTTATATGTGACATACTTTTCAGTTTTAACTTAATAATAGTATTAATTCATAAAGTAGATATTTACACAAATATGATTGTTAAGAACACATCAATAACTCAAATTTTTGTCCACTCATACGGAAAACTCAGACAAGCACCTTTTATGAATCAAGTTCATCAGACATACTCTCAAATGCCAATTTTAATAGTCACTTGATAACTCTGAAAACTCTTACTCAAATTAACATTAAACTGAGTTTAATTCAATAATTACTGGAATTGGGAAAATAAGAATTATTCATTTCATATTTACTACCATAGTTCTTGCTAATGAAATATTACAAATTGACATACACAAACAGAATTAGTATGATACCATTGATTATAACATTTATATGTAGTACAATTTCAGCACAGGTACTTTGTGGTTGGTGAGCCTATACTACCTTGTGTCTCATAATCACACGATTCTGTCATTGATATTCTCTGGGCTACATTAATAACTTCTTTGACAATGTAATTGGCTTTTATCTGGGGCAAATACCATCTTAAATACAAATGTAAATGTAGGCAGTGTAATTATATGATAATACTCAATAGAACTCTTGAATGCTCAAAACTTTGTCTGCAGATCCATGGAAATTTTGACTTTAAATAGCCATTAACTGCATAAAAAATGCAGATAATATTGATAAGTATAGTGTGTGTTTCCAAGGAGAGCCACATGTTTTTCCTTTCCTTTCCTTTCCTTTCCTTATCTTTTCTAAACCTCTTCCTCCATCCTCTCTCCCAACTAGACCTAGGAAGGGGTGGAAAGGAGGGGCTCAGCAAGGCTAAAATTGTTACTCATCTTCTATATGCCTAGTGATTTACAAACTTAACCTCATTTAATTTTCACACCATTCTAGAAAGTTAATCAGTCAGGACACAGGAGTTCAGAAAGTTTACATAGCACTTAATCCCACAAACTGCAACCAGTTTCCAAATCTAGCTTTTTCTCTCTCCAAATCCAGAACTCTTTCCCTTGGAAGCTCAATCCAAAGAAAGTATATTATAAAATTTAAGCTATAATCATCTCTTTATTATGATTTTTTTTCTCAAAAGACAGAAAACATTTTAAGCAGAGATGTATCATATTCACTTTGGTGACAAGAGCCTAGCCTAGTGTGCATATTTAATAGGGCCTCACTAGCCTTCTGTTGAATGAAAAAATGAATTAAGTAAATGAAGGGAAGAATAAGCAAATCTGTTCCTGGACATAAATTATACATTTTCAAATCAATCAAAGTTTAGCTCATTCTTTCCCTGCAACTGGAATGAGACATTATTCCACTGACTCTCTTTTTTAAGCTTTCATTGGCAAACCCAGAAAACAAGAACAGAGACCTAGAATATTTGCCCTATGGAGTTAACCCTAGAAAATTTATATCTGGGCCGGGTGTGGTGGCTCACACCTGTAATCCCAGCACTTTGGGAGGCCAAGGAGGGTGGATCACAAGGTCAGGCGTTCAAGACCAGCCTGGCCAACATGGTGAAACCCCATCTCTACTAAAAATACAAAAATTAGTCGGGTGTGGTGGCGGGTACCTGTAATCCCAGCTACTCTGGAGGCTGAGGTAGGAGAATCACTTGAACTCAGGAGGCGGAGGTTGCAGATCACGCCACTGCACTCCAGCCTGGAAAACAAGAGCAAGACTCCATCTTGGGGAGAAAAAAAAGAAAAAGAAAAAATAATTTTATCTGGTGACAGAATTTTTTTTATTTATTACCAAATACTTTTTTTTTCAGATTCAGTGTTTACATGTGCAGGTTTATTACATGGATATATTGTGTGATGCTGAGGTTTGGGCTTCAATTGAACCCATCAGCCACATAGTGAACATAATACCCAACAGGTAGCTTTTAATCTTAAGCCTCATGAGCTACAAGTGTGAGGTCAGGCCTTGAATGATACCCTATACAAATAAAACAATTCTGAAAGTTGTATTAGTATATTTACTTTATTTGCCAGAGGAAAAAAAAAAGACTGATAGAAAAAAAAAATCACTAATCAAAGTCCTAAAACAGTGATCTTTCTCATGGGCTATGAAATATGACAGACTTTGTCTTATACTTCCCACTCATTTATTCATTCATTTATTCATTTAGCTAATTATTATTTTTATCATTATCACCTACTATTTTTAATATTGTGCTGGATTCTAAAAATTGTACCAGAAACTATTTTTTTAATGTGTCCTTTTCTGCGAAAACAATGTCAGAGTAGAGGCAAGAAAATGGTAAATCATGCAACACAAGCAAAAATGCAAGCAGTATAAAGACAAATGCTAAATTAATTGGCCTTGACCTTAAATATAATAAGAAGGCATAATAGCTGTCACACTGAGACCTATGCAAGTGTTCTCAGGTTGCAACTGAAAGTATCTGTACCTTGAAGCTTTGAGAGGATAGTGACCATAATGGGTTTCCCAAAGATCATCCCCCAACTGTGTTATTTCTTTTTTGTTTACTTCTATAATTTGTTTTGAGAGGTACTCATAAGCCATGGTCTAGTTCAGTGGTAAATATTGTAATATGGGACTGGTACAGGACACAGTTATGAGCACTGCTCACAGTTAAGGACAGTTATTCATACATATAACAAAATAAGAGGATTTAAGTTTCTGCTAAAAGGAGTAGATACATGCAACAGCTGGGTGATTTCAATATGTTATCAACAAGCAAAATTCAGCAAAAAAAGCTAACATAAAGGTGATTTGTTTCACAGTAATAGGCAAGTTACAGTAAATACATTAAATTGCAAATAACAGATGAGTTTGCAAAAATTTGATTACATCTTAATGAATTCTTAAATACTTTCTTTAGTGCCATTATAATTTTTTCTACTGTGGGGTCTTTAACAGCAATAACATGCTCTTTCTCATTCTCTGTGTGTAATAACTGGCCTGTTTGGAAGGATAGTAAATAATGTGTTTAATATTAATTAGACTAATATAGGAGTATTGAGATCTATTTGTATTTGCAAATAATCCCCTTGCAAATAATTTCTTTTCAAATATAAATAGGGACAGAGGAGGTAGGGGACCTTTGAATTTTAGCAGTGTCAGAACATCTCTATCTTCATCGTATTTACAAAATATACAGAAAAATCCTCCTCTACTTTATTCACTGAGATTGGAAGCTGAAGCTGCTCAGAATAGGACCTCATACATTATTTTTTTGAAGTGCCCTCTGGCCTGGTCTCTTATGTGTTATAGTTAACACCATTTTATTGTAGTTGTTGTTGTTGTTATACACTTCCTCTGGAGCTGGGTATTTTTGGAACCCAACAAAGCTTAAGCTTCAGGGCTCCTCATCTGAAGAGGCTGGTTTCAAGCCCCTAAGAGAGACTCTGGCAATATTCTTCTGGTCTTCTGCTTTGGTATAATTCGCAAAAAATATTTTAACTGCAATTAAATTTAAAGCACTTTTTTGAGGACATTTTCTCTTTCACAATGCTTCCCCTGTCAGGTATCATTGAAGTAGCCATGGGTATATTTGGATTGGGCACAAAGAAAAATGAGATGGTGATACACTTAGATTTTGCTTGGATTTAGTGGCATTTATGAATGCAGTTTGTAGTCATGTCTGTATATAGTTATTGTTAACTGCCTTGGTGAAGAAATGGCATCTAGCAATATTCTTGCTATCTGTGCTAAATCTCTGGGCCTGAAATCTTGATATAAATGTGTCCCATGGTATCCTGCACCTGAAGTATGTGGGTAGTTTCTGGCTCCGTTTCTCCTTATTTATTCTTTATCTAGACTGCTGAAATAAAATGGTTTTGCCCAAAACCTGTTATGTCTTAGGAGAAGAAAGCTAAAGTTCAAACTTCATCACCTCAAATTTATTCCTCATTCCCACAAGAATAGGTACAACAAATTTTAAAGATAGCTACGGCTATAGTTTGAATGTTTGTGCTCCCTCCAAAATTCATGTTGAAACTTAATCCCCAATGCAACGGTATTAAGATGTGGATGTTTTGGGGAGATGGTTAGGTCATGAGGAATCTTCCCTCATGAATGGGATTAATGACCTTATAAAAGAAGTGTGAGAGAGCTTTTTGTGCCTTTTGCCCTTCCACCTCCTCCATGTGAGTATACAGCAACAAGGCACCATCCTGAAGCAGAGAGAGAGAGACGCCCTCCCCAGACAGTGAACCTGCTGGTGCCTTGACCTTGGACTTCCTAGCCTCCAAAACTGTGAGAAATAAGTTTCCATTAATCATAACTTACCCAGTCTTAGGTATTTTGCCATAGGAGCACAAACAGATGAAGACAACTGCAACATTTTTTTCTAAAATAGTTTAAAATTTTTCTTTTCTAAGGAGTCCTCAAACAAATGAATAAAAACAGGCAGCAAAACAAAAGTGGGATTTTTAAAATACTGAGTCTCTTCATTCTATATTCACATCGTACCCCTGGCTGACAGATGAGGTGAACTCTTTGTGGCTAAGATGAGACCCTTGAAAGAAAATTAAGTGGTCATAATAGGGAAAAGTGATTGGTCACATCCTCCTATATTGTTAATTACTAGAAGATTTGTTCATTGCCATAAGGTTTTCTTCCTGCAGTTAGGCAGAAACTGTTCCAGGAAAACACTGCCCAGCTGGCTCCAATGGACGGCCTGATGCCAGCTAAGTGGTAGATTCCCATCTTGGGGTCCTGCCAGCCACGCCCACCAGATAGATGACCAACCTTACAAACATTCCTCCTGATAAGCAGCTACAGACCCTGAGCCAATTCCAGCCAGCCTACAAAGACTACACACAAAATGTATTTGTGCCCTACAGCTCACCTTATGACATAAAAAGCCGAAGTCCATCTAATTTTAATGTTAAAACCCTGTCCCAAAGTGAACATGGGATGTATGTTAGATATATGTTAACTCACTGCACATGTGCTTGACTTTTTTTAATAAATATTCACAGACATTCCCAAACCTGATGAATATTCATGGCTATGCATGGAGACAGACCACTGAAGGCTTAAATGACAATGTATTCTTCCTTTCTACAAAGTATGTGTTTTCAATTTCCTCAGAAGCTTCATTTCCCCAATTTACAGATTGTCACTCAGAAAATAAAGTTTTCTCCCTTTTCCTTACTCCACAGATCTCATGGGCATTTGTTAACACCTGATTACATCTGACAGAAATGTGCTAAAACGGATCAATTTGTATCTATTTGAAAAAGTTCTCACTAATTAAGATTGTTGTATTTTCATGAAATATTAGATAAACACTACAACTCACACTCTTATTCTCTCTGGTAATAATATGATATTTTGAAAATATAATTAAATTTAGTTATCTTGAAAATGTATTTTTTTTTTGTTTTTAAACGATTGGTAAAAGAGAGTTTATCAATTTTGTTTTCAACAGAATGAGTTTCATAGGTTCCTACATTTTTTTGGTACTTATTTTTACCCTGTTAGGAAATGTCAGTAAATGAATAAAAGCTGTGTCCTCTTGATAAGAGAAAAAAAATCGAATTGGTCCCTTCTCAGGATTTTCAATTTATTTTGAAATTGTCTATTAGCATTACTACTTACAAGATTTGTGTCAGTTGTAACTAAGCTATCTCATCATTATTGGAATGGCACAGGAGATTAACACTGCATTTGTTTTGAAGGCCACTTTCTCGTACAAGAGATATATGGATCGTTTTCTTGTGCAGCTTCTTATAGCTTCTTCTATGTAGCTTCAGAAAGAATGATACCTTAAATATTTACCGTAGAGAGGTGACAGACAGAGGAAAGATACAATCCACAACAGAGAAATATATTAGTAAAAGCCATTGTGCTAACTCCTTCAGTGAGCACCTCCTCTGTGTTGAGACAACTGTAGTCACTGGGAATACAGTGGTAACCAAGACTGATACTGTATTGGCCACTATCATACTTCAAACTATTTGGATATAGAGGAGAGAACATTGAATTCCGAATTCAAAACGGAGTGCAATCAAAAGCTCAAATTAGCAAGCCCCCAAGAGAAATGGCAAACAAAAGGACTTGACTTCAGTGGAAAATATCATTTAGAGGCTGTGAAGTAAGATTCTGGAGTGGTGAAGAGGAAGGGAAAAGGAGTGGCTAAAATACTGAAATTAATGTGTTTTGTTGTTGTTGTTGTTGTTGTTTTCTTTTTTGAGACAGTCTCGCTCTGTCGCCAGGCTGGAGTGCAGTAGCATGATCTTGGCTCACTGCAACTTCCGCCTCCTGGGTTCAAGTGATTCTCCTGCCTCAGCCTCCCGAGTAGCTGGGACTACAGTCACGCGCCACCATGCCCAGCTAATTTTTGTATTTTTAGTAGAGATGGGGTTTCACCATGTTGGCCAGGCTGGTCTTGAACTCCTGACCTTGTGATCCGCCCACCTCAGCCTCCCAAAGTGCTGTGATTACAGGAGTGAGCCACCACACCTGACCTGAAACTAATATTTTTAAATTAAATGAAAAATTGAATTTTAGATACAACCTAGTGTGTATCTGAGTGAAACTATAAACATATGTAGCTGCTCAATGACTTTATCCAAACCATAAATGCATGCATGAAACTTCATTTAACCTAATTGGGTTGTGTTAGACTTTAAAATCATTTTTAAATATTTTTTGGACGTTTTGAATGTAGCATTTCAAACAAGCAGGTATCATGCTTTTTCCTTTGGTAAATTTGATTTTGGAGGAGGAATTTTGGAAGACGTAATTTATCAGTTAATCAAGAAAGATCAATTCTAAAAACATAAAAGAATTATAGAGAAAGTAATATTTATTCATTTGTTTAATACTTTTTCTTTGAATATCTATATGCCAGGCACTACTTCTATGTCTCAGGAGTAAGATGGGAACCAAAAAGAAAATTTCTCTACTTTGCATTAAAGTGAGAGAGACAAATAAGAAGGGAACAAAAAAATTATTATATAATACAATGACAGGTGGAGATGAGTACCATGAGAAAAAGTGGAACAGGTATAGGAAGGGGTGGAGGGGGTGGGAGGTGGCATGGATATTTTAGATACCAAGGTAGGGATGTCTGAGGAGGTGACATTTGAACAAGGACCTGAAGGAAACTGGGAATGAGCCATGTGAGAATCTTGTTGTGGGAGGGAAAGAGAGAGCTTCCAGGCAGAGGGAACAGTGAATGTAAATGCCCCGAGGTAGGATCCATTGGGTCTGTGAGCAAACAGAAGTGGAATGAGAAGACAGAGTAGTAATCATGTAGGACAAATTAGTAAAGCCTTTGAATTTTATTCTAAATACACTGAAAACCAGCTGGAGGTTTTGAGCAGAAGAATAACAAGATCTGACATATGTTTTAAAAAGATCTCCCTTTTGTGTTGGGAAAAACTGAAGGGCATGATGATAGAAACTGGAAAAGTTGTTAAAGTGCCATTAGGAATAATCTAAGTAAGAGATTTGGCTTGGATAAATGGGAGTAAGGAAGGTAGTCAAAAGTGGCTAAATTTTGAATGTATTTTGGAAAAGCACTGACAGAATCTGCTAATCGTATAGTGCATAAAGTCAGAAAACGAGCAGAGTTTATGATGACGCCAAAGTCTGGCATCTAGGCAGCTGGGTAAGTGGTCATGCCATTTACTAAACTGGGGACAATTCAGAGAGGAATAGTCAGGTGCATACAGTGGTAGTTGGCATTCTTTTGCATGCACCTGTAGTTTCAGCTACTTAGGAGTCTGAAGCAGGAGGATGGCTTGAGCCCAGTAGTTCCACTCCAGTTGGGACAACGTAGCAAGACTCTGTCTCAAACAAAAACGAATAAAAAGACAAAAAAAAAAAAAAAGAGAGAGAGAGAGAAATAGAGAGGGATAGATTTGGTGGGGAATGGCGAAAATGAGAGAGAATCTAAGAAAATGTTGGAGAGATGCTCTTATTCAGTACAAAAATAGAACGTAAAAGCAAGAAAGCAAGAGGTTAAGTGAAACGTAAAGACGAAAGTCTCAAATGATACTTTAAATGTAGCAATTGTGTTTGATTGAAATTAAAGCTTTTTTAAAGTGCAATTACCTGACTTTATAATTGAATAGTTCTGTTGGCACAGACTAGGAAATATCCTCACATTACTGGCAGACTTTACATTGAATAGTCATTATATTATCATGATATTACGCTTCCCTGGAGAATTGCTTTAATGGTATACTAATATGTCAGTCACTTGAAGCCCGCAGACAAGTAAAGCACAGTAGGTCTGCCTATTCATGTCTTACTGTCGAGCCTGAAAAAGAAGGTGCCACAATCTAACATCTTGCTCACATGGAAAGTGATGGCAGCCCTAGAAGATAATAATCTTCCATGGGGTGGACAAAGGGCCAGCATGCTGTTAGATGCTGCTAATGTGTCTTTCCAGAGCAACTCATTACTCAGAAGTTTTAAATTTTTTAAAGAAAAAAAGACTTTCAGGGCACAATTTTCTTTAGCGAATACTTATGACAGAGCATTTCATCTTCTTTCTGGGTCACAAAGCTGCCTATCTATTAGGGATGGTTAAAGTCAGCTTTGATAAATTGGAAGCCTATTTAAAATTCTCCAGCTCAGAGCCATTATCTCTCCATGGCTTTTAGTATTTCTAATTTTCTATTTTCAGTCTAATGGGAAAACGGGGAGAAAGGGTATCTCCCTTCTCATGTAATATATGACTTTGATTGCTGGGGTTTGGTTGCATAACAGTTTGTACGTCACAGGTATTGATTATATTAACATCAAACAGCAGTTTTTATAGCTATAAAACAGCATCAGAGTTGGTCCTAAAAGAAAACATGGTAAAATCATTCTTTGCACGTCAGCCCCTGATCCAATTCAAAATATTACAGCTTATCAGATTTTTGCTTTCCAGCATCTCTCCCACCATTTTAATAGAAATAACTTCATTAAGTATAGGCTTTGATCTTTTGTCAATATACTATAGGAAAAAACAACAGCTGTAAGAATAAGAGATCTTACCCTTACACCTGACAAGAAAACAAAAAAGGAGTGTCCAAAATTCTGGGGAGCAGGAGGGCTAAAACCAACCCTACTTGCCTTCCATTAATGTCTAGGATTAGCTCAAAATATCATAAGATGCATGGCAGTACAATTGGACAAACTCTACAGAACTATCAGGTAAACCACTATGCCACTGAAGAACACAAAATCAAATTCTGAAGCATTGCAAGCTTAGGCAATTCCTTTGCTTTGTGAGGTATACTCATTCTACAAAGTTGTTGTCTAAGCTTTTACTATTAATATTTATTCTAAATCATTCCCCTTATCAGCAAGCTGAGTTTCATCCTCAAGTGCATTTAAACCTAGCTGACCTTACTGGGATATTTCACATTTGCCACACAATAAAACAGTTTGAAATGCAAGTTATCTCTGATACCACTAAGTAATTCCACCCTGCAGTGCAGACAGAACATCTTCAAATCATTATTTTATCCCCTTTCCTCAGACTAATCCCCTGACCATTTCTAGCTGGCCCCTCTGCCATACAGGCCTCCTTTTATAAGTGAATGGTTTGTGTTTCTTTTAGTACTGATGATATTTTATTGTCTTAGTCCTCTTCACATTGAGTGTGACACCTAAAATTGCCTAGAACTAAGTAGGAGTTAAATAAATGTTAGTTACATTTACAAATTAATTCTAATGATACCATATCTAGCAAGACATTATTTCTGCCTTTGAAAAGTTTTGGTTTAACTAGCAAGGTATTGGAAGGATTCCTAAGGAGATGATGGTTAAATATCTGAGCAGAATTTAAGAAAAGGGGGCATAGGCCCTGCTGGCCATAAACTCCTGCCTCCTGGAAATCCCTACAAATCCTTGCAATAGAAAGAGCCATTGATTAAAGCTTTAAGATCTGAATCTACATGTTATCTAATATTTGAGAAAACCTGCTTTATTAGCTCCAAATATAGCCAAAAAATGCAAAGCAGCTATTATTATTATTATTATTGCTACTGGATCATTATATATATATATATGGACTATGTCCTTTGTGGTGCTCATGGAACTATAATTCATAAATACTTTGAAATCTTCAGGTAAAAGACATTATTTTAAATAAAGCAATTTCAGCATAATATATTGAGTTTTCTCCTTCCTTACTCTAGAGCAGACCTTTGCTTTGTATTCACAATGTTGCTCTATTTGGAGAAAACTTGTCTTAAACAACCTAGAGGAAAGCAGAGACTCATTAAAAAAAAAAAAGGCAGCCAAAGGAGTTATTATTTTCTCTTTTTAAAATAAGATGATGAGAAATCAGAACAAAGAGGTTAAATAATGAAAAGAAAAGGGATTCTGGAAGTCAGTAGTATGGCTCAGTTAGAGTGAGGTAATTTTCGGTTACATAATAAAGTGGTTTAAAAAAAATAAGAAAGACTGCAGAAGAGGCGTGGGCACCGAGACAGTCCTAGGAGGACGCTGCCTCTTTCAGGAAGCTCACTAACACCTTCTTCTCTGGCCTGCTGTCCCACAGTGCTTGACACTCAAACATATACAGCCTTGCTTTCTTAAAGGAAAAGTCCTTGGCAGGCTTATTTGTCTTCATGGAAACTTCAATGCATACTTCTTAGAATCCTTCAAACAGTTTAGAACAATGCCAAGAAGATATTTGGTGAGTGCATTGGATCTGGTGAATTAGGTCATATATGGTGAAATATTTAAAGATATCAGGACTTTGAGGGAGAAAAGAGGTGATTGAGCCTTAGTTAAAACTTTTCAGTTCGGAAATAAAGGGATCTCATCAAGTACAGCAACCTTTGAGCGAGAGGTCTTTAACATTCTCTCAGTTTGATGAAACCGAAGACAGGCTTCTTTCTGATTCTAGGACCCTGACCTCCCTTTTCTTAGAGCATTTACCTCAGAAATCTTACCAATTCTTTCTCTGCCCCTTTGAGATGTAAATACGTTTAAAAGTTTCTAAACCAATTTTACAACCCAAGAATGTTTCTCTCAAAAACCTGGGCACCATCTTTTTGAAATGTATTCATCAAAGAAGATAGCGCTCCCATCTCCCATTCTGTCTAGGAGAGTATGTTGCTAACTCTTGTAGATGTCTTGCTCCAAGATGCAAAACTACCTCCTGTGGGTAAGGCCAACTAGAAAATACAGGTAGCCTAAGATCACCGCCACCACCATCATGGTTCTTAAAATCTCTCTGGCCCTTCATTTCAGCATAGCTGCATACTCAGTTTTGGTGTGCTCTCTCCCCTGTTGCTGGCAATAGTTGACATAATAAACTCAACTTCTTTTTGCCCTTTCTGTCTAATGTGATTTATTTCTTTAACACATTGCTGCTCCTACGCAAAGAAAAGAAAAAGGGATTTACACTTAGAATGCTGCTGTGTCTGATCCTTCCTTGACAGGTGCCTTTGTAGGTTCTGCCACTTGCTTCAGCTCTGTCAGGGAATGGGGCACAACACCCCTTCATTTGGGCAGTCATCAAACTCTACCCTCTCCCAGTCTGAGATGCCATGTTGCTCTTCCTTTTCTTCTTCCTTCTTCTCCTCCTTTCTTCCTTTTCCTCCTCCTTCTTTTTCTTCCCCTATCTCTCTCTTACCAGCCCCCATTCTTAAGTGAAAATTTTTCTCTTCACTCCCTAAAAGACGTTTAGGACCTAAATATTTTGAATGAGCTGAGGCTTTCAGAGGTGATAGAATAAAGTCTCTTTCATTCTAATATGAACAACATTGTTCTTCCTCCTTTCCCAAAACAGCCCCCGAGGCATGGAAAGTAAAGGATGAGGCTACATTCTTCAAAGGGAGAAAGGTGGAGACACAATAGAAGGCACAGAAAATACAACTTCAAAAACCTGACATCTCAACAAAATATACTGCTAAAATAGCATGGCCAAATTATTCACCCCAGGGAGAAACAAGATTTTGGCCTCCATTATTTTTCTATGAATGATTCCAACGGAACTCTCCTTGAACATGAGACAAAGTGGTAGGCAGCCTGTAGACCAGCAGCACTGGCATCACCTGGGAGCTTTTGGGATGCAGAATCTCAAGTCCCATCTAGACCTACCAGAACTGACCTGTGGTGTAATAAGGATCCCAGGTGATTCCAACGCTCACTAAGGTTTGAGACACTCTGGCAAAGACAGCAAGCTCTGGAGCCAGACTACTAATAATGGCATTTCAGCACTGTGTTTGTTCCAGGAAAGGGGTCCCAATCCAGACCCCAAGAGAGGGTTCTTGGATCTTGCACAAGAAAGAATTCAGGGTGAGTCCGCAGTGCAAAGTGAAAGCAAGTTTATTAAGAAAGTAAAGGAATAAAAGAATTGCTACGCCATAGACAGAGCAGCCCCAAGGGCTGCTGGTTGCCCATTTTTGTAGGGACAAGCCCCACAGGGTCGGTGGGTCTCTCCCCGTGTTCAGAGATGAGAGAGTGTAGAAATAAAGACACAACACAAAGAGATAAAAGAAAAGACAGCTGGGCCCGGGGGACCACTACCACAAATGCACGGAGACCGGTAGTGGCCCCGAATGTCTGGCTGTGCTGTTATTTATGGGATACAAAGGAAAAGGGGCAGGGTAAAGAGTGTGAGTCATCTCCAATGATAGGTAAGGTCACGTGGGTCACGTGTCCACTGGACAGGGGGCCCTTTCCTGCCTGGCAGCTGAGGCAGAGAGAGAGAGGAGACAGAAAGACAGCTTATGCCATTATTTCTGCATATCAGAGACTTTTAGTACTTTCACTAATTTACTACTGCTATCTAGAAGGCAGAGTCAGGTGTACAGGATGGAACATGAAGGCAGACTAGGAGCGTGACCACTGAAGCACAGCATCACAGGGAGATGGTTAGCCCTCCGGATAACCGCAGGCGAGCCTGACTGATGTCAGGCCCTCCACAAGAGGTGAAGGAGCAGGGTCTTCTCTAAACTCCCCCGGGGAAAGGGAGACTCCCTTTCCTGGTCTGCTAAGTAGCGGGTGTTTTTCCTTGACACTTTTCGCTACCGCTAGACCACGGTCCGCCTGGCAACCGGCATCTTCCCAGATGCTGGTGTCACCGCTAGACCAAGGAGCCCTTCTGGTGGCCCTGTCTGGGCATAACAGAAGGCTCGCACTCTCGTCTTCTGGTCACTTCTCACTGTGTCCCCTCAGCTCCTATCTCTGTATGGCCTGGCTTTTCCTAGGTTATGATTATAGAGCGAGGATTATTATAATATTGGAATAAAGAGTAATTGCTACAAACTAACGATTAATGATATTCATATATCTAAGATCTATATCTGGTATAACTATTCTTGTTTTATATTTTATTATACTGGAACAGCTTGTGTCCTCGGTCTCTTGCCTCGGCGCCTGGGTGGCTTGCCGCCCACACATTTTTATGGTTATTTCTTGATAATATGCTAAACAAGAGGTGAATAATGCATTCTTCCTCTTTTTAGACCTGATAGGGTAACTTCCTGACATTGCCATGGCATTTGTAAATTGTTGTGGTGTTGGTGGGAGTGTAGCAGAGAGGACGACCAGAGGTCAGTCTCTTCACCATTTTGGTTTTGGTGGATTTTGGCTGGCTCCTTTATTGCAAACTGTTTTATCAGCAAGGTCTTTATGACCTGTATTTTGTGATGACCTTCTATCTTATCCTGTGACTTAGAATGCTTTAACCATCTGTGAATGCAGCCCAGTTGGTTTCAGCCTCATTTTACCCAGCTCCTACGTAAGGTGGAGTTGCTCTTGTTCACACACCTCTGACATGTTCACTACAGCTAAGAAATTTATGTTATCACCAATTTTATGTGTGTGTGTGTGTGTGTGTATGAGGAAACAAGGCAATGAGCAGTAAAGTAACTTCTCCAAAATCACAACGCTAATAAATTGAATCAGGAAGTTAAATAAAACAAGTTGAAACCCTAACTCTGTTGCTTACTGCTAGCTGAACTTAGCAAGTTACCTACGCTTTCTTAGTCTGTTTTCTCATTTGAAAAATCGGTGTCATAGATACATCCTATAGTTGTTATATTGATTAAATTATATACAGAAGCATATGCACAAATATTATTTATATTTACAACGTTTCCAATTGTCTCTGAAAAAAAATAGTCATCCTATTCAGAAATATATTTAATCATCACTATGGTAGATAAGAGTTGTGAGATGTGAGTGACGGTAACTCCAACAGGAGGTTTATGAAACAGTACTAAGGAGAGTGTCCTTAATCTTCAGATCTTTGGTTGTGGTAATACATGATATATTCCAGGGACACAGACTAGAGAAAAAAATTGACAGATCAGAGACATCAGAGAGGAAAGGAAAGAAGTCAGGGAAGAAAGTGCTTAAAGGAGCATTTTTAATTGCCAGTTATCAAATGTTTTTGATTTAATATTTGTATTTATCAAACCCTCAAGTGCTTTAGGTTAGTATAATTTATCATTTTATCATGATTTTTCACTTTAGGGTTTCCTTTTATTTTGTTTTGTCTTCCTTTCTTTCCTTTCTTCTTTTTTAGCCAGAGCTTTACTCCGCAGGGTAGAAGAAGATGAGAGAAATAAAAAGGTAGAACCTGTTGAGAAGCTGTGAGGTTAAAATCATGTTCCTAGAATTCTGATACTATACTAGGCTTGCCAAGCCATGAAGCAAACTGAGAAGTCTCCTGCAGTGTTTTCAAAGGAACCAGATACAAAAACAATCTAAAAACAAGCAGTATGAGATGTGACAGACAACATGCTGCTGCAAAGACGTTCCTTCCCTTTAACCCCGACACACATACCCTATATGAGGGCCCACATTCAGCCCTCCACATAAACACACACACACGCACACACACGTGTGTGCAAACATGCGTGCACTGTCTTATATACCCTCCTTATCTGTCTGTTCCTAATATATTGCTTTGCTGGCCACCGGACTAGAGGTTCTGAAATTATACTATATGGAATACATATGAAAAAGAAAACAAAGTTGATTTAAATTTCCTCTGAAATACATTTTTGTTTTGAAATCTATCACCAAGCACATGTAACACAGGCATCCTACAGAGCAGGCTGGGAAGATTGTTGGGGTTCTCAATACCGTTTGAACCACCAATTTCCTAATTATCACCTACTTACTACTTCTTAGAATGAACCTATTAGTGTATTTTACAATATTAATAGATATTTTATTAGCTATTATGTTTTAGAATTGCTTTTTATATAAAAGCCGTGCACTAACTATGTCATCCCATTGATCTTACCTCAATGTGCTCCTTACAGTCATCTCAAATGGCTAATAACTTGCTAATATAACTTTACAGGTACATTTTGTACCTTTCTCTTCACCAATTGTGGACATACCAGCTCATTAAACACTGTGAAAGAACACAGGCTAAAGCCCTTTCTTTTAACAAGCCAGTGGTGTGAAACCAAAGTCTAAGCCCTTGTTCTGTAATGATCTTGATGCACCCCCTCCACAATACCAGGAGGTAGGATGTAGGGAGAAAACATCTCAGAGAGCTGCTTCCACAAAGGATGATTAATTTTTGGTGGTATTTCTAAAGTTTTCTTTTAGATGTTGCTTTAATCTTTTAGATGTTGCTTTAATCTTCCCATTCATATCTTGGGTCATTTCAAAGCCTTGTCGGTACTGTTGGCTGGCTAAATGAAAAGCATAACAAGGTCAACTGTTGAACAATGAAACTTGTGTCAAGGCCCAGTTACACATTAATATAACTTGTTCTAGCCCATATCTACTCCTAACAACACATAAAAGAACAACAATTTGCTGTCATTTGGCAAAATAGCATCAAGGATGGTGTGACTGCAGAAATCCTCATGGAACAATGATCGCTAACACAGTTACTAACTATAAAACAGGATTTTTCTATTTTCAGTGGTCCTTGTGAGTGCATATCATTATTTGGGGGTTAAGTTGGAATGAAAGGTGTTTGCATTAGTCCCAACCATTTAATAAACTGCTTACAGGTAGGAAAGAAATATGCCTGAAATTGTTTATATACTCAATAAGAAAATAGAGCCAGTGAACAGTAGAACCAAAAAGAATTCAGTAGATTCTCTTACTGAATTTACCATATATTTATGTAAAGCAGATATTGCATACCTGCCAGAACACAGAGCTTAATTTGAATGCCATTATTCCAGCCAAATAAACACAAGATGACAAAATTGTTCAATAATTGAATTATTTTATTATACCCACTGCTTATGCTTTCAAATAAAATCAGTCAGATTTTACAAACAGTGGTTTTCATAGAAGACTTTTTAGTAAATGCCTGCTTCAGAGAAAACCCCCACTGACTTAATTCACTTACAGATATTTTCATAACCTCTCTCACATGAACATAAATGTTCATGGGCTACATTCAAGAAGTTAACAAGCCTAAGATAACAGCTCAGCCAAGCTATGGAACTCAATTCCTGCTCCACTTTGAGAGAGAATATGCGATGTTAGCAAATAATGAAATGCAATACATCAAACTGTCTGCCTAGAGAACTCAACTTGTTTAGAATAAATTAACTTAAGCTGCCCATAAAGAGAGTTGAAATGCAGATGAACCAATATGGCTGCATTACCAATTCCATCTAGTTTTCACCATAGAGTTAGTTTTAAGTGATTGGAACATAGAGATAGTGTCTGTCACCACAGTGCTCCTATAATGCTTTGTCCACACCACTTTTCCAGTCTTTTCTTCAATGTATTGTAGTTATTTCTTTGGATGAATTTTTTCACCTACTGATTCTGAGTTCCTTGTAGGTAAGGATCATATTTACTGTTTTAATAAATGCTATTTTAATAAATAAGTGAAAGAATAAGTGAATTAATTCGAGTCATGAGTGGCTTAATGACAGGAAGACATTTTGAGAAATGCACGGTTAGGTGATTTAATCATTGTGTAAATATTACACAGTTCATTTACACAAACCTAGATGACATAACCTACTATACACCTAGGCTATATGGTATAGCCTATTTCTCTTAGGCTGCAAAACTGTACAGAATGATATTGTGCAACTGAGCCTTTATTATAAAGATCATAAGATGTTTGTTTAACTTATTTTCCTTTTATCTTGTCCTTTCCTGCCTCCATACATGTTTACTTGTAATTTTGGTAGAGAGTAGTCCCTAGTAATTGATTAATTTGATATCCTCACCCCAGGGGCTGGCCACAAGATTAATGAACTTGTTTTCTTTTAAAGAACAAGGATTCTTAGGTCATACAGAAATTCTTGATGGCCCCTAAAGTTTGATTGGGCTGAGGGACTCAAATAGCTTTGATCATTGGGGGAACCCACCTCCCACATACCTACTGTCAGGCCTCTGGTCCCAAGCCTGCACATATACATCCAGATGGCCTGAAGTAACTGAAGAATGACAAAAGAAGTGAAAATGGTCGGTTCCTGCCTTAACTGATGACATTACCTTGTGAAATACCTTCTCCTGGCTCATCCTGGCTCAAAAGCTCCCCCACTGAGCACCTTGTGACCCCCACACCTGCCAGCCAGAGAATAACTCCCTTTTACTATACTTTTCCACTACCTACCCAAATCCTATAAAACGGTCTCACCCCTATCTCCCTTTGCTGACTCTCTTTTCAGACTCAGCCCGCCTGCACCCAGGTGATTAAAAAGGTTTATTGCTCACACAAAGCCTGTTTGGTGATCTCTTCACACGGATGCAGGTGAAATTTGGTGTCATGACTCGGATCAGGGGACCTCCCTTGGGAGATCAATACCCTGTCCTCCTGCTCTTTGCTCCATGAGAAAGGTGCACCTACAACATCGGGTCCTCAGACCAACCAGCCCAAGGAACATCTCACCAATTTTAAATCATGTAAGCGGCCTCTTTTTACTCTCTTCTCCAACCTCTCTCACTATCCCTCAACCCCTTTCTCCTTTCAATCTTGGTGCCATCCTTCAATCTCTCCCTTCTCTTAATTTCAATTCTTTTCCTTTTCTGGTAGAGACAGAGGAGATGTGTTTTATCCACGACCCCAAAACTCCGGTGCTGGTCATGAACTCAGGAAAACAGTCTTCCCTTGGTGTTTAATCACTGCAAGGATGGCTGCTTGATTATTCACCCACGTTTCAGAGGTGTCTGATCACCGCGGGGATGCCTGCCTTGATCCTTCACCCTTAGCGGCAAGCACTGCTTTTCTGGGGGCAAGCAGCCCCCACCCTTTCTCTCCGTGTCTCTACCCCTTTTCCACTTCCCTGGGAGGCAAGCACCTCCCACCCTTCTCCACTTTCCTTGGGGGCAAGCACCCCCCACCCCTTCTCTCCATGTCCTCTCTTTTCTCTGGGCTTGCCTCCTTCACTATGGGCAAACTTCCACCCTCCATTCCTCCCTCTTCTCCCTTAGCCTGTGTTCTCAAAAACTTAAAACCTCTTCAACTCACACCTGACCTAAAACCTAAATGCCTTATTTTCTTCTGCAACACCGCTTGGCCCCAATACAAACTTGATAATGGCTCTAAATGGCCAGAAAACTGCATTTTCAGTTTCTCCATCCTACAAGACCTAGATAATTTTTGTCAAAAAATGGGCAAATGGTCTGAGGTGCCTTACATCCAGACATTTTTCACACTTCGTTCCCTCCCTAGTCTCTGTTCCCAATGCAATTCCTCCCAAATCATCCTTGTTTCCCTCCCGCCTGTCCCCTCAGTCCCAACCTCAAGCATCGCTGAGTCTTTCCAATCTTCCTTTTCTACAGACCCATCTGACCTCTCTCCTCCTCCCCAGGCTGCTCCTCACCAGGCCAAGCCAGGTCCCAGTTCTTCCTCAGCCTCTGCTCCTCCACCCTATAATCTTTCTATCACCTCCCCTCCTTACACCTGGTCTGGCTTACGGTTTAGTTCTGTGACTAGCTCTCCCCAACCTGCCCAACAATTTCCTCTTAGAGAGGTGGCTGGAGCTGAAGGCATAGTCAGGGTACATGTGCCTTTTTCTCTATCGGACCTCTCTCAGATCAGTCAGCGTTTAGGATCTTTCTCATCAGGCCCTACTAAATATATACATGAATTCCAATATCTAACTCTGTCCTACAATTTAACCTGGAGTGACTTAAATGTCATCCTAACTTTTATCCTCCCACTAGATGAATGGGAAAGAGTTTTTTCTCTGGCCCAATCTCACACTGACAACTGTCGGCTCCACAAGCCAGACCTCCAGGAAGGCATTAGAGAAGTTCCCCAAGAGGATCCCCAATGGAACTATCAGGAAAATTCCCCAGGTATAGCTAGGCGAGATTACATGATTTCCTGCCTAGTTGAAGGGCTTAAAAAGGCAGCTTACAAAGCTATTAATTATGACAAGCTTAAAGAAACTACCCAAGGTACAGACAAAAACCCAGCCCAGTCCATGGCTTGTTTGGCAGCAACCATGAGACACTTTGCAGCCCTAGACCCTGAAGGTCAGAAGGCTGTCTCATTCTAAATATGCATTTTATCACCCAGTCAGCTCCTGACATTAGAAAAGAACTTCAAAAATTAGAATCCGGCCCTCAAACCCCACAATAGGAATTAATCAACCTCGCCTTCAAGATGTACAGTAATAGAGAGGAGACAGGCAGATGGCAACGCATTTCTGAGTTACAATTACTTGCCTCTGCTGTGAGACAAAACCCAGCCGCACCTCCAGCACACAAGAACTTCAAAATGCCTAAGCTGCACATGCCTAAGCCACAGCAGTCAAGCATTCCTACAGGACTTCCTCCATCAGGATCTTGCTTCAAGTGCCAGAAATCTGGCCACTGGGCCAAGGAATGCCTGCAGCCTGGGATTCCTCCCAAGCTGTGTCCCATCTGTGCAGGGACCCACTGGAAATCAGACTGCCCAGCTCACCCAGCAGCCACTCCTAGAGCTGCTAAAGCTCTAGGCCAAGGCTCTCTGACTGACTCCTTCCCAGATCTGCTCAGCTTAGCGGCTGAAGACTGACGCTGCCCAATCACCTCAGAAACCCCCTGGACCAACACGGACTCCGAGTTTCGGGTAATTCTCACAGTGGACTGACCCTGACACCCATCAGTCCCAGAAGCTTACCTGGGCTGTGCTGCCTCAAGGCTTCAGGGACAGCCCTCATTACTTCAGCCAAGCTCTTTCTCATCATTTACTTTCTTTCCACCCCTCCACTTCTCACCTTATTCAATATATTGATGACCTTCTACTTTGTAGCCCCTCCATTGAATCTTCCCAACAAGACACCCTCCTGCTCCTTCAACATTTATTCTCCAAAGGGTATCGGGTATCCCCCACCAAAGCTCAAATTTCTTCTCCATCCGTTACCTACCTCAGCATAATTCTTCATAAAAACACACATGCTCTCCCTACTGATCACGTCCAACTGATCTCTCAAACCCCAACCCTTTCTACAAAACAACTCCTTTCCTTCCTAGGCATGGTTGGATACTTTCACCTTTGGATACCTGGTTTTGCCATCCTAACAAAACCATTATATAAACTCACAAAAGGAAACCTAGCTGACCCCATAGATCCTAAATCTTTTCCCCACTCCTCTTTCCGTTCCTTGAAGACAGCTTTAGAGACTGCTCCCACACTAGCTCTCCCTGACTCATCCCAATCCTTTTCATTACACACAGCCGCAGTGCAGGGCTGTGCAGCTGGAATTCTTACACAAGGACCGGGACTGTACCCTGTAGCCTTTTTATCCAAACAACTTGACCTTACTGTTTTAGGCTGGCCATCATGTCTCCGTGCAGCGGCTGCCACCGCCCTAATACTTTTAGAAGACCCCAAAATCACAAACTATGCTCAACTCACTCTCTACAGCTCTCATAACTTCCAAAATCTATTTTCTTCCTCACACCTGACACATATACTTTCTGCTCCCCAGCTCCTTCAGCTATACTCACTCTTTGTTGAGTCTCCCACAATTACCATTGTTCCTGGCCCAGACTTCAATCCAGCCTCCCACATTATTCCAGATACCACACCTGACCCCCATGACTGTATCTCTCTGATCCACCTGACTTTCACCCCATTTCCCCATATTTCCTTCTTTCCTGTTCCTCACCCTGATCACATTTGGTTTATTGATGGCAGCTCCACCAGGCCTAATCAGCACTCACCAGCAAAGGCAGGCTATGCTATAGTATCTTCCATGTCTATCATTGAGGCTACCACTCTGCCTCCCTCCACTACCTCTCAGCAAGCTGAACTCATTGCCTTAACTTGGGTCCTCACTCTTGCAAAGGGACTACACATCAATATTTATACTGACTCTAAATACACCTTCCATATCCTGCACTACCATGCTGTTATATGGGCAGAAAGAGGTTTCCTCACTATACAAGTGTCCTCCATCATTAATGCCTCTTTAATAAAAACTCTTCTCAAGGCTGCTTTACTTCCAAAGAAAGGTGGAGTCATTCACTGCAAGGGCCACCAAAAGGCATCAGATCCCATTGCTCTAGGCAATGCTTATGTTAATAAGGTAGCTAAAGAAGTAGCTAGCATTCCAACTTCTGTCCCTCATGGCCAGTTTTTCTCCTTCTCATCGGTCACTCCCACCTACTCCCCCACTGAAACTTCCACCTATCAATCTCTTCCCACACAAGGCAAATATCTTAGACCAAGGAAAATATCTCCTTCCAGCCTCACAGGCCCATTCTATTCTGTCATGATTTCATAACCTCTTCCATGTTGGTTACAAGCTGCTAGCCCGTCTCTTAGAACCTCTCATTTTCTTTCCATCATGGAAATCTGTCCTCAAGGAAATCACTTCTCAGTGTTCCATCCGCTAGTCTACTGTCCCTCAGGTATTGTTCAGGCCCCCTCCCTTCCGTACACATCAAGCTTGGGGATTTGCCCCTGCTCAGGACTGGCAAATTGACTTTACTCACATGTCCTGAGTCAGGAAACTAAAATACCTCTTGGTCTGGGTAGACACTTTCACTGGATGGGTAGAGGCCTTTCCCACAGGGTCTGAGAAGGCCACCGTGGTCATTTCATCCCTTCTGTCAGACATAATTCCTCAGTTTGGCCTTCCCACCTCTGTACAGTCTGGTAACGGACCGGCCTTTACTAGTCAAATTACCCAAGCAGTTTCTCAGGCTCTTGGTATTCAGTGGAACCTTCATACCCCTTACCATCCTCAATCTTCAGGAAAAGTAAAACAGACTAATGGTCTTTTAAAAACACATCTCACCAAGCTCAGCCTCCAACTTAAAAAGGACTGGACAATACTTTTACCACTTGCCCTTCTCAGAATTCGGGCCTGTCTTCAGGATGCTATAGGTTACAGCCCATTTGAGCTTCTGTATGGACACTCCTTTTTATTAGGCCACCAGCCCACTTGAACTGCACCCCAAAAACTTGGATAGAGCCTAAAAACTCACCAACCAAGCAAGCAATTACGCTAAGCCCCCTCGGCACTCTCTAATTGGATGTCCTGGGTCCTCCCAATTCTTAGTCCTTTAATACCTGTTTTTCTCCTTCTCTTATTTGGACCTTGTGTCTTCCGTTTAGTTTCTCAATTCATACAAAACTGCATTGAGGCCATCACCAATCATTCTATATGACAAATGCTCCTTTTAACAACCCCACAATATCGCCTCTTACCACAAAATCTTCCTTCAGCTTAATCTCTCCCACTCTAGGTTCCCATGCTGCCCCTAATCCCGCTCGAAGCAGCCCTGAGAAACATCACCCATTATCTCTCCATACCACTGCCAAAACTTTTCACTGCCCCAACACTTTACCACTATTTCATTTTATTTTTCTTATTAATATAAGAAGACAGGAATGTCAGGCCTCTGGGCCCAAGCCTGCACGTATACATCCAGATGGCCTGAAGTAACTGAAGAATGACAAAAGAAGTGAAAATAGCCAGTTCCTGCCTTAACTGATGACATTACCTTGTGAAACATCTTCTCCTGGCTCATCCTGGCTCGAAAGCTCACCCACTGAGCACCTTGTGACCCTGACCCCTGCTAGCCAGAGAACAACCCCCTTTGACTGTAATTTTCCACTACCTACCCAAATCCTATAAAATGGCCCCACCCCTATCTCCCTTTGCTGACTCTCTTTTCGGACTCAGCCTGCCTGCACCCAGGTGATTAAAAAGCTTTATTGCTCACGCAAAGCCTGTTTGGTGGTCTCTTCACATGGATGCGCATGAAACCTGCCTTACTTGTAAAAGCCCTCAGTTATGTTCAAAGGCAAGTCAGATTTGAAGAACTGTCTTTCCTGCCCTCTCACTTTGACCAAATCAAATAAACCATTCTCTGCTTTTAAGCACTGATTTGTCAGTGTTTGGCTTACTGCACCTCAGATACACAAAACTAAATTTGAGGGTTCAATAGCAACTGTATAAAATACTGTAGACTGTAGGCAACTGTAACACAATGATAAGTATTTGTGTATCCAAACATATCTAAATGTGGAAAAGGTGTTGTAAACAAAAGATTTAAAAAATGGTACCCCTGTATATGGCACTTACCATGAATGGAGCTTGCAGGACTGGAAGTTGCTCTGGGTGAGTCAGTGAGTGAGTGGTGTGACAATGTGAAGGCCTAGGCCATTATTCTATACTACTGTCGACTTTATAAACACTGTACAGTTAGGCTATGCCAAATTTATTTTAAGAAGCTTTTTCTTCAATAATTAATTAACCTTAGCTTACTGTAACTTTTACACTTTATAAACTTTAAATTTTTAAGCTTTTTGACTCTTGTAATAACACTTAAAATAGAAACATTGTACAGATGTACAGAAATATTTTTTCTTTATATTCTTATCCTATAAGCTTTTTTCTATTTATAAAATTTTCTATTTTCTTGTTTTTTCTACTTTTAAAACTGTTTAATGAAAAAATAGACAATCCCATCAAAAAGTGGACAAAGGATATGAACAGACACTTCTCAAAATAAGACATTTATGCAGCCAACAAACATATGAAGAAAAGCTCATCATAACTGGTCATTAGAGAAATGCAAATCAAAGCCATATTGAGATACCATCTCAAGCCAGTTAGAATGGCAATCATTAAAAAGTCAGGAAACAACAGATGCTGGACAGAATGTGGAGAAATAGGAACACTTTTACACTGTTGATGGGAGTATAAATTAATTCAACCACTGTGGAAGACAATGTGGCAATTCCTCAAGTATCTAGAACTAGAAATACCATTTGACCCAGCAATCCAATTACTGAGTGTATACCCAAAGGATTATAAATCATTCTACTATAAAGACTCATGCACATGTATGTTTACTGTGGCACTGTTCACAATAGCAAAGGCTTGGAACCAACCCAAATGCCCATCAAAGATAGACTGGATAAAGAAAATGTGGCATATATACACCATAGAATACTATGCAGCCATAAAAAAGGATGAGTTCATATCCTTTGCAGGGACATGGATGAAGCTGGACACCATCATTCTCAGTAAACTTACACAGGAACAGAAAACCAAACACTGTATGTTCTCACTCATAAGTGGGAGTTGAACAATGAGGACATATGGACACAGGGAGGGCACACAGTGAGGGGAACACAGGGAGGAGAACACTGAGGCCTGTGGTTGGTGGGGGGCTAGGGGAGGGATAGCATTAGGAGAAATACCTAATGGAGATGACGGGTTGATGGGTGCAGCAAACCACCATGGCACGTGTATACCTATGTAACAAACCTGCACGTTCTGCACATGTACCCCAGAACTTAAAGTATGTATATATAAACTAAGACAAAAACGCACCTATTAGCCTAGGCTTACACAGGGTCATGATCAAGACATCATTAGGTGGATAAAAATTTTTCAGCTCCATTATGGTCTGGGGGGACCATCACTCTGTGTGTGTGTGTGTGTGTGTGTGTGTATATATATATATATATTTTTTTTTTGTAGCGATGGAGTCTCACTCTGTCACTCATGTTTCCCAGGCTGGAGTGCAGTGACGCAGTATCAGCTTATGGCAACCTCTGCCTCACAGGTTCAAGCGATTCTCCTGCCTCAGCCTCCCAAGTAGCTGGTACTACAGGCACACGCCACCACACCCAGCTAACTTTTTGTATTTTAATAAAGACGGGGTTCCACCATGCTTGCCCAGGCTGGTCTCAAACTCCTGAGCTCAGTCAATCCACCCATCTCAGCCTCCCAATGTGCTAGGATTACAGGAGTGAGCAGTTCATCACTCACCAAAACTTTGTTATGCTGTCAGTGTTTACCTGTAATTGAATACTAAACATTTCCATTTTCTTTTCAAATGACTTGAGTTCTTCATTTCTAAATTTTATTATGTGTTTAATATTAATACTATTTTATGTTTGCATATATCTTAAATTTCAAATCTACCAGCTAACTTTATCTTGCTAATTGTTTTTCAAAGACCATTTCTAATGTAACTTCAACCATGAAGCCTTTGTTAATGCCTCTGTTATAATCTTTTCCGCTTTAGAATACCTATAACACTTGAATTGTATTTCTGTTTTAGAACTTTTCTTGCTCTCTATAATTTACAATTATTTATATAATTATTTTATTTGCCTAACCCACAATAGGCTACAGTTTCTTCCAGGGTAGGGACCACATTTTCATCAGTTGTTGAGTTCACCATGCAGCCATGTACATTGTAGGTGTTTGACTCAGTGCAACCTAACCAAAATTACTGGCAACAGCATATGGTTCAATACTATAAAAGACAGATTAATTATTTTCAAAAAACAAGTAAGACATACTTCCTGCTTATAAAACATTCTGACCTTAAAATTAAAATACATAAAATACATACTAATACACCAAAAGTATGAATGTGGGCTAAAATAGCTTTATGTATCTGCATAGAAAAAGAGGTAAAATTTTAAAGAATAAATAAGAAGCATAATCTATGAAAGGCAAATCTTAGATGCTATATTATGGTATAGATTAATGAGCTCTGCTATTTGCTAGTTTGTGTGACCTTGATAAAATTGCATTGCCTTTTGGGGTCTCTGTAAAATAGACATAATTTTTTTTTATTTTACTTTAACTTCTGGGATACATGTGCAGAAAAATAGGCATAATTATGCTTACTTTATTTAATTGTTGTGAGAAGAATAAGATTTCTGAAGCTCTTCAGACTCTAAGATGATACACAAACACAAGATGTTTTTCAATATATAGAAGATGCAGGTTCAGGAATAGATGGGAATGAAAAAGGGTGACAAGTGTAAGGTCATACTGAAAGCTCTCAAAGTCACAGTAGTTTGGATTTGATGAAGTAGAAAGTAGAATGCATGTATATATGTTTATTAAATGAAATGACTTTATAAAAGTGGTCTTAAGATGCATAACCAAGAAGTAATCAGCAGGCAATGGTGATTGAGAGACCAGATCCAAGGAGACTGAGCTGGGAGATAGCTATAGGAATTTAGTCAGGAAATGATTGAAGCCTGACTAGGACAACGGTACACAGAATGCAGGAGAAGGAAAAGACCCAAAGACATTCTAGTGTAATATTGACTAAAACTTGATGAACAATTAGGTATACAATGGGCAAAGCCTAAAGATGAATAAAACTGAGAGACAAGGAAAATGCATGGTGGCACAAGTAATAGATGGAAAAGGAAAAGCGATGTAATCTCTTACGTTGGATACAAAGTTGGAAACAATGGCCAAAATCTAAAATTTGAGATCTAACCAAATTCCAGTACTGGAATCACACAGATTTTGGAGGAACTAGGTACCTTATTATCCAGAAAATTTGATCCAGCCCTCAACTTTCTGGATGGAAAAAATTCATTGTCTTAACTGATAATATTCGCAGGAAGTACACCTGTCACAGACCACATTAGACCTGCCATTTTTTAATCTTGGAATTCTGCCTTTCTGATATTACAGTCTGTTAAAAAGTCTCAATTACATAGATGGGATCAACCTTTATTTGGAAAATCGAAGTGAATTATTTATTGGATACCTAGAATTATTGTGAAAGTAATGAAATGCAAAACAGACAATCAAGGATTCTGCATGTGTTCACAAAGCGTTCAGAGTCTACAAATTAAAATACAGGTTCATAATTCTTTCCAGATGCTATTAATGAGATGTGTTAATTCCAAAATCAGTTATATCTGTTTCCTGAATTAATTCTGGCCAAAACAGTTGGAATTTTAACAAAGAAGAAATTCACATTCCTTTGAAGATCCAGTGTCTAGTGTAAGCCTCATTAATGTGAAAACCTACTAAATTAGAATGTAATCTTACCTCTCTTCCTTGTGCAGTAGCTGGGTTTCTGCTTCAGTTTCTTTGCTTAGCCTTCATGCTCTGAACTTTAGTATTTTGACTGTAAATTTAGGTTATGTTAGATCCTTTCCCTTCAACATAAGTTTATACATATCCTGGCCTAGCCTGGCTGTACATTTACTTCAAGTGTATTATGTTACCTGGATTCCTCTTACTATTATTTATTCATCAGATTTAGTCATTATGTCCTTCAGCAAATACTTACTGAGCATCTAGTACATTCCATGTTGGCCCCCAATTACTTTTATCTGCCTGATTCAAGCCTAGTCCTTCTAACAACTCTACAATGAATTTCTTGCAACATCGTGATAGGAATAAAACCTATAGCCAAGTCTATTATTCACCTGTCGAATCTGGACTACTTCTTGTTTCTAATGCAATGCCTCAGCTCCTCATGGGCTCTTGTTGCCAAGATTCTAGCATGCACTGTGGCTGGGTCTGTCCAAGTCATTTATGACAGCAGGGATATTTACCTAATCAATAGATACAGATATAAGACCAAAATGGAAAACTCTCTAAGGAAATTAAAACAAGTGTGTAGTACCCTATGCTGTAACGTATACCTTTTGCAGTTTCCTCTATGAGCTTGCTGGGATGCAGTCTCACAACTCCATAGTGTTTCTTATGTTCTTCCACCTCCCACTTGGTTTCCAACCCCGATATTGATCCCTACTCACCTACCCATTCTATCTTCATTCACATGATAAATGCAAACTTCTTTTCCGTGCTCAAGCTCTGGCCCAATTTGTTGCTTGCCATCTTCCCTTTTGTTTTTTGGCAGAGTAAATTATTCCTGCCTCTGTGGAAGCTTGAAAAACACATGATTATAGAAGGGCTTCTTACCCAAATCTTCCCATTCTGGGCACTGCAATGTTAAATAAAATGGTCTAGATGGCCCTACCTATCTAAATATCAACCCTAAGAGAATACCTGAGCAACTAAAAAGATTGTTTAACTGTAAACCTTTTGAGGACAGCGAAATACTCAGTTAAGGGTGACAATCCATTCTATGGAATGAGAATTTTATATATATATACATATAATATTTGTAATATATATGTACACATGTATGTAATTGTATGTATTATATACATAAAACATAGTATAATTATGTAAAATCATTATTTTTTAAAAGCTCTACATGCAGGCAGGCTATGAGAGTAATCCTGTTAATCCTCATTAAGGAGTGGTGAAAACCTTTAGTGTAATATGGCACCAATCCCGCTGGGATACCTACTTTTTTGTTGTTGCTGTCAAAGTAAACACTGGTCTTCTACTGTGTATCCCACACAGTTCTAACTTTCTGAAACTCTGTTCACAGATGTTCTTTTATTTTTTTAATCACAGCATCCTTATCCTCAAAGTTCTCTTTGAAAATTACTGAATTTTAATAATAAATACCTAATCTGGGGCAGAGACAAGTTGGATACTTACCAAACCCATGTTGTCTTTCTACTTGATTTCCAGTGGAATGCAAGTAGTAGCCACACTCATAAAAACCTTCTTCTCCATGCTCCCCTTAAGTGCCTGGAAGAAATATGATCCTAAGGACCACCTTATGATCCATGGGTTAAATATGATGGAGTCACAAGGAAAAAGAGCCTAGGTTTCTACATCATTGTTGGAGGAGAGCTACCTGCCCATCTGGAACACTTGCTCGGGCATCATGAGATAGAAAAGTAAACTTCTAGAATAATCCACTGAAATTTGGAGTTATATCTATTTTAACAGCAAGTATGTTCTTAAACTTGACATATGCTTTATTTACAATACCAACAGCAGCTTTATATATAGATATGCATGTAAATATATACAAAATACTACAATGTGGGAAGATTAACATTCGTACACATTCATTGATTTCAGAGTTTCTTTGCTAACTTTCTCTGTCATATTCTCTAGGTTTACATCATCAAAAGGAAAATCACACATGAAGGGTACTTCAGTATAATAAATATAAGCTTGTGTAATCAATCATTGATAGACTGATGTGAAGTAACTTCCAGTTCCCATTTCCAACTCTCAGAGTTAGGATTAAAAACATCATGTCATGAACTCACACAACAAGGAAATACAGCATCCCTTAATTTTCTACACATTGATCTGCCATTAGGTTGGACTTCCAAACCTTTCAGAAAGGAAAGAACTGTGAATGTGTCTCTCTTATACCTGTTCTTCTCACCTTGGTTCAGTTCCAGCTTGTGTATTGTCCAGACTGCTCAGGAGGTGATGATTGCAGGGAGGATGTCATGCTCATCATGAAAATGCTTTGGTTCATCAGAATTTGAAGAAGGCTTCCTTGGCCCAGTGCTCATGGTGCCTCCAGGGCAGTATGAAGCTTTGAAGCAATCATTTAGGTCATGAAGTAAGGTCAGAAGATAAGTGCTGTCCACAGGACCAACTCAAAATGTTGCCTTTGGGTTTCCAAATGGTTGCTGCATCTTCTTGCATTAGGCTTGCTCCCAAACACAATGTGTTTATTGCTCATTCTCCTTTGTATATTGATTCTGCATCTAAGGAAATGAGGCCTGGATCCAGGAGGTGAGAATGATGCTTTCCACCTCCTAAAGCTGATGCCTGGGTGAGCTTTGCAGCATGACAAGCAGAGCCTGAAATTCCTTGCTGAGGGCTGATTCAAGGTGTTAGAAGATCTTCCTCCTAGGTATCCCAATTCAGAAAATATTATACCTTTTCCTGAAACTCTGGTTAACAAGTATTGATCTAAAAGACTTGATGTTTCTGTAGAGTGCTGGTGTGGTTACTCAAGCAAATAAGATTGTTCCTCAGTCAGTAGTGCCTGCTGCTGCCACATGTGTGTCAACCTGTGCTGGCTGCTGAAAGTGGCTCTTCCTGAGGTTCCCATTTGACCATGAAACCCTATGGCCACTCGCTCTACCACTCCATAATGTGTAATATCTCTTGCTGACCTAAGACTGTGAATTTATTGCTAAGAATTATCATATTGTGGCTGAGTAGAGTCCTTAAAGGGCAGTACTGCCAGGCGAGTGTGCTCACTATTCTTTTTCTCCTGGAATTTTCCTTGGTATGGGGCTTAGAAAGGAGTCTAAATATGTGAAAGCCTTCATCTTGGAATTGATACTGTTGACACACAACTCAGAAGTGTCAGAAGAAAGTGAGAAATCTCTCCTCCTGGCACAGCCTGGGTTGGCTGGATCATCATTACCAGGCTTGATACCTGGCTTACACAGCCCACAGAGGAATGCCAACAACCAAAGGACCTGTGGAGTGGAGGAAGAGCTGGTACAAATGCCTGGTTGGTTGCTGCCAAAAGGATTGGAGGGAAGAAAGCGATGAGAGCTGCTTGGGGCAATGTACAAGTTGCTTGGTCCACCTGGACAGTCAAGTGAGGTTTTCAACTTGGGTGTTTTGCCAAGGAATTCATGGACCTACTCTCGCTCTTCCCTGCATGCCTAGCTTTTTGATTCTGAAACCACATCTGAATTCTGGATTCTGAAATTCCTCTGTAGTCCAATTCTTCTGTAGTAGCAATTCCAGGAAATCAATTCTTCTTAAAGGCTTGAAGAAGGATACTGGTTTGTGACCTACTGATGGGTGTTTGCTTTTGTTTGGCTTCTTGGCAATGTTTCCAAGTCCAAGGCTGAGGCAGCTGCTATCACCGGAGTTGTTCTTCTCCTCAAGAGCATCCGGACCCCAGTCAACTCTTCCTGAGGTGATATATTCTTTGCTTTTGAAACCTAGTATGTATTTTAGACTCTGGAATGCCAATGTCTTTGGCCAGTTGTTCTCTGGTAGTTATCCTAGGGTAGTGGTTTTTCTCAGGATCAAAACAATCCTCCTTCATAACAATTCTTTTGAGAGACAGCCATATGAAGTGCTGGTCAAATCCATAGTGGGAAGAGTCACCTGGATTCCACAGAGACTGCTGGCCACTTGAGCAGCTCCCAGAAGCCCAGGACTTACCAAGACCAGCATTTTCCACTTATCTCTTAAATACCTTTCCAGCTTATCCCTTCTTAAATATTTAAGACCTTGATGGAATGAAAGGAAGCCATCAAAAGTTAAATTTTAAGGCAACTACAGGTGCTACCAGATAATATTACATCTCACATAATATTTTTCCAAATATAGCTTTTATTCCAGACTCCCTAGTTTTGACATATCCAAATGTTTTGGTCTCTGTTATATTCCAGCCCTCTTGTTTCTTCATTATTACGGATGACCACATTATTAAAAAGACAGAATGCCTCTTCCCATATGTGTAGTTTACACACTTTTCTCTGCTTTTCCTGGAACACTTTTTATTACATCATCAGATCAATTGTTTTATGTCAGTGGAATGACATGATAGAGCGAACTATATTGGTAAATTGTTATCAGGCTCAAATCATAGATGATTCCAAGTAGCACTGCATCTTGTACAGAATACAACCAATCTAATGCAGCTACAAAATATAGCAAGGCTATATCAGATAACAAAATGCAGAGAATGGGATAGTCACTTTTATGCTGCGAAGGAAAAAAAATACCAAACTATAAGTGGTTAGGCTCACCTGTTCTTGAATGCCATGATACAGGTAAGTCAAGAAATGCATGATCTCAGAAAAGGATGTGCTGCTTAACAAGAAGGGGTAGAGAGGAGAAGAGGATAAATAGAACATGTAAAGAAAAGCAGAAGTTCTACTTCATTGAAAGACTGAAATTTTTCTCTTTTTTTATTTTGAGACAGGATCTCGTTCTGTCACCCAAGCTGGAGTGCAGTGTCATGATCATAGATCCCTGCAGACTCTTACTCCTGGACTCAAGAAATTCCCCACCTCAGCCTCCCAAGTAGCTGGCATCACAGGCATGCACCACCATTCTAGGCTATTTTATTTCATTTCATTTCATTTTTGTACAGACAGGGTCTCACCATGTTGCCCTGGCTGGCCTCAAACTTCTAGGCTCAGGCAATCCTTCTACCTTGGCCTCCCAAAGTGCTGGGATTACAGGCACAAGCCACTGTGCCCCGGCCAGAAATTTTTTTCTCCAAAAGTGAAGAAAAAGAAACAAAGGAAGAAACCTGAAGATGCACTGTGTTTTAAAATAGAAAAAAATATAGCAAACTCCTACTTGGGTTATAGATGTGACATCTGGGCTTTAAGCAATGATTAAATAAAAACCACCACCTGCAAATCATTCCAATTAGCTATAGGGCTCCAGAAAACGTTTTAAAATAATGTGATGTGTGCTCTGCCACAGACTTCTGAGAAACTCAAGTTCCATGAACTACAGCGAGGACAATAAAAACTGGTCAAACTGAATTGGGGTGGGATTGATTACCGCTGAGTCTTAGTCCATTTAGGGTTGCTATAACAGAATAGCCAAGGCTGGGTAATTTATGAAGAAAAGAGATTAATTTGGTTCATGATTCTTGTGATGAAAAGTCGAAGAGCATGGCACTACCTTCTGCTTTGCTTCTGGTGACGGTCATGTGCTATGTCACAACATGGCACGGAAGCAGAAAGGCGAGTGGGCATATACAGAAAGAGACCAAACATGGAGGCAAGTTTGCTTTAAAATAAGTTGCCCTCACAGTAAATATTCCAGTGCTGCAAGAGTGAGAACTCACTCCTGCAAGACAGCATTAGTTTGTTCAACATGGATATGCCCCCATGGCATAAACATCTCCCACTAGGCCCCACATCCCCAACATGGCTCCACTGGCAATCAAATTTCAACATGAGATTCAAAGGGAAAAAAACTAAAATTCAAACCATAGAATCCTGGGACTAAATGTGCTCAAATGGATTAAAACATTGTGTGTGTGTGTATGTGTGTGTGTGTGTGTGTGTGTGTGTGTGTGTGTGTGTGTGTGTGATGGTGCATGTTTGCAATTAAGTATCAGAAGAGCTTCTAGCTTAAACTAAAAGAAGCATTATGAGTTTAAATAAAAACAATGTTCTGTGGAATGCTAGGATCCTACACAGTTAGTGGGCTGCTCTCTGACCTTGGGTTTTAGCTGGGGCTTCTCTGAGGGTAGCCAGCCAACACAGCAAGTATGTCAGTGGAGGGACTCCGTGGAGGTTGCAAGGACTTTGCTGGAGGCCAGGCACTAACTGTGGAAAATTCCATTAAAGAATAAACACACAATAGCTGGCCAGGAGCTAAGTCCTGATTTTGACTCCAGAGGGAAAATGGCCACTTCTTGTACCTATGATTTCTTCCCCACTCTGAATGAGGTAGCCAGATGGCACCTGGGGATGGATGCCTCCCAAAACAGAAGCAGCCTACTACTTTTGTGACTTGATCTGGAAGACTTTTGATCCCCAGTTCTCAGGGACTGGGAGTTGGAGAGCAATGTCATCCTCTTGCTAGCTCCCCAAGGTCCTTCCCTTTCAGTGGGGATGTCATTGCAGAGAAAAACCTCTGAACCTCAACATGGACTCTAGCCTGTACTCCAGGAAATCAGACCCTCCAAGCTCCACTGTGGATATTTTCCCTCCTAACTTGTTTTTGAGAGCAGCGGGCACTATTTAATCAGTAGCCAGGGCCTACTCAAAGCATGCAGGAGGTCCAAATCCACCTGAAACCCAGCTCTCCGCATCATGAATGGCCTTTGGAAGTTCCATTTCAAAAAAATCTTAAGGTCTTTATGCTACTAGAGTCTTTTCTCCCCTGAGCAACAGCCATCTCTTCAACCTGACTTCCCTTGTCCATGACTAAAGACTTCTTTTGCTTGAGGCCACCATCTCCAGAACTCTTATTCGGAAGGCATATCCCGCCATTTCCATCAAGGAAAAAAATACTTTCCCTCTCTCAATAGGAGCTGTAGTCACATTTGTAAATACACAGATAAGAAAAGAGGGTCATAACAGGAGGAGATAAATAACAGGAGGAGATGAATTGTTGGAATGGATATTTACAGGGATATTTACACTCTGTATACATATAGAGATAGATGAGGATGTAGATATACATACAAATATATTTTGTATATACATTACATTTGTCCAATATCAGACTTTTGGGATACATTTATTTATTTTTAATTGACAAGTAATAATGTATATTCATGGGGTATAATGTGATATGTTTGTCTATATATACCTTGTAGAAAGGTTAAATCTAGATAATTAACATATCCATCACTTACCAACTTATCATTTCTGTATGTGGTGGGAACGTTAAAATATCTATTCTTGCCAGGCAAGGTGGCACACTTGTAATCCCAGCTACTTGGGAGGCTAAGGTGGAAGGATCACTTGAGGCCAGGGGTTTGAGGCTGCAGAGCATTAAGATTATGCCTGTGAATAGCCATTGCACTTCAGCCTGGGCATCATAGCAATATCCCATCTCTTTAAAACATAATCTATCCTTTAAGCAATTTTGAAATAGGCAATGCATTATTACTGGCCATGGTCACCATGCACTGCAATAAATTACTAAGACTTACACCTCCAGCCTAACTGAAACTTTGTACCCTTTGATCAACATCTCCCCTTACCTCATCCCCCCTACTTCTCCCACTTTTCTCCAGCCTCTGTTAACCACCTTTCTACTCTGTTTCTATAAGATTGTCTTTTCGATCCCATATGTAAATGAGATCATACACTATTTGTCTTTCTGTGCCTGACTTATTTCACTTAGCATAATATCCTGAAGGTCCATCTATATTGCCACAAAAGATGAATTCCCTTCTATTTTAAGGCTGTATGGCATTCAATTGTGTATATATACCACATTTTCTTTATTCATTAATCCATTGATAGAAACTTAGCTTGTTTCTATATCATGGTCATTGTGAGAATGCTGATATAAGCACGGGAGTGCAGACGTCTCTTCCATATTTTGATTTCAGATCCTTTGGATATGTACTCAGAAGTAGGATTTTGGGTCTCATAGTAATTTTATTTTTGTTTCTTGAAGACGCTTCATCCTATTTTCCAAAATAGCTGTACTAACTTACATTCTCACCAACAGTGTACCAGAGTTCTCTTTTCTCCACCTCCTCACCAACACTTGTTATCATTCATCTTTTTTGTAATAACCATTCTACCAAGTGTGAAGAGATACCTCATTGTGATTTTACTTTGCATTTCCCTGATGGTTAGTATTTTTTCATATATCTCGTGGCCATTTGTAGGTATTCTTTTGAGAAATATCTGTACAGGTCCTTTGTCCATTTCTTTAAATAGGTTATTTTTTTCCATTGAGTTGTTTGAATTTTTTATATTTTTTATGTTTCCCCTTATTGGATGTATGGTTTGCAAATATTTTTCACAATCTGTAGGTTGTCTCTCCATTATGTTCATTGTTTTCTTTACTGTACAGAAGTATTTTAGTTTGATGCTATCCCATTTGTCTATTTTTACTTTTGTTGTACATGCTTTTAGTCTAATACAATAAATCATTGTCCAGACCAACAACAGGAAGTTTTTCCCCTAAGTATTCTTTTATGGTTTTTATAGTTTTGGGTCTTATGTTTAAGTCTGCAATCGATTTTGAGTTGATTTTTGTATATGGTGTGAGATAAGAGCCCAAGTTCATTCTTCTGCAAGTGGATATCCAGTTTCCCTAACACCATTTATTGAAGAGACAATCCTTTCCCTATTGTGTTTTCTTGGCATCTTTGTGGAAAATCATTTGACTGTAAGTACTTGGGTATATATCGGAGCTTTCTAGCCTGTTTCATTAGTCGATATGTCTGTCTTTATACCAATACTATGCTGTTTTGGTTATAATAGCTTTATAATATATTTAGAAATCAGGAAGTGAGATACCTCCAGCTTTCTTCTTTTCTTCAAGATTGCTTTGGCTATTAATGTCTTTTCTTGTTCTATATAATTAGAATTTTGTAGGGATTTTATTGAATCTGTAAATCACATTGGGTGGTACAAACATTTTAAGAATATTAATTATTCCAATCCATGAAAACAGGATAACTTTCCACTTATTTGTGTCTTCTTCAAATCTTTCATCAATGCTTTGTATTTTTCAGTGTGCAAATCATCACCTCCTTGGTTATATTTACTCCTTTTTTGATGCTATCATATATGGAATTGTTTCTTTATTTTCTTTTTTGAATAGTTTGTCATTAGTGTATAGAAATACTACTGATTTTCAGCTGGGTGTGGTGGCTAATGCCTGTAATCCCAGCACTTTGGAAGGCCAAGGTGGGTGGATCAGTTGAGGGCAAAAGTTCAAGAAAAGCTTGGCCAATATGGCAAAAGTCCATCTCTACTAAAAATACAAAAAAAAATTAGCTGGGCATGGTGGTGCATGCCTGTAGTCCCAGCTACTCTGGAGGCTGAGGCACAAGAATCACTTGAACCCAGAAACCAGAGTTTGCAGCGAGCTGAGACTGTGCCACTGTACTCCAGCCTGGGCAACAGAGTGAGACTCTAAACAAAAAAATAAGAAAAACAAATACTGCTGATTTTTGTATGTTGATTCCACAACCTAAAACTTTATTGGATTTGTCATTTGTAACAGTTTGGTTGGTTTTTTGAAGAGGTTTTGGGGTTTTCTATATATAAAATTGTGTCATCAGCAAACAGAGATGATTTCTATTCTCTCTTTCCCAATTAGATGTCTTTTGTTTCTCTTTCTTGCCTAATTGCTCAGGTTAGGAATTCCAGTACTATATTGAATAGAAGTGGCAAAAGTAGGCATCCTTGACTTGTTGCTGATCTTAGAGGATCTTTGCCACTGAGCATGATGTTACCTGTGGGCTTGTCACATATGGACTTTATTGTGTTGAGATATAATATGGTTCGGATGTTCATTCCCTCCAATTCTTGTGTTGAAATGTGATCACAAATGTTGGAGGTGGGGCCTAGTGGGAGGTGTTTTGGTCAAGGAGATGGATTCCTCATTAATAACTTGATGCCACCCCCTTGGTGATGAGTGAGTTCTCCCTCTTAGTTCATGTGAGAGCTAGTTGTTTAAAAGAGCCTGGTATCTTCCCTCTCTCTCTTCTAGTTCAGTCCCTCTTGCCATGTGACACAATTGTCCTCCTTCTTTCACCATGATTCTAAGTTTTCTATTTCATCCTGATTCAGTCATGGAAGATTTTATGTTTCCAGGAATTTGATTTTTTTCTAGGGTGTCCAATTTTTTTGTTTATAATTGCTCATAGTAGTTTTCTATGATCTTTCAAATTTCTGTGTTTTCCATTATAATGTGTCCTCTTTCATTTATGATTTTGTTTGAGTCTCCTCTGTTCTTTTCTGTGTTAGTCTAGCAAATGGTTTATCACTTTTATCTTTTCAAAAAACCAATTTTTTATTTTGATCTTTTGTACTGTTTTTCTAGTCTCTATTTTATTTATTTCTACTCTTATATCTGTCATTTCCCTTTTTCTGCTATTATTCTTTTTTTTCTAGTTCCTTAAGGAATAACATTAGGTTGTATGTTTGAGATTTTTCTTCTTTTTTAATGTAGGCATTTATTGCCATAACTTCCCTCTCAGAACTCTTTTTACTGCATCCCATAAGTTTTGGCATGTTATGTTTTTATTTTTGTTTGTGTCAAGATGTTTTCAAATTTTTAGTTTAACTTCTTCTTTGACCCACTGGTTGTTCAGAAGTACATTGTTTAATTCCCACACATTTGTGTGTTTATCAGAATTTCTTCTGCTATTTATCTCTAGTTCCATTGTGTCATCAACAAACAGACATGATTTCAATTCTCTTTCCCAATTAGATGTCTTTTGTTTCTTTTTCTTGCCTAATTGCTCAGGTTAGGAATGTCAGTACTATATTGAATAGAAGTTTTGCAGTCAGAAAAGATAATCAACATGATTTCAAGCTCCTTAAATTAGTTAAGACTAGTTTTGTGGAGAATGTTTTGTGTGCACTTGAGAAGAATGTGTATTCTGTTGCTGTTAGATGGAAAGTTCTGTAAATATATTGTAGGTCTATTTGGTCTAAAGCATAGTTCAAAATTTATGTTTTCTAATTGATTTTCTGTCTAGATGAGGCATTCGGTGTTGAATGTGAGGTATTAAAGCCTCCTGATATTGTAGTACTGCAGTCTATCTCTCTCTTTAGATCTACTCATATTTCCTTTATATATTTAGGTACTCCAATGTGAGGTGCATATGTATTTAAAATTGCTATATTCTCTTGATGAATTGACCCCTTTATCATTATATAATGACTTTCATTGTTTCTTTTTACAGTTTTTGACTTACAGTCTATTATGTCTGCTATAAGTATAGCTACCCCCAACCTCTTTTGCTTTTCATTTGTGTAGAATAATTTTGTCCATTCCTTCACTTCCAGTTTCTTTGTATTTCTAAAGATAAAGTGAATCTCTTATAGGCAGCATAGAGTTGGGTCTTGTTTTTCAATCCATTCAGCCACTCAATGTTTTTAATTGAAGAATTTAATTCAGTTGAAAGAAACTGAATTCATTCAATGGAATGTAAGTGAATTCTTCAATTAACAAAGAAGGGAAGGTAGGTAAGAAATACTACTGCCATTTTTTACATTGTTTTCTGATTATGTGGTAGATCCTTTGTTCTCTTTCTCTCTAGCTGTCTTCCTTTGTGTTTTTATAATTTTCTATAGTAGTATGCTTTGAATCCTTTCTTTTTATCTTTTGTGTATCTACAAATGGTCTTTATGGTTGCCATGAGGCTTACATAAAACATCTTATAACAGGATATTTTAAATGGACAAGTTAACTTTTATCATTTGCAGAAACTCTACACATTTATTCCCCTCCCCAATTGATGTTTCTGATGTGATATTTGATATCTTTTATAGTTTGAATCCCTTGACAAATTATTATAGCTATGGTTGTTTTTGGTAGTTTTGTCTCTATACCAGAGATACAATTGATTTCTCACCTTTATTACAATATTAGTTTTTTGTTTGTTTGTTGTTGTTGTTGTTGTTGTTTTTTGAGACAGAGTCTCACTCTGTCACCCAGGCTGGAGTGCAATGGTGTGATGTCGGCTCAGGGCAACTTCCGCCTCTTGGGTTCAAGTGATTCTCCCCCCTCAGCCTCCTGAGTAGCTGGAATTACAGGCACGCACCATATGCCCAGCTAATTTTTTTATTTTCAGTAGAGATGGGGTTTCACCATGTTGGTCAGGCTGGTCTTGAACTCCTGACTTCAGGTGATCCACCCGCCTCAGCCTCCCGAAGTGCTGAGATTACACACCCCGTCACAATATTAATTTTCTGACTTTTATTATATATTGACTTTTACCAGTAAGTTTTACATTTTCATGTATTTTTATGTTGCTACTTAGTTACCCTTTCCTTCAGCTTTTAAGACTCATTTTAGCATTTATTTTCAGTTAGATCTAGTGGTGATAAATTTCCTCAGCTGTTGTGTGTCTGAAGAAGTTTTTATTGTTCCTTCATTTTTGAAAGACAGGATTGTTAGGGATAGTACTACTGTTGGCAGTTTTGTCTTCTGCTTGATTTAGTCTGCTGTTGAACATCTTTATTGAATTTTAGAGTTATGTTATTATGTTCTTCAGCTTCATCATTTCTTTTTGGTCCTTTTTAGTATTCTCTTTTTGTTGAACTTTTCAGTTTGCTCATGTATTGCTCTTCTTACCTAAGTGAAGACCTATATGGCTGTTCTTTTATATTTCTATTTCATTAATGTTGGTTTCTGGAAATTTATCTTGTTCCTTTATTTGAAATATATTTATTCATATCTTTATTTTCTGTGGCTATCTTTGTTGGTTTCTGTTCATTAGGTAAGAAACTTCACTTTGTTAGACTGGTGTTGTAAGTAAGATTTTCCTCCCTAATCAGCCCAGCCAGAGATTCCAGGTGCCTAAATTATTTGTGCTCGTCCAACTTACTGTCTTTGTTTTTTATGGCCCCAAGAGATAAGAAAGTGTCAAGTTGTGCTATTACCTTGAGAGAAAAGTAAGATAGAAGCCAGCCCCTTGAGATGCAGCTGAAGAAGTTGGGGTGTTAGATATGTGTCCCAGTTCCTTCTTTCCTTGTGGAGAAGCTGAGAGCCAGAGTTTATCTCTCACTTGTTCCGTCCTATGCCAAGGAGAAAATCTGCAGCAGATGCTCATGCCTTTTTTTAGACTGATTACTTTGAACTTGGAGAGATAGATGCTGCATGTTTACAGGTTTAAAAATCACCTTTTTGTTCTCTGTGATCTAAGAGACTTAGGAGTGCAGAGCACTGTCAACTCCTAGAGCTAGGTAATTTAAGAGCCAGTCCCTTGGGTCAATTCCTATAAAACTTGAGGCACCCAAGCCATGCAGAAACTACTTGCAAGGAGAGCTTGCAGATTTGGATTTACTGCTGGAGCAATCCTGGGAAGAAGTAACAGGGAGTGCTCACTCTCCTGTATGAGCAATAGAAGTTTCATAACCTCCTTGCAGTGAGAGATTTCTGATCTGGAGTTATAACTGAAGTAAGCCAGGGAAGAAGGTACATAGAATACCTACTTTCTCTTTCAAGCATGGAGTAGTTCCCCAGCCTCTTTCCAATAAGAAATTTCAGGAATTTATCTCTAGAGCAAACAGAAAAAGATGGCTCAGGGAGTGCCATCCCTCCAGTACTTGCTGGCAGAGACCTGTAACCTCTTTCCACAAATAAATTGCAGGCTAAAATTATCACTGGAGCAAGCTGAAGAAGAAGGCACAGGAAGTGCCACTTCTCCTACTTAGGCTCCAGAAGTTTATTCTTTGTTTGCTACATAGGCTCCCAGATAATGGCTTGATAGAAGCTAGAACCACAGGAAGCTGCTGGAAAAGCATTCAGCAAACCGTTTGCAAAGGGGAAGTTGGAAGCTAGGCTGATTCTAGGGAGTACAGCTGCTGGAAGTGCTCGCGAGGTTAAAACTCCAGTTTGTTATTTGTGCTTGAAAGAAATCCTCCAATGCCCTCTTCCTGCTGCCCCTCGAACAAGGTGATTTAAAAGCCATGCTCTCAGGAGGTACTGTAAAAGTTGGGTGCTTTATGTGTGATAAATACTACTTACCTCTCAGGAAGAATTTGGGAGTTGGGATTTCCTTCCCAGTGTAAGGTTCTGTGCTCAGGGTAAGGTTAGTACACAATGTATCTCTGTTTTTCCTACTTATTTTTATGTGCACATTTTCTCAGTCATCCAATGGTAGGAATCTTTCAACTGGATTCCGGTTTTCTCTTGGAAAGATTGATGTGTATGTAGATATACATTCAGTGTTGTCTGTGGAAAAAGGAATAATCAAGACCCTCCTATCCACTATGTTGCTGATGTCACCCCACAGCTAGTATTATCTTAATAGCACACTGTATTATTTAGGCCTGGAAATGGACAAAGTGTTGTATTTCTGCTCAGTGTCTTTTTGAGTTGTGTTCTGTGCTTCTCCACTCATCTGCTAGGAATTTTATTCATTTATGTCATGGGTTGAAGTTCAAAGACTTAATTAATTTTCCATTACTTTTTTCCTTAATAGCAAATCATTTTACCCTAACTCTAGTTATAATACAAGAACAAAGATTATTTATGTGTTTCTTATCTTCCTATTGCTATGACATAAAAGAGATAGAAAACATGAAATATAAAAGCATACAACTTCTCAAAGAGGCTCACTTTGCATCATTGAAGGAAAACAATCCTCATTAGTTGTGATAAGACTGGACTAGAGCATCTCTGAATGTGTCAACAGGTAAGGAACAAAATAGATCTTCAAAATCAAATTCCAAGTGGTCTGGGAAACTGCTCTGTCACACAGTAGCTCACATGAAAATTGTCCACTTAGATAGACATAGTCATAACAGAGAAGGTGGTGGCTGGAAACCTATCTCAGCTCTCAGATACCCCACCATGTACAGTAGCAAGCCCCAGCCCCTTATCCATGGGGATACATTCCAAGACTCCCAGTGAATGCCTGAAGCCACAGATAGTACCAAATCCAATTGCCATCAATCAGAACACGTTTCTTTCACACCTTCCACGTACAAATTTAGTGCCTTTCCATCCTAACTAAGCACTTATCATGCGCTATGATCATAACTTTTGCAGTCTTATGCGAGACACAAAACTAGCATAAATTTCTTTTTCTTCACAATTTCATGGATAGAAGATTTTTTTTTACCGTAGGAATTAGCAACCACAGCATAGAACTTTTTTCCTTATTAAATTGGTAACTTAAATTTTCTTACTTAAAGGAAGAACTTTATGTTTTCTCTTTTGGCATGACCACTACTCTTGCACTTTAGGCCCACTATTAAGTAAAATAAAGTTACTCGAACGTAAGCACTGTGATAGTGCAAAAGTCATACTGATGATGAGGAAGATACTAAGTGACTACCAGGTAGGTAGCATAGACAGTGTGGATATGCTAGAAAAAGGATGAATCACATCCTGGACAGGACAGAGTAAGATGATGTGAGATTTCATCAGGCTATTTAAGATGATGTGCAATTTAAAATTATAAATGCTTTATTTTTGGAACTTTCCATGTAATATTTTGAATCGTGGTTGACTGTGGGTAAGTGAAACTGCAGAAAGCAAAACCATGAATAAGGGGGACTACCATATGTTTCTATCCCCTCCATCTACCCATGGAGAGATGCGCCTACCTCCCTGTTCTCTGGGGCACCTGCCCTCTCAGGTGGCTTTTACTTCGTATGGCAGACATTTTTCTTCTGGGCCCTATCTCAATGCTTAGAATTTAAGACATCCATCTTTATTAACACCCATATCTATTATGGTAGGAAGTCTATACAAGTTAACATACATTCTGTCAAGGATAAGTAGCTCTCTTATTCCATCTTCTCACGCAAGTATCTATTCTTATATTCACTACTGTCACAGGATTGCTGACTCAGAAATAGAGTCACTATAAAATGTTGTGAGAGGTAAAAGAGAAGTTTCTTGAATTGGGAATGAGTCCTCAAACTTTTATTCATATAAAATACTATTCAAGAAACCTTTTTTAAGCATCTATTTGTGCAAGGCACTGTGCTTGGCTCTAGCTGTGAATAAAGAAGGCTCATCCCCTGCCCCAGAGGAGCTTCATGTCTAATCAAACCTGTTGAGAGGGATTAATATGGAAGGTATATTCTGTGTTTTTTTTTCCAAGAATTGCACTTTTGTGATGGTTATCTGAGAAGAAAGCACATTTCTGCTTAGCATCAGTATTTCAGTATTGGTTTGAAGTAGCTAAGTGGTATAATATTTAAAATACTCACATTCTACGTCACATGGGTTCTAACAAACACTGTGTAAGCTATCATGTATTTACCTGTCTTTTTCCTAGCAAGTTTGTACATTTTTTAGCACGGGAACTATATTTTACTTACCATGATTTTCATTGTCAAGCACAATGCCTGGCACATAGCACGCCCTCAATGAACATTTGTTACGTTATTTCTACAAATAGTTCTGTGACCAGGATGCCAGGGTACTATTCTACTGGCAAGAAAAACGGCTGTCTTAATATCTTACTTTTCCTATTCATATAAGAATCATGAAAATGTGTCAGACTGATTGTGAAAAGGCTTCGATCAATCCTAGCAGAAATATCTTCATTAAACCTGTTGTTGTCAGTTCTGACTCAAATCTCCTTTCTTCTTATACTGTTGCCAACATTTCAATCACATTTCTAACTCATGGAAATTATTTCTGGGTATACCCACCTACTCACACTGGAAAAAAAACACCAGGGCAAGTTTATATGCTTGCCCTTATTTCAAGAGAAGTGACTATGAGAGTATATTCATCAATCACTCTCTAGAAAGCAATGAGAGAAGTAAAATCTTTGGGAAATTAATAATAAGGTGAGTGGGTGTGCAGGAGACAGATGGTAGAATCTTGAAAATCACAGTTATTTCAATGACAGGACTTCCTTACTCTAGATACTATATGAAACATCAAAATATTACAAGAAATTTTTAAAATAACAAATTTTAAAACTAATGAGTATAGTTTTCAAGAAATCTTTGGTACTGGCCTATGTATTTCTGCATTGACACCAAATCTTTCCAAATGTATAATTAAAACTTGGTCTTGGACATCATAAACTGTTTATTCACAAATTCCCCAGAAAACATACATTTTTATAAAGAAAGATTTTGACTTAGATCTTTATTTTGGGGCTCTGTGATGAGGGGCTATGTGTGTATTACTGTTGAATGTTTTAAAAGCACACACACATGAATGTGTGTGTGCTTGCATATTCATTTTAACATTATATACACACACACACACACACACACACACACACACACACACAATCTCCTGGTGTAATTGAAAGCATTTATGATGTTTTTGTTAGCCTGTAAAATTATAAGTTGTTTAGGTGATAGCTATATCATATAAAAAATGCTTTCATTTCTTATGCCCTTTAAAGCTTTTACTATTATCAGCTTATAAGATGCAAACATAATAAAATAAGACCTGCACATTCCTCAAATTTAATTGGCAACTAAAAAACAGCCAGCTTCAGTAAGGTTCAAAAACTAATATGATTAATTATTTAGTTTTTTTTAACTTTTATAAACTTTTTGAAATAGGAATAAATAATACTATCAACTTAATTTATTTCATAAAGATACATTAATACTAAAAGTCAGATAGTCTGACTTTCAAATAAAAATTTCATTAATCTACATGGCTTCCCATAAATATTAAAATCCAAAACAATGCTTATATTAACCATTTAACCATATTATAGTATTCACAGTGTTGTTCAACGAGTAGAATGATCCATTTCATTTAAAAGGGGAGGTGATATAATAGCCAAAACTGAAACACATTAAGAAATGCCAGAGAAGAGAAGAAGAATAACAATAATCATAACACATTAATATATCACACATTTCAAGTATTTATGGCAAGAAAATCATAACTAATAAAAAAAGTAAATTTCCTAAGTAAAGGAGGAGTAAAAGAAGAAAGACAGTATTCCCCAGATGCATGTATATATGTATATGTATATATATGCATGTATATATATCTATAAACTGTAAGGTTGGAGATGAAATCCTCTTAGGAGTTTACCTTGACTCTGGATGACAGCACCTTCACAAGATAAGCTGCATTGACTAGGTGAATGACAAAGTGAGAATAAGTCATCAAGCTATTCATAATTCTAACTCCTATCCCCATAGTTCATATGCTTTAAAATGTAAGTCTGCGTATATGCCCCTACAAAAAATTTCCACCCTTTACCCTCAAACTTCAAGGTTATCTTTTGGGAGGTGATAAATAGAACCTTCAGTTGATCCTAAGAAGGAATTCAATTTGATTTCTCCTGAGGCAGCATCTTGCCACCCACATGTTATCTATCCCTCGAGCTGAAATAACTCTTTGCATTCAAATGAACAAAAATTCAAAAATGCGGAAAAGCCAGACCTCAGACTATTGAACTGTTGTGCAAATCTGACTACATAAATTTATGGAGTTAATATAAAACCCAAAGCTGAGTCACAATCTGGTGAATATATGGGTACATACACTCATCATAAGCAGCTCTATAAAAAAAAAACTAAGGAAATCCACATAAAATAGTAGTGAATTTCAGTTTTGGGTCAACTCTTACTACAAAGAACTATCATATTTAGTGCTTAGGGAAAGGGAAGCAGTCCCTTCAAAGGGAAGTGGTCCTCACCAGCACCTCCTTTCCGTATTCTGGATTCAGATCACTCCACATTGTGATGAGTGTGCTTTTGTTTGTTTGGTTTTCCTTCTCCCCATACAATTTCTCTCTGTTTACAGTCCTCTTTTTAAAGTCAAGATCACCAAAGTGGCAGCTCAGCATTTCAATTTCTTAAATAGGCAGCACAACACAAACACATTCAAAGCAAATGTCATCACACCGGGCAAGAACATTCACCCAGCTGCTGTGGGTGGACCTCCACCATTGATTCTTCTCTAAAATTATTTTATACCAAGGAAGTCCAAATGTGGCCATGGTTTCCTGAGTATCATGAATCACACGCAAAGCAAAAAGCAAATAATCATTTGAATTATAATTTATTAATGTGCATTAATTTTCTAAAAAAAGAATTGTAATTTTAAATATAACACATGATTATTTTTCAAATATGAGAAACTCATAGGACATGAAAGAAAAAATGTGGCCAGTCGTGGTGGCCCATGCCTGTAATCCCAGCACTTTTGGAGGCCAAAGTGGGCAGATCACTTGAGGTTAGGAGTTTGAGACCAGGCTGGCCAACATGGTGAAACCTCGTCTCTACTAAAAATACAAAAAATTAGCCGGGCATGGTGGCCGGTGCCGGTAATCTGAGCTAGTCTGGAGGCTGAGGCAGGAGACTTGCTTGAACCCAGGAGACAGACAGAGGTTGCAGTGAGCCAAAATCTCACCATTGCACTCCATCCTGGGCAACAAGAGTGAAACTCTGTCTCAAAAAAAAAAAAAAAGAAAAGAAACAATGTACCTGGCCATTATGTCACCACTTGGATAGAACCATAGCTAATATTTTAGAACATGTTTCTACTGTGTTCTATGAATTCATGAATGTGTTCATATTTTGTGAAATATTATATTATGGCTAATAAAATATTTTACTTTTTATAGCCTGTATTTTTGATTAATATATCATTACTTATTGTGTAACAAAAATCTCTTCATAGTAATAATTCTAAGACTACCTTATAATATATATATTTTTAATGTGGAACACTGTAGCTCACACTTTTGATGGCTATCCAAATGGTCATTCCCAATCTCCTTCTCCTTTGCCTGCACCTCATACTAAAAGCTGGACAAAACTATTCACTTCATTTTCCAGGGTCCTTATAGTTAGGGTCACCAAAGAACCAATCCCTCATTATAAGAGAAAATGATCTTTCACTAGAATTATTTCAAAAGTATTTGCTTTCCTTATAAAAAGAATAGATGGTTTGTTAAATAGGTAAAGTTGAGTCATTGGGGTTTGTTGTACAGATTATTTCATCATCCAGGTATGAATCCTAGTACCCATTAGTTATTTTTCCTGATCCTTTCCCTTCTTCCACCCTCCACACTCCACAATAGGCATCAGTGTGTGCTGCTCCCCTCTATGTGCCCAACCTGCACATGTACCCCTAAACTTAAAATATAACTTACAAAAAAGAAAACTCTATTACAGAAAATTGTACTCAACAATTGTATTTAAAATTTTACCAATAAAACATGTAATTAAAAAAATGTAAAAAAACTAGGTGGGAGTTATACTTTTTGGTGAACAGATCTTTCACCATCTTGGTTAAATTTATTTTGAAGTATTTTATTCTTGTTGATGCTGTTCTAAATGAGATTGTTTTTTGAAAATTTTTTCAGATGTTTCTTATCAGTGTATGGAAGTGCCACTGACTTTTATATGTTCATTTTGTATTCTTTTTTTTTTTTTTTGAGACGGAGTCTCGCTCTGTCGCCCAGGCTGGAGTGCAGTGGCGGGAACTCGGCTCACTGCAAGCTCCGCCTCCCGGGTTCACGCCATTCTCCTGCCTCAGCCTCCCAAGTAGCTGGGACTACAGGCGCCCGCCACTACGCCCGGCTAATTTTTTGTATTTTTAGTAGAGACGGGGTTTCACCGTTTTAGCCGGGATGGTCTCGATCTCCTGACCTCGTGATCCGCCCGCCTCGGCCTCCCAAAGTGCTGGGATTACAGGCGTGAGCCACCGCGCCCGGCCCATTTTGTATTCTTAAATTTTACGGAATTTGTTTATTAATTTTAATAGTTATTGGGTGGCATCTTTGGGGTTTTCTATGTATAAAATCATGCTATCTGTAAAACAGAAATAATTTTACTTCTTCATTTTCAATTTTCATGCCTTTTATTTCTTTTTCTTGTGTAATTGTTTCAGCTAGGATATCCAGTACTATGTTAAATACAAGTGGTGAGAGTGGGCACCCTTGTCTTGTCTGCAATCATAGAGGAAAAGCTTTCAGCTTTTTAATACAGAATATGATGTTAGCTGGGGGTTTGTAGTATATGACCTTTATTATATTGTGGCACATTCCTTCTATAAGCAATTTATTGAGAGTATTTATCATGAAAGGATGTTAAAAATTGTCAAAAAATGCTTTTTATGCATGTATTGATTATATAATTTTTATTAAATATTTTAATGAGGTATATCACATTTATTGATTTGTGTACATTGAATCTTTTCATCTCAGAGATAAATCCCACTTGATAATGATGTATGAATATTGCAATGTGCTATTGATGACAGTATTTAAAGATGACATGAATAAATGAAAAGCTATCTTGTGTTCATGAAAGAATAGGATTGTAAAAATGTCCAAACTATCCAAAGTAATCTACAGATTCGATGTAATTCTAATCAAAATTCAAATGACATTTTTTGCAGAAATAGAAACAATCCTATATTCTTATGGACCCATAAAAGACCTCAAAGAGCTGAAGCAATCTTGAGCAAGAACAAAGCTAGAAGTATACACTTCCTGGTTTCAAATTATATTACAAAGCTATAGTAATCAAAACAATATGGTGCTAGCATAAAAACAGACACATAGAATAATGGAACAGAATACAGAGCCAGAGATAAACCCAGGCATATATGGCCAACTGATCTGCAATAAAGTTGCCAAGAATATAAAATGAAAGGACAGGAGATTTCTTCAATAAATAGTGCCACAAAACTGTTTATTCACATTTACAAAAATAAAATTGAACCTTTATTTTATACCACATATAAAAAGCAACATGAAATGGATAGAAATTTTAAATGTAAAAACATAAATTATAAAACTAATAGAAGAAAACCCAGGAAAACAACTCCAATTCATTGATCTGAGGAATAATTTTTGGATTTGCAAAAGCACAGGCAAAAAAAGCAAAAAATAAACAAGTGAGACTGTATCAAGCTAAAAACCTTCTGCATAGCAAAGAAAACAATCAACAGAATGAAAAGACAGTCTTTGAACTAAGAGAAAATACTGACTCCTATAAGGGGTTAATATCCAAAACATATATGGAACACATACAATTTAATAGCAAAAAATACAAATAACCCAATTACTAAGTGGGCAAAGGACCTGAGTAGACATTTTCCCAAAAAGCATATACAAATGACCAAAAAGTATATGAAGAGCTATTCAACACACCTAATCATCAGGGAAATGCAAATCAGAACACAATGAGATATCACCCCACACCTGAATAAATGGCTATCATCAAAGTCAAAAGATCCTAAGTATTGTCAAGGACATAGAGAAAAGGAAACTCTTGTGCAGTTGGTTGGAATGTAAATTGGTACAGCCATTACAGATAACTGTATGAAGGTTTCTTAAACACTGAAAAATGCAACTATCATATAATTCAGCAATGTATGTGCGTTTGTGTTTGTTATATATGTATATGTGTGTGTTTGTGTGTGTTATATATGTATGTGTGTATTATATATAAACATTTCATTCATATATATATATATATATATATATATATATGTGATATTGTTCAGCCTTAAACAAAAAGGAAATCTTGACAGTTGTGCCAAGTTGGACGAAATTGGATAGCGTTATGGTAAGTGAAATAAGACAGACACAGAAAGACAAATACTGTATGAGCTGACTTATATGTGGAATCTCAAAAAATATATATATTAACTCATAGTAACAGAGAGTATAATGGTGGTTGCCAGGCCCTGGGGAGTGGAAGAAAATAGGAGATGTTGGTCAAAGGGTAAAAACTTACACTTATAAGATAAACAAGTTCTGAAGACCTAATGTATAGCATGTTGAATATAGTTAATAATGGTGTATTATATACTTTATATTTTCCCAAAAAGTAGATCTTCCAGTATTCTTACCACAGAAAAAGAGATAACTATGTGAGGTGACGTATATGTTAGTTAGCTTGATTGTGGTAATCATTTTACAATCTATATGTATATCAAAATAACATATTGTACATCTCAAATATATATAATTTCTTATTTTTCAATCATACCACAGTGAAAAAAAATACTGGAAAAAACACTTCCAAAAAAAGCATAATTAGGAAAATAAAGATGGAGAGATGCATCTGCCTCCCATTTCTCCTATCTCCTTGAACATAAAAGTGATGTCTTCAGTAGGGCAGCCATTTTGCAGCTATGTAGTAACAAGAGTGAAGATAAAGTATCAGTATATGAGAGGTGTTCATGATGGCTGACTAGAAGCATTTTATGCCTGCCTCCTCTACTTAAAAGAACCAAAATAATTTACAGTCAGTCACACTTTGAGTATGTTATCTATAATGGAACAGTGAAATTCAACAGAGAAGTGACAGGGGACACCAAAAATGGGGAAGAAGGAGAGACAGCTTACCTGGATGGAATCAGCTGGGAGCCAGGAATGACTTTCCAACATGGGAATGGGTAAGAGATTTCCAATAGCCATGGGACAGTGTGTCCTAATCACTGAAAGTAACACAGAAAGTTGCTAGGAGGCCATGGGACAGAGCTGGCCCAGGAAAAGAAGTCACACTAGGTCCCATACCTTATCTGAGACCTAAGCAGCTAGAGCAAGGTGCCATTGTCAAACCTAGCCTCTGGCAACCCATCAGCACCAGGAATGAGGCATCATAGAAATTCAGGCTGTCAGGCTGGGTGCTGTGGCTCACGCCTGTAATCCCAGCACTTTCAGAGGCCAAGGTGGGCAGATCACGAGGTCAGGAGTTCAAGACCAGCCTGGCCAACATAGTGAATCCTCGTCTCTACTAAAAACACAAAAAATTGGCTGGGCATGGTGACGGGGCCTGTAATCTCAGCTACTTGGGAGGCTGAGGCAGGATAATCACTTGAACCCAGGAGGTGGAGGTTGCAGTGAGCTGAGGTTGTGCCATTGCACTCCAGCCTGAGTGACAGTGCGAGACTTCATCTCAAAAAAAAAATAAATTGAAAATTTTTAAAAAAAGAAAGAGAAAAAAAAAAAAAGAAATGCAGGCTGTCACTCCTAGGACAGGGGAGAGAGTCAGGAGCACTCCTGCACCCAGGGGTAGGAAGTGAGCATTACACTGCCAAGATTTGAGGTAGTGAGGCAAGCAGATCATGATTTGCCACTGGGACTTGGTTGCAACCTGGGTGTGAGATCCTGCAGCCAGGTTTGGGAGTAAGCCCCACCAGGACTAGGGCATGAAGAGACATGTGTTTCTTCCCCTCTAGCCAAGGCAGTGACCACCGAGGGAGGCCCCATCCTCCCCAGTGGTGGGGCTTCAGCACAACTGCTAAAGCTCCTCATTCAAGCATTCTGCTTAGAGCCTGAGGATTAACCTGCCTCTTATCTACATGCTTTGTACCTACTCTCACCATTAGGGGTCCTGAGCATAAGCCTGCCCAGCCCAGTGTGACCGCCCACTTCTACAAAATAGCACATAGCCCCGGGGTCCTGGGGATTGCCCAACACAATCCACCACCCTGGGCACCTAAGCACTTCTCCCAGGGACCTGATGTTGGGCAAAAGCTCCTGACAACTACCACCTCAGCTGGTGATACCTGCTGAGTGACACCTCTGGGCTTGAAGACTGGCCTGCTCAGCCTATTGTGGCCACTTCCAACATCAACACACCACTCGGGACCCCGAGAAACATCCTGTCATTTCTACACTCTTTGCCCATGGCACACTGACTGCCAAGGAGGCTGAAAATCTGCCTGTCCACTCAGGCCACTACTAACTACCAGCATCCAAGCCAGCCATCTAGAGGCACAGGTGCCAGCATACACTACCCTGGGACACAAAGACAAGCATGCTGAACACAACACTGCCAGCACTGGGGCCTGAAAACTAACCTACCTGGCATCCTAGTCCCCAGCACAACTTCACCACAGCCTCTACTAATAACCATACCCTAAACCACTATGGAAATCAGGTACCATTAATGCTGTTTACAGCCAAATAAATCCTACAGAGGCTACACTACTGCATACGCCCAGAATCAAAACCAAAGTGTCCTTCCCATACAACACCATAGATTCATCTTTAGGACAAAGTCTTCCTCTATGAAAGTAAATGCAAAAATAGAAAGAAGCAATTGTTACACCAGGTACACAGATATCAATGTAAGGGCATAGGAAACATGAAACAACAAGGAAATATGATACTTTCAAAGGAACACAATAATTTTCCAGCAATAGATCTTAATCAAAAAGAAATTTTTATAATCCCAGATAAATAATTCAAAATATTGATTTTAAAGAAGCTCAGCGAAATGCAAGAAAATTCTGAAAAACAATACAAAGAAAGCAGACAAGCAATTCAGGATATGAATAAGAAATTCATCAAAGAGGTAGATATTTTTTAAAAGAACCAAATAGAAATTTTGGAACTGAAGTATTCATTGAAGGAGACACTTCAAGGACACATTTGAAAGCTTCAATAATAGACTACATCAAGCAGAATAAAAAATATCAGAACTTAAAGACAGTCCTTTTGAAATAAACCATTAAGACAAAAGTAAAGAAAAAATAAAAAAGAATGAGCAAAGCATTCATAAATTTAAGACAACACTAAGGAACCAAATATATGAATTACTGGTATCCCCAATTGTGAAGAGAAAATAAAATGATTAGAAAATCTATTTAACAAAATAATAGATGAAAGCTTTCCACAGCTAGCAGGAGATTTACATACTTAGAGGGGGCTCAACGAACCCCAGGTAGATAAAATTCAAAAAACACATTATAATCAGACTGTCTAAAGTCAAGGACAAAAGGTAAATCCTTTTGCAAGAGAAATCTACCCAGTCACCTATACAGGAAAACCCATCAAACTAACTGTGGAATTCTCAGCGGAAATCTTACAGGCCAGAAGAGAATGGAATTATATATTCAAAGTGCTGAAAGAATAAAACCTATCAGCCAAGCATACTACATCCAGCAAAATCAACCTTTATAAATGAAGAAAAAATTAAGCCTTTCTTAGACAAGCAAATGCTGAGGGAATCTGTTACCACTAGACTGATGCTACAATAATGCTCAAGGGAAGCCTAAACCTGAAGCAAAAGGATGACATTCACCATTATAAAACACACAAAAAAGTATAAAACTCACTGATAAAGCAATCACACAAAGAAAGAAAAGACTTAAATGGTCCCATTACAGAAATCCACCAAACTATGAAAAACAATGGGAGAAAAAAAAAATATATATATATAAAACAACCAGAAAACAATTAACAATATGACAGGGATGAGCCTTATATATCAAAAATAACCTTGAATGTAAATGAACTAAAGTCTCCATTTAAAAGACAAAGAATTGTTGAATGGATTTTAAAAATAATAAATTATAAGCCACTTAAAAGAAACTCACCATGCCAGAAAAGACACACATAGACTGAAAGGTAAAATTAAAGGGATAGGAAAAGACAGTCCACGCAAATGGATACCAAAAGTAAGCAGGAATACCTACACTCATATCAGATAAAACAGACTTAAAGTCAAAAACAGCATTAAAAAAAGACAATACGGTCATTATACAATGCTAAAAGAATTATTTCAGCAAGAGGATATAATATTTCTAAATATATATTCACCCAACACTGGTGCACCCAGATTCAAAAAGTAAATATTACTAGATCTAAAAAGAAAAATAGACTGCAATACAGTAATAGTGAGTGAGTTCAGCAGCCCACTGTCAACATCAGAGAGATCTTCTAGACAGAAAATCAACAAAGAAAAATTGAACTTAAACTGGACTTTAGAGCAAATGGACCTAACATACATTTACAGAAACTTCTATTCAACAACTGTATAATATACATTCTCTTTTCATCAGCTTATGGAACATTCTCCAAGATATACTCTATGTTAGGCCACAAGACAAGTCTCAATAAATTTTCAAAAGTCAAAATCACATCAAGCATTTCCTCAGACCACAATGGAATAAAACTAGAAATTAACACCAAGAGGGACTCTGGAAACTATACACAGTTGAAATTAAGCAACATGCTCCTGAATGGTCATTGGATCAATGAAGCAATTAAGATGGAAATAAAAAAATGTTTTTTAAACAAATTAAATGGATATACAACATACTAAAACTCTTAGATACAGCAAAAGCAGTACACAAAAGACAAGTATATAGTGATAAAAGCCTACATCAAAAAAGTAGAAAGATTACAAATTAACAATCTAAGAATGTATGTCAAAGAACTAGAAAAACAAGAAAAAGCCACACTCAAAATTAGCAGAAGAGATAATAAAATCAGAGCAGAACTAAATGAAATAGAGAATTTTTAAAAACAACATAAATGGTAAATGAAGCAAAAAGTTGGTTCTTCAAAAAGATAAATGAAATTGATTAACTGCTAGCTAGATTAACCAAGAAGGTAGAAGACCCAAATAAAATTAAAAATGAAAAAGGAGACATTATAACTGACACCACAGAAATACAAGCAATCATTCAAGACTGTTATAAACAACTGTATGCTGACAAACTGGAAAACCTAGAAGATATAGATAAATTTCTGGGAATATAAGAGCTACTAAGACCGACTCAGGAATAGAAAACCTGAATAGAACAATAGTGTGAGTAAAATATAATTAGTAATAAAGAAAGTTCTCAAGAAAGAAAAGCCCAAGACTTGATGGATTCATAGCTGAATTCTACCAAAAATGAAGAAGAAATAATGCCAATCCATGTGAAACTATTTCAAAAAAATGAAAGAGGAGATAATTCTCCCTAACTCTTTCTGTGAGACTAACATCACCCTGATGCCAAAACCAGACAAGGACACAACAAAAAAGACAACTATAGACCAATATCCCTGATGAACATAGATGCAAAAAAACCCTCAACAAACACTCAAAAACTGAATTCAATAGCACATCAAAAAGATAACATACCATGATCAAGTGGGATTTATAGCAGGGATGCAAGGATGGTTCAACATACACAAATCAAAAAAAGTGATATATCATATCAACAGAATGAAAAACAAAAACTATATGATCATCTCAATAGATGCAGTAAAAGCATTTGATAAAATTCAACATTCAATTATGACAAAAAAAACATGCAATATATTAGGCATAGAAGGAACATACCTCAAAATAACAAAAGCCATATATGACAAACCCATAACTAACATCATACTGATTGGAGAAGTCTTGACAGTGTTTCCTCTAAGAACTGGAAAAAAGAAGATGTTCACTCTCACCACTTCTATTCAACATAGTATTGGAAGTCCTAGCCAGAGCAATCAAGCAAAGAGAGAAATATAAGGCATTCAAGTTGCAAATGAGGAAGTCTAATTCTCTCTTTTTGCTGATTATTTTTTATCTAGAAAAACCAAAAGACTCCATCAAAAAACTCTCAGATTTGATTGATGAATTCAGTACAGTTGCAGGATATAAAATCAATGTACAGAAACCAGTAGCATTTTTGTACACAAATAATAATCTAGCTGAGAAGTAAATTAAGAAGGTAATCCTACTTACAATGGCTACAAAAAAAAAATACCAAAGAATAAATATAACCAATGAGATGAAAGATCTCTACAAACAAAAAACCTACAAAATTCTGGTGAAAGAAACTGAAGATAACAAACAAATGGAAAAACATCTCAGGCTCATGGATTGGAAAGAATTAATATCACTAAAATGGTCATATTTGCCAAAGCAATATAAGAATACCAACATCATTCCTTAGAGAAATAGAAAACACAATCTTAAATTTCATATGGAACCAAAAAGGAGCCTGTTGGTCAGAGTGGTGGGGAAAACTATTAGGGAAAGGACACAAACCTTCTGAAAGGTCAGAAGGTTCTGCAGAACCCTAGGGGAGAATAACTGAAGGCAGCTGTTCTATAAACCTGATGCAGAGGGCAAGAAGTAGGTACAAGGGAGTGTAGGGAAATTTATCTTAAACAGGCCTGTTTACTTATATTGACCAGGAACTGACCTTTGATCATCCACGCGTGTGACATTCCCTGAAAGAGGAACAACAAATGTTAATTACCTGCAGGTTGTGTTGGCTCCAGGTTTTCCGCATTGTGCCTGCACTGAATAAAAGCAAGCAGCTCCAGCTTCTCAGGGCTGCTCTCTGATCACTACAGCCAGGCAGTCACCTAGCTGCTCTTACACTGCATACCTGTGTCTGAGTACTCATTTCATCTGTCAGCGAGGGTCTGCGGGACAGACCCAGCAAGAGCCCAGATAAAAAAACACAATCTTAAACAAAAAGAATAAAGCTGGAGGCATAAATTACCTGACTTCAAAATATATTACAAGGCAATAGTAACCAAAACAACATAGTATTGGTATAAAAATAGAAACATAGACCAATGAAACAGAATGGAGAGCCCAGGAATAAAGCCACTTATTTTCAGACAACTAGTCTTCAAAAAATCCAGTAAGAACTTACATTGGAGAAAGGACATCCTCTTTAATAAATGGTACTGGGAAAATTGGATAGCCATGTGCAGAAGAATAAAACTGGACCCCTATCTCTTGTCATATGCAAAAATCAACTCAAAATGGATTAAAGACTTAAATATACTACCCAAAACTACAAAAATACTGGTAGAACACCTAGGGAAAACTCTCCTGGATGTTGGTCTAGGCAAATAATTTATGACTAAGATATCAAAAGCACAGGGAACAAAATCAAATATAAACAAATGGGACTTCATTAAACTAAAAAGCTTTTGCACACACACACACACATAACAGAGTAAAGAGACAACCTATTGAATGGGAGAAAATATTTGCAAGCTATTCCTCCAACAGGGAACTAATATCCAGAATAAACAAGGAACTCAATCAACTCAAGAGGAAGAAAACAAATAATCCTAATTAACAGTGAGCCAAAACATGAGTAGGATTTCTTAAAATAAGACATACAAATGACTAACAGCTATATGAAAATATGTTCAACATCACTCATCATCAGAGAAATGCAAATTAAAATCACAATGAGATACATTATCTTAGCCAGTCAAAACGGCTATTATCAAAAGGACAAATTATAGTAGATGGTGGCAAAAATGCAGAAAAACAGAAATTCATACATTGTTGGGAAGGTAAACTGGTATAGGCACTATGGAAAACAATATGGAGATTTCTCAAAAAACTATAAATAAAATTACCATTCAATCCAGCAATCTCACTACTGAGTATCTACCTAAAGGAAAAGAAATGAACACATCCAAAAGATACCTACATTTACATGTTTAATATAGCACTATTCACAATATCAAAGATACAGAATCAACCTAAATATCCATCAACAGATAAATGGATAAAGAAAATATTTTATATATATATATACGCCATAGAATATTCTTCCATAAAAAAGAATGAAATCATGTCATTTGCAGCAACATGGATAGAACTGGAAGTCATTATCCTAAGTGAAATAAGGCAGGCACAAAAAGACAACTATTGCATGTTCTCACATAAGTGCAAGCTACAAAATTTGAACACATGGAGGTAGACAATGGAAAAATAGATAACAAAGTCTGGGAAGGGTGAGTAAGAGGCAGGGGAGGATGAAGAGAAGTGGGTTAATGGATACAAACATACAGTATCTGTGGCCAGCCATGAGGCCTCACTCCTGTAATCCCAGCACTTTGGGAGGCTGAGGTGGGCAGATCACTTGAGGTCAGGAGTTCAAGGCCAGCTTGTCCAACATGTGAAACCATGTCTACTAAAAATACAAAAATTAGCTGGGCATGGTGGCACATGCTTGTAATCCCAGCTGCTTGGGAGGCTGAGGCAAGAGGATCACTCGAACCTGGGAGTTGGAGGTTGCAGTAAGCTGAAATCATTGCACTTCAGCCTGGGTGACAGAGCAAGATTCCATCTCCAAAAAAAAAGATTAAATTCAAAGTTTGATAGCAGAGTAAGATGACCATATTTTTTAGAAATGTATTGTACTCGGGTGATGAACATACTAAATACCTGGACTTGATCACTATACATCATTTAAATGTAAAAAATTCTCATGTACTCTATAAATTTGCAAAAATTAAAAAATGCCAATATACTATGGATATAAGAGCAGAAACACAAAATGAGACTGGAAACTTAATCATATTGTTGCATGCAAGACTAAGCCTGATATCATCATCAAATAAACAATAAATGTACTTACCATTTAATAAACTGGTAGTCAGATTTTCTGTTTTTATAGTCAAAAGCTTTCCAAACTGTTCAAATATTTAGATTATTTTCAGGATTTTACTATATAAAAAGTGATGAAAGAAAATTTTCATGTATAAATTTATATCCCATTTCCTCATGTTTTATTTAAAATATAAACTGAAACACAATTATGCTGATTTGGTTATGTGTATGTTTATATAAAATTAACTAATTTGTTACAATATTTTAATATTTTAACATAGAGCTGTAAATAGTATTATGTGATCATTGAAAAATCAGAAAACAAAAATATTTAAGGTGATTGATAGCCCAATTATAGTGATTTGATCTTTACAAATTATATGACTGGTTTTTTAAAAATTATCACATGTACCCTCAAAATGTGTATTTCTATTATGTATCAATTTAAAAATGTTTCAAAATAAAAACATATAAAAAATCTTTCTATATGCAACAGTTTTCATTTCTAATATTTTATGTGTTTTTATTGAGATTTTATCAGAAAGTACTTTTTAAAGAAAACTTTAAATTAATTAGCATTTCTATTTTTACAACACATTTAATCCTTTTGCATATACTTACAGCATATTAATCCTTAATAATAGAATTATTATATCTATTCTACTTTTTATTCATAACTTTCTCATAGTAATGAAGATATTTAGGGCTATAAATTTACCTTTAAGTTCAGCTTTGGTAATATTTCACAACTTTTTTTATATGTAGTACTTTTCATTTGCTATTTTCTACTGTTTGATGCTGACACATTAATTATTTATAAAAGTATTGTGCTTTCAACAGAGGGGCCTTTATTTTATTTTTGTCAATTTACAATGTGGTAGATATTGTCATAGTTATTATTTTTATCTACTAACTCTATTCTAAACTGAAAATGTAACCTCTTCGATTTTTTCTTTGTGGAATAAAAATGATTTTATTTTTGCCTAGTATAGCAAACATATTTTGTAAACCACACAAGGACATTTTAAAAGAACATATATTTTCTGCTTCTTGGTACAGAGCTTAATATATTTCTATTAATCCAACTTCATTAATTGTATTACTCAAAACTGACATGTCCTCATTTAATTTTTGACTACTTCTTATAATAGTGATAGTGACATTAACTGTCCCAACTGTAATTAAGTTTCTGCCCATTTCTCCTTGAATTCCTAAAATTTATTCCATATTTTGACTCACATAAATTTTCTGGCTATTATAATTTCATGTAGAATTTAACTTCTAGGAATATGAAGAGACTTTCTTTGTTATGTTTTAATGATTTTTTTTCCTTAAATACTTTTTTGTCTTCTCTTAGTATGAATACTCTGCTTTGGTTTTAGTGGCTTTTACTTAATGTATATTTGCCCATGTTTTTATATTTTATCATTCTAATTAAAAAATAGCTATGCTTATAGAAAATCTATTTTTTAAATTTTTACTCAATTTCATTGTAACTGAAATGTTTGTATTTATTCTTAACGACATTTCATTAATTTCATTTTTAATCTGACTGCTGTTTGTTTTAAGTTTCTGTCTTTTATTGTATGATCTTTATTTGCTCTTCTTTGCTGTATATTTTAAAAATATATATTCTATGTTTAATTCTATGAGTGATTACTTCAAAGAAAAATGCAAAATGTTATAGTTCTTTATAGTACTGTATCATAAACTGCATTCTAGTAAACATTAGCTTACAGGACCATAATACATAGTCCTAAGGGTCAGAAAAGCTAGTAATGTAGCAAACCTCTCCAAATGTTAATGGCTTACAAGAAATTAGCATTTTCTCTCACTGTTCTCCATGTTGACTGGGCTCAACTCAGGGTCTCTATTAGTTTCAGTCAGGTGATAAGCGTTCCAGTCATTCAAATTCAATTTGTGTGTAAGATGACTCCCTCTCACCTCTGGTAGCTGATGTTAGCTAATGGCTAAGACTGAGCTGGGATTACCAACAGGAGTGCCTACATGTGGTCTTAACATGTGAAGTTTGCTTCTGACAATATGATGGCTGGATTTTAAAAGAGAATATCCCAAAGTGTTTTGAGAATCATAACCCGAAGCTGCAAGGCTTTTTTTTTATCTAGCCTCAGAAGTCCCATAAAATGGCTTCTCCTGTGTTCAATAGGTCAGAAAAGTTATGAAGGCCAGCCCATATTCAAGGGGAGGGAAAATAATCACCACCTCTTATTGGGAAGAACAGCATTCTCATGCAGGAAAGAAAGGAATTGGTGGAGTCTATATCTTTTAGATACTTCTTGAAAAAATTACAATGTTGTTGAACATATTAAAGAAAAAACTTGTATAATGGCTAACCAAATTATTTAATCTGAAATAGTCTTTTACTCACATGTAAACTGTTGTCCTTATAGCAGCATACCCACAACAGTAGTTTCAGAAGTGTTATAGACCAGCATTTTCTCATAGAAATATAATACAAGACACATGTAATTTTAAATGTTCTAATCACCTTAAAAAATAAAAAGAAACAGCTAAAATTAACTTAATAGTATAACCCAATATATCTAAAACATTATCATTTTGTCAACGAAATGTGTCAAGCTCCATAAAATATTTTAAGAGATTCATTCTGAGCCACATATGAGTGACCATGGCCCGTGACACAGCCCTCAGGAGGTTCTGAGAACATTTGCCCAAGGTGGTCGGGGTGCAACTTGGTTTTATACATTTTAGGGAGGCATGAGGCATCAATCAAATACATATAAGAAATACATTGGTTTGGTCCAGAAAGGCAGGACAACTCAAAGTGAGGGCTTCCAGGCTATAGGCAAATTTAAACATTTTCTGGTTGCCAATTGGTTGAGCTTGTCTAAAGACCTCGGATCCACAGAAAGGAAATGTTCAGGTTAAAATAAAAGTTAAAAGATTATGGAGACCAAGGTTCTTATGAAGTCTTATAGTGGCTGACCTTAGAGACAATAGATGACAAATGTTTCTTATCCAGATCTTTAAAAGGTGGTAGACTTGCCAGGTGCAGTGGCTCACGCCTGTAATCCCAGCACTTTGGGAGGCCGAGGCAGGTGGATCACAAGGTCAGGAGTTTGAGACCAGTCTGACCACACGTCTCTACTAAAAATACAAAAATTAGCCAGGTGTGGTGTAATCCCAGCTACTCAGGAAGCTGAAGTAGGAGAATCCCTTAAACCCAGGAGGCAGAGGTTGCATTGAGAGGAAATCGCGCCACTGCACTCCATCCTGGGCGACAGAGCGAGACTCCATCTCAAAAACAAACAAACAAACAAAAAAGGTGCTAGACTTTTAGTTAATCTCTTTAGTATTGAGAGAGCCTGGAAGAAAAAGATCTAGCTATGTTAATAGAGATTCTTTACAGACACAAATTTTTCCCCACAAAGGCCAGCTTTGCAGGGCCGTTTCAAGATATGGCAAAGAAACATGTTTTGGGGTAAAATATTTTTATTTTCTTCCTTGTCTTGTAATGTTATGTCAGAGTCAGGTTGGAAAGTAAGTCACGATATATAGAGTTAAATAAAACCCATCTGATGAGAATTTATGGTTTGTAGGGCTAGACTCCCTAGACCCCTTAGATAGGAATTTGGGCAAGATTTAAAAAATCAGAGCTTAGTCCTCAATTTCAACACATAAACAATAGAAGCATTATTAATAAAAATTTTGTAGTTACTTTTGTATTATGTCTTTGAAATCCAGTGTAGATCTTATCCTTAGGGTACATCACAAATGTTCCGCAGTCACATATGACTATTCTTTACAATGTTGCTCTAGACTATAAACTCCTTGAAAGCAGGAATCATGTTCTCCTCAATCTTGTATCTCAAACATAAATGTGCTTGATACATAGGAAAAATTTATATGTTTGATAACTGACTTAAAGAATGAATTTCAAAGTTATAATTTTTCTAATGCATATTCCCTCAATCTTTCCTCAATCTTTCCTCAATCTTTCCTTTGTAAATTTTGAGGAATCTCATGCCAATATTCCCATATTCACTGCCAGCCTTTGTTAATATAATATGGAATTTGCTACTCAGTTTTAATATGAAATTTGCTACTCAGTTATGGAATTTGCTTCTCAGTTATTTTTAGTAGTCTCTCTTCACTTTTAGAAATAATTTGTACATTGCAAAAATTTTATTAAGAAATTAATAGCAATAATTTAGATCATTGGTTTTGTTGTTCAAAGCCAATCACTCATTTGTTTCTCCTTTTATGCCACAGTAATTCTCAAGGTTACATTATTTGTCACATCATACTGGGTTGTAGAAGTAAAATACAAAAACTCAAGCCAATTTCTACTCTCATACTTTTTTTTTTTTTGAGACAGAGTCTTGCTCTGTTGCCCAGACTGGAGTTCAGTGGAGCGATCTTGGCTCACTGCAACCTCTGCCTCCCAGGTTCAAGTGATTCTCCTGCCTCAGCCTGCCTCGTAGCTGGGATTACAGGCTCTCTTATTTTCGTTTCATAAGTCCTTAATTTTTTTCTTACTCTTCTTATAAAACGTGTGTAAAAAAGGTACTTGAGTGATGCATTCCATGTGTCCTATAATAATTGTCAATATATTTCTGTTGATGCCAACTTAACTACATCCTCAAGTTTATATTGTTATCTCATCTCCTGAAAAATGTATGTATATTGCTCCATTATCTTCAAACATAAACTGTTATGAGGAAACATCTGAGCCCAGAATGATTGCTTTTTATTAGCATTGTTTTTCCTGACTAGTGCTTAGATTATTCCTCTCTAACATGTCAAATTTTTTTTTCAGAAAGTCTATTTTATTTAATTTCCTCTGGAACATGGTAAATTATTTTAATCTTTGCAAAGGCTCAAATCGTTTTGCTAGTTCTAGAAATATTTCTTCTGTTTTTTTTTAATCTCTGATTTCTCTTTATTTGTTTTATTTTCTTATTTTCTAACTTAGTAATAGTTTATATTGACTTTCTAAGCCATGTATCAGTATCATATTTTTTTCACACCTTTGTAATTTATTTCACTTTCTCTTCTATACTTAAAGTATGTCTCAATTCTCCTCTACACAGAATTGCACACAGTTGTGCTGTTGGGACTTAATTTTAGCCTACACTCCATTTGCCAAACAGTGTCCACTGAGAGAAGCTGAAGCCACTAAGAGCTGTACCTTGGTCTTATTCTGTCATTTATAGGAGAACGTTTTTCCTAATTCATCAGCCCAGATAAAGTACCTTTGTCTAAATTGTATAAAGGGGGTTCTAAAATTATATTCAGAGAGTTGTTTTCTATTTTTCATTAATAATGTGTTTTAACTTCTTACTGGTCTTTCTGTGTCTCTATCAGATTCATAGTTTTACTGAGCCTGCATCTCAACTGGTCACCTAAGTGTTATAAACCTACCTGATTACCCTCTATTCATTTCTTCCCACTTACTACTTTTTTTTTAATTTTCCCTCAACATTTGATTATCAATGTCTGAGAAGTGTACAGTAAACACACTCATACCCCAGGACCTAGATCTACAATTAACATTTTATATTTTATCACATATCTCTCCAATTATTCATTTCTCTATTAACCCACCATCCATCTTACCTTTTTTGATGAGTTTCCAAGTAAACACCAGAATGCCTCACCAGAAGCCAAGCATTCACTAGAGCTTAACATTTCTTTATAATTTTTCTCTGGGCTATTGTTTATATATAATGACATGCATAAATCATAAATGCATATTTGTTATTTGCTGAGTTTTGACAAATGCATGAACCTGTAAAACCAAAGTCCTTATCAAGAAATGGGATATCACCATAAGCCCACAAAGTTCACTATTTCCCCCTTTCAAGTCAATTCCTTCTGCTGCCCCCAATTCATGTAAGTACCAGAGAGTGTGCACTCCTATGTCTGACTTTTTTCATTCAATACAATTGCGGGGGCTCTGCTTGTTGTTGCATAAAATAGATCTTTCTCTTTTTATTGTTGAGTAGTATTTCATTGTATGAATACAACATAGTTTGTTTATCCAGGCTCCTACTGATGGACATCTAGGCTATTTCCAGTTTAGGGCTATTTTTTTTAATTAATGCTAAGAACATTACTGTAGAGGTCTTTTGTGGACATATGTTATCATTTCTCTTAGGTAAACATTTCGGAGTGAGATTATTGGATAATAGGATGGGTCTATGTTTAGTTTCCTAAGAAACTGAAAGATCTTTTCCAAAATGGTTTTACTATTTTACAGCCCAACCAACAATATATGAGAGTCAGTTTACTCTACATCCTTGCTGAGGTAAATGATTGTAAGTCTTTTTAATTTAAGTCATTCTAGTAGATACGTACTTTACATTTTTTCTGAGGACAACGATATTGGGCACTTTCATATGACCCATATATCTTATTTTATGCAGTGCCTCCTCAAGTCTTTAGGTCATTTTTATTGGATTTTTTTTTATTATTAGGCTGTATATATATGAATGAATAACATTAGTCTCCTTGTCAGCTATATCTTTTGAGAATATTTTCTCCCATTCTCTGAATTTCCTATTCAGTTTTTAAATGTCTGTGGATGAGTGGGATTTTCTAACTTTGAAAAAGGCTGATTTATTACTTTTATTTCTAATTATGGCTTTATTATCTTCAGAAACCTACTGCCCAAATACAAAGATATTCTCCCATGTTTTCTTCTACCAGCTATATATTTTTAGCTTTTCAGTTTAGGTGTAGTCTAGTTTGAGTCAATATTTGTGTATTTTGTAAGGCAAGAGGCAAGGTCCATATTTTTCCAGTAGATATCCCATTTTTTCAGTATATGTTGAAAAGATTTTCCTTTCAACATTATATGCTTTGACACCTTTGTTGAAATCAAAACATCACAGATGTGTGAATCTATTTAGGGCCCTTCCTCTTTTATTTCTTTTTTTTTACTTTCCTTCTTTTGATCTGTCTGCTGATCCTTAGGCTAACATCACACGGTGTTAATTACTATACATTTTGATGAATCAAAAGATTGATTTGGGAGAAGTGACACCTTAACAATATTGTCTTCCAATTCACGAACAAGGTTTAATCTCCAAGTATTTATGTCTTTTAAAATTTATCCCACAAATATTTTGTAGTTCTCAGTGTAGATGCCTTATGTCTTTTAAAATTTATCCCACAAATATTTTGTAGTTCTCAGTGTAGATGCCCTGCATAAAAATGTATTTGCACCGAAATTTATTTCTAAGTACTTTGTTACTGCTATTGTAAGATAATTATTTTTCTATTTCATTTTCCAAACTTTTGTGGCTAGTATCTAAAAATACAATTGATCTTTACACTGAACTTGCTAAATTTACTTATTCTAGTAGGTTTGTGAAAGATTAAGATTTTCTACATAAAAAATCATGACATCCTTAAAGAGAACATTTCATTTCTTCATTCTAATGTTTATGCATTTTGTTTCCTTTTCTTGCTTTATTGTGTTGGTCAGGACCTCCGGAAAAATGTGCAATAGAAGTGGTGAGTAAGAAGATTTATGCCATTATTTCATCAAACATTTTTTTCTATACACTTACATTTTTTCTGCCTCTCTGAGACTCAGTTATATACATGTGCAATTACACATGTAGATATTGTTCCACAGGTCTCTCAGTCCCATTCAATTTTTATTTCAAGATTTTTTATCTCTGTTCTTCAGGTTTGATCATTTTCACTTATCTACCATTAAGTTATTTTTTCTTCTTTTTCAGTGATTGTTTTTCTATATTCTCTCATATTACAAGCATATTTTACTTTATTGAGCAGTTATAACAGCTGCTTTTAAAATGTTTGTCTGCTAATTTCACCATCTAGTTCATCTTATAGTCTCTATTGACTGCACTTTCTGTTCGTAATAGGTCACAGTTTTTGTCCTAATATTTATTAGTATATATGAATTTTGGATTTATTATTAGCATTGTCAATGATACATTATTGAAACAATAGATTCATTTCTTCTGAAAAATATTAATAAAAATTTTAGAAGGCATTATCTTGGATGAATTCAAATCCCAAACTCTGAAGTATCACTTTAGATATTTTAGTATCAGTTGAGTTATTAGGATGGAGTCTACCCCCATGCATATAGTTCTAGGATCAGCTACAGGTGAGGGAAGAATTTATAGAGAAGATCTCCGGGTACCCCTACCTGGCTGTCTCTTTTCTGAACTTTCCCCTTTCACTTTCTAACTTCTGTAGGTGCCTTGAACTTTGTCTTTTGGTTCTTCAGTCCAGTAATACTGCAGTTGTTTATCTGAGTTTTATCAGCCCTGCATGATGCTGATTGGATTCTGTCCTGGGGATAAACCTCTTTAAATAGTCGAAAATTTACAGAATAATGTTTCCTTCTTTCAAGGAAACATTATCTCCCTCCAATATCTGCCTCTTTTTGTTCACGTTATAGTGACTTCAAATATTTTTTTTCTATTTTGTCAGACTTTACAATTGTCATCTGCAGAAGAGTTCATGTGAGAAGAGTTGTTGGATATTATTACTGTAAGTCAAATTTATCTTTCTTTATAACATTTTGTTAAAGTAACTTAGTCTCCTGCCCTGTAGAATTTTCTTCCTTTTGTACTTTGTTGATTGCATCCTAGTGGACTAGTTTAGCATACTTCTCTGTCCTTGGCATCTCCTATAAATTGACATTTGGATATAGGAACTTGATACAATTTTGTTTAAAATTCTTTTTGACTATACTATTCTATTTCTTCCATGGTTTTGTGTTCTGTTAAGCATCACATAATGCCTCATTGTCTCTCTTTTTAGGATGTCCGCAGCTATAGATGGTCAATGCCTTGAATCATTATAAAGTAATGTTTTTTAACTTAGACCCTTATACATGGATAATCACAAAGAGGCAGGAGAACAGGATCTGGAGACAGGCAACCTAAGACTGTTTCACGCCGACTTCCTAGAACTAAATTGAAAGGAAATCCCTAACTTTCCACGCCTAAGTAACAAAAGGAGCAGAGGATACACCCTTTGCAAACCTCCCACCTTTTCTGTGCAGCAGGTGGGAAATTGGCTGTCCACAACAAATCAGACTGATTGTGGGATGAGTATTTGTTTGCATAGACGCATAACTTTGTAACTTCACCCTAGCCTCTGATTGGTTGCCTTTTGCAACCAATCATATGTTTGCACGAGAATGTGACCTTTGTAACTTCACTTCAGGCTCTGGTTGGCTGCTTTTTGCAAACAATCAGACTGACTGTGGGCTATCACTTTATTTACATGAGGTGAGCATGATGTAGCCAATGGGAAACTTCTAGGGGGTATTTGGACCCAAGAAGATTCTGTATCCGGGCCCTTGAGCCACTGCTTGGCCTGTTCCCATACTGTGGAGTGTACTTTTGTTTTCAATAAATCCCTGCTTTCATTCTTTTGTTGCTTCATTCCTTCTTTGCCTTGCTGGGCATTTTGTCCAATTCTTTGTTCAAAATGCGAAGAACCTAGACAACTTGCATTCACGACCCTCTACCAGTGACAACGATGTCTGAGTATTTTAAACTTCACTAAGTATTGTCAAATGTGCTCTATATAGTACAATTTCTATTTAGACTATCACTGACAATGAGCACAAAGTACTGTTTCTCTACACCCTAATGGTACATCATTTTGGTATAATTTTTAAATGTTGTCATTTTTTACAGGTGAGAAATATGTTCAACTGAGGCTTTAATTATATTTAGTCACAAATGAAATTAATCTTGTTTTCTTAGGGTTTTTTGTTTGTTTTGTGGGTTTTTTAGCTATTCGGTGTCTCTTCTTCTATATCTTCCTTCTCATTTGGCCAGTAGTTGATTAGATAGCATAATTTGTCCTTATTGATTTGTAAAAGTTCTCAATATATCAATTTTAATCATTATACATATCTCTTGCCAGTTTTTCTTTCACTATGTAATTTTAAACAATTGAATATTGTGGTAGGCAGAATAGTAGCCCCTCAAAGATGTCAATGTCCTAATGCCTAGAATATCTAAATACAGTATGCTACATAGCAAAGGGGAATTAAGGCTATATATGGAATTAAGGTCACTAATCTGCTGACTTTAAAATAGGAAGATTGTCCTAGATCCTCTTGGTGAGCTCAGTTAAGGACTCACAGGAGTCCTTAAAAGTAGAAGAGAAAGATAGAAGAAAAGGTCAGAGTGATGCAATCTGAGACTTACTTAACTTGTTGTTGCTGGATTTGAAGATGGAGGAAGGGAGCCATAAGTCAAAAAATGCAGGCAGCCTTTAAAAGCTGGAAAAGACAGCTAGAAAATCCCCCCACAGCCTCCGCCAATGAAAGCAACCCTGCCGATACCTTGATTTTTAGGCCAGGAAAATTTGTCAGACTTTTCACCTACAGAACTGTAATATATTTGTGTTCTTCTAAGCCACAAAGATTGTGATGTTTGTTACAGAAGTCATAGAAAACAAATAAAAATATTAAAAAGTTCATAATATACAGATGACGGTAACATAGTATAATGAACCATGCTGTGCATTTAACATAGGTTTTTAAAAAATTAAGTCATGGCCAATATTATTTACAATACCCATATGTACTGGGTTACAATCTAGATTATTTTGAAGTAAACCAGACATTTTATCATTTCTTCATAAATATTTCAGATACAATTATGAATTATAAGCAGTCTTTTTGAAACATAACCAAAATATTATTTTATACCTGAAACTTCATTATGGTACCTAACACCATAAATATCCTGTCATTGTTATTTTTTCTTCTATACTTCATTTGTTTGATATATGCATCCAAATGAAATCTATTCCTTGCAACTGGTTGATATGTTGTTGTTTATTTTCATCTATAGGTTCTCTCTTCACCTCTTTTAATCTTGTTTGTTTGTTGATATCATCATGCTCTTTATTCCAAAAAGCTTTTATAGTCTGGACTTTGCTGACTGTATATCCATGGCACAGTTGAACAAGTTCCTCTATGCCCTGTAGTTCCTGTAAATTTGTAGTTAGCTCCTGAGGTTTCATCAGTTTCAAATTTCATTTTTTTGGTAAGAACATTTCATAGATGTTTTCTACTTCTCTCTGCAGACATATAACATATAGTTCTTTTTACTTGTTTTAAACATTTTTACTAATGTGCTATCATACAAAAAAGTTCATATATGTTCAAACAAATATATTTTCACATATTGATTACAGTAAAATACAAATTTATTATTTTCTCTATATTATTAAAACCCTATAATCCTTTTTCTTTCTTTTTTTTTTAACACATTTGCAGGGTACAAGTGTAGGTTTCTTATTTGCATATGTTGTGTGAAGTGGTGAAGCCTGGAGTTTTAATGTACTGATCGCCCTAATAGAGAACATTGTACCCATACGTAATTTTTCAACCCCTACTACCCCCCACCCACCTACCTTTTGTATTCTCCATTGTCCATTATTCCTGTGTGTCCATGCATACCCACTGTTTGGTTTCCACTTATAAATGAGAACCTGCAGTATTTGACTTTCTGCTTCTGAAGTAATTTCACTTAGGAGATAACTTAGGAAATGGCCTCCAGTACCACCCATGTTGCTGCAAAAGACATGATTTCATTATTTTTAATGGCTGAGTAGTGTTTCATGGTATCTGTCTATCTATCTATATCAAATTTTTATTATCAAGTTCTCCATTGATGGACGCTTAGGTTGATTCCATATTTTTGCTATTGTGAATAGTGCTGTGATAAACATATGAGTGCAGGTATCTTTCTGATGTGATTTTTTTCCATTTGAGTATAAATCCAGTAATAGAATTGCTGGATCAAATAATAGTAGAATCTTAGAGTTTTTAACTCCACTTAACTCCACTCATCTTTTGTGTAATTTTTGTCATGCACTTAGTTCTAAACATAATTTAAACTGTATACTTCACTACATTTTTTAAAATTCAGTATTCTCTTATATTTATCCAGATTTTTTTCTTGAGTTTTTCATTCCTTCTTGAATTTTTTCATCCAATATTCTTCTACCAGAATTCTCTTTAATATTTCTTTAACTGCAGGGTGGCCTAAAAGAATGTTTTTACTTTTTGCTTGAAATATTTCTATTACAATTTTATTTTGAAAGATATTTTCAATGAGCACAAAATTCCAGTTTGTGGTTCTTGTAGGGTGTTTGTTTCCAGCATTTTACGTGTGTCATTTTATTGCTTTCTGGTTTTTATTGTCTCTACGGAGAAATAAATTATCAATCTTATTGATAACCCCTTGAGGTAATGTATCTTTTTTCCTGTGGCTAACTATACCGTTTCTTCTTTATCTTTAGTTTTAAAAAGTTTTACCATGATATGCCCACATGAGATTTTTTTTATTTATTTATCTTACTTGGGATTTTTTAAGTATTTTGAATTTGTTGACTTGTATTTTCTACTGGTTTTAGAAACTTTTCAACTATTACCTTTTAAATATTGTTTCTACTTATTTCCCTTTTTCTGCAACCACAATTATATATATTTTAGATTTTTCAAGCACATCTCTAGTATTTCTGTTTGGTTTGTGTTTTATCCTTTTAGTTTATTTGTGCTGTATTTTTGAAATTTTCTATTAACCCATCTTTTGTTTAACAAACTCTTTATTCTGTTGTATCGAATATTTTGTTATAATCATCTGAGTTCTTAATTTCAGATATTACATTTTTTAGTTCTAGAAAGTCCTTTGATATTCTTATAGATTGTATTATCTGGTGATATTCTCCAGTGGTCTATCATTTTTTAAAATTTCTATAATTTATTAACATAATATTTTAAATTATCATCATGTAATAATATTACCTTGATCATCTGTGGGTCTGTTTCTAATGTTTGTTTATTTTGATTGTTTTTAAAATTGTCTTGCCTCCTTTCATGTCTAATAAATTTTTATACCGTGTTATACTTGTTTATAAAAGAACTATAAAAGTCCCAGGAAATAATGTGCTTCATTAGAGGTGATTCCTGTGTTAGGTAGATAGTGTAAGGGTATATTGTCCTTTCCTTTCCTCTGTTAGGTTGATAGTATAAGGGTATATTGTCTGTATGGCCTTTCTATACTTCCTGATTTCCTCAGCCTTAAAGAGCTGAGGAAGATTCAGTTATGATTTTGGAGCTCTTCAGTTTAGCTTTTAATCCTCCATCTCTACTTGGCTTCAAATTAAACTATTTCAAAGAAAAGACCAGCCATGAGTTAAAACAGGCCTTTTTCTCCTATCAGGTCTTTGTTTCCTATTTCTGAAACACTAAAAATTTGAAAGAGATTTTATTCTGCTATTTAGTATCTTTTAACCCACTTATTTATGTATTTATTTATTTTTATTTTTATTTTTTTGAGATGGAGTTTCGCTCCTATTGCCCAGGCTGGAGTGCAATGGCATGATTTCGGCCCATCGCAACTTCCACCTCCCAGTTAACCTACTTCTTGAACCTCTTATGCAGGTCAAAATTTAGCAAATTTTTCATGAAAAAATCTAACCATGGATTTTAGGCTCCTCGTGTTTCCAATGTCCCACAAGTCCTGGGCAACCACTGAAATCTTTATTATTTTCTCTTCACCCAGAAGAGGTCTTCTGTCTATACCCAGCCTGCTCCTTAGCCTAAATCTACCATAGGGCAATGCCCACAAAGGAAAATAAATAACTGTTGAAAATAAGAATTCTTCTTAGGAATTTTAACCCACCTAGTTCTTATTACTTCTACAGATTACTAATATCTTCAAAAACATAAGGTTTTATTCCATATAACTTGTCCAGCCTTTTCTAGTTTTTGCAGTGAAACTACTGACCTCCTATTACCTACTATATTCTATCAAAAGCAGAAATTAGTCTGCTATATTTTAATTTCAGATAATTTTTCTTAAGATTTTCTGGTCATGTTTTTAGAAGCCAAATAGTTGTACATCCTAACCAACCATTCATTCATCCAACACCTATTTATAGAATACTTATCAAGCAGTTGTTTTATTGATTATTATTTCTATCACAAATTATTTTCAGATCTAAGTACTTCCTTGGAGTCTTCATCAAGGAACTTGATGAAGTTGGAACTTCATCAAGGAACTTGGAACTTCCTTGGAGTTCCGTTGTTTTATGCGGCAATTTTCAAAGGTAATGAAATATTACCTTTCATTTGCTCATTGTGTATTAGGCTATTATAAAAAGACTACTGTCTGCTTAGTGTAAACAGATACAAAAAGCAATGCATGATCCATTTACATGGATCCATAGGAATTAATCTGGTTCACCTTTGTGGAACAAAGGCATATCTCTGCCCTAACTCCTTGATTCTCTATCAGAAACAGAAATAAACTATTTCAGTACAGCATGGCATGCGTTGCTTTCTTATGTAGGCTTATTATATGAAAGAACACACTTTCAGGCATGTACACACACACAAATTATATCTAGCAGAATATCATATGCTAATGTGCATCATCTTTAACTCCCTGCTTTATTGCTTCCTAGTAGATGTGGGCCCCAAAGTATGCAGAATGTACAAATGGGTCCTAGAGAAAGGATGTTCCTGATTCTGCTTTAGATACCAATACTGCATCACAAGGGATTGATTGCCAATTTTCTTGATGCTACATAATCTGCATCACAAAACTAGAAGCATATACCAAGAAGAACTGAAACCACTTCATAGGAGATAGGCCTACTCTATTTCAAAATGGCGAAATATGTCACAATGCTATCTCTTCTGCTCAATCTGATCTATGGTTATTACAATTTATCCCCAGTTTCATTCAAATGGTATTCCTAAATGCAGTTAATTTCAGATAAATTAATCAATGAAAACATTAATTCAATTTATACAATGTAACTAAAATGATAATTATAAGATTGCAACAATAATAATACAGGTCAATATTAGTTGCATACCAACCGGCATAGAGCATTCAAGTATCCCTGATTACTCGCTCCCTTAAAGAGAAGCACTGATAGAGGTAGGTAAAGTATAAGGATAAAGTACAAGGATTCCATCTTGCAGTGATCTCAGAGGTAGCTTTTTGGGTAATAGGGAAAACAATTAAAAGTCCTGCTTCTTTGCACCATGGGCTCTTTCCCTTTTTCTGGAATAGAAGGGATAGCATCTTTTTGGAGTGAATACTTTGCATCCTCCTTTGAGACCTTGATTCCTTGCAACCCCTTAAGGCTGGTACAAAGTGGCTGTTAATTATTTTGGAATGGCTTCTTGTCCTGGGGAAGCCTAAATCTGTAGTTTCAACAGAAGGCAATTTTGTACCACAGAAAACATTTTACCTACTACAATGAGCAGGACAGCCCTCTACAACAAATAATTATTCATCCCAAAATATCAATGTGTTGGGGTTGAAAAACCATGGCCTACAATTACCAGATTAAAAAAGAAGAAAAACATAGGTGACACAGGTACTTACATTATGCAAGTCAAAATACTAAGTACTTCAAAGTACTCCACATTTATTATTTCTAATTTTTATTATCAAAACAACTCTATCATGTAAGTATTATTACCTCCATTTTACACATAAAGGCATTGTATCGGGAGGGATGGATAGATAGATAGAATTTTAAATATTACAAATAACCCTAAAAGTATATTAGCATTTTTTTTTTTGAGACAGAGCCTAGCTCTTTCGCCCAGGCTGGAGTGAAGTGGTGCAGTGGTGCAATCTCAGCTCACTGCAACCTCCGCTCCCCAGGTTCAAATGATTCTCCTGCCTCAGTCTCCCAAGTAGCTGGGATGACAGGCACCCACCACCATGTCCAGCTGATTTTTGTATTTTTAATAGAGACGAGGTTTCACCATGTTGGCCAGGCTAGTCTCAAACTCCTGACCTCAGGTGATCCACCCACCTCAGCCTCCCAAAGTGCCAGGATTACAGGCATGAGCCACCACTCCCGGCCAGCATATTTTAATTAACTAATTTTTCCAGTATTCAGAAAATACTATGACAGTTCAAACTTCCAATACCTTGCCTGATAGCTCACAGAGCCACGATTAAATCCAAGTCTGTTTCACTGCAAAAGGTGTTTCACTCCCCTTTCCATGGTATCATTTTAACTCTAATAACAGATAAGCATATGACAGCATTTCATTCATCTGAGCCATTGGTGACAACTCGTGCAACTGCTCTGTTGCTCTCAGGTGTGACTAAACACAGAGAGGATCAGTCTGAATATATTCACATGTGCGCAGCTTGATACAGTTTTACAAAATATCTCTGATACATTATCTTATCCTCCAAACAAACTTTGAAGTAAATAAAATTGTGTACACCAGTATGCATATGAGAAAATTGAGGCTCCATAAATTTAGGTAAGTGGAGGCTCAAACCCAGATCTTTCTAATTCTTTTCATTAACTTTACTGAAAAAGCCATTCTTACCTGAGCTTCTCTCATATCCACCATAAGTGTTCCTCCAGTGTTTCTCAAACATTGGAACAAGGTGACACACATAGACGGTGATAATATTTCCTCAGTCACTTTGGGCAAAGAAAGGTGTTATTTGCTCATCATCCTGGAGATTCACCTATTCCAAACCTTCACTAGCCACAAGAGCGGCAAGGGCCAATAATTTGGAACACCTGTATCCCACACTAGTGCGTTGTAGACACTGATTGAGATGATCTAGTTAGTCTCACATGTAAGCTTTCTGAGACTTCTCAGTTTTCTCCATTGTTCACTAAAATGTGGTAGACAAAACTATTAATATTATATCAATAAGAGCATGTTATATATAAAATTTTATAACCAAACTCAAAATGAATATCACCCACATCAGATGCCCTAGCTATACAAACATATTTTGATGTTTACTAATCTTTTAAACATTATAGGACTATTAATTCAAACACTATTCAAAATATTGCTGGGGATGGATTAAAAAAAACAGTTGCCTCCTAAGAGAGCACAAGTGGCTAGGATGTTTCATTCAATATGTTTGCTCTCTTCATCAACAGAAATCAGTAAGAAAAAATGAATTATGATATAATCATGTTCTTTTCTAGTGCACCATTAATCCCTATCTTTGCCTGCTATTATAATTCACTTTACCAAACAAAAACAATATTTGTGATATATTAGCTCAAATTTAGTGTAATGTGTCAGGAAACAGAAATATGAATCTCAGACATAATAACATGTCAATATGAGTAAATTTCTTTCTGTGCTTCAGTCACTTTTCAGCTTATTTCTCCCCCACTGGATTTTGCTCTCTTCAAATAACACTTCCCAGCCCCCATCACACCATTATAAATAAGTTTTAAACCTTTTGAATTAAATAATTTCACAGTTTCCTCTTGGCTAATCTTTTTCTCTAGCTCATCTAGAATTTATATGAAATGTGAACAGATCAAATAATCACATGCATTCTATTTCTTACTTGAATGTGATAATTGTTAACATCTTCTTGCAGTATTTTCTATTACCATGAATAAGATCCTATCAATTCACTTCATCAAAGATGCTGAAAAGATTAACCAGAATATATTAAATATTCTAGCCTATTTGATGAGTTTTTGTTGAATTGTGATTGCGAGAGATGGTATAATTTTCAAATATGATATCTCATATTAGAATATGTCTAGTAGTTTTTTAATAACTAGAAGCTTTAAGCTGCTATGTTAACAATATTTAGTAATTTAATAATTTAGTCTCCTGGTAAGAGAAGTCACATGCTTATGGAATTCCAGAAAATGAGCTGCCTGTCACCTGTGAATGAATTGTCCAAAACCTAGCCCCAACAATTCAAATATTATAAGTTCAGGTACCCACTCTTCAAAAAAAATCTGATATTTGTACCCCGTACTTCTTTTTTACATAGAAATTAAACTGAAAAAAATCTTTGTGATTGACCTTTTTTTGGTAACCAAAAAAACTTAGCTCTAACCCAAAAGTAAATTTTAAACTATAAACCATGTTTAGAACAGCAACTCCTGCCTACAGCTACACACACACACACACACACACACACACACACACACACACACACACGCAGGTACACACACACAAATTCCTTCTCCCTGTTTCTTCTAAGTAGAGAACTATGTTTATGAATTGAGAAAAAAATTTGAAAATAGCTTTTAAATTATGACTCATAATTTGTGGACTGTTAACAGAAAGCTTTTTCAAATGTAAATCTGTTTAGGTCTCTCCTGTGTTTAAAAAGTCTTCAATAATTCCAACTCCCTTCCTCTCCCCTCCAACTTCCAGATAAACCCTAAACTCTTTGTTAGGCACCCAAGGCCCTTTATAATTAGACCTAAGCTTATTTCTTGTCTCTCACTCCTCATTATGCCTTTAGATTCATTCAAGTCTGTCTGATGCTTCTTGAATCTGCAAACCATGACTACTGTTAATTCATGTCTTTGCCTAGAAATACCTTTCCCAGGTTTCTACATCTGAAAAGCTCAAGTTTTCCCCCACAACGAGAGTCATCGGCATCCCTGCCTTATTTGCTCCTATGGCCCTAGTCTACTGCTCAGTCTTATGCTACCTTGTTCAGACCTCTTCCTCAGAGCACAAAAAATTTCAAAAGAACAAGAATGTTTGATCCTCCTCCAAGAAACATAAAGGAGCTTAGAATGTGCATTTTGTACAGTAAACTTACACATTTCAGCCTAAACTTATTTTTCCCAATAACCCTATTTTTTCAGTTAATTTGTTTTTCATCGTGTTGGATTATATCACTACATTTTTAAATAAATAAATATAGCTCTATTAATTTAAAAGCTGGCATTAGGATTCTATTAGAGAAAATTGTCTTTATTAGGAAGCACGTATTTAAGCCAGGGAGAAAAGGTAAGCTGGGAGGGAATGTGTTGGTAGGCTTCAAGACAACAAAAGAGATCATTAGATTGCAACAACAGCGAAGAGGAATTCCTGGTAAGAAAGAGAGAGAAAGCAGAGAGGAGGGGCAGAAGACAGTATAGTAGAGGGTTTTAGTTTGAGTTTTGACTATCACAGAGGAATTTAGGAATGGAATGATTTTAAGATTAATATTAAGCTGGTTTTATTAATGTAATGCAAACCTTCTCATCTTCCAAACACTGAGTAAATATCCTGCATCAAGGAACAGAATTCCACCTCCGTGATGTCTAGATTTATATTAAGTACATTGAGGATGATGTAAGAGGATCTCTAAACTAAGCTAACTGTGGAAGTGGGAGTTTAGAGTAAGGTGAAACCATGAGAAGGTAGAAACTCCTTAACTTTCCAAGAATATGGTGCTAGGCACTGGCCACAATCTATGGAAAATAAGTTAAGTCAATTTAAGCTGTACTTTGAGGACAGTGTGACTCCATCTGATAGCTACTATAGAAGAAAATCAATTATAGCACCATTAACATAAGACTTTGTTTGAAAATGCTTAGCAGGAGAAGGCTCTAAATGATTGTTCTAATTTGGGAACCAAGGGGGATAATTTTTATTGGATTTTAGCAAGAGAGGTTGCATCATTTTCAGATAATTTTAAGAACAGCGTAAGGACAAAAACAAATTTGAAATAAGAGGTTTAATTCTTCTGTTGAAAATAAAGGAAGAGCATTCTCTCACTCCTTTTCTTGGAGCATTTACTTTAGAAAGCTTATAAAAGTTCCTTTTCTGGTTTTTTTGAAATGTATATAAATTTTTCCGGAAGCTAAAAAAGCATCTTGCCAGCTTTGTGATCCAGGGATGTCTTTCTCAAGGACCTAGGCTCCATATCTTTGAAGTATAAACATCAAGGAAGATAGCACCCTTGCCTCTCAGTCTCTGTGGGAGGGTAGGAGCCTAACTTTAGCCAGGGCCTGGCTCCAAGTTGCAAAGCTGCCTCCTGTCATAAAGATGTATGTTTTTCTTTTATATAAAATCAAGTTTCTAATATAGATGGTCTTCCTAATTACACAGTGAATTTAGGATGAACTATGTATAATAAATGGTGCCGTCAGCATTCTTGCTTGAGGACTAGTTATTATTTATCTTGAGAACATGAATGTAATCATTTGTTACTGCCTAGCTACATAAAATGGTGAGATTTCTTTCTGTCTTTGCAATCTCTTAGTGGATTGCCTGCAATATCATATCTCTGTTTAATATTTATTCAATAATAAAACTGTTTTCATTTTCTGCTGCATTTGTGGAGAAGTTTTCTGGGTTGGGAGAATAATTTGTTTTTGTTTTTACTTATATTTCTCTAACAATATTTGGTCAAAAAATGGTTCTCTCAAAAAGAAGGAATTGTTCTTGTGTATTAGCAGGCATTAGGCAATTTGCTGCCACTGGAAAATTTGGATTTTATTGAGAGAGAAGGAAGGAGGGGTTGTTACACAGTTAGGAGCTAAGATCTTGTGCAAAAGATGGTGGAGAAGAGCAGCTGGGGGAGACAGGAGGGAAGCAAAGACATGTGAGGACCACAGTGGAGAATTCTCATTTCTTCAATGCCTGTTACGCTGGGTTACAGAAATTAGCAAACATAATTATTTATTGATCTTAATTCTCCCTCTCCCACAAACACACTGACATCAAAAGGATTGTATGATTCATAGTTGAATCCTCAGCATCTAGAATTTTCTACCATCTAATAGATACTGAAATTAATAACTGATAAACTTTGCCCAGTCTTAGGCCTCTACCACAAATTAATTTTAGAACAGATCTAGATATTTTACAATATGCTGGTAAAAAGCTGAGGTCACGGCCTGGGCAACATAGTGACATCCTGTCTCCAAAAAAATCTAAAAAAACATAGCTGACTGTAGTGGCACACATCTGTAGGTCCAGCTACTCAGGAGGCTGAGCTGGGAGGATCACCTGAGCTCAGGAAGATTGAGGCTACATCATACCACTGCTCTCCAGCCTGGGTAACAGAGCAAACCCGTCTTGAAAAATAGATAAATAAATAAGTAAATAATAAAAGCTGAGGTCTTACAGATGAAAATGAACTTTTAGGACAGGCGCGGTGACTCACGCCTGTAATATCAACACTTTGGGAGGTCAAGGCCAAAGCGGGCAGATCGCTTGAGCTCAAGAGTTGGAGAACAGTCTGGACAACACGGAAGAAACCCTGTCTCTACAAAACATACAAAAATTATCTGGGCGCGGTGGCTTGAAACTTTAGTCCCAGTTATTCAGGAGACTGAGGTGGGAAGATCACTTTAGCCTGGGAGGCGGAGGTTGCAGTGAGCTGAGATCACACCACTGCCCTCCACCCTGGGTGACAGAGTAAGACCTTGTCTCTAAATAAATAAATAAACAAACAAACAAACAAACTTTTATGTATTTAATGATCTTATTTCTCAGATCCTTTGTTAAAAAGAGTAACTGGGCTCACAAGAATCTATAATCATCTGAAATCATCAATTTCAATTTGCTTTAGCAATTTAGCTTTTTTCCTGTGGTAGTTTTGTTTAGTTAGTTGGTACTTTGGTTCGGTTTGATTTTTAATCTCTATTTTAATATTCTCTCTGCTCACCGTCCTAGCACCTTTTCATTATCAAACATTTCTTCATTGTGCACATGTTCCATAGTTTTTCCAATAATAGATCATTATGTAGGGTTCTCCCTAAAGGACAAAGATGGTAAAAGGAAGAACACAGAGAGTTAAAGAAATCAAACGACATGGTTAAAGAAATAATAATCTCAACTCAATTTATCTTAGTTAATTTGCTATTAGCATCATCAGTGCTTGCATCTTACTTATATTGCAGATCCACTTGGAAGAAAATACTGTTTTCTATGTGCTTGCCATAGCATAAATGCAATATTGCAAGGAATCTCATAAAAATTTCCCTTCTTTTATTCTTGTTAGATGTGGCTCTGTAACTTTGAAAATTCCTTTTCAAGGTTACGTTCTGGGATTTACAGCTCTGAAACATGAAGTTGGTGAATACATAACTAACTCCCTTTGCTTAAAAAAAAAGTCAAGCATATGGGAGATGAATGTATAGTGAATGCTTTCTCGAAGACAAACACAAATAATTAGCTATGGAATCTCACAATTACAGAAAAGCAGGAAGGATATATAGTCTAAATCACACATATAGAGATTAGAAAATGAATGGCTCAAATATAATTTACAACTGAAGAAATGGAATTTTGAAAATGAAAGAACGTTGCTGAATTTTGCTTTAAAAACTTAGGAAAGGAGACGGGATGACTAGAAAAGGTGAGGGAAAGACTGAAGTTGATACAGTGGCAACAAGAAAGTAGATCATCATAGAAGCAGAGAAGCTGATACACAAAACGGGCACATTAGTAGAATAGCTGTTGGTGTGCAAGACTTGCCCTTGTGTCAAGGATGTTTCCATTCCATGACACCAACCAACAGATTGCTTGGACTGTTTCTTACACTTCTCTACTTTATCTTCCCTCTTTATAAAACAGCCCCATCCCCTGAAGAGCTTGAATGAAAACTCAAAATTCACTATTTAGCACAACGTAAACTCCAGATATTACAAAACTGTCTCACTTTAAAATATTTTCTCCATTGTCTCCCCTACTATACTTGTACTTAGCAGATTATGTGGATGAATTTTTGGTTTTTAAAAATAGTGTTCTAATAAGGGATTGTAAATGTTGTTTACAGAAAACAAAAGTTAAAGAAATAACTGGAGGCCAGGTTTTGTGACTCTCATGCCTGTAATCCTAGCACTTTGGGAGGCTGAGGTGAGCGGATCGCTTGAGCCCAGGAGTTCGAGAGAGGTCTGGGCAACATGGTGAAAACCTATCTCTACAAAAAATACAAAAATTAGCCAGGCGTGGCGGTGTGTGCCTGTAGTCCCAGCTACTTGGGGGACTGAGGCAGGATTGCTTGAACCCTGGTGGTCGAGACTGTGGTGAGCAGAGATGGCACCACTGCACTCCAGCCTGGGCGACAGAGGGAGACCCTGTCTCAAAAAAAAAAAAAAAAAAAAAAGATAGAGAGAAAGAGAAACGACTGGAACAAACACTTACAAAGGAGTAAGATAAATTTCTGTCTCAATTATGATTGCTTTGAATTTCTTCATCAATTTTTCCTTTACATAATCCAATTCCTAGTAAAAATAGGTTTCAAGAAAACTGAGAATTTAAAGATATGGCTTTCTCATTCTTAGTATACATAACCTCATGGTATTGGACACTCTTACCATTACCATCCACCTATCAGGAAAGATGCTTATATAGCCCTAGAAAATGCCATACCCAGCCCAGAGAGCAGCTTTAATCAAATTTTTAATCTCAAGGGGTTAAGTAATCATTACCTCCTCTGCATCCTCCACTGTAACTCTAATTGCCCTGTTATAATCATGACTGATTCTTTTACCAGCTCTCCCACCAGACTGGGAGATCTCAGAGGATCAGAAGCACACTCCATTTATATTTCTGTCATCAGCATTAAGTACCTTTCTTGACTTAATAATGTTTGCTGACTCAATGAATAAATCATAATTTCTCTGAATACAAATAATATTTGCTAAATTAGGCCCAGGATGAGGACATAAGTTTTATCTAGCATGTATCTCTGGACAATTGATAGTGACCAGCTGGGAAGATGTGTTGAGAAGAACTCTGATATAAATATAATTATAAATAGAAAAATGTAAATAAATAAATGCACATATAAATACACACACACCCACACACTGTCTGAAAATACTGCTATAATTAATTAGCAGTATTTGTTATGAGAATAGTATTGGCATGGGAGACACTATTTGGTGTCTTGAGACCTGATGAGAAAAAAAAAGTATCTAATATATTTAAATTCTATTTTATCATTATTTTTCAAAAATGCTTTATGTAATTTAAAACATTTCATTTCCACAGAAACAATGTCTCCTACTTTAGAGATATATAGGAGATTTGAGATTTAAGTCATTTTTCAAAGTTTATAGTTTATATGGTCAATAACTTGCTAATCTGGGTCTCAAACACAACTTCTAATAACAATAACAAAATGCCAAGATATCCACAATACTCCACCATTGCTTTCTTCTTTATTACCTGTAATTACACTCAGCTCATGTACAAGCACTCCTGAGCATATATGAATGCCTACATTTTGAGCATAATTATAGCAGAGAAACAGACCAGCTGGAAAGTGCTAACTGAACAATTTTACAAAAATATATCTGGATGTGTCTCTTGCAAACCCCAGTTGCATTTACGGGTACTAATTATACATTCTTATACAATTCAGCGCAAAGTCCTGTAGAGTCCCAGTGTTTGGAGCTTATTCAAGAGTTAGCTTAACAATGGAAATGTTCAGATAGTGATTGAGCTTTGATGGTAAAATAAAGACCAAGCTCTTTCCTGTTTGTCTTGTATTGCCCGGAAAAGTCAAGTTAGCATAAATCAGCAGATACCTTTAACAACTGTGATTCAAATAAAATGTAGTTCAACAATACCTTAGGGAAAGAATAAGACAATCTCAAGGAGGCTGGCCCAAGGCATTAGCATATTTGATATTATTTTGTTTTTTGATATTATTATTTTCTATGATTTTATCATATTTTATGTTATATTATTATATTATTTTATTATATTTTATATTATTATTTTGGTATTATTTTGTTTTATTTTGCCAGACACAGCTGAGTCTTTGATCCATTGAAAATATGTAACAGGGTGCTTTAAATTGGGGGTTAAGGGATAAGAAATTTAGGGTTGACAGAGCAGGCCCAGGGACAATGGTTAGGAAGGCTGTACGTAGGTGTGGGAAGACATCTTATTCTCTCTCTCTCTCTCTCTCTCTCTGTATATATACATATATATATATTTTTTTTTTTTTTTTTTTGAGATGGAGTCTCACTCTGTCACCCAAGATGGAGTGCAGTGGCGTGATCTCAGCTCACTGCAACCTCTGCCTCCTGGGTTCAAGCGATCCTCCTGCCTCAGCCTCCTGAGTAACTGGGATTACAGGCATGCGCCACCATGCCCGGCTTAATTTTTGTGTTTTTAGTAGAGACGGGGTTTCACCATGTTGGCCAGGCTGGTCTCGAACTCCTGACCTCAGATGATCCGCCTGCCTCAGCCTCCCAAAGTGCTGGGATTACATGCATGAGCCACTGCACCTGGCCTTATTGTCATATTAAAGTTCTGGTTCTCCCACTTACTAGCTGCATGACGATGTGCAAATAGATTGCCCTCTGCCGTCGGTGCTCTCACTAAACAATTGGAGTTTTTGTGAGTATCAGATGAATGAATCTATGCAAAATGTTTAGGAAAGTGCCAGAAACATGGCAGACACTAGTAATAAAAATAGAGTTGTCAAAATTTTTCTTATTGTTTTAATACAAATAGTGGCAATAGTAGCAGGAGTGGTATTAAGACAGCTGTATCTGCATTGCTATAAAGGAATACCTGAGGCTGGGTAATTTATAAAGAAAAGAGATTTATTTGGCTCATGGTTCTTCATTCTGTACGAGCATGGCACCAGCATCTGCTCAGCTTCTGATGAGGCCTCAGGAAGCTTTTACTCTTGGTGAAAGGTGAAAGGGGAACAGGCATGTCCCATGATGAAAGAGGGAGCAAGAGAGAGGGTAGGATGGGAGGACATGGTCAAGCGACCAGCCCTCATGTGAACTAACAGTAAGAACTCACCCAATACCATGGAGAAGGCATCAAGTCAATCATTAGGAATCTGTCCCCATGACCCAAACAACTCCTCCTAGGCCTCACCTCCAACACTGGGGATCACATTTCAATAAGAGATTTGGAGGGGACAAATATCCAAACTGTATCAACAGTTTATATTCTTAGACATAGGGGAAAGAACATAAACTCTGAAATCTAAATACCTGGATTTAAATCCAGCCCCTGCTGATTATAAATAAATCTATTAACCTCACTGTTCTTAGGGTCATCATCTATAAAATGGATCTAACATTTAATTGAAAGCTCATTTGAAGACCAAGGCCCTGCATAGCAAAAAAAAAAAAAAAAAAAAAAAAAATCTTTGTAAACTAAAAAATACATATACAAACATGGGTCACACCATTCCTTCATATCCTCTGCAGAGTCAATCTGTGAGCTAAAGTGCATAAATATTCCTAAAGTATCTCTCACAGGTCTACTGTAGATGTCTGCTATGATCTGAATGTTTCTATTCCTCCAAAATTCATGTATTAAAATGTAATCCTCAATGTATTGGTATTAAGGGCCTTGGGAGGTAATTAGGTTGTAGGGGCCAAGGAAAAGCTTCCCCTTCGCCCTCTGAATGTTTGCTCAAAAATCAACACACAAAAGGAGATTAGCTGGTGAAAAGTAACACAAATTTATAAACATGCATGTAAAGGAGAACCTTAAAGTGATTACCCCAACCCCCAAATGGGGTTCAGAAGCTTATACACCATCTAGAGGTTACAGAACAAATGGGGACTTGGATTGTGCAAAAAAGATTGTGGGAATGGGAGGAGACCTGGCTGGCAAACAGGGCCTTATTATGTAAATTAAGTCTCACAGGTAGCAGCCCTCAGAAAGAACAGATAGTATAATAAATGTTTCTTTCAGAAAAGGTGTCAGACTCTCGGTTTTTCTTCCTTAGATCCGGAAAGGGAAGGTCTCAGAGAAAACCCGGCTGCACCACTGCAAATTTTCTCTACAGATGCAAGTCTCCACAATGAAAAACAGCTCAGCTACTTCTGTTACGTGCCCTCTGAACAGCCATCTCAAAACATGTCAAAGTAGTGTATTTGGGGGAAAACTATTTCCTTCACTCTCCATTTTGAACTTTAAAAGTCTTCACAAATTAAAAACCAAGTCAATTTCTTTGGAGAGATTTGGGTTAGAGATTGTTAGATAAGAGATAGGCAAAGGAAGGAAAATATAAACTGGGATAAGCAGAAAAGAACAAATTTAAATATATCATCTCGTATCTTCTTGAATCAGTCTCAGTCCTGAAAATAGATCAGGTCAGTTAAACAGCTGTGCTCCATTCCAGAAGGTGGCACTGCAGATGAGTTAGGCCTCTATATATGAAACAGGCAAATAGAACTTTGAAGGCACCAAGCCAATCATGAGGAATCCGTCCCCATGACACAAACACCTCCCACCAGGCCCCACCTCCAACATTAGGAATCACATTTTAGTACGAGATTTGGAGGAAACAAATACCCAAACCATATCAACAGTTTATGTTCTTAGCCATAGAGGCACTTTACAGAAAGCATAAGGACTTGGATTGTCCCAAAACAGGTTATGGGAACAGGAAAAGGAGGCCTGACTGGCAAAAGGGGACTTGTTATGTAAATGAAGCCTCACGGTCTCACAGAAAACCGTAAGAAGTGCCAATAAGAGACATTTCCATGGAAATAGAAGAAAAACAGAGGTTAATGTCTGGTGTAATCTATAGATTAGTTTTTTTTTTTAAATCTCTGGAGCATCTTTAGATTGCAGTAGCAATCTGACAAATTTTCCTAGATTAGAGTTTGAATTAGATATTCAAGCAAGCCTTCTGAGTAGTCTATACATCAGCTGGCACAAAAGCTGTTTACATGTAAGTTGCTGTGGTGATTTCCCCCAGCGTTTATATCAAGTTGTCTAGTTTCAGTTAGCAGGACTTCAAGAAAAGCACAGCTTTAATGTCCAGTGATTCCAACTATGAAAAATGGGAGAAAATTTTGAAAATATTAGTTTGGAGATTTTAGCTGGGAAAGAATTCAGGATACAGTCCAAATTGTAGGCAAATAATAAAAAGCCAAAAACAATGGTCAGGGCTAGAATCTAATAACAGGTGTGCCACAGTTTTCTACTGAAACATAATTTTTTTTCTCTCTAGTCTCCAATTTTTACCAAAGATTAATCATAATAGGACCAATTTATTTTCAAAATAAGTTTTAGTCTTCTTATATTAGGCTTATTACTGGCATAAAGTACAGCAAGACTAGTGATCGGCCACACAGGCTCTTTTTAAGTTGGCTTCGCTGGAAATTTTTATAATGAATTTCAGATTAGACTCTATAGGGACTCTCAAGGCTAGGAAGTCAAGTCAAGGATTTGCCATTGGATTGTGCCTGCAATATCTGTCCAAATTGGATGCACTGCTCTGTTCTCAAGGTCCCCAAAATATCCTGAGGTTCCTAAACCTGTCAAAAAGTGACCTCCTTTACTTACTTCAAGGTCAGGAACCTTGTAAGAGAACCATGTAGACAAAGTACCAGGCCAGTCTTTCTTTGGGGCTTTTTATAGGCTCTATAAAGTCAAGTTCAAGTCCTCAAAGCAGCCTAGTCATGAAAATATGCTAGTCCAGTCAAAGTCTTGGTGAAATAACTAGTGTCTCAAATTTTATCCTGTTACAAAAGAAAACAGATTCTTATTGAATTTATGCAAATAACTATATTGTCATAAATCAAAAGCACTCACAAATAGTTTCCAAATTCTGAAGAAATCAAGTAGAGAGAAAGGTAAATCTTTCCATTTTGTAAGCTATACAAAAGTATACATTAATCAATTATTGTAAGCTACAAATAGCTCAAAAAAGTTTTCTTGACTCTGAAAACAAAACAAAAAGAATCAGCAATGTTTCAAACAAAAAAGTAATAAAAATCATTTTAGTTGTCTATCAGTTCACTACTATATAATTAATTTTATTCCGCTTTATGTCGGGTTAATAAACCTCATGAATGCATCAGCATTTTAATTAGTCCTGAAAGTTTTTTTACCTCGTCCAATGGTATGATCTCTAAAGTTATCAGAAATCTGTATTTAAGTGTACTTGTCAGGGTCCCTTTATGAATTTCCTTGAAGAGAAAGCACATTTTTGACAGTAGTTCATTATAAATTGCCTTTTAGGAAGAATTAAAGTAAAACAATAATTGCCCATGGATGACAAAATACTTAGAATAGACATGGTTAAAGACACAATTGAAAAAAAAATTGGGTTATTTTTGTGGCATAAACCATACACCATAATAATTATAATCATTACTGACAACATGTACCAAAACATATCAGAATTTTAGGAATTTCATATAATTTTGAAACACATATTAATAACACATTTATACAAATATAATTCAAGGAAAGTTAAACATAATTTCTTATTTGACAATGCTTCCCACATGATTTTAACATACCAAATAAGCCTAATATGTCTCCTTTGAACTTCTAAGGATTATTTTTGGAATGTGAAATTTGAATTTGGGAAGTTATTAAATAGCAAACTTTTATAATACTTGATATTAAAATATGAAAACTTTTAAACACTTGATCAAATTAGAATCATAGCTTCCTCTAAAGTAATAGTCATCTCTCTATTCAAAGTGATAATTCAAAGATGTCAAGAAGCAAAATCTGATAGAGAGGAGACTTAGTTTCCCAAACAATCAACAGACCTAAAAAAGAGCATGAAGTATATTGATTCTGTATCTCCCTTCTCACCTCTTTTATTTATTTATTTATTATATTTATTTTGCAGTTTACTAAAAATATAAACAAAAATATTTTACTATCTCTCATTAATACTACATGAAAATCTTGTTCAAAAAAAATCAAATTTTACCTTTTATATCAGTGCATTATTATTGTTAAAGCTAATTATAAGGAAACATTATAGTCTGTCTAATCTAATCAGCTTTGACCACACAAGATAATATTTCTATAAACCTTTTATAACCTCTTACATTTTTTCCATTCTATTTTTTCACCAACTTTGATATAGTTTGGATCTGTGTCCCCACCCACATCTCATGTTCAATTGTAATCCCATGTTGGAGATGGGGCCTGGTGGGAGATGACTGGATCATGGGGCAGAGTTTTCATGAATGACTTAGTATTATCCCCTTGGTATTATATAGAGAGTGAGTTCTCACAAGATCCGGTTGTTTAAAGTGTGTAGCACCTCCCCATTCCCTCTTGATCTGGCCCCTGCCATGTAAGACTCCTGCTCCTGCACTGACTTCTGCCATAAGTAAAAATTCCCCAAGGCCTCCCCAGAAGCAAATGCTGCCACACTTCCCGTGCAGCCTGCAGAACAGTGAGCCAGTTAAACTTTTTTATTTTACAAATTACTCAGTCTCAGGTATTATTTTTTAACATTTTTTTTTAAGTTCTGGAGTACATGTGTAGGATGTGCAGATTTGTTACATAGGTAAATGTGTGCCACGGTGGTTTGCTGCACAGATCAACCCATCACCTAGACATTAGGGCCAGAAACCATTAGCTATTCTTCCTCGTGCTCTCCCTGCCTGGACCCTACCCCAAAAGGCCCCAATGTGTGTTATTCCCCACCATATGTCCATGTGTCCTCATCATTCAGATCCCACTTATAAGTGAGAACATGTAATGTTTGATTTTCTGTTCCTGCATTAGTTTTCTGAGGATAACAGTTTCCAGCTCCACCCATGTCCCTGCAAAGGACACGATCTTGTTGCTTTTTATGGCTGCATAGTATTCCATGATGTATATGTATCACATTTTCTTTATCCAGTCTATTGTTGATGGGCATTTTGGTTGACTCCATGTCTTTGCTATTGTGAATAGTGCTGCAATGAACATATGCATTCATTTATTATATCTTTAAATAGAATGATTTATATTCCTGTATGTACATAAAGGAATTTATATACACATATAAAGCATTTATATAAAGCATTTCCAGTAATGGAAATGCTGGTCAAATGATATTGCTTCTTCCAGATCTTTGAGCAATTGCCACACTGTCTTCCACAATGGTTCAATTAATTTACACTCCCACCAACAGTGTAAAAGCATTCCTTTTTTGCCACAAACTCACCAGTTTCTGTTGTTTCTTGATTTTCTAATAATTGCCATTCTGACTGGCATGAGATGATATCTCATTGTGGTTTTGATTTGCATTTCTCTAATGATCAGTGATATTGAGCTTTTTTTTTTTCATGTTTGTTGGCCACATGAATGTCTTCTTTTGAGAAGTGTCTGCTCATGTCCTTTGCCCACTTTTTAATAGGGTTGTTTATTTTTTTCTTGTAAATTTGTTTAGGATTATCATAGACTAGAAATTAGACCTTTGTCAGATGGCTGGATTGCAAGAATTTTCTTCTATTCTGTGGGTAGTCCGTTCATTCTGATAATAGCTTCTTTTGCTGTGCAGAAGCTCTTTAGTTTAATTAGATCCCATTTGTTAATTTTTGCTATTGTTGAAATTGATTTTGGCATTTTTATCATTAAATCTTTACCCGTAACTTTGTCCTGAATGGTATTGCCTAGATGTTCTTCTAGAGTTTTTAAAGTTTGTGGTTTTACATTAAAGTCTTTAATCCATCTTGAGTTAATTTTTGTATAAGGTGTAAGGAAGGGGTCCAATTTCAATTTTCTGCATACGGCTAGCCAGTTCTCCCAGTACCATTTATTAAATAGGGAATACTTTTATCATTGCTTATTTTTGTCAAGTTTGTTGAAGGTCATATGTAGGCATGCTGTATTATTTCTGAGTTCCCTATTCTGTTACATAGGTCTATGTGTCTGTTTTTGTACTAACACCATGCTGTTTTGGTTATTGTAGCCTTGTAGTAAAGTTTGAAGTCAGGTAGCATGATGTCTCCAGCTTTGTTCCTTTTGCTTAGGATTGTCTTGGCTATACAGGCTCTTTTTTTGGTTCCATATGAATTTTAAAGTAGTTTCTTCTAATTTTGTGAAGAATGTCAGTGGTAGTTTAATGGTGATAGCATTGAATCTGTAAATTGCTTTGGGTAGTATGGCCATTTTAATGATACTTATTCTTCCTATCTATTAACATAGAATGCTTTTCCATTTGCTTTTGTCCTCTCTGATTTCCTTGATTAGTGGTTTGTAGTTCTCCTTGAAGAGGTCCTTCACTTGCCTTGATAGCTGTATTCCTAGTCTCTTTGTAGCAATCGTTAATGGGAGTTCATTCATGATTTCACTCTCTGCTTCTCTGTTGCTGGCATATAGAAATGCTAGTGATTTTTTGCATATTGATTTGTATCCTGAGACATTGTCAAAATTGCTTATCAGCTTAAGAAGCTTTTGGGCTGAGATGATGGGGTTTTATAGATATAGGATCATGTCATCTGCAAACAAAGATAATTTGACTTTCTCTCTTCCTTTTTGAATATGCTTTATTTTTTTCTCTTGCCTGATGTCCCTGGTGAGAACTTCCAATACTATCTTGAATAGGAGTGGTGAGAGAGGGCATCCTTGTCTTGTGCCAGTTTCCAAGGAGATTGTTCCAGCTTTTGCCCATTCGGTATGATATTGGCTGTGTGTTCATCCTAAATGGCTCTTATTATTTTGAGGTATGTTCCATTAATACCTAGTTTATTGGCTGGGTGCAGTGGCTCATGCCTGTAATACCAGCACTTTGGGATGCCAAGGTGGGTGGATCACTTGAGGCCAAAAGTTCGAGACCAGCCTGGCCAACATGGTGAAACTCTGTCTGTACTAAAAATACAAAAATTAGCTGGGTGTGGTAGTGGGTGCCTTTAATCTCAGCTACTCAGGGGGCTGAGGCAGGAGAACCACTTGAACTTGGGAGGCGTAGGTGACAGAGAGCCAAGATCACACCACTGCACTCCAGCCTGGGCGACAGAGCAAGACTTTATCTCAAAAAAAAAAAAAAAAAGGAAAACCTAGTTTATGGAGACTTTTTAACACGAAAGATATTGAGTTTATTGATGGCCTTTTCTGTGTCTACTGAGATAATAATGTGGTTTTTGTCTTTAGTTCTGTTTTTGTGATTAATTTCATTTATTGATTTGCATATGTTGAACCAGGCTTGCATCCCAAGGATGAAGCCAACTTGATCGTGGTGAATAAGCTTTTTGATGTGCTGCTGGATTTGGTTTGCCAGAATTTAATGAGGATTTTTGCAATGATGTTCATCAGGGATTTTGGCCTGAAGTGTCCCTTTTGTTGTATCTCTGTCAGGTTTTGGTATCAGGATGATGCTGGCCTCATAAAATGAGTTGGGGAGGAGTCTTTCCTATAAATTTTTTGGCAGTGTTTCAGAAGTAATTGTACCAGCTCCTCTTTATATCTCTGATAGAATTCAGCTGTAAATTCATCTGGTCCTGGGCTTTTTTGGTTGGTAGGCTATTTATTACTACCTTAATTTCAGAACTCATTATTGGTTTATTTAGGGATTCAGCTTATTCCTGGTCCAGTCTTGGGAGGGTGTACGTGTCCAGGAATTTGTTCATTTTTTTCTAGATTTTCTAGTTTATGTGCATAGAGGTGTTTACAGTATTCTCTGATGGTTGTTTGTATTTCTGTGGGGTCAGCGGCAATATCCCCCTTATTATTTCTGGTTGTGTTTATTTGATTCTTCTCTCATTTCTTCTTTATTAGTGTAGCTAGCAGTATATCCATTGTATTAATTTTTTTAAACACCAGCTCTGGGATTCATTGATTTTTGAAGGGTTTTTTCTGTCTCTATCTCCTTAAGTTCTGCTCTGATCTTGGTTATTTCTTGTCTTCTGCTAGCTTTGGGATTTGTATGCTCTTGGTTCTCTAGTTCTTTTAGTTGTGGTGTTAGGTTGTCAATTTGACGTCTTTCTAGCTTTTTGATGTGGGGCATTTCGTGCTATAAATTTCCCTCTTAACACTGCTGTAGCTGCATCCCAGAGATTCTGATACATTGCCTTTTTGTTCTCATTAGTTTCAAAGAACTTCTTGATTTCTGCCTTAATTTTACTATTTACCCAGTAGTTATTCAGTAGCAGGTTGTTCAATTTCCATGTAGTTGTGCAGTTTTGAGTGAGTTTCTTAATCTTGAGCTCTAATTTGTTTGTGCTATGGTCTGAGAGACTGTTTGTTGTAATTTAAGTTCTTTTACCTTTGCTGAGCAGTGTTTTTCTTCTAATTATGTGATAATTTTAGAGTAAGTGTGATGTGATGAGAATGTATATTCTGTTGTTTGGGGATGAAGAGTTCTGTAGATATCTATCAGGTCTACTTGATCTGGAGCTGAGTTCAGGTCCTGAATATCTTTGTTAATGTTCTTATCTCAATGATCTGTCTAATATTTACAGTGGGGTGTTAAAGTCTCCCACTATTATTGTTTGGGAGTCTAAGTCTCTTTGTAGGTCTCTAGGAACCTGCTTTATGAATCTACATGCTTCTGCATTGGGTGCATACATATTCAGGATAGTTAGCTCTTCTTGTTGAATTGAACCCTTTATCATTATGTAATGCCTTTCTTTGTCTTTTTATCTCTTCTGGTTTAAAATCTGTTTTGTCAGACACTAGGATTGCAACATCTGGTCTTTTCTGTTTTCCATTTGCTTGGTACATTTTTCTCCATCCCTTTATTTTGAGTATATGTGTATTATTGCATGTGAGATGGGTCTCTTGAATACAGCACACCAATGGGCCTTAACTTTTTAATCCAGTATGACATGCTGTGTCTTTTAATTGGGGCATTTAGCCCATTTACATTTAAGGTTAATATTGTTATGCATGAATTTGATCCTGTCATCATGATGCTAACTGGTTATTTTTCAGACTTGTTTATGTATTTGCTTCATAGTGTCACTGGTCTGTGTACTCCAGTGTGTTTTTGTAGTGCTGGTAAAGGTATTTCCTTTCCATAGTGCTTCCTTCAGAAACTCTTGCAAGGCAGGCCTGGTGGTGACAAATTTCTTCAATAATTGCTTGTCTGAAAAGGATATTATTTCTCCTTTACTTATGATACTTAGTTTGGCTGAATATGACATTCTGGGTTGGAAATTCTTTTCTTTAAGAATGTTGAATATTGACCTCCAATCTCTTCTGGCTTGTAAGGTTTCTACTGAGCGGTCTGCTGTTACTCTGAAGGGCATCCCTTTGTAGGTGACCTGGACTTTCTTTCTTGCTTCCCTTAAGATTTTCTCTTTCGTTTTGACCTTGGATAATCTGATGACTATATATCTTTGGGTTGATCTTCTCGTGGAATATCTTACTGGGGTTCTCTGGATTTCCTGAATTTGAATGTTGACTTGCCTTGCTATATTGGGGGAATTCTCCTGGATGATATCCTAAAGTATGTTTTACAACTTGGTTCCATTCTCCCTGTATCTTTCAGATACCCCAATCAGTCGTAGGTTCAGTCTTCTTACATAATCCCATATTTCTTGAAGTTTTTGTTCATTCCTTTCAATTCTTTTTTCTCTAAGCTTTTCTGCCTGTCTTATTTCAGAAAGATAATCTTCATGCTCTGAGATTCTGTCCTCCATTTGGTCTGTTTGACTATTGATACTTGTAATTGCATTGTGAAGTTCTCAAGTTGTGTTTTTCAGCTCCATCAGGTCATTTATATTCCTCTCTAAACTGGCTATTCTGGTTATCAGCTCCTATAATGTTTTATCATTATTCTTAGCTTCTTTGCATTAGATTACAACGTGCTCCTTTAGCTCAGCAAAGTTCATTGTTAATCACCTTCTCAAACCTACTTCTGTCAATTCAGCCATCTCAGCCTCAGGTCAGTTCTGTGCCCTTGCTGGAGAGGTGTTGTGATCATTTGGAGAAGAGGCACTCTGGCTTTTTGAGTTTTCAGTGCTTTTGTGTTTCTTCTTTCTCATCTGTGTGGACTTATCTACCTTTGAATCTTTGAGATTGCTGACATTTGAATGGTGTTTTTGTGGGGTGTTTTATGTTGATGTTGTTGTTGTTGTTGCTTTCTGTTTGTTTATTCTTCTTTTGACAATTAGTCCCCTGTTCCCTAAGGCTGCTGCATTTTTCTGGGGGCCCATTCCAGACTCCATTACCTGAATCCCTCTCACATCTGGAGGGGTCATCAGTGAAAGCTGCAAAACAGCAAAGATGGCCTTCCTGCTCCTTCCTCTGGGAGCTCTGTCTCAGAGGAGCACTGACCTGATGCCAGCCTGAATACTCCTGCAGGAGGCGTCTGGAGACCCCTGCTGTGAGGTCTCACCCAGTCAGGAGGTATGGGATAAGGGACCTACTTAAAAAAGCAGTCTCACTACCCCTTGGCAGAGCAGGTACACTATTCCAGGAAGAACCCCCTGTTCCAGATTGCCCAGACTTTTCAGAGCCAGCAGGCAGAAAAAACTAAGTCAGCTGAACCGTAGAGACCACAGCCGCCCCTCCCCAAAAAGCTCCATTCCAGGGAGATCAACGTTTCATAAAACCCTGACTCAAGATGCCAAAACTCATGCAGATTGGCCTGGCCCAGTGAGAGGGATGGATTGGGGTCTCACTTAAAGAATCAGTCTGACCACGATCTGTAACAGTAGCTGTGCTGCAACTGTGGGGAATTTCTCTTTTCTGGACTGCCCAGACTCCCTGGAGCTGGCAGGCCAAAACAGCTGACTTGAGCCACAGAGATGGTAGGCACCCCTCCTCCAACCCTCCCCAGGAACTTGGTTGTCTCACACAGTCTCCAGCCTGCTGGCCTTGGCTTGCTGGAATCCCAAGGCAGTAGGTATTAACTTGTGAGGTGCCATGGGAATGGGGCTTACTGAATGACACTGCGTGCCTCTGTGGCTTCAGCTCCCTTCCTAGGGGAATGGACAGATCTCCTCCCTCACTGAAGTTACCAGGGCTGGAGTATGCAAAAACTCCTGAGTCTCCGTGCTTGCCCAAGTGGCTGCTGAGAGTCTGCACAGCTCTCTGCTTCATACCCAAGGCTGTGGTAGTGCAGGCTCACAAGGGAATCCTGATCTGCAGGTTTCAATGATCTGTAGGAAAAGTGTGGTTTCCTGGGTAGAGTCAATCACTCACTGCCTCCTTTGGCAGGGGGTAGTGGCTCCTCTGGCTCCATGCCACTCATGGGTGGGCCATCACCCTACTCTGCCTTTTCTCACTGTCCAAGGGTCATGCTGAACACCTAGTCAGTCCCAGTGTGAGAACCGGGATACCTCAGTTGAAGGTGTAGAATTAACTCACTGCTTTTGTTCTTCTCTGTAACAACTGTGGACATCAGCTGCTTCTAATTGACCATCTTGGCCTGCCCCTGGTATTTCTTTATAGCAATACAAAAATGGACAAATACAAACTTTTTAATATCCATTTAGTTTTAACAATTTTTCATATTTTTTGAATTTAAAAGAACCTTTAAATAGCCTCTAAATAAGACAAAATTATTTTTCCTTTAACAAAAGCCACATTTAATGCCTTTTAAAAATAATCTTCCTTATTAAAAAACATTCCATCTTTCTTACACATTTTGCATATTGAATTGTTTCTCATATCTAGTAGTTTTAATTGCATAAATTAATTACAATGTTAACTCTTAGTAACCCTTAATTTTGGTGGAAAACTAAGGAAATAAGCAGTTTTAATTATGTAACAGATGCAGAGCTCAGGACAAAAAAACAGAGTTGTGAAGACAATGTCTGGAGGACTTAACCCTTCCTAGCATGGCCAAGAGGCACAGCTAGGCCAGGAAGAACTTTGGGTATCTATTTCCAACACTCACTCTGGCCACTAGTCTAGTCTTCAGAATCTAAAAGCTTAAAACCAAGACATAAACTTACAAAGTAAGTCAATATCAAAAGTATCACTGAATATTTATCAGAAACATTCTAATCCTATCAAACGAATATATCCAGGCAAAAATCTCTAAATTAAATTTTGAAAACATTTGTATTATATTTTACCAGTAATTTAAAAACTGGCTTTATATACCAAAGATTACTAAAGTCATGTGAACTTTAAAAGAATTTGAGATTATTTACTTAATCTATGAGTACTCATATACTTACAAGTTAATTTGATATCATGCAGATAATATACAAACAGATGTGTATGATATGTATACACATATATACATAAAAATACAGAGAAACACAAAAAAACTTATAACTTTTATTTTAAAATTTTATCCAGGAGGCAGGTAAAACTTACTCGTTTAAAAGGGCAGTTGGATTTAGATTTTGCTTTTGTAAATAGAAAAGATTAAAGTTTATCTGTCTCATATGGCCCACGCACTCACCAAGTTTTAGAGAAGAAAAGAGTAGCAAATTTCTTTATCAAGACACAGAAAAAAATAAAATTTTTTAAGAAGGAGTTTGGATTTGTTAGAGGGAGATTAAAAATGGATGCCAAGGTAACATAAAATCATAGAAATTAATCACAGGATTTTACACAAAAACAGACAAGTGACTCTAGAGAAAATTTTAAAACCTTTTCAAAATAACCAGCTGAATACCAGAAAGTCATATTTTGGAGAGCAATCTAGTTAGATAGATGGCTTTTAATTTAGTCTGTTTTCTAACTGCATACCTGAGCTCAAGGCAGAGTCCATTAATGAATACAGTCAACCAAGCATTTGCAGTTTCTAGGGCCTAATATTTAATATATAAAAAGCAGGCACAACTGGAAGGTAGAATACCCAGATCCACATAAATTAAAGATTTTATTTTTACACTGGATTCTAGGTCCCCACAAAGAGGAAAACACCATGCATGAGATTAGGCCGTGCAATGTTCCCACAGTATACCTCACTAAAAAGAGATCCCCCACAAAGTTGGTGCATGACCCAATGCCAGTCAGCCCACTATGATTAGCTCGTCGCCCATGGGAGTCTTATACATTGGTGGTGAGCACTCCCATATATTTCAAGTGTTCAAAGCATCCATTTCTTATCTAAGGTGCCAAGAAGTGCATATCCCCTTTCAGTAATAACTATTTATTGCAACCACTGTCAGCCACCTCTGAAACTATAGCCAGTAACCCACCAGCCATTGCACATACAAAGGTTTCCTCTTATAGTACAAAGTAACTCCTGGTACTCCCAAAAGCCAAAGAGATCAGGTGATTCAATGCAAAAGAGAGCAAAGCTGTAAACGAGGGCAAAGTAGATTTTCAGGATCCACTAGGAAGAAGAGAGAAGACCCCAGAATCAGTGTGTGTGGTGTCTTTTTCTATTTTCTTCTAGGTATTTCAGGGTTGTTAGAAGTCTCTTCTAGATTTCTTCATGTGGTATCAAAGATGGCAAAGAGGAAGGAGAGGCAAGGAGTAGAAATAAATGGGGGGGAAATTAAAAAAAAAACAGAAAACAGAGGGACAAATTACATAATCTTAAAAAGGGGTTCAGACAACTGAAAAAAAAATTCAAAAACAGATCCAAAATCAGAAAGACCTTGAATATCAGCTTCTAATTAATATGACTTCTGACAAAGGAGCACTTTAAAAAAACTTTTAAAAAGTCTCTAAGTATCAGATTTTAGCCGGGATAAATAGTTGATATCCCTGATATTACTGGCTTTTGAACCTTATTATTTTTACCAACGTTCCTCTTCCCAACAATAAATGGGTCCTCCCAAAAGGCAAAAGTCAGAAAATATCAAATGAAAGGGGTCTGGCTCTTTAACTGGGAATTGAATCCAGGCCATAGTGATGGAACAGAATTGTATCTTCTAGATTACAAGGTAGGGCAGCTTTCATTGTCAGTTCTGTGTGGGGTCTAAAGCAGGCAGTCTGAGCATATAAAGAATTTTAACTTTGTTTTAGGTCAGGTAGATTTTAGCATTTTAATTTAGTCAAAAGATTTTCTATCATGACACTATTATATGTTTTTCTATTAATTTGATGTCTCCATAAATACAAATAAATAAAACAATTTTTTAAAATGAGAGATCTCTAAAAACTTTTTTTTGTAATTTAGTAGTCTGTCTAATGTAAATGATCCACTAATGATTAGAATTTCCAATAGTGTACTTATTCCAACGGTGACTCAACCCAGTGGCAACTTCATAGAAAGCTCAGGGTGTAATTTTATAGGTTTAGAATAAGACTAAATTGATGTTTTTTGGAGAAGGCATAGGAGAGGCAATCCCAAAGATCTCTCTCCAGAACTTTTGCTTCAAAGAATAGGTTAAGATAGCAAAAGTCTCTTGTTGCCACTGATGGTTAAGGATGGTGTTTATGTGTACAGGGCCTGGTTACCCACAAGTTTGTGGGTGCTGCTCATCATAGATCTGTCAATCCATGACACCAGCTAGGCCCTCCTGGGATTAAACATTTCCTGGACTAACAAGGCTACAAGAGTTGAGATGACAAAAGTTCGTGGGAATGGAATGTCTTAAGACAAGCTCCCCTGAGAGCATGACACATTCAGAACAAAGAGTGTGTTGCATAGAATCTTATGTGTCTTGGATTCCTAATCTTTTCAGATTGGCCACCAGATGTGACCCAAAAATCATTCCCCTCCCCCTAGATGGTGCAGAGCCAGAGTGTTCCCACTGTGTCAAAAGTCAAGCCCTCAAAGACATAAAACAAGACAAGAGGGGAAACTCATCCAGTTTTTATTTTGGGGACAGACAGCAAATTTTATATACCATTCTGATCAGAATGGCAAAACTGACTGGTCTGCAGGGCCAGCTTGAGCAATGGGATTATAGTGGTTTTAGGCCTGTGTTTTACCCTATAATATCCCTTTTATGACAGAACAACATGGAAAAACAAAGGAAAATACTGTGTATTAGTCAAGGTTCTCTAGAGGAACAGAACTAATAGGATACATGTATACATAAAGGAGAGTTTATTAAGGAGTATTGACTCACACAATCACAAGGTGAGGACCCACAAAAGGCCCTCTGCAAGCTGAGGAGCAAGGAATACAGTCCGAGTCCCAAAATCTCAAAAATAGGGAAGCCAACAGTGCAGCCTTCAGTCTGTGGTTGAAGGTTCAAGAGCCGAAAAGCTGAAGAACTTGGAGTCCAATTTTTGAGGGCAGGAAGTATCCAGCATGGGGGAAAGATGTAGGCCAAAAGACTAAGCCAGTCTAGTCTTTCCACATTTCTTTGCCTGCTTTTATTCTAGCTGCACTGGCAACTGATTAGATTGTGCCTATCCAGATTGAGGGTGGTTCTGCATTTCCCAATTCAGTGACTCAAATGTTAATCTCTTTTGGCAATACCCTCACAGATACACCCAGGAACAACCCTTTTCATCCTTCAATCCAATTAAGTTGACACTCAGTATTAACCAACATAGTCTGTTTTGGGTATGATAGGAATCAAACAATATGAATATTTATACCATAAAATATACCAGCATTGCTATACCCAAGACTACTCACACAAATTTTTTTCTCCTATTAATCAGAACTTTGCAGAGAAAAAGAGAGACAAATAGTGGGTTTTTAGCGTCAGCTCAGTCAAATTCCACAGGAAGAGAGACCAGGAGCCTGGCTGGTAAAAATTCTTACCTTTCTGTTGGCTTGTCAGGTCCTGGGTTTCTTTCACTGTGGCTCCCTGAAAAGCAGAGCAGCTTTGATGAGATCCTGTTCACAGTGCCAAAACTGTAGGGGTGAAGGGCTTCCCCTTAGCCCTCTGAAGGTTTGCTGAAAAGTCAGTTCACAAAAGGAAATGAATCAGTAACATGGCATACAAATTTATTAACATGCACATGAGAAAGAATCATAGAATGATTACCTCACTTTCCTCACCCCACACCCTCACCACTTGAAGTTCAGAAGCTCATATACCATCTTGAGGTTACAGAAAGAATGGGGACTTAGATCATGCAAAACAGGTAATAGTGACAAAGAAGGTTATAAAAAGAGAAGAAGAGGAGGCCTAACTAGCGAAGGTGGTCTTGTGTGTCTGGCTGGCAAAAGTTGTCTTGAGAGGTGAATGAAGTCTCACAGCCCTGAGAGAAAATAGATGGTAAATGTTTACATCAGACTTTTAAAGGTGTCAGACTCTCAGTTAAACTTCCCTAGATCCAGATGAGGGAGGCTTTCAGAGAAAGCCTGGCTGCATCAATGCAGATTCTCTACAGATGCAAATCTCCCCCTCAAAAGGCAGTTTAGCAGGGCTACTTCTGTTTGCATGTCCTCTGAACAGCCATCTTGAAATATGTCAAAGTAGTATATTTTGGGATAAAATATTATTATTTCTTTCAAGATCACAAGGGCAGAGTCCTGTGAGTAAAATTAGTGCCATTATAAAGAAGTCCTGGAGAGGCTTGTTTGCTCCTTTGCTGACCCCCTGTATTAGTCCATTCTCATGCTATATATTAGTCTGTTCTCATGCTGCTAATAAACACATACCTGAGACTGGGTAATTAATAAGGAAAGAGGTTTAATTGATTCACAGTTCAGCATGGCTGGAGAAGCCTCAGGAAACTTATAATCATGACAGAAGTGGAAGCAAACATGTCCTTCTTTACATGGTGGCAGGAAAGAGAAGTGCCAAGTTAAGGGTGGGAGAGCCCTTTATAAAACCACCAGATTTCATGAGAACTCACTACCATGAGAACAGCATGAGGGTAACTTCATTCATGATTCAATTATCCCCACCTGGTCCCTCCTATGACATGTGGGGATTATGAGAACTAAAATTCAAGATGAGATTTGGGTGGGGACACAGCAAAACCATATCATTCAACCCCTGGCAATTCCCAAATCTCATGTACTCCCATTTTAAAACACAATCATGCCTTTCCAACAGTCCCCCAAATTAACCCAAAAGTACAAGTTCAAAGTCTTATCTGCAACAAGGCAAGTGCCTTTGACCTATGAGCCTGTAAAATCAAAAGCAAGTTAGTTACTTCCTAGATACAATGGGTAAATTGGGTAAATACGTCCATTACAAATAGGAGAAATTGGCCAAAACCAAGGGGCTACAGCCCCCATGCAAATCCAAAATCTAATAGGACAGTCATTAAACCATAAAGTTCCAAAAAGATCTCCTTTAACTCCATTTCTTACATTCAGGTCACGCTGATGAAAGAAGTGGACCCTTATGGCCTTGGTCAGCTCTGCCCTTGTCGCTTTGCAGGGTACAGCCCTCCCCCTGGCTGCTTTCATGGCTGTTGTTGAGTGTCTGTGGCTTTTTCAGGGACATGGTGCAAGCTGTTGGTGGATATAACATTCTGGGACCTGGAGGAGAGTGGGCCTCTTCTCACAGCTCCACTAGGCAGTGCCCCAGTGGGGACTCTCTGTGGAGCCTCCAACCCCACCTTTCCCTTCCACACTGCCCTAGCAGAGGGTCTCCATGAGGGCTTCAGCTCTGCAGCAGACTTCTGCCTGGACATCCAGGTATTTCCACACATCCTCTGAAATCTAGGCAGAGGTTCCTCAACATCAATTAATGACTTCTGTGCACCCACAGGCCCAACACCACATGTAAGCCTCCAAGGCTTAAGGCTTGCACCCTCTGATGCAACGGCCTGAGCTGTACCTTGACCCCTTTAGCCATGGCTGGAGCTGAAGCAGCTGGAACTCAGGGCTCCATGTCTTGAGGCTGCACAGAGCAGGGGGTTCCTGGGCCCAGCCCACAAAATCATTTTTCCCTCCTAGGCCTCAAAGCCTTTGATGAGAGGGGGTGTCGTAAAGGTCTCTGAAATGCCCTGGAGACATTTTCCCCATTGTTTTTGTAATTAACATTCAGCTCCTCATTACGTATGCAAATTTCTGCAGCTGGCATGAATTTCTTCCCAGAAAATAGGTTTTTCTTTTCTTTTGCATAGTCAAGCTGCAAATTTTCCAAACTTTTATGGTCTGCTTCCTCTTGAATACTTTGCCACTTGGAATTTCTTCCGCCAGATACCCTAAATCATCTCTCTCAAGTTCAAACTCCAACAGATCTCTGGGGCAGGGGCAAAATGCTGCCAGTCTCTTTGCATAGCAAGAGTGACCTTTACTCCAGTTCCAAAGAATTTCCACATCCCCATCTGAGACCACCTCAGCGTCGACTTCATTGTCCATATCACCATCAGCATTTTGGTAAAAGCCATTCAACAAATCTCTAGGAAGTTCCAAATTTTTCCATATATTTCTGTTTTCTGAGCCCTCTAAGTTTCTAAGAAGTTCCAAACTTTCCTACATTTTCCTCTCTTCTTCTGACCCCTCTAAACTGTTTTAACCTCTGCCTGTTACCCCATTCCAAAGTCACTTCCACATTTTTTGATATCCTTAGAGCAGCACACCACTATCTGCATTACCAATTTACTGTATTAGTCTGTTCTAATGCTACTAATAAAGACATACCTGAGACTGGGTAATGTATAAAGGAAAAAGGTTTAATGGACCCACAGTTCAGCATGGCTGGGGAGGCCTCAGGAAACTCATAATCATAGCAGAAGGGGGATGCAAACATATCCTCCTACACACGGTGGTAGGAAGGAGAAGCGCCAAGCAAAGGAGTAAAGTCCCTTATAAAACCATCAGATCTCGTGAGGACTCACTCACTATCACGAGAACAGCATGAGAGTCACCACCCCCATGACTCAATTACCTCCCACCAGGTCTGTCACATGACACAGGGGATTTATGGCAACAACAATTCAAGATGAGATTTGGGTGGGGACACAGCCAAACCATATCACTGCTCTAAAGAATCGCTGCTCTAAAGAATTGCCCAACAAGGACTTCATGTCTAAAACACCAAAAGCAATGGCAACAAAAGCCAAAATTGACAAATGGGATCTCATTAAACTAAAGAGCTTCTGCACAGCAAAAGAAACTATCATCAGAGTCAACAGGCAACCTACAAAATGGGAGAAAATTTTCACAACCTACTCATCTGACAAAGGGCTAATATCCAGAATCTACAATGAACTCAAACAAATTTACAAGAAAAAACAAACATCCCCATCAAAAAGTGGGGGAAGGACATGAACAGACACTTCTCAAAAGAAGACATTTATGCAGCCAAAAAACACATGAAAAAATGCTCACCATCACTGGCCATCAGAGAAATGCAAATCAAAACCACAATGAGATACCATCTCACACCAGTTAGAATGGCAATCATTAAAAAGTCAGGAAACAACAGGTGCTGGAGAGGATGTGGAGAAATAGGAACACTTTTACATTGTTGGTGGGACTGTAAACTAGTTCAACCATTGTGGAAGTCAGTGTGGCGATTCCTCAGGGATCTAGAACTAGAAATACCATTTGATCCAGCCACCCCATTACTGGGTATATACCCAAAGGACTATAAATCATGCTGCTATAAAGACACATGCACACGTATGTTTATTGCAGCATTATTCACAATAGCAAAGACTTGGAACCCACCCAAATGTCCAACAATGATAGACTGGATTAAGAAAATGTGGCACATATACACCATGGAATACTATGCAGCCATAAAAAATGATGAGTTCATGTCCTTTGTAGGGACATGGATGAAATTGGAAATCATCATTCTCAGTAAACTATCGCAAGGACAAAAAACCAAACACCGCATGTTCTCACTCATAGATGGGAATTGAACAATGAGAACACATAGACACAGGAAGGGGAACATCACACTCTGGGGACTGTTGTGGGGTGGGGGCAGTGGGGAGGGATAGCATTAGGAGATATACCTAATGCTAAATGATGAGTTAATGGGTGCAGCCCACAAGCATGGCACATGTATACATATGTAACTAACCTGCACATTGTGCACATGTATCCTAAAACTTAAAGTATAATAATAATAAAATAAAAAAAGAAAAAAGAAAAAAAAAACGAATTGCCCAAGATTGGATAATTTATAAAGGAAAGAGATTTAATTGACTGACAGTTCTGCATGGCTGAGAAGTCCTCGGGAAACTTATGATCATGGTGGAAGGGGGAGCAAACATGTCCTTCTTCACATGATGGCAGGAAGAAGAAGTGTGAGAACCAAGCAAAGGGGGAAGCCCTTTATGTAAGCATGAGATCTCACCCCTTATATAAGCATAAGATCTCATGAGAACTTACTATCACAAGAATAGCATGGGGGAAACTGCCCCCATGATTCAATTATCTCCAGCCAGCTCTCTCTCCAAACACACGGGGATTATGGGAACTGCAATTCAAGATTTGAGTGGGGACACAGCCAAACCATATCACCCCATTTCACCCTTGGATGACATAACAACAAGATGCTGTCTATGAAGCAGAGAGCCCTCACTAGACACCAAATCTGTTGCCACTGTGATCTTGGACTTTCCAGCCTTCCGAACTACGATCAATAAATTTATGTTTTTTATTAATTACCCAGTTGAAGGCATAGGTTATAGCAGTCCAAGTGCTCTAAGACGGTGTCGTTTTCCACAGTAGAGATTATTTTTGTAGGTTATACAAATACTTCTGAAGAACATTTAAAGCTACATGTCAGTCATACCATAGTGTAGGCATAGATATGTAACAGATTTATCCCACTCTCTTCCACTCTGATAACTAAGAGTAGATTTGAATGGAGGGCTGAAGGAGGAAGGCAAAATTAAAAGGATAAATAGAGCATAAAATACTATTTTGGAAGGGCAGAAGTGGGTAACCGATGGCATGAGCAAGAGCATTAGACCTCAGAGAAAGAAGACACAGGTAGGATGAAACACCAGTGATAAGTTTCACTCACAAATAACACAATTCAGTTAAGTTAGCTCTAGCTTGAACACAAAGGGTTTTTGTCTTTTTATTTTTTATAAAACCTATAAATAATATATTATTGGCCAAAATATTTTGCTTAGTTTGTTTGATGTGAAAGTCTTTTTTTTCAAAAGAGCTCATGTTTTTCACATGTTACTTCCCAGCTTACTAATTTAGTCCAGTTAACTATAGACACTACATATACATTCTCATTTTTTTAAACTATTGAGAGGAAAAAAGACCTCCACTATTCTAAATATTTGGTATTTCTTCTCCAAAGATTCTACCATGAACAGTATGCAATTCTAATGTTTTATAATCCCTAATACTCTGTAAAGGAAAGAACAAAATTTTGGCTACTAGAAATCTCTCCGTAATGACACTGTCATCCTGAAGGAGTAGTGAACAGTGAGAGAGGCTATTTTCCAGGGGGTCTTGGTAAAATGAGCTACATCTCATTTTATAGCAGGTATTATCTTTTGCCTATTCAATACGGAAATGAGCAATCTCATTTAGCAAAGTTTTGAATGCTTTATTTCAAAACTGCAACTGCATGAGCCATAGAAATTATAGCAGCAGTCTTCTCAATCTCAATTCAAATGTCATTGATATTTGCCTTCACTTACCTTTTTTTATTCTTTGAAAGCATAAACTCTATCTTCTCCTTTTTTTTCATCCTAAGTACCCATATGTAGATTTCCCTGAGAAGAACAACTTTACTTTATCTGTAACCTTTTGAAATACAGTATGGTAGTACTAATTCACACACAAGTTTGTAAATTGTCCATGATTCTAAATTGTGTCCTATAGCACCCTTAATTAATGGCTGAATTTAATGTGTTCCTTTTTAGTTGTTCTATACCTAGTCCCAGCAAAGTCATGGAAAGGTCTCTAAGGAGATTAAGAATTAACACTTTGAGTAATAACAAGAATATGGAATGAAATACAAAGGTAAGAAGAGAGAAGATAAGAAATACAGTTTTCAGCAAATGTTATCCCCCAAAATATTGTTTTAGCAAAGTTTTCAATGCTTTAGATGAATCTTTATCTCACTCCATACTGCACTCAACATAATGTCCAGCTCAAAGGGCATTTCATATATGCCTATTGATGACACAGATATGATGGTTATTACCAGAACAAGAAACCCAAATTGCCAGGTTTTATTACGCCCGTTTTTGTGTATTCTCTCTCAAATTCCTAAGTTATTTAGAATAACAGAACATTATAATTTCCTATTTATACTATGGGCCAAAATGCTATTGTTTTTAACATTCTCAACATCCATCTCTGGACAATGTTTATTGAGATCTTGGATGATCATACGTGGAGTTGGGTAATCCTCATCTTTGAAAGTTCCCATTTGCAAGTACTCATATATACTTCCTGGGAAGGTGAATAGGTTCGCGGTAAAAAAGGACATTCTCTGAAGTGTAGTAACATAAAAATATTTCTGATGCATTACAACAATCCCATTGAAACGTAACTTCAAAAGGAACACCAGTGCTCCTGAGAGGGAACACCATAAAATAGCCTGGACTAATGATGTAGCTGCAATCCCAAGACCAAAGTGTGTTTGTAGGATACAGTTAGACTCCAGCAGGACTTGCACTGACAGTGGAATCCATGCTGGTCTAGTCTCCGTGACACCTTCTGCAAATTTTGTGGAAACACCAAGGGCAAAATCCCCAAACGGACATAACACCACTGTTGGCCCCAGGGGGTGCGGCAGTACATCCCTTGGCGAAATGAAAGCAGGATCATTCTCTTTTCTACCTCACTAAACCTGGGCATGTAACTTGCAGCAGAAGCCACAGACTTCTGCTTTTTCTACTAGCATCAGAGCCCTGTCTTCCCCACAGACACAGTGACTCCTCAGGCAAGTGAATCCCCTTGATTGCGGCAGCACTGCCTCTGGCCAACTAAGATATTTGTGATTTTCATCCCAAGTTTACCACAGACCTCCAGGTGAGAAACACATTCCTAGGTTGATGAGTATCTTTAAGGTTTGGATAAAAAATCGGACGAATAAACCAAGGAAAAGGGTGATTTTTTTTTTTTTTTTTGACTATGTAATAGGTGGGGGCTTAGAGCAATGAGACCTGGAGGAAAACGTAAACATGGCCTTGTCTGATACTGAGTTGGCTGACTGGTATACCTAAACTTTTCGTCTCCATAATCCAACCTGCAAGAACTCTGGAGGTTATCTGGAATGAAAACAAACTAACAAATAAAACTAACGGTACTGTAGAGTTTTACTTGGAATTATAGTAAATTAAAATGTCCACTCAGTGGTACATCTGTAAAGAAGTGCCATTTTTTCACTTGCCCTAGTTTTCCTGCAAAGTGTCTGTGAGCAAGTCTAGTAGGGCTTAGTACACCAGAATTGTCCCAACCAACCTTCCTGCAGAGGAAGTGCACATCCCTCAAACTGAATACTGATCTCCATGAGTTTATTTTCCTCTCTTCTGAGACCATCCTGCTCCCATTGGCCTCTTTCAGCTGATGCCTCAAAGCCATGATTCTCATATTGAGTAGTCTGACATTCCTAAAGCATTGACTCACCTCTCCTTGCTTACTGTCACCACCTTTCCTCTTGCTCCTCCCTTCATCCAGGTGCTGTGTTCTTGATCACCTTGTAGACAGTCATTTCAAGCTTCCAGCTTTCTCCAGCCAATCCATTGACCCCTTTCCTAATGGCACTTCTAATTGCATGATGTTCAGTGGATTTTTTTTCTTTCTAATTTTAAAGGACATGAAATTGGAAAGGTGTAAAGAAAATTGCTGCATTTTAAAATAAACAAAAGGCTATCACTAATTTGGAGTTCATAACCTTTATTTTTTTTCTATGTTTATGATCAGAAACTTTACAAAAACCATTCTGATTTTGTCATTATTTTGGAAAAATAATTACATACTAAATAAAAACATGCAAAACCTTGTTAATTTGTGTCACATAGGTTCCTTTTTTTCTTGGGTATGGATAAATTACATCTTTTGGAAAAGATTTAAAGGAAAAAGAGAACCAAAATATCTATAATCAAATATGTACCATAAACCTAATAATTAGAAAATATAATAGTGCAGCAAAAAAGTAAAAATAGTATGAGGTATGAGTAATGAGAGGATAGCATTTTTCACAAGACTCAGTCAAAGTTATTAGCTCACTACACCTCCATGCCAGAGTAGCCAATAACACAAGATCCTGTTATCTTCACATGCCAATCCCACCAAAGCCTAGAGAGAAATGACAAGTGGCATTCACTGCAGGAGACTAAATGAACATTTGAAGAGAATGAAGCTACCTTGATTCAAGGATCACATGGATCTGTGCAGTAGCAAACAGGAAAATATAGGCTAGTGCTATATAAATATAGCTGATGAAAACTCCACATCTTTAATATCTGAATTGTACAGACAATTACAGACAGACAGCATAAAACTATTAGTACCTCGGATAACAAGGCTGACACAAGTAAATGATCACATCAGTGTGGTAACCAGGCTTGTTTGCAACAGACAGCAGGATTAAAAAAACAACCAAACTCCATATTGTACATACAAAGATGAGGATAGAGGCATTTAACATATGTAATCTAAATTAAATATGGCTCTAATTTTCAAGTGAGGAAGGTATACCAAATTGCTATTGCAAAGATATCCAGAAAGCAATGGTTCAAATAAGATAGAAGTTTACTTCTAAAAAGACTGGTGTGCAGGCTCCATTCCTTCAAGCTGTCTAGGGTTCAGGTTAGAAGAACAGCTCTACTACCCTCTGGGCATTGCACAAGTGAGTTTCCAGCCAGAAATACCAGTGAAAAAGAGATAGAGGGCATGAAAAAGACTGTTAAAGCCCAGTCCAAAGGACTTTTCATTTCTGCTAACATTCCACTGGAAGAAGTAGAAAGCAGAACTTGGTATATAGATAGTATAATTGAATTTAATAGGAGGGCTACACATAAATAAAAATACATTTTATTTTTGGTTTGAGAGAAATAGATGGTTGGAGAATGTTTGGAGGGATGATTGTCATTTATTAATAGTTTTATAAATATTATGTAATTCATTTGATCTAGTTTGTGCAATGACTGGTAACGGATGTTTTTTCATGAACACATACTTACAGGCCATACTCTCAATTGCTTGTGTCTGTCAGATCCATTCATTTTCACTATTTCCCTACTAATAAAATATTGGAAATGTGGCAGAGGGTTTCATGACAACTCTCAGGATTTCCTGATCTGGGAAAAGAGGGAATATAATATTAATCTTATGGCAATATATCCAAAAGCAGAGTTCAAAGAGCATGTTTAACATGACTCTTTTGAACTAGATCATTTGAAAGTCATAAGAATCCAGGTACTACTCTCTTAGTTTCCCATCACATTGATCTCAGCAACATACAAATAAAGAGAATAGGTTATTCTAAATATATGTGTATATATATATATATAATGACTGTATAACTCTTCTGACCTGTGAGCAGTGGCAGCATCTTTGGAATGCTGTATAGAAACAGGACAGCACCATTTTAAAAGACACTTCTATCAGTATTTCTTAGGATTTTAAGTTCATTTCACTGGCAAGAAACTGCTCCTTTATACCTATAAAAATCAATGTCTTCTAGCACAGTTTTATTTGTATATCAGTATTTCTTATGTTAAGTAGAAGAACACAGTGAGGAAAAGAGCATAGCAAACCCCTTATATTCTGGTTAAAAATAAAGGCTTTGCAGACAGGCCAGTATGTACCCACTACTTGCTAGTTTTGAATCCAGCCAAGTTATTTAAACAGTTTAGGGCTCAGTTTTCTCATCTGTAAAAGGGATATTGTGCATATTTTATAGTATGATTTGAGGATTAAAAGAGAGGATATGCAGAAAGCACTTAGCACAGTACCTGGCACACGGTAAGCAGCCAAAAAGCATTTGACAGTTATTTACTGTTGTTTACACTCTGATTGACCCTGGGTTTAAGAACAATCTTGACCATTGTTATAAATTATTGTAAAATATTGCTGCAGTCTCTTCACAGGTCTACAATCTGAATGTCTTTCATTAGTATTTAAATTGATAGTAAATATGTACACTTCTAAAGCATTTCAAGATTATGTTTTCCTGTATGTTTCAGCGGTGACTGATGGTCAAAACATCTGAGACTCCCTATGCCTGGGAAACTGGTAATGACGCTTATAGAGCTTATTGAAAGTGCCATTTAACAAAATATATTAGCCCATTCCAAATGTCATCTCTACCTCTATTGTATTTCAAGTTAAACGCCATGCAAAAACAGATCTAAAAGGCTCCATTACTTGCTTATTTTCAAGGGCATGAGGAAAAATGTCACCAGCTTACAAAGCAAAAACTAGAGTCTCTAACTAGTGCCTCAGACAAAATGGCGGAAAGCAAGCTAAGCACAGAACAGTCACTGGTAATGATTCACCACTTATCAGGAATAATTGACATTTCGTGATTTCCAAATCTTCTTTCAAAATGTAATCTGTTCATTTCATTATTTTATGGCATCTTTTTTGTATCCATTACTTAACATTTCCTTCCACACTCAATGGGGGAGGTTTCTCTCTCCTGAAATGTCACCCTACATAAATAAGTGTAGTGCAAGCCTTCCATCACTGTAATGGTTAAATGATGGCAAAGCTGAGCAATTGAAACAGAAAGAGAAGTCACCTTGACAGTCCTGTAACTGGGAAAAGCAGCTTAAGGCACCAGAGCTTTTACTGTGAATGAGTTGAACAAGTTTATATCTATTCACCAAACAAAATATATTTAAATAATATTCCAGCATTGAGACAAATCAAAGAAACTCTTTTTGGAGATTTTAATACTCTATTACAATAAAACATACTTTTGAAAATAAAGAAAAAAGAAATCATAGTTTCTCTACATTATGCAGATTATTGATGTCACTCTGGGAACTTTTACAAAAGAATGTGGCTAAAATAAAAAAATAGGTGAGGTGTTTGCTATTGACCTTTAGTATAATTTCTAGGAATTCTTCAGGGTTTAGGTTTTGCTTTGTTGTTGTTATTTTTTAATATCTTATAATAGGTATTATAAAACCATTTAATTAGGCAATCTGGTATATCTGGGAAGTTCTGCTATCCAAAATAGACATTAGATAAACATAAATAAAGGCCAAGAAACTTAGAAAATAATGATGCCTCTTTAATATACAGATTACTGGAGCGGGATTTTTTTCCTGAATTAAACACGTAATTTTATTAAAGTGCAATTTGGCATAACTATTACATTTTTAAATATTGTCCTTATTATTTTTTGCCCACTCCAGGAAATGACAGCACTTCACTTTATATAAAGTGAAGTTAATTTTTAGATCACTTTGAGTCACAAAAATGTAGAATATTTTATAATTTTTAGTTGGGGCAAAGACTTCATTTTAATGATTTGAACAGAAATTAAACTGCCACCTCAATGCTATTGACATTTAAATCCCATGTGAGAAATACTGCATGATCCAACAAAGAAAATTAGAGCGCTTTTTGTAAAAAATTAGAACTCTCAGTCTTAATGTTTATTGCCTAGCAAACAGACTTTTCCTAAATGTAATGAAATGTAATGTGTTCCTGCTTTGATGCATTAACATTTCCCATCACACTTTCAATGATGTGGTGATTATTGCTTTAAAATTAAGTTAAACTTTGGCGTGCCTCAAAGTCGAAGTTCAAGAGCTATTTAGTTGTTGTATAAAATTTTTCTGGAAGTGAAAGAAATATGAAAAAAGGTGCTGAGGTGAAGTGATTAGGAATATGCCTTGTGACACCTCACTAGGCAAACAGAGTTGCTTCATGGAATAGTAACAGAGTAACTTGTTTTGATGGATGCAATAGAGACCCTTTTAGTAAATTCAGGTGCCAGGCAAGTAGGGAATATCTGAAATCCCACACACGGACTCTAGATACAAGCTAAGTCATCTTTGTGACAGGTGACACAGAAGGGAATTGATATGATTTGGCTGTGTCCCCACCCAAATCTCTTCTTGAATTGTAGCTCCCGTAATTCCCACATGTAGTGGGAGGGACCCAATGGGAGGTAATTGAATCATGGGGGCGGGTCATTCCTGTGCTGTTCTCAGGATAGTGAGTAAGTCTCAGGAGAGCCAACGGTTTCATAAACGGGAGTTCCCCTGCACAAGCCTTCTTGTCTGCCGGCATGTAAGTCATGCCTTTGCTTCTCTTTTGCCTTCCACCATGATAATGAGGCCTCCCAAGCCATGTGGAAATATGAATCCGTTAAACCTCTTTCCTTTTTAAATTACCCAGTCTCAGGTACATCTGTATTAGCACCATGAGAACAGACTTATACAGCACTGCTCACCTGTCATTGGAATTTCCAGTAACACCTGATTTTTCAGCTAGGAATCCCTGTCCAAAACAGTTCTTCCCAATAGCTTATTGCCTATGCATAGGAAGCTTATAGTTTCTCTCTAATTTTAGAAACACACACATTCACAGATCCTCACATGTTGGGTTAATAGGATTTTTTTTTAACATCTTACCATTTAGACTTACTACTCTTTTCCTTCATTTAAAATACAATAAAAACAAAGTTAATGTCATAAGCCTCTAGCCATAGCACTGAAAAATCCAGAACCACCTACTGGAAAATCAAGAGATGAAATTTTTAAATTTGCCTGTGTTCTATTTATATATATTTGTGGTTTCTGAAGTTTAAATATTTATTTACCGGTATATATCAGTGGTGATTTTATTTACCAAATTAAAAATAATGTGGCATAGTGTGACACATACAAGCATACTTATGAAGAAAATATAAGAGAACTTTTTTGAAATGAGGATTTCTTTTTTGTAATTTCATTTGCTGTTACGGTATAAGTGGTTTTTAACTACATGGATGAATTGCATAGTGATTAAGCCACAGAATTTGGTGCATCCCTCACCTGAACAGTGTGCATCATACCCAATATTATTCCTCATCCCCTCCAAGTCGGCTGCTTTTGACTCTCCAGTGTCCATTATACCGTTCTGTATGCCTTCGCATACCCATAGCTTAGCTCCCACTTAAAAGTGAGAACATATGGTGTTTGGTTTTCTATTTCTGAGTTACTTCACTTAGAATAATGGTCTCCAGCTCCATCCAAGTTGCTGCAAAAGACATCATTTCATTATTTTTATGGCTGCATAGGATACTGTATATATACCACATTTTCTTAACCACTCGTCAGTTAATGCACACTTAGGTTAGTTCCATATCTTTGCAATTATGAATTGTGCTGTGATAAGCATATATGTGCAAGTGTCTTTTTGATAGAATGACTTTTTTTCTTCTGGGTAGATATCCAATAGCAGGATTGCTGGATTAAATGGTAGATCTACTTTTAGTGCTCTGAGAAATTTCCATACCATTTTCCATAGAAGTTGTACTAATTTACATTCCCACCACTGATGTATAAGTGTTCTCTTTTCACCACATCCACACCAACATCTATTACTTTTGACTTTCCGATAATGACCAATCTGGCTGGGGTAAGATGGTATCTCGTTCAGGTTTTAATTTGCATTTCCCTGATGATTAGTGATATTGAGCACTTTTTCATGATTTTTGGCCATTTGTAGATCTTTTGAGAAATGACTAATCATGTCATCTGCCCACTTTTTAATGGAATAATTTGCTTTTTTCTTGCTGATTGGGTTGAGTTCCTTCTAGAGTCTGAATATTAGTCCTTTATGGCATAAATACTTTGCAAATATTTTTTCCCATTCTGTGGGTTGTCTGTTTACTCTGATAATTATTTCTTTTACTTTACAGAAGTTTTTAGTTTAATCAAGTCCCATTTATTTAGTTTTATTTTTGTTGCATTTGCATTTGGAGTCTTAGTCATAAATTATTTGCCTAGGCCAATGTCCAGAAAAGCTTTTCTTTTAGAATTTTTACGTTTTCAGGTCATATATTTAAGTCTTTAGCAAAATGGATTAAAAAAAATCACAAAGTAAATATCTGCTGTCTTCAAGAGACTCACCTAACACATAAGGATTCTTTTAGACTCAAGGCAAAAGGGCGGAAAAAGATATTTTATGCAAATGGAACCCAAAAGTGAGCAGGAATAGCTATTCTATATCAGATAATACAGACTTTAAAGTGACAGCAGAAACAATGACAAAGAAGGTCATTATGTAATGATAAAAGGATCAATCCAACAAGAAGATATTACAATTCTAAATATATTTGCAGCTATCTCTGGAGCTCCCAGATTCATAAAACAGTTACTACTTGACCTAAGAAAAGTGATATATAGTAACACAACAATAGTGGGGGACTTCAACACTGCACAGAAAGCACTAGACAGATCATCAAGGCAGAAAGTCAATAAACTGAAAACACTGGACTTAATCTGCACTCTAGAATAAATGGACCTAACAGATAATTACAGAACATTCTACCCAAGGACTGCAGAATATGCATTCTTCTCATTAACACATGGAACATTCTCAAAGATAGATTATATGATATGCCACAAGGCATATCCCAATAAATTTTTAAAAATCAAAATCACACCCAGTATCTTCTTAGAGCACTGTGGAATGAAACTAGAAATAAACTCCAAAAGGAACCCCAAAAACTACAAATATATGGAAATTAAACAGTCTGCTCCTGAATGACTTTTGAGTTAACATTAAAATCAATATAGAAATTTAAAAATTATTCAAAATGAATGATAATAGTGACACAAGTAATCAAAACCTCTGAGATACAGCAAAAGCAGCTCTAAGAAGAAAGATTATAGCACTAAATACCTACATCTAAAAGTCTGAAAGATCACAAATCAAGGAACATCACACCTCAAGGAACTAGAGAAACAAGAACAAACAAAACCCAAAGCTAGCAGAAAAAAAAGAAATAACAAAGATAAGAGTAGAATGAAATGAAACAGAAGGAAAAAAATACAAAAGATCCATGCCACAAAAGTTGGTTCTTTGAAAATATAAATGAAACTAATAGACCGCTATCTATTAATAGATTAACTAAACTAAAAAAGAGGGAAGATTCAAATAAACTCCAATAGAAACGAAAATGGTGACATTACAACTGACACCACAGAAATACAAAAGATCATTCGAGACCACTGTGAACACCTCTCCACACACAAACTGGGAAATATAGAAGAAATGGATAAATTCCTGGAAACACACAATGCTCCTTTGCTTGCATCAGGAAGACATAGAAATCCTGAAAACATCTATAACAAACAGTGAGATAAAATAAGTCATGAAAAAAAAAAGGCCAACAAAAACAAAAGCCCATGGCCAGATGTATTCACAGCTAAATCCCACCAGATATTCAAAGAAGAATTGCTATCAATTAAACTAAAACTACTCCAAGAGATAAGAGAGAATCCTCTCTGACTGTGAAGCCAGTATCACCCTGATAACAAAGCCAGGATAGGATGTAACAAAAATGAAACCAGAATTTCCTTTCGAAAATGAAGTATATTGTTTCCTGGGCCTTATTGTGCCTTGTGGAGGGGCTATGTCTGGGCAGGATACTGGCAGGGCCAGTCCCAGACTGAACTGGGGTTTTATCCCAAACCAGATCAGAGTAAAAGGGTAAAAAAATTGAATAAGTATGGATGTAACCATCAGCCTAGGGTTGAACCTGGAAGTTCCATCAACATAAGCATTGATATACTTTGCTGAAAGCAAATTCTTAAAGAGCCAAGCCTGACAATTGTCTTCATATTTCAGTGACCTTTTAAAACTATTACAATAAATCCATAAAACAGCTATAAGCTGCTATACTATAATAGAGCCAATGGATATCCTGACATTTTCCCCTCTGTATTATCTTTTTTGGTTCCATAAGCAATGCTATAAATTTTAAGTACAACTACTCTTTTATAGAAAAAAGTTATTTAACATAAAAATCAGCCTTCAGCATTGTTTGACCTCAATATTACAAAATTATAAATTCCTTTATTCTCAGCTAAGCAATGTTCAGTTTCTTGTATTCTACACAATTATTTCATTGTCTTTATCAAGCCAATGTATACCAGAAAAGCAAAAGATGCAATAAGCTTCTTCTTAGCTTCAACTATTTGAATCATTAATTAAATTCTCTATTTTACTTGGCATGTGTAAATAAAGCCACTGATGACTGTTTAACTATCTTTCTTTAGATGACATTCTTTCTCTGGACTTATGGTCCCTGATGAAGTAGCCCCTGTGTCACTTTCGATTGCCTTGTCTCTACATAACAAATATCATGATTATCAGTTTACTATTGGATTGATTTAAAACTCCAGGTTAATGTTTAGGTCTACTGTAGTATACATATTTTTGCATAGACTAGATTGACAAATAGAAAAATCCGATTTCCTCAAATTATCAAGACTCATCTACATGGTAAGACACCAGAAGCAATTATCGTTTCAACCTGTTCCACAGGAAAGGAAACAAAATGAGTTTTGTCTTCTGGCATAATTGCTTATGACTTGTCCCTACAAAGCTTTACAAAAGTGGAAAGGTGGTAAATGCCCAGATAATCTGATCAAAGCATACAATCATAGAAAATTATTTTTCACATCCCTTCTTATCCAGACTTACATTTATAATACTGAATCCATTAATTCCCAGGTTTCTGCTTTCTCAGCTTCTTGAAGATAGATTCTAAAAAAAGAAAAGAAAACTTATTATCCAGTCCACTGGTACCCTAGAAGAAGCCCAGTGTGAGTTAAAGGTACAGTTTGTCCTTGCAATTTTAGTATTTGCAGATCTATTAAATATTATAAACAGTTGGCCAGGCACGGTGGCTCACGCCTGTAATCCCACCACTTTGGGAGGCCGAGGCAGGTGAATAACAAGGTCAGGAGTGTGAGACCAGCCTGGCCAACATGGTGAAACCCCATCTCTACTAAAAATACAAAAATTAGCTGGGAGTGGTGGTGCATGCCTGTAGTCTCAGCTACTCAGGAGGCTGAGGCAGGAGAATTGCTTGAACCCAGGAGGCAGAGGTTGCAGTGAGCCAAGATTGCACCACTGCACTCCAGTCTGGCGACAGAGCAAGACTCTATCTAAACAAAAATTACATGAATGCTTGGTTTTTGAATCTGGATTCTTTCCCTGTCATCATATCTCAAATGAATTTACTGTTCTTACAGAAAACTTTCCATTAACATTGGTGACAGAGAGAAAGCCAAGGACTTTAAATAATAGAACTCAAAACCAAACGGGCTCTTGTATTACACTTCAGAACAGGTCTTCCTTACCAATGGTGCCACTGCAAACAGGTGACTACCAAAACAGCAAGATACACAAAAGAAACATCTCCTGGTGAAATAACAGACGGAAATATTATATAAATATTATGTAAATAATACATAAATATTCCTGTCAGTTTTTATATATAGATGACAATGACAATAGTATATCAAAATATTATACAATTAGATGACAATAATATATTAAAAATCTCACAAGTAGTAGAGAGCAAACCCTCAGTAACAAGAAAAATTGAATTAAATTTCAACGCTTTTAGTTTAACTGATTTGAACCTGGATATATACCTGTTTTCTCTGGTGATTTTAATTTTGGTGAAGAAATAAAAGTTTCCATTATCTGAATATCCCCTTATTTTACCTTTTATCCTAGTAGAACAAAAGTACTTTTAAAATAAATGTATTGTTTGTGAAACTGCCCAATAATAATAATGAGGATGATAACAACTTACCTATCAGAACCTGCCTGACTTTAATTATTTTGCTAAATTCTCGCAACTGCTGAATTTGATGTCATTGGCCTTATTTTAAAGATGAAGAAATTGGTACTTAGAGACCATTAATAACTTGTACCAAGCAGTGGATCTAAACTGGAACCCAGGTCTTTCTGATTGCAGATTGCAAGCTCTGAACTGCTAAGCTAGACACTTGTCTTTTTAAAGTAAGAATTCTTCCACTGAGGGAGGTCATAGCTACAGGAAATTCAGCAGCATCCTCTCTTCTGCAGAAGAATTATGATTTCTGAATTATGAAACTCACTGACTAGACTCTTATTGGAAAAAAATCATTAGAGATGACAACCCTCCTGTCCAGGAGGCAAGTAAATGTATTGTTTCAATAGAGAATATGTTGCGTTTGTGTCTAAGACAGTGATAATTACGTCACTCCCTAATGCATGGAAAAGAAGCCTTTGCTGTTTCTAGTAAGCTGTTTACAGCAAGAACTTTATAGAATATAAATATAGTGTCTATTATATAGCATTTTCTACCAATAGCATCATTGTTCCCCTCCATATGTTCTTCCGCTAGGTGTCTAATGAGTTCCTACGTATGAAAAATGACAAGAGAATCTGAGGAATAATTCAAGCAACTGTGGCATATGGAAACTGTTTTCTAGTCCCTTTGCCATGATTTCTAGGCAAAACAGCAGGAATACTTGGCAGCAGAGGCTAGAAAAATCATCATCCCTGACTGCAACTTCGACTGAGTTATCTGGCGTAAATGTCAGGCTTTGAGTTGACAGTGATAATGATAAACAAGGCAAAATTTCTGTCAGAATTTGATACATACATTCTATTGTTCATTCCATAGTGAATATTTCTCTGCCCCTAAGCTTAATTCCACGAGTCTATGAAAGGAGTCATTAGGACTTTTGCATCCAGTGCATTTAGCTTTCCTTCATTTATAAAGCTCTCTTGTGTTTCTGAGTGTTGTGTGCTCCTCTGAATTCTTGTGAGGTTTTGCCAGATAAGCTTTTTTCAATAAGACAGTTACCAATCTATAGTTCTGCTTCTTCTCCATTCAAGGAAGGACACCATAACACTTTTGAGACAAGGTAGTAGAGAGATGTAATATAGTGAGATGTGATTCTTCATCCCCTTTATCCTTCCTGATCCTTAGACGTAATGATTGTGCAACTGTAATTTATTCTGCATTCCACCTACAGACATGTATCTACTCATCAATTTACCCATTCACAAATATATTGAGGACACTCCTAGACAGAACAAGTCAATAATTCCTTCCACCATACATTGTTCAGTGCTGCCTACTAGTATATACATTTACTTATTTAACTACATGCCGGTACCCAGTTTGGACTTAGGCATTTATGACAGTAACAGAATTGATACAGTCTTCATTTGGTATTGCCACTATTTTTGTTTATTTTTTTAAATTTTAAGTTCTGGGGTGCATGTGCAGGATGTGCAGGTTTGTTACATAGGTAAATGTGTACCATGGTGGTTTGCTGTACCTATAAACCTATCACCTAGGTATTAAACCCAGAATGCATTAGCTATTTTTCCTGATTCTCTCCCACACCCACACCCTCCTGCAATAGGCCCCAGTGTGTATTGTTCCCTCCATGTGTCCATGTGTTCTCATTATTCAGCTCCCTCTTACAAGTGAGAACATGAGGTGTTTGTTTTTCTGTTCCTGCATTAGTTTTGCTGAGGATAATGTCTTCCAGCTTCATCCATGTCCCTGCAAAGGATATGATCTTGTTCCCTTTTATGGTTGTGTAGTAGTCCATGGTGTATATGTACATTTTTAAATCCAGTCTACCATTAATGACTGAATTTGGGTTGATTCCATGTCTTTGCTACTGTGAATATTGCTACAATGAACGTGCACATATCTTTAGAATAGAATGATTTATATTCCTTCGGGTATGTACCTAGTAATGGGACTGCTGGGTCAAATGATATATTCAGTTCCAAATCTTTGAGGAACAACCACATTGTCTTCCACAATGAATGAACTCCCATTAACAATTGCTATGAAAAGAATAAAATACCTAGGAATACAGCTAACACAGGAAGTGGAGGACCTCTTCAAGGTGAACTACAAACCACTGCTCAAGGAAATAAGAAAGGACACAAACAAAACAGTCCATGCTCATGGAGAGGAAGAATCAATACCATGAAAATGACTATACTGCCCAAAGTAATTTATAGATTCAATGCTATTTCCAGTGAAGTACCATTGACATTCTTCACAGAATTAGAAGAAACTCTTTTTAAATTCATATGAAACCAAAAGAAAAAAGCCTGTATAGCCAAGACAATCTTAAGCAAAAATAACAAAGCTGGAGGCATCATGCTACCTGACTTTAACTACTAGGCTACAGTAACCAAAACAGCATGGTATTTTTACAAAAACAGACACATAGACCAATGGAAAAGAATAGAGATCTCAGAAATGATACAGCACACCTACAATCATCTGATCTTCGACAAACCTGACCAAAAAAACGGGGGAAAGGATTCCCTATTTAATAAGTGGTGCTGGGAGAACTGGCTTGTCATATGCAGAAAAGTGAAATTGGACCCTTTCCTTACACCTTTCCTTACACCATACACAAAAATTAACTCAAGATGAATTAAAGACTTTAATGTAAAATCCAAAACTATAAAAACCCTAGAAAAAAATCTAGGCAACATCATTCAGGTATATAGGACATAGGCACAGGCAAAGATTTTATGATGAAATCCCAAAAGCAATTGCAACAGAAATGAAAATTGACAAATGGGATCTAATTAAACTAAAGAGCTTCTACACAGCAAAAGAAGCTATCATCAGAAAGAACAGACAACCTACAGAATGGGAGAAAACTTTTGCAATCTATCCATCTGACAAAGGTCTAATATTCAGAATCTACAAGGAACTTGAGCAAATTTATAAGAAAATAAACATTAAAAAGTGGGCAAAGGACATGAACAGACACTTCTCAAAAGAAGACATTCATGCAGCCAACAAACATATGAAAAAAAGCTCAACATCACTGATCATTAGAGAAATGCAAATCAAAATTACAATGAGATACCATTTCACCCCATGCGGAATGGCGATTATTAAGAAGTCAAGAAATAACAAATGTTAGCAAGCTTGCAGAGAAATAGGAACATGTTTACACTGTTGGGAATGTAAATTAGGCAACTACTTTTCATTTTAGCCATATTAATTGTTTTGTAGTAATATCTCATTGTTTTTTGTTTTGCATTTCCCTAGTGGCTAATGATTTTGAACATGCTTTCATGCACTTATTTGCCATATTTATATTCTACTCAGTGAAATATTTATTCATGCGTCTTCTGTCCATTTTCTACTTGAATTGCTTGGTTTTTAACTGTTGGTTTTTGAGAATTCTTTATATATGCTAGACATTAGTTCTTTATTGGATATGTGGTTTAAAAATATTTTCTCCAAGTTTGTAGCCTGTCTTTTCAACCTTTTCATATAGTCTTTCACAAAGCAAAGGTTTTTAACTTTGATGAGGTCCAAGTTAGCATTTTTTCCTTTTATGAATCATGTTTTAGTCTCAAGTCGAAAAAGTATGTGCCTGCAATTATATCCCAAATATTTTCTTCCATAGTTTTCTAAAAGCTTTACAGTTTTACATCTTACATTTAAGTCCATAATCTGTTTTGAGTTAGCTTTTGTATAAGTGGAAAGTTTAGGTTAAGATTTTCTGTTTGTCTGTTTTGCCTATGAATATCCAAATGCCCCAAGACCATTTGTTGAAAGGTTGATTTATATTTTGAAAAATCCATTCTGACTATTGTCTGGAGAATGGAGGGTAGGAATAGGAATAGGCTGATTAGTTAAGAAACTTTTTCATTTGTATAGGTAGGAGATTATGGTGAATAGGACTGAGGTGACAGGAAAGGAAATAGGGAAAACTAAATGCAGAGTATTTGGAGCTATAGAGTTAATAATACTTGCTGATGAATTTGATGTGCAGGTAAGAAAAGAAGAACAGAATCAAAGATGATTCTAAGTTTTTAACATGAAAACCTGAGCATATGTTGATTATATTTACAAAATTAGTGGAAACTGAAAGAAGGCTTGGAGGTTGAGACAGAATCAAAAGTTCTATTTTGTCCATATTGTGTTAGACATCTGAGTGGAGATGTCAAGTAGGTTGTTGGAGTAATGTAATTGGCATTCAAGGGCAAGATCAGGGCTGAAGATACACATTTGGGGAGTCATCAGCATGGATGACATTACTTAGAGAGAAAGTCTAAAAAGGGAAGAGAAAATCTGTAATTATTATTTTGGATCAAGCAATATTTACATATGTATAGATTTCCTAAAAGTGAACAAGTTAACTACAAATCTAATTTTAATTATTTATACTTGATATGAATCTGTGATTAGAACATGTTAATATATTTTACTGCATACGCTTACTGTATAAAATATTATTAAGGATCTAACTGAAATGATAACAGAACTCAGGTTAGAATCTTGTGTGTGCCATATGCCTCACTGCACCTATAATAAAAGAATCCAGGGAAATAAAAGGCCTCAGCTTGTCATCAATAATAGTTTGTCTTTCAAGGATAGCCTCCATGAAATAAGCAAAATATATTGAAATAAATTACCACTGGCCAAACATTATAAGTTTCTTTTACCTCAATAACTGTTATTCTAAGTGAAAGCAACCCTCAAAATTCTAGTAAACTCTCACATTTTCTCCATTCCAAAGAAATCCTGAGTGGATTAGTTCTGGATATAGCAAAAGATTCAATTCTGTTTTGGAGTGGATCAAAGCTTATTTCTGGGAATCCTTAGTCAAAGATATCAGTGGATTCCTATAGGCTAAAAGAAAGTTGGTTCAAGAATGACTAAGCAATTGAAACTGAAGAAGAGTTTACCTAAAAATATTGATGTGACTACACAGAGAGCTCTATAATGAGCGCCAATTACTGTAAAAAAATGTACAAAAGACCATAGCATTTTAAATGTAGATTTGTATAGTTTTGTATAAATATTAACTGAAAGTCATAAACTGAGACATGGAAAGTTTTAGTAAAACTAATCTCTTTACTTTCTTTTAAAAGCAAACCAAAATCCCCATGTTTGGGCTAGGTGCTGTAATATTATGCTGTTAGGTGGTTGAAGGCAAACTGCAAAACATAACAGAAAGTACTGTACAAGTACTTTGGAGTTTGAGAAGCCTTAGATTTGACATTCAGCTTTTTTTGTATACATTTTGTAGCCCTGAGATAGTTACTTATATACCCGAATCAATTTTCCCTGTAAATTCACAATGATTATGCATATTCCCACATGAATTTAGAAAGTATAAAATGAAATTAAATAAATTAAGTTTCTGATATTATAGTAGGTGCATCTTACTGTACAATACCCTTTTAAAATTTCTTTTTCACTTCTATCTGCTCTCTCAAAAAGTATTACTCCTTTACAAAAGAAGTGTAAGTCACAGAAAAAATTAGGTATCAGATGCATATGTATGAGAAAGGAGATTATTTAATGAATTTATATCTCCATTTCACATAAATTATCTCTGAGAATTAATGAAAGAACTCATAGATGACAGCACCAAATGATAATTAGCACTTGAATGATAATCATTGAGGAATCATGGTTAATGTAGATCACGGATAACAAAGATAGTTCCCATTTCAAAGATTGAAAGAATAATTTATACAAAGAGTTGGTGTATCTATGTCTGGGTTACACAATAATTCTGAGAAACATAGAATTTCTTTGACCACAGTGTTAACACAGCTACAGTGAAGCATGACTAAGCCACTTACTTTAAACAAAAGACATGTAAACCTCCATATGATAGTCTGTTCAAATTATATGAAGATTTTACCTACTAATAATAGTAGGTGGGAACATTTATTTAGGAATAATGAGTTCGATGTGAAAGAACCTGGGCTTGTGAAAACATCATGTGTGTTATCATCGCTGTGCAAATATGCGAAGATGACTTCCAGTCAGCATTAAGGAGCACATGGTAATCCACTTATAGTGTTGGATATTGCTCATTTCTTCTTTTATTTTTTTTCTAGTCCATAGGAGTCATGATCCGGATAAATAAACAGCATTGATCTACATACAAATTTCCTCCTGAGAATCTGGCCTTTAACCTTGGCCTTATTTGTACAGCATTCAAATCAAATGACCTAGGAAATTACAGGCATCATTGCATATTGCTCACAGGGTTTACAGCATTTTCCTATACAGAGCTGTAGGAAACTCCATGACTGATATCAAGTTACTACCCATGAGCAAGACTCTAGCCAAATGTTAGGGATTTGAATCTTCCTTCACCATTTACTAGCTGTAGGACCTGTGCAAATTGCTTAACTGCTGATTGCTTCAATTTCCCCATCAGTAAAATGCAGATAGTAAGAGTACCTACTTCATGAAGTTCTATGAGGATTAAATGAGTTAAAATTTGTAGACAACTTAAAATCATACATGACATCTCCAAATAAATGCTTGTGAAGTAAATATTTAATTAAAATAAGACTGCTAAGTGACTTACAGCTGGTCTTTTGAAGAAAGCCAGTTTCATTTATAATTGGGAATGAAAGATCAAATATAATCTGATTCAATGCTTAGAATAGCATAAAAGTGTCATAAACCTATAATATTTACTCATACCTATGAATGTTTAAAAGAAAATGTGTCCATAATTATTATAATATTAAAAACTTGTAAGAGCCACAGTATAGTGTAACCTTGTTTCAATTAACAATGTAATGTCAAAGCTTAATAGCTCTCACTGATAGAAAATATGACGCAGATTTCACAAAGAGCATCAAGAGCTGTGTGTCTTCTCTGGCACATTGTAATAATGGTAATAATGTTAGAACACATTTGTCTAGCATTTTAACTTTGCAGAAAACCAACCAATCTTTCACTTAATCTTTATAATAGTCCGTGGTGGTAGATAGTGATGAAGCAGGAGACAGCCAAATGCTTAGGCAAACAGGGAAGGGTCCCCAGAGAACTTCCAACACACCCAGGTCATTATGCACAGGGGACTTGCCTAAACATGCCTGTGGTACAAAATTCCATCCCTTAACATATGTGCAGTAAGGGAAATAAATCAATGTGAAGTGGCTCAGACTAAGGACCCACATACACACTGGAAGAATGGGGTGGGAATTCACTCCTTATTCAGGGGAGGAGCCTGGCCTCTTCACCTTGCCTGGTATTCAATTTGTGAGGTGGAAACCTGCATGCAGGACCCCTTTCTTTTTTGTTAGCTTTCCTTTCACTTAATAAATCCTGCCTTCCTCACCTTTCAATGTGTCCATGTACCTAGTTTTTCTTGGTTGTGAGACAATGGCCACAGGCATGCTTGCATGACAGATGGGTGGCTGGCAGCTCCCCACCCCACCCTCCCTCCCAGCTGGGGAGCATGGCCATGTCTACCACATGTGTGTGTGGCACCCAATGGCCACACAGGGCAGGACTGAGCCACAGCCACTGTCTGGGACCCAGGATGGCCCTGGGCTGGGCTCCATGCAGCCAGCTGGCCCATGTTCCCCCACCATGCATTCATGGAGTCTTCCCATCCCCTATCCCCTGGCTGAGGGGTTCAATTCGGTTGGATAGCAATTAAAAGTTTCTCCACCTGTTGGAGAAACTCATTTGTGTAGGAATAAGAGGATATTCCCCCAGGCATCTTCTCCACCAGCACTTAAGCTGTTTTTATTTCTCCACCCTGTCAGGAGTTAACTTTTATGCTAGAGAATTTCTCTTGAAAGATGTCTTATTAGACCAGGACCCCAATTCACAGGACACCATTTTTCTCTTCCTTGTTTGAGAAGGACCCAATCCCACAGCTTCACCTCAGCATTTGGCTTATTGATAAGGAGGCAACAGCCAGTCTGGTGAGGGACATCTGGGACTTGAGTCCATGCACACCCCGGGGAAGTTCTTTTTTCACAAACTCAATTCCAAGCTTTGGGTCAAAGCCCTAGGAAAGAAAACTGGATCTGAGGGATCCAGAGGCAGAAGACAATGAAGGTTAAAAGGCACAGTGCAGGTGAGCATGACTAATTCTTGCCAATTAAGCCAAGCCTCCTGTTTCATGGATAGACGTCATGTTAGTAACCATGGCTCAAATGAAGTGCAGGGAACTCAAAGGCTACTGACAGCAGGGACAAAGTCAGCGCATGAGTCAAAATGGATAATCCCACCCACTAGGCTCCCTGTTAGCATGGGTGAAAGCTGCATTGGCACCCATGGGTGGCACCCTGTCAAGGTCACTGGGACTTGGGGATATAAGGACAGAAGAAGAAAAGAGGGTTTTTTCCTTCTTTCCCTCATGAACCCTGGTATTTTCTAGGAAGAGAAAGGAACTAGGGACACCTTGCTCCCCTCTTTCTAGATGAGTGGCCATTCATCTTCGGTCTTTATCCCTTTTGAATGCACCCTGAACACCTGGGGCTCCTTTGAAAAGAAACACCTTCTTTTTTCCTTTTTCCTCCTCTGTCCTCTCTTTACAGATGGTAATTGTGTCCCCGTACTACAGGACACTCCCCTTGGATGCATCCTTCACACTGAGAAAAGTTAACTTCCCAAACCTTAAACTGGTTGGCTTAAAATTGAGCTCTGGGGAAGGAAACCCAGAAGACTGACATGCTGGCAAAAGGATGAAAGTTTCTTTTTTTTTTTTTTTTTTTTAACCAGTTAGAATTTTGACCACTCTTCTTGTGCAAACTAGTAAAAGGAATGATAAGGATCATTGTTTATATTCTCTGTTAAGTTTTGATTAATGAAAAAGGATTTATGAGGTTGGCCTTAAGCTGTAGCCAATCTGGTGTGCATCACATGTCTTAATTGAGGCTTGTTGGTGTCACTTGAGGTTACTTTTGATAAAGTTCAAAAGCCAAAAATATTGGCAACTTGGCATGGCTAAAGTCAGATAATAAGGGATTTAAAAGGATTTTCTTAAAGAATGCTCAATTTAATTAAAAGTGGATATCCAGATTATGGGTATAACTTAAAGACCTTTATGTTTTATGTTTCTCTTCTTGGGTTTTGTTTTGCTGGAAAAAGTTTTTTTTTTTTTTTCCTCAGTCGACTGAATTACTTTTCTCCACCTTGTCTTGCCACTCCTAATGCACCCATGAGAGGCCCTAAGGTAATTTCTGATGGCCTGAGACTCCTTGGGAAAACCAAAAAAGGTACCACATATTCCATTTTGGGAGAAATGTCTATTTTCTTTATTGAACTCCGGGAGTTAGAGGTGAATAGGTCCCTCTCAAAATCTGCTTTTATCTTCCAGCTATACCTGTTTATTAGGCGCTAGAAACTACGTGTTTTCCTAGCCCTGCTCTTAAAGGGCCCCACCCAGAGGCCAATAAACCAATTAAAAAACTGGCAAATGAAAAATATTATAACTACTGGATCTTCTTCTGTTTGTGTAGTTATATATGTGTTGTGTGTGATGTCTATAAAAAAAGAGCTCTAATTAATTGGCTTAAAGAAAAACACTTTTTTGAAGGAAAAGTAAAAGCTGTAATGCCTTTCAGTTCATGTGACTTTAATGTTTGAGAAATAAAAAGCCTTAAAGATTATTGGCAAAACACAGATGTCATTAAAATGTAAATAGGTGGTCTAAATTATGCAAGTCAGGTACTAGGTTTGCTAGATGTTTTAAGATTGTAAACTGCTTCTTTGGTCTTTGAGAACTGTTCGACTTGCCTACCTTACAACTTGGTAAGGCTTGGGGACATATGGAATTAACCACACCATTAACGATGGTTGTAGGAGTCAAACCTTATTAATACATAGTGCATAATTAAAACAACTTACTAGATTTTACATTAAAATTAAAAATTGTTAAGAGGTACCTTATAACGTGTAATTGAGACCACTGAAAATAGATTTACATGCAAGGTGTGTAAGAAAATTAAAATGTGTTTTTTAGTAAAAGATTATACAAAGGCATAGAAATGTAAATTTTTGCCTAGGGTCAAAAGTTTGTGTTGAATTATGTAAGATAAAAGTAAAAGTTTAAACAAGTTGTGGAAGGTTTCTAAAAAATTAATCTTGTAAAAAGAAATTCTGTATGGACATTGGCTAAAGTTAAAAGGATATTATTTTTCTGTGAACTGAACATTGGAATAAAAGCACAGCAGGTTTTTCTTAGAGCACTGATTTGCTCTTTCACAAAAATTTATAAAGGGTTAGAAAATGTTTATAAGAATCTTATCTCATGGTCAAATTGGTTAAGATTAGATAGAATTTTCTATAAGGTTTCATAAAAAAGTTGGGGTTGACATTAATAATAAACTAATACGTTTATTATTGAAATTTGGCTTTCTCTCCCTTGTACAAGATTTGCATGTAATAGTAAAGGATAATGAAAATTTTTCATTCGCCTTGCAGATAGACTGCCAAGGAAAACAAAAAAGAAGACAGGAGACAAATTGTTTGAAAAGCTGTCTTCTCTCTTAATGAGTAAAGGTTTTTGGCCTCGTTTTAAAATTTCTGAGTCATCATTTTGGCAAAATAAATAACATGGTAATCTGGAATTATATTTCATAATATCTAGAGTTTTAAACCTCTAACATATTTAACAGGCTTCCCAAAATCAAACCTCAGTTTCAAGGTTGTGTTTCCTGACCCCTAGTTTTGAATGATATAGAGGGCCCCTAGAGCATCCAGAAGAGAAACAAACAGGATTAGCTGAGATGTTTAGGTATGTGGGATTGCCAAAATGATTTTTAATCTTCAGATTATATTTTAGTGAATAATATTATGTATGTTTCAAAGTTATATGGAATTTCTAAAACTCTCATGTCTGAGTATATGCTATCAATCATAATTAAGGTTGTTAAGTTGTTGTAAACCACAGGAAAAAAACAAATTCCTTTGTCAATTGTGTTTCTAACTGTAACTACTCTGGACATTTTGTTATTTGTGGATAATTCTTATCTTGTTTTAATTCTCTTCAAAAGATAGTTTATAATCATCTATAGAACTTTGACAGGTGCTCTCAAATGCAGGTTTCTGATAACTTTGGAGATTGTGGCTTTGGAATAAAGAAAAAACGTACAGGACTCATGAAGAGCTGAAATGTTCGTGAATATCAAGCAGAATAACAGTTAATGAAATGGATGGAATTAATAGAAAGCTGAAGTAATCTTTTTTTAACTTTTGCTTAAAACATTGCTGATTCTTGTTTTGTTTTTCAGAGTGAAGGAAATTTTTATGTTGAGCTATTTACAGTCTTTAATAATTGAGTAAGGTATACTCTGTGAACAAAATTTGGAGCATGTTTGTCTCTCTGCCTGATTCCTCTAGAATTTGTAGACTATCTTTGAGTATTCTTCACTTATAGCAATATGATTGTTTGTATTAGTGCAATAAGAGTCAATTTTCTTTTGCAACAGGATGCAATTGGAGAAACTGGTTGTTTTACCAAGGCCTTGACTGGAAGGGTATGCTTCATTTTAAGGAATCAAGTTTGACTTGCAGAGCTGATAAAAGCCCCTTGGGAAAACTGGCCTCATACCCTGTCTACACAGTCCCTGTACAGAGTTCCTAACCTGTGGTGGGTAAAGAATGCCACTTTCTAACAGGACCAGGAAGCCCATGTTCTTGGGACTTCAAGAAGAGAGGAATTCACCCAACTCATAGTATTTGAGGGTACAAACCCATGGTTGGGCTCAGCTTTAAAAAGTCCTATATGAGATTCCTTGTGGAATAGAGTTTTATCAAAGTGAATTTTAAAAGCCTATATAAAAATAATTATTCTTGATGCACTTTATGCAAATAATAAGGCCAAGTATAAGACTAAAGTTTATTTTGCAAACAACTCAGTCCTACTATGATTTGTTTTTAACAAAAATGAGGACTGGAGAAAGAGAAATTATGTGTCAAAACTTGTCATACATTTGTCATTAAATTCTAGACCCATTAGTTGTTGTTTTTTTTTGCCTACATTTTATACTAACCCTGCTTATTCCTGTGAACCAACTAGCTATCTCTGTCTGCAGCTCGAAAGAAAAAAAAGGGATGGGTAATATAAAAATTGGATCAATATTCTAGTTCTGGGCAATTATCCTACAAATCCTGCCAGGTGATAGGAATAAATAGGGTGCCCATAACCCAGAGGTTTCTTTGTTTGGGAAAATAGGACCAAGGGAACTAGCCAAAGCCAAGCTCCATGCACCCAAATCTTAGTAGGTATAACTATAGCTACCAGTTATCTGGCCGTGTAGGCATCCTCTAGATTTCTTAGCTGTCCTTACCCCCATCCTTATTTAGTTTTGATCCCTGTCTTCTAATAACTTATTTTGTCTCTTCTTGCCTACAGGCCATTGAACTCCAAATGCAACCAGAGCTTCAAATGATGGCCCATTTTTACCAGCGATCCTTAGATAGGCCTCTGAGGGACATCTGACTGCCATTTTCTCAAAACAGTGCCCCTTGTCAGCAGCAAGTGGTCAAGATCAGTCTTCCTCCTTTTCCTTATCTTTATTCTAATGGTAATTAAATGTACTTCTTTAGAGGAGGGAATGATAGAGGCAGGAGATAGCCAAATGCCTAAACAAATAGGGAAGGGTCCCCGGAGAACCTCCAACCCACTGATGTCATTGTGCACAGGGGGCTTGCCTAAACATGCCCACAGTGAAAAATTCCATCCCTTAACACATGTGCAGTAAGGGAAATCAGTCAATGTGCAGTGGCTCAGACTAATGGCCCGCATGCCCACTGGAAGAATGAGGTGGAGCCACCATCGTTCCTTAGGCAGGGGAGGAGGCTGGCCTCTTCAGCTTGCATGTAGTGGCCTGGTATTCAATTTGTGAGGTGAAAACTTACATGCAGGACCCCTCTCTTTGTTGGGAGCTTTCCTTTTGCTTAATAAAATTTGTCCTCCTTACCTTTTAGTGTGTCCATGTGCGTAATTTTTCCTCGTTGTGAGACAAGAACCCAGATTTAGCTGAGCTGAGGAGCAAAAAATCCTGCATCAATAGAACAGATATTATTATTTATATTTCACAGATCAGAAAACTAAGGCCCAGAGAATTTAAGTAATTTCTGTACCTAGGGTCACAATGTATCAGTTCAGGGCTCACATTCCCTAAAGTGCCTTCAGATAGTGCCTAAATCACAAATCAAAACTTCTGTCATTCTCATTCTTTGCATTCCTTTGAAAGAAAGCAGGAAGAAAATACCTCTTTCAAATTGAGGAAGCTCAGCGGTCTTCTGTTTACAGTCATCCAAGATGGGCAACATAAAACTCTAGTTGTAGTCATGCACATAATGGTCTCTGTAAACAGTGCTTCCTGGATTTTTGTACAGGGCACATCCTGCACATCCACATGAGGAATATATGAAGCAACTACTTTTACTCATGCAAAAGCCTAAGTCAGAAGCAGAAAGCTGCAGCAGCAACAGAATCGACATCCTGATTTCCATTTCATTGTGTGGTTTCACAGTAAAGAAAGGAAAAAAAGATGAAATCAAACAAAAGCAACTTTTAGAGAAAATCTGTCACTCAAGTTAAATTTTCTCTTACTTGAAATTCACCCTGTGTATATTCAATTGAATAGAATGACATTTGATTGAACTGACTGGGAAAGAAACTGACAAGATACATCCGGATTCAGGCTCTCAAATTTGGTTTATTGTTTAGTGCAGCAACCCCTGAAATTAAATGAACACATACAGGAGTCTCATCATAATGCTATCTGTGGAATCCTGTTATAGGGAGACAGTGCTATTACAAAGTCCTCCCACAGTTAAACTCCCAAGATGGACTTGATATTCTGCAAAATAGCACAATGGATTTAAGTGAGACTGGAGCTTATTTTTTTCCCATTTTTTCACTTAAATTAGAAATCTTGTAATTGGATTTTAAAAAGCTCCTTGTGAAGTAATTATGTGTAATCTATTTTCAAGTATTCTTTCTGAGTAAACCTGTAAGAGACAGAAAGTCAAGTATTCTTGCTGAATAAACCTGTAAGAGACAGTAAGAGATATCTCATACCTTTCCTTTCTTAACTGCTACACAGTTCTCTTTGAAACTGTTTCCAATAATGAGTCATTTAAAAGAGAAAATGGGCCTTTTTAGCTTTTGAAAACTTAATGGGAAACACGAGACAAGAAAAGGAGGCCTAATGTTTAGCCAGAGGTAAAATGTAGAGGGTTATATGAGTTTTACATAGTATCATTAGAAATGCTATCAGAAATAATTAAGCCAACAAAATCTTAAGCATCTATTAGTGTTCAGACATAACGACAACATACATATGTAGCTGTCATGACAAAACAGCAAATAATTCAAAAATTAATTTTGTAAGAGTTATCACAGAAGCAATTCACACACACACACAAGCCCTGAATATAAAAGGTGACCACTACTGGGGCGTTTATAGTAAAATACTTGAAATGACTGACAGTGAAATAGCACTGAAATAGATTGTTTGTGTACTCCAGAAAACAACATTTTAAAATGTAATTTGAGTGTGTTTCCTAATGCTTTCAAAGTAGAAAAGAAAATGTTTTCCATAAGAGTTCACCAGCATACACTGACAACAGTGATTAGATAATATCCTTCTGCTATTTAACAACACAGAAATTATGAGGAGTCATTTAATCCCTCAGATTGCTTAGCTGTGACACTTTTGATGTACAGTACTAGAGATTTAACTATCAGCCAGAAAACAAAAAGATTAACACGACATTTGCCCATCAAATCACAATCACAATCGTGTTCCATTTGCCAGACTATTCTCTAACAGCTGATATTCAGCATCTCTACGTAAGGATAAGTTACTCAATCAACAAAAATCAAACTCAGATACTACCAAGTGTGTCTATGTAGTATATATTAAATCCTGCAATGATTCCTTTAATAAGCAATGTCTTGGTTGCTTGCTGCATCCCAGGCACTATTACACAACAAGATAACTGAGAGGAAGAGATTAGGCTTGCAGAAGTTAGAAAGACAGCAAACATATAAGCAATTACAAAGGAAAGCAACAGGAGTGTGGCAGCTAAGTCTGTCTATGGGGGTCAGGAGAGACTTGGCAGAGGCAGGCACTGTGAAGGAAAGCTATGGGGTATTTTTCTGTGTCTCAAATCATTTCACAAAAAAAAGAGGATTTGAAAATGGGTTCCAGATAATCACCTCATTGGCAACTTTAAATCCATGTAAAATATTTTCAATTCAAACTATAAAATGTCAGTCTCATATATATATGTATACACACACATATATATATACACATATATATATACACACACACATATATATACACATATATGTATATATATTAAGATTAAATATTTAATATCACTTACTCTTTGTTGAACCCTGATTTAAGTCCCTTTGGGGAGTTTGGCTTTGGGAAAACTTTCCTTCAAAACAATCGCACCAACAGTAATCTTGTAATAACATCTCAATGTTCACACACTTAATATTATGGTGGAAATATTAATTAGTCAAGAGATTTTGATAATTTAAATTTAAGTATATGAATAGGGAAAGGCCAGGGGAAGAAGGAGTAAAGTCCAACCTCAGAGACAAATGAGAGGTTTGTAGGAGAACGGTGCATTTAAAGAACTGTACAAAGGAACTTGGGTGTGATGGGTTAGTAGCACAGGCACAGTGTATATGAAGAAGTGGACAGAGGCCAGCTAATGGAATGCCATTTACGTTTGATACAGAGTATAGGTTTCCTATGAGGTTTACAATGAGGAGCTATGAAAGAATTTTAAATTGTTGTATGTAAAAATCACATGGGCCTGAGAACATTTTTCAGATAAAAAAGCAAATTTTGTATTTAAAGGGAATGAAACTAGCATAAAATCACTACTGGTAAGTGATTGGAAAAAAAAAAAAAAAAAGACCCAATTCTTCGTCTTTTTCAATATCTAACCTTGCAATGTGACCTTGCAGCAACTTCCATCAAGAAGCGGAGTCTCTCCACTTCAGGGATATGAGCTGGCCCTGCTTTAAAAGAAAGAATGTGGCCAAAGTAATGGTGTGCCAGTTCTGAACCCGGGCCTCCCGATACTCATTTTCTCAGAACCCTGCTTTTGCTATGAGAACAAGCCATACTAGCTTGCTGGAGGATCAGACACCACTTGGTTCTCAAGCCAAGTTGTTCCAGTAAGACCATCCTAGACCAGTTTTCAGCCAGATACTCTCAATACATTTGAGAAAATCTAGACAACCTCAGCAGAACTGCCTGCAAAACCACAGATACCAATAGATATGGGAGTGAGTCCAGCCAAGACCAGCAGACCCTCCCAGCTGACCCGCAGACTTGGGAGCAATCATAGATGCTTATTGTTTTATGCCATCATGTTTTGGGGTGGCATGTTGCATAGCAGTAGATAACTGCTATAACACCCTAACAAATCTTCCCTGATGCATTATGGGTAAACACAAAGACAGAAAATTGTACTTCCAGTTGAAAATCAAACATAAACCCTTAGAATACAAACCGATTGAAGTCTGTCTTCTGAAAAATACTCAGGCATTACTGAAGTTCATAATTATCAATATGATCTACCCTTATCAAAACAGTAAGCTTCTTTTTGGAGCATGTTCCTCCCTATTCTTCAAAATCTCCCCATTTTACTTTCAGCCAATTCTCTCTCCAGTGCTGCCATGCAGCTCCAGTGCTTCATGGAATTTTTCTGGATTCTTAAGCTAAGTTGCTAAAAACTCAGTTTATTACCCCTCCCAGAAGGGTTATCATTTGAAAAGAAGGTAAAACTTACTACTTATATTTTATTCACAGCACCTAAAACAGTTTTGGTGCAGAGTAGAAACACAAAAATATTTGTTAATGAATTAATGGATCTCTCTCCCTTATTACCCTTCCCTGTTAAAACTGCTCTCCATTTTCAAAGCTATTTCTAATCTCTACCCCTCCCTAGATTCATAAACATTAATCTATTTTACTTGCCCTCCGAGTCAGGCTATACCCTTTCAATGTCATGTATACTAACTCCCTACTATTTACCACTATGGATGTTAAAGTCTTGGCTCTGCTACTGACTATATGACACTAGGGAAATTACCTATCCTTTCTATGCCCCAATTTTCTTATTACAAAATGGTAATAACAATATTGCCTGTCTCAAGTAACAGTAAATTAAATAATATATGTAAAATATATAGAAAGAACTTGTGTCAGAGTTAAGTACTCAAAAGAGGCTAGCCATTTTTTAAATCTTGCCTATCTTCATACAAAGATGATGCCAGCTATTCATTTTCACCCCTGCTCTGTCCAGATTGCAACACTGATGGACAGTGACACATCTCTACCCATTAAATGCTCTATATTGTGCCTTTACTATCTTTTGGGCTCTCAATGTCTAGAATCACCAAAGTTTGTTTCTGATATTTTCTGCTCTCATTAGGAAGAGCAGAAAACCCAAGTCCATCCCTTGTAAACCGAATAGATAAATCCTGTCTTCTGAAGACCTGTGTATGTCATTCTCTCAGCCCAGAGGCCTTTAAACATTACTTCCCTTGGCCCCACTTTTGAATTTCTCTCTAGCTTCTCTCATCCTTGTTCATTTATCTCATTGAACAGAAGTATATATTCCTTTCTCACACTAACACTTCCATTTAATATTCCCATCCTCACCTATTCTTCCTCCAGGATGTTGATCTATTCCTTTTTTAAATCAATTTCTCTTTCTCCACTGACTGTTTGCCCTTGGCCAATAAATTCTTCTGGCCTCTCCTGCCAGAAAAAATATTTTCACTTAGTCTGCCACTAAGGTTACTCATTTGCTTTCCTTTCAGCCACACAATTCTAAAAAAAAGGTGATTTAAATATAACAGCTGCACACATTTCTCTCTTATTTAGTACATGTACCAGCTGGCCCAGACGCTTTTATGTCATATATGATATGAATCTATTATTTTCCATCAACATGATTCTTATGCAATTGAAGAGCAAACAGAACTGTCATATCTTCTGCAATGAAAGAACCACCATTTAACAAATAGTTACCATTAGATTCTGTGCTAAGCTCCTTGAATGTATTAACTCATTGAATCTTCACAACAATCCTATAAGGTAGACAGTGAAAGCATTTCCATTTTACAAATAAATAAGGATGCTGAACTTAATTTTTTCTCATTTATCTGTTTATGATCTTGGAGCTAAAACTTAACTAAATCTCAGTAGCTCAGGCACAAACTGTTAATCACCCATGTGCTAATCATTACTCTGATGATTGCTCTTTGACTCATGAGCTATCATACTACCAACACTGCTCTGTTGAAGGTCACCAAAGGCCTAACTCCAAGTGCTTCTTCCCTGTTATAACCCCGTAAGATTTACTATGGAACTTCTTCCTTACTCTGCATACATTATGTGTTGCTTTCCGTCTAAATATGGATACTCCTTCCTTCATGGATTACTGTGTTTTACTCCTACACTTTTTACCTCTCTCTTTCCCTGCCTCATATTGCAGCATAGATACAAAATACTGTTATTTCTCTTGTATTAAGAAAATTACATTCCTTTTTCATTCTGCTTCATTGGCATAGCCACTACCTTACTTTTCTTTTTCACTTCCCATTGAAAAAGAAGTCTATATATGCTAGTTCCACTTTCAAATTTTTTATTCACTCCCCAACCCACTGAAATCTCAATTCTACAAGCATTCCATTGAAACTGCTCTTTCCAAGGCCAACAATAATCTCTAATTACAAATCCAATAAAACCTGTTCAGTCCTTATCTAACATGATCTGTCTAAATGTTTCATTGGCACTTTAAACTCAATAGACTTAAAAAATGAACTCATTGTTTTTGCCACCTGCCCCTCACCCTGCTTTACCTCCAAGTTTTTCTCTCATGTTTAGCTGAATTTCTGTTTTTCCATTTTAGTAGGCTCAGGACCTCCTGTAGTTTTCTTCCTCGTCTTCCTTTCATTCACCAATCATTTCACCCATCATTTCACCCATCTCATTTCAACCTTTGCAAAAACCTTCATTAGAGGCTCTTAATTCTGGATGCATGCTAGAATCACCTGGGGAACTGTTTTAGAAATGCCTATGCACAGACCCTAATCCCGGACCGATTTAGAGAATCTCAGAAAGTTAGTTGGGGATGGACGTTTTCTAAGGCTTCTCAAGTAATTGAAATTGCAACCAGGCTTGAGAGTCATAGTTTCACATTTTTGTCAGTCATATAGTCCAAACTCAGACTCTCAACAACTCTCTCCTAGATTACTTTAATACTTTCTAATTTCTTTGCATGCCCACAACCTCTCTTCTTTAAGACTTTCAAATACATTTTTGCTAAAATCTGTAAAACACAGCTTTACGGAACATGCACTGCCCTGCCATGTTCACATAACTTCTAGAATAAAATTCAATTGCTTTGCATAACAAGCCCATCCAGGAAAATGCTTAAGGTAAAGTGCATACCATTTAGTAACTTGCAATATATTGGAGAAAAACAAATATAAAAAATCAAAATAAATACGAAATGTTCATAAATCTATGTACCCACTTTCCCATTGGTTAGCATAGTGCCATAAAAACAGGGGCATGGAGAAAATATCTTCTGAAATAATTTGAAAGACCATTTTTAAGACTAAGCTTCAGCTAACCCCAAAATTCAATCTAGTCAAACATGCTTGTGTCTAGTAGGAATTCAATTATTGTCAGTTAATTGCCAAATAATTGTAATGTCTATACTACTTTTCCCAATCTCACACAGTGCAAGTTAAAGCAATGAGAAAGAAATCTCCAAGAAATCTAAATATATTTATTTCAATGTTTTCTTCCCAAAGCATTATATATACAAAACAAGGACAGGAAGGAAGGAAGGAAGGAAGGAAGGAAGGAAGGAAGGAAGGAAGGAAGGAAGGGAGGGAAGAAGGGAGGGAGGGAGGAAGGGGGGAGAGTGGGGTAGGGGAGGGAGCAAAGGGAGGGGATGGGAGGGGAGGGGGGAGGGAGGGAGGGGTGGAGGGAGGGGAATTAAGGTAGGAAGGAAAAAAGAAAGACCCTTACTTTGATAGAAATAATAACATTCTACCATGAGTTCTCTATGTGGGTAGCAGGGACAGAAGATACTCAGTATATGTCTCTCCAAACTTTTCACTTTCTCCAAGCAGAGTGTCCAGTGTCATCCTAATTCTCCCCATTAAATTAGTGGGTCAAAGTGAGAAAGGGCTGGATAAGGAACAAATACAATTTGATTTCTTTGTTTCTTTGCATCGCCCTTTCATATGGATACATTATCTATGAATTGAGAAAATGATCAAAACTTGGAAAAGATCAAGTCTCATTTAATCACTCAATTAATTACTATGCTATTAGTGATTATTATCGAAAGTCACAGTCGAATTGTATAGCATTGGTTGTAAATGGTGCAAGTATTGTTATGGGAAATAAAGAATAAAATCAAAATTTCTTTTTATTTTAATCAGATGCAGATTCTCAGATCTCTTCCTACCCGTTAAAAACAACAGCATATTTGAAATCACATATAGTACACTCTGATGTTAAAACTGGAAGTTTCTATTGTGTTAAGGCAACAAGAGTGTATAAAAAATAAAGTAAAATAAAACTATAGGATATTATTCCAAAAATAGAGGACTTTAAAAGAATTATCACAAATCAGTCACTCATTGGCCCATAGTCTCACACTGTAATCTCATCCATGTTCCAGCATATTACAATGGATGGACACCAATTGTAAAAGGATTACACACACACACACACACACACACACACAGAGTTCATGTGAAAACTAGTGAGATCTGAATTAGGTCTCTATTGAGTTAATAGCATTATACCAATGTCGATTTCCTGGTTTTGACAATGTTATATGGTTTTGTAAAATGTTATCACTGGGTAACATGGGTAAAGTTTTCAAAGAAACCCTCTGTGCTATTTTTTGTAGCTTCCTGTGAGTCTTAATCTTTAAAAATAAAAAGTTTTAAAAAAACTTTAAAAGTTAAATTATAGTCATATTTGTGATTTTAATATTTTCATACATATTTTGAAAGATAAAGAGATCATTATCTTTAACAATTTTCATAAAATGAATTTTACATATTGCTAGCAAATTATGCCAGTGGTACTCATAGTCAAGATGGGCAAGTAGCGTAAGTGTTAAGTATATCTATTTCAATTGTATCCTAGCAAAGAAGCATTCATATATTGGAACCTTGTGTAAATGGCAAGATTTGCCATGGATCTTTATTTTAAAAAAAAAGATTGAAGAATTTATGTCATCTTCCCCAGGAATTCAGAGGTTTCCCTGGATAATAACTGAAATGCTTTTAAAATAAAACACAGAAAACAGATCTATATATGTAATTTATGAAAGAGAGTCCATTTTATATCCCAATTTTATTCACCTTTTCTGAATAGTCACAACATTAATCTACTGGGGATAATCTAGTTAGTATATTTGAAATTCCATGTTTTTTTTCTATTATATGCATGTATTACACTTGTATATAATACAGAGTTTCCAGTGTTGATTTAAAGAACATAGTTTAAAAAATGAGAAGCATGATGTATAATTTCAAATCTCAAACAAACCTAGGACAAATTCATAATTTCCAAAAAGTATAGTTTTTCACTTGGTTACAAAGAAATTAATGATATTCTAATTGATGCAGAAACCCCAGGGCAACTTTTTTTTTATAATTTCATATAGTCTTGAGCCATTGTGAAAATCCACTCAAAGCCATCTAATTCATTTTATGCATGATTAAAATGGAGGCAGAAAGCCATTTCATTCCATGAACTTATGAGACAGTGGATTTTAGTTCAATGTGAGATACATACTTTTCAGATTTTATTTTTAACCAATTTTACATTTTTAGTTGCTCTTCCCAGGAAAGTGTCTGAGTAGTGTTTTGGCCTTTGAATATTGTCACAAACTAATAGACCAAAGCTCCCCAGGATATATGGGCCTCTATCCTGGAAACCAACGTATGTCTAACTGACCACGTCAGTGAGTTTTTAGAATACAAAGTATTTCCATACCTTCTTCCATACCACCTTCCATGATGGAAATTCTAACAGGACAATTTTTGAAGCATCTTCTGAACAGCCTAAAATGAGTAAAACACAGAAATCCTTCTCCTTGCATTCCTTCAAACTATAGGTTTACACAATATTGTTACAGAATGGCTATGCACTTTTCTTTCTTCTCTCCCTTCATATCACAAATGAAACAAAATAAATGTAGTACAAAATTATACATTCTATAACTTAGAAAAAAAAAGTACATACATGTTTAAGGCCTTTAAATATTTATGACTTTCCTGTAGAACCAAAACCATAAACGTTAAAATCGCTACAAAAATGTCACAAAATATTGGCCTAACAAATTGTTTGAATAGGAAAACTGTAAGCAAATATTTATAAATTTGAGACTGAGGAAAATGAACAATTTTTTCTATCAACAGATTGAACAAATATATAAGCATTCAAACAGTCATTGGGATCAAGCAAAAGAAAGTCTTTTAAAATGAGATAGGACAGTTTTTTAAAAAATACTGGAAGAAATCTAAGTGAATAATGTTCAAGCTAAGAAATCAGAAACTCACATGCATCCCTGTCAATTTTTTTGAAACTGAAGGCTACCCATTAACTTGACTGCTCACTGCTGATTTCTGTGAAGGGAATAAGTAAACATAAAAAATTAAAGAAAAGCTCACTTAAAAAAAAACAGAAAGGGAGAGTGCTCTAGAGGTACAAAGTATTATATAATGAAAATGGCAATCCAGTTCTAACTACTACCTATTTGACAAAGAGCTTCAGCAGGGTGTTGTTAGCCTTAGGGAAATATGTCAGCTTGTCTATACATTCTTATATGATTGATTTATTCAGATAACTATTACTTGCCAACATTATTACCAATGGATATATATTTCCATTCCTTTAACAAAAGCAACTTTAAGATGTTAAAACATGTAGGCTTTCTGAGCTCCAAGATTAGGATATAAATAAAATTGTCTCAGTCTACACCATGCCAGAGGAAAAGTTCTCAAAGGAAATGTCATTAAAGCCATGTGTAGTCCCACTAGCAAATGAACATAGGACCCAGGAACACATCCAGGACAGAAGGACAGTGCACTTGGGATACAGCTTGCAGAAACAAGAAAAGTAGTCACATCTGGAGCCAATAACTCAAAAGGTGACTGTCTCTAACATCACCCTGAAAAAAACAACTCTTCACCAGCTCCTCAGACAGTGACTTCAAATTCTTTTAACAATTTACAAGTTGAACACAGTTCAAATCTGCTGAAATCTTCATGACATGCAAGTTCATGTCTGACTTTTAAAAAGTCTTGATTTCAAGAAGAGGCCATGAAATCCCTTGGAAATAGACTATTGAGCGCCTCTTTCAAGTGGTATAAAAATCTTCAAGATCACCTCAGGAGTTGAGTTAAGTTTCTATGCGCATGTTCAATGTCATCAGCCTTGAGGATCACTTGATTTCTCCTGGGTTAATGGGTTACCTACAAAGGAAGGAGAAAATATAGTCAACATTTCATAACATACCGATAATCTTAAAACTAAACACAATTAAAAATTAATAGATAACTCAAAATGCTGGTGTTTGCTATATCAAATGCATTACTTAATTTTAAAGGACTAACAGATGCAGGTATTTCCATCATATAAAAATATACTTTTTTTCTCATTATCATCTCACAATATTTTTAAAGCCATTTGCACAATTATCCAAGTGAATATAACTGTGACTAGAATTATCCCAACTGGTGACAACAATATCCCTCTCACACCCAGAGAGTGATTCTGGAATCCTTGTTTTTTTGCACAGGCTTGGTAGCCATAACCCAAATATCACAAACACATCATACTAGGCCTCAGTGAAGAAAGACCTTTGTCCCCAGCAACACAGTCACATCATATTCTCAAAAAGCCCTTGGGGATTGGTTCCATAAAGTTCATTTTTGAAATAGTTTAAAAATTGAGGGTTTATTTGAGTCAATTATATTTGAAAAATTATATTTGAAAAATTATATTTGAAAAAAATCTGTTTATGGGGGACAAAAATATCTGAGGAAAGAAACAATAAGGAATAGAAAAATGTTGTACCAAATGTTAAAGGTGCCCCAAAATTTTCATAAAATTGATTGGAATATACTATTAATGCTATTTTAAGTATCACTAAAAACATTCATACTAACTTCACACCTACTAAAGTCCAAAGACCATTTGTGTACAGGAAAAAAGAATAATAAACAGATAGAATACCTGATACATATATACATACATATCTACGTATGCATAGATACAGAGGAAAACACACAGGGAGAGGGAGAAGAAGAGAGAGGGAGAAGGAGGGGAGAGGAAAAGAGATTTTGAGAGAGAGAGAGGATAGAGGGAGAAAGAGGGGAGAGGAGAAGAGATTACCAACACAGCAGAAATATCTCGATTTCTGCTGTGTTAATAAATTTCTAATTCTATTCTAATATCAGGCAGGGTATTTAGAGAGTTACCTAACAGTTCTTTTCTAGGAATGGCTAAAACAAAAAGTGATTTTAAAAAATTATTGTCAAAATTTTGATTTTATTCTATTAAGTGACATTGTTACTTGTCCTTTGAAAAACATTACAAAAGTCTGTTTGGTTTCATTGTTTTCTGATCAATTATGTAAAAAATGAATATATTAAACAAAATAATAAGCTAGTTCTAGACTTTGCTATGGCTAGTCTCAAATTATACTACCAAAGGGAGATGGTACAAAAGGCAAAAAAGTGTTTTCATGCATGGAGACAGTCATCTCATTTCTGTCTCAGTGGTCTGCTAGCACTCCCAAGGAAGGAGTTCTTTGCCTGCATATTTGAAGTGTTTTACTCCCATGCACAGAACCATGGAAGAAGTTGTGCCAAGGATGGAGGGTTGGAAACACATGAAGAGCCTACTGAATCTTTGAGATTCTGGGAGCAGGAGATATCTTAGGCATAGCATTGATCTCATTATCAATTATCAACTATCAATCTGCCTGCCATTCAGGAGTCATCATATACAATTTCTGTGAAGGGCTCCCAAATTGAGTATGAATGTGGACCATATTTTCAAAACTAATGCTGAAAAGACAAGAAAAGAGAGGGGAAGCTATATGTGTGTGTGTAAAAGATGGAGAGAGGAAATTGAGAGAGAAAGAGAGAGAGAGGAAATTGAGAGAGAATAAATGGTTTAGCCTCTGCTGTTGCTCAGTGTAGCCAAATGGAGAAACATGGCGGAAATGAACTGCATAAATGTGGTGCCATGACTCTATGATAGCAAGTGACACGTCCTCTTGATCCACTTCAAGCTCAGGTTCTAAGTAATCTATTAGTGAGTATAATAGATGCATTCCTATATCTTCATTTCAAGCTAAATATTTGACTCTACTAGTTTATATAAAGTTGAGAAATGATCCTCTCAGCTATTTACATATTAAAACTTTGCTCTCATATAATTTTGAAAATAGACATCTAAATTAAAAGTATAATACAAAAGGCTTATAAAACTAAAACAATTTTTTTCTCCATTTCTGTAGAGAAAAAACATAGATATATACACACACATAAACATACAAACACATATAAATAAGGATATAACCCATATCCTCAAAAACATCATAAACATCCATTTTCATGATGATATCTTTCTATCAGCTAACATAATTGCTAGAGAAACAAAACTTAAACATGACTAAAAGAAGTAATTGTCTAAACACACATGGATTACAGCATAATTAAAGCAACCTATTCTCACACCTAAGTTTTACACAATATTCCTGGATTACTAATTTTAAAAATATCCTAGCATATGAGATGAAGAATATGGTATAAATCATTTCTAATATTAGATGAAAGTATACAATCTAATACTTGATTTTTTTTTTTTGATTATTTGATTTTGACCAAGAGGACACATGGTGATTCGGCATCAAGAGCTCTGTATTTAGGCCAGAATGGCAGTATTGCCATGAAGATCAAGTATTATAATGTTATTTAACACCTAGCTTTGTCAACCCTGACCAACTATAAAAATAAAAGGTCTGGATTTTAGGAGGGATTTTTTTGCTTTTGAATGTATAAATCTTTAACAAGAGAGCCACTAAAAGTAGAATGAAAGAATCACACTATTAAATTTAGCCTAAAGCTTCCTCCTTACATATTTTAAGTTCAGCCTAAAGGTTTCTCTGTACATCATAAACTGTAACCTAAATGGAGGTGTAAACACAATGTAGCCCACTCTTACACCAATCACCGAGTTTTGGCCAATCAAAGGTGGCCAACTGTTCAAACTGTGTTCAAATGAGGCAGATGCTGAGCTGTAACCAATCTGGCTGTTTCTATACCTCACTTCCGTTTTCTCTATGTCACTTTCCTTTTTCCGTCTATAAATCTTCCACAACGTGTCTGTGCTGGAGTCTCTGAGCCTACTCTTGCTTGGGAGACTGCATGATTCACAAATTGTTCTTTGCTCAATTTAATTCGGCTAAAGTTTTTCTTTGAACAATACTAACAGACATTCATGAAAGTTTAGAGAACTGCATTGAAGGAATTAAAGCCTAACTAATGACTCATCCTTTTCAACACAAAATAAGGATGAACATGTATAAATATCTACCAGCACCCTCCCTGACAACCTCAGGGTTTGCACTAAACAAGATGGGAAAACCAAAGGTTTAAAAATGTATAGGAAAATGATTCTAAATATAGGTACATTATCACCAGTTGAAAAAGTTTACTATGCAAGGTCCAAATACTATTTGCAAATGAAATTATTACCTAAAATTAAACAAAAATATCAACCTTTTATGATTTGTATGCTTATTTTAAATAAATATGAGTGACCCAAGTTTAAATTCTGGCATGCTGGGGGGGAAACATATTTTAAATGTCATTTTACCTTTTGTAGACCCTAAACTGGAACACCCTGATATGCAAGATTTGCTTAAGCAATATTTATACAATCCAACATTTTAAAAAGTATAAGGAATCGTTAATATATCAAATTAAGCATTGCCATATTTTTACAACTTAAATAATACTCTTTCATTCAAACTGTATTTTTTGGAAGAGGCCAAGTACTAAGTTATACCTTCTAAGGAAGATTTTTGGCAAGTTTTCAGTAACTAAAAGCAGGAGGTTGCAATAAAATCAGTTTTACAGGATGGGAGATAGCATTTGCTACCATGAATGCACACTATCTTCTTGTTCTGAGGGCAATAGATATAAAATACTGCATGAGGGAGAGAAATGGCCCTATGATTGTTATGGTTATGCCTTGAGCTTCATGCGCTATAATCACTATCTCAGTAAATTTGCCTTTCCAAAGGCAATATTTTACATAGCTGTTCTTTTTTACGCAAATCTTATTTGTGTGTGCTGCACACCAGCCAGTTTGGTAAGTGAAACTACTGGGCTGCTGAACACATATAAAATGCAGAAATAATAATAGCTTTTCTGTCACAAGCAGGACGCTACCCTGGTAGCAATCAACCAGGATGAAGATGCTAATCTGGTAACATTAAGCAAAAAGTAGTAATTATTTAAGATCAAGGCACCCACTTATCACAGGCCAACAAAACAATTATAGGGCCCTGATTAGATTTCTAAACAACTCATGCTAAAATCATGTCTTTAAGTCTGTTCAACAATTTAAATTGAGAAAATAAAACCTGGTTAATGACATATATGGTATTAGTTAAATTTGAAATTAGGTGAACTCAATTATTTATACAGTTTCCATTTTATTGTTTGAGTATTGTGAAATTTCCTCTGCCAATCTTCAAGTTAAATTACAAAGTTGGAAGGAAATTCAATAATCTATTCTGTCCTTTTATAAAATTCTTAAATCTTAAAATTCTTACAATCATTATATTGAAGCCTAAAATTCCTTGTTCCCCCTGTTCAAGTCCTGCTGACTAGGTTATCCGCAGGAGGTAACATATTATGGTGAGAGGCATAACGACAAATAGCTCAGGCTTTGTTCGGCAGACTGCCCAGGTTCAGATCCTTGCCTTATCACTTTCTAACACTATGGGGTTGAATAAATTATTTAAACTAGCTGACCCTTGGCCTCCCTGTGTGTAATACGCTATTGTGATTAAATCAGATAATCCAGACAAAGTGCTTGTCCCATTAAATGGCTTTTAAATATTAGTAGGTGGTAGAAGTAGAAATTCTCAAACAAGATACAAAAGGTGATACATAGGATACCTATTGGAGGGCGGTATTACTTCTTATTTCTCTAAAAATATTGACTTAATTTTCTGTTGCTTATAGTGATTCATCTTGCAATTATTTCTTTTCATAATCTTGTTATGTTAATAATAAAAGTCACATATTAAAAATGAAGCACTGGCCAGGTGTGGTGGTTCAGGCCTGTAATCCCAATGCTTTAATTAATCTATTTATTTTTATTTTATTTTATTTTTTTTGAGATGGAGTCTCGTTCTGTCACCCAGGCTGGAGTGCAGTAGTGCTATCTCGGCTCACTGCAAGCTCTGCCTCCTGGGTTCATGCCATTCTCCTGCCTCAGCCTCCCGAGTAGCTGGGACCACAGGCACCCACCACCACGCCCAGCTAATTTTTTTGTATTTTTTTTAGTAGAAATGGAGTTTCACCATGTTAGCCAGGATGGTCTCAATCTCTCGACCTCGTTATCCGCCCACCTCGGCTTCCCAAAGTGCTAGGTTTACAGGCATGAGCCACCGCGCCCAGCCAATCCCAGTGCTTTAAGGGGCTGAAGCAGGAGGATTGCCTGAGGCCAGGAGTTTGAGACCAGCCCGGGCAACATGGCAAGACCCCTCAAGACTCTACAAAAAAAAAAAAAATTAAAAATTAGCCAGTCGTGATGGTGCACACCTCTAGTCCCAGCTACTCAGGAGGCTACAGGGAGGATTGCTTGAGCCCAAGAGGTCATGTCTATAGTGAGCTATGATCTTGCCAATGCACTCCAGCCTGGATGACACAATGAGACTGTCTAAAAAAAAAAATTGTAAAAATAAAAATTAAGAAAAAAATGAAGCACGACTTTGATGTTCCATGAAGGTAGGCTGCCTGTTTTCAATGCTCAGTTCTGCTGATGATTTACTGGGTAAAACAGAAATACTATTAGCATCTGCATCATAGATTGTCTGAGCTGAGAAGTAAATGAGTTAATAGGTTACATGCTTAAAACAGTATGAGGAACCTAATGAGTGCTAAAGAAGTATTAACTATTATTATTCAGATATGTGTAAATTTTTGGCCATCCAATGTATTAAATTCCCAGGTTTTGCCTCTGATTGTTTCTGCACATATGTTACTAGTCTTCTCTGATACAGAATTCCATTTTTTTCTAACTCTTTGTCTTTCTAATAAACCAGCTACCATCAGACTTTGCAGAAAGGATACATATTTAGGAAGTTGGCACTTCAGTTTATCTACACTTAAAAAATAAATGGGATATTATTATGCCAAAAAAATGCAGATTTGCAAATTTCCCTATTCTTTATTGATGGTTCCTCTATTATTTTTCTTTGAGTTCTACCCTATATCCCAGATTTTTTTAAATTTCAGTTGTTCCATTTGCTAGTCTACAACATATTTGTGAAATCACTGCCAAATCTCCACAGCATCAATGTAAATCTTATATGATATTAGCTTAATTTAAAAAAAATTCTTTTCTCCAATATGTTCATTAAAATCATGTTATGAGGAACTATTAAACAATATTTATATAATAGAAGTGAAAATGCATTATGAACAATAGAAGTGAAAATGCATTATGAACATTGCAGTCAATTTCATTTTAAAAAGTTAAATTTTCACTAAAATATCCATGTTATTAGATGAACATTTATTTTTGGACTGATGAGCACTCTTTAGTTAAACAACTGGAAGACAAGAAAATGTGGTAATACTTCTAAGAGGAGGCAGAAGGATTAAATGCAGTGCATGGTCAATCCTTTTAAGATGGCTGCTTAATAACATCACAAATAGGCACAATTTCAAACTAACATTACAATAAATTTAACTTATTCGATAAAGGTAAAAGGGGGAATAGAATACCTTCATCATTCTAAGTGCTGATTTGAATGAACTCTTCCTTTCTTTGAATATAATTGCTACTTCACTGCAAATGTATTTTTTTAATGTAGCTCTTACACATACATGAAATAAGCTCTTGCTTCACTTTTTGTGTGCTAAATGCGCAATTAAAACATCATTACTCTGCAGTAGCAGGTTTTCTCATTTAAGCTTGAGAAAAGCTGCCATTACATTGGTCGTAACTATATGTGAATGCACTTGTCATATCTTAAAGCACCTCATGCAATGAGGTATTACGAAATGAAAGACACCTATTGGTCTGGGATATTCACGCATGAGCAAGCTGACCAGACAACTTTCAGGTAAGGTAAGGCACTATAAGACAATGACATATGAATCACTTTTATAAATATACTCATCTATGTGAAAATTAAGCCTATATTTTACTTTCATGATGATGGAGGTGACTCCTAGAGACCTGAAAACCATTGTATTTTCATACCACAGCTTAGTTTTACCTCCAAAGAACTGCTTTTGCTAGATTGGCCTGAACATTTATTTTAACACTTTGAGATATGTTTAATACTTCAGCTAGGATCAACATTTCCACTAAAGGACCTTGAACTATACTCAGTTATCTATTTTATAAATTCTTGAAAAATTTAACAGCCTTGGGTGAGTGGAAAGAGTAATTTCAAACAACAGCATTTCTGTAGCTAACTGATTATATTTAGGTGTAAATCAGTGTGAGTCTCCAGACTTGGCATATAATCTTTCTAGACTTCTGGAAAGAAACAGAATACCAGATATGCCTGAATGGGACAGCCTCATTCTGCAAATCAGGAGACCAGGGTTTTATACCAGTGTTTCTACCTGCTGGTTCTAGAACTCTGGATAAGTCACTTAAAAAAATACCTGAAACTTGAGTTTTTATCTACCAAGCACATTGGTTGGAGTCAGTGAGCTTCTGACTCACTTCTTGCCTCCAACTACTATGACCTTTCTTAAGAAACACTACTTCTAAATGGGATAAAATGTCGTTTTGATGGCCTAAATTCTTCAGTGGTATAACCACTTTGAAGACTTCATTTTCTAAAAGGCCTAATCATTATATCAGAATGCAGAACTAGTGAGCTCCTACCACATATACAACATCTGTCAATGGCTTTCAGCTTCCTATGCTGTGCAAATGAAGATCTTGACTGGAAATGAATCTTTTGAACAGATGGACCTGCGCTGTTTCTTGGAACTTTGAAAGCTGTACAGTGTGCCTGCCATGAACTATTCTATGTGACTCATGGAAGTAGATGACTGTTTGCGTTGCCATTTATGCACATTCATCCACTCAGAAGCAGATCAGCCGTTTCTCTCTGGATGACATTCAATGCTAGCAAAACAAAGCATTTTCTGATTTTTAAGTAGCTAATAAATTCCTTTGACACTTTAAAAAACATTTGTTAAGACAAGACTTTGCTTCCCCTTCTCTTGGTACCCCAACACACACACACTGTGTTTGTTTCAGGTGCAGAATCACACACACAAAATTAAGATAATGGTGAAAGTCAACAGCATATGGAATAAGTAGAAATCTCTTGAAGACATTCAAAAAATCCTTAAGTCAGGAAAACAATTATTTTAAATGCCTCAAGGAAATCTTAGCAGGCTTTTTAAGATATTTATTCTATATGCCAGCATAGTTCATACATTTTTACAGACAGTTGAAATTCTGAACTCAATTCAAAGGTACTTTACCTGCTAAATTTGATATTAAGTTCATTTTTTTAGACTAGGCTTTCATTTGTAGAAGAGTAATTTGAATTGATAGTTTTTATCCCCTTTCTGCCAGAAAGCTTTACTTTATAAGTTTCAATCTGGTCAAGAATCACCAGTCTCACTACAGAAGCTTTAAAAATTGTACTTTAAAAAATGAGTTTAAGATAGTTGGAGTTAGGGGTGAAGAAGATATGAAACTTGGAAGAAATTCCTTTTCGCAGCCTAGAGAGCATTTTCTATTAACTTCTTTGTTGGTTTGTGTTACAAACACAAATGGCTCTTAGGGACAACCTTTCCTTGAGATACTGAAACCACCTTTGCAAAAACTGTATCAGGAAGAAAATTATGGCAGTTGGGGGGGATCTAATCTAGCCAAACCCTATCTTGCCTTTGGCATTCAACCTGATCTTAATTATTTCTGGGTTTAAGCCAAGCTAACTTTGGAAGACATTCAGTTTATAGTTTAAGTAATAGTAGCCTTTCCCCAAAACTCAACCGCCTTTGTAAAGCTAAGGAAAGATCACCAGGGTAGGAGGATAGAGGAGCCTGAATTCTGCTAAGGCATAGACATAAACAATTGCCAGCCATTGTTCTAGATGTCACAATGGATGCAAATTCTCCAATTACTCCTACAGATAACATCACTGTTGTAGAACCTAATATGGGTCTTTTGAGATATCTTTTCAGGGTTTTTGCATGCCTGACACCAATGGCTCCACCTGGTCCCAAGCAATTCAGCCCACAGGAGGACCATTTCCCACACCTATATGACTGCATCCCCAACCAACAGTAGCAAGCAATCATTCCCTAGCCACTCCTAGCCCTTCCCTCAAACTATCTTTGAAAAACCCTAGCCCCCAGATTATCAGAGAGCTTGATTTGAGTAACAGCTTCATCTCCTGTGTGGCATGGCTGGCCTCTGATCAATTAAATTATTTATTGCAATGCCATGGTCTCTATGAATTGATTTTGTTTGTGCAGCGGGCAAGAAGAACCCTTAGGGCGGTTACACACCTGTCTGAATGAAGAATATGTTGCTGTCACTTAAAAGGACTTGATGTAACCTGTGAAAGGACAAAAGCAGTACCAGAAGTTTGTGAGAACATGCCAGAAGCAGCACATGGAGATGGAGCATTCTCTCCGCTCCATCCCTATCATCTTCCATAGAATTAAGAGATGATCATTCTATATGTGGTAAATCTTTTATTTTAAAAATCCCCTTCTGTAAATTTCAAACTAAAATCCATTTTCTGAAGGATAGGGCAACACAGATGGCGATGTTTAACATGTTGGGTGCTTTTGCTTTTTTTTTTCTTTTTTCAGTTTCCTAGATGTAATTCTTTTTGGACTTTTCTGATAACAACCATCATAGTTCAGTAATCTTGAATTTCCAAAGTGTGTCAAAATATAAATGCTTAAATCTAATTATTTATAATGCTTAGATGCAGGTATGAAATAATATTCAATTATGGGGCAATTTAAATATATAAAGAATGGACCATTAGGTAAGAATGCAGCCTTTATTTGGTTTATGGAGATTAAGTGAAAGTCTGATGGCTCAGTACTTTTCATGCTTATTTCCAAATAATAGCACTTTGAACACTAACAGAAGTCCAAGAATACACCCAGATTTTTGTAGTATCCATTTCCTATTTTGGGGAAAACAATACTGCAGAGCCATTGTAGGTGACATAACATAATGGCTCTTTGTGGCCAATTATTTATTCAGTGTACGGGCCTCACATCAGTTTAAAGAATGATGCCTCTCTCTACTTTTTAATAACAATAATCCAATGCCTTTCTTTACTGACCACTGAGGCAGTTCTTTGCCCTCTGACTCCCTAAAGCTGTACCAAGTTCATTGTCCCCTCTGAAATCAGGGGCACTTAAATGCTAATGGTAACCACAAGAAAGAATAGGTCACAGTTAATCCTGTTAGCACCATGTACACACCTGCTGCTTTAAACCAAGACGGGAGCTCATTTCTGGAGTTGTTTTGAATCTTTACTTCTCAATGAAACTTCTGTCCCTTCCTTAGAATCCGACCAACACTAGGATTCGCCACAACTAGTGCTCCAACATGGAGCCAAAACTTTTTTGAGTGTGGAGAAATCAAAAATTGTCATCAGGCACAGCAGAAACCTTCTCTTTCTACTTCTCCATTCGAACTTGAAGAGTTTTACACGTTTGCCTAAGGAACAAACACATGTCAGGCACTCCACTGTTTAACAGATTATTACAGAAAGCAAACCTGGGAGAAAGGGGACATTACAACAAGCATAAAGGGACAACAAGACAATAATGTCCTTTACCTCCAAAAAAGCTCACAGTGGGGATAGGTTTGTATCTCTCTTAGAAGATTATATAATCTTAGTACATCATTTTTTAATTTCAAAGAGACACACACCTTTAAATGGGACTAAAATAAACAGTTTTTACAAGAAATTTAAAAAAAAAGGACAGTAAGCATTTCTTGTGAGTATTTGGGGAGCATTCTGCACAAACCTAAGAAAAAAGTTCATTAAAAGCAAGGAAGAAAGTGGACAGAAATCAAGACATAGTCATCTAAGCGCAAAGTGTAAAATAACTGTAGAAACAATATTAGGTAGTAATAATAAATTATAATTCAAAGATAAAATATTTGTGATCTTAACCATTCATAGCCTTGCCTGATCATCCATGCCTAGAGTAATTTATAATTTGCTGAGGCAGGAATTTGAACCATACACACTTTAAGGGTGATAAATGGAACCAAGTCACTTAACCAACATATGGATCTAGTCACCCCTGGGCGGCATTCATTTTTCAAGCCAACTTTGTTGCTCTCTAATCATTATTAATTATGTAATCCTCATTAACAGTCAGAATGAGATTCATGACATATTTCAGTTGTAACTTATGATATTTTATAGATATAGATAGATGTTTAAAAGTTTTATTGGCCAGGTGCAGTGGCTCATGCCTGTTATCCCAACACTTTGGGAGGCCAACGCGGGTGGATCACCTGAGGTCAGGAGTTCGAGACCAGCCTGACCAACATGGTGAAACCCCATCTCTACTAAAAGTACAAAAAATTAGCTGGGGGTGGTGGCGGTTGCCTGATCCCAGCTACTCTGGAGGCTGGGGCAGGAAAATCGCTTGAACCTGGGAGGCAGAGGTTGCAGTGAGCCAAGATCATGCCATTGCACTCCAGCCTGGGTGACAAGAGTGAGACTCTCTCTCAAAAAAAAAAAAAGTTTTATTTATACTCCCTTTTCCAAAGTACTCCAGCGATATCAAAACATACTATTTGAATTTCAAATATTTGAAGAATAATTCAGTAGTTGAGAGGAAAATATGAGTAACAATAATAAATAATAAATCGTATGTAAATTGGCTATTAATAGTAATTTAGGCTCCGACAATAGAGGGGTTTTGGTTGTATAAGTTAAAAGTAAAGTAAAGCACTTTCTACATAAATTTGAGAGGTTGGAATAGTTAAAACTAATAGCAAGAAAAAAGACTAATCATGTAATTAGAAGAAAAATATATTTTCTAATTTTGAAAATATTTGTGTTATTGAGTAATTAGAACAGGCCCCTGTTTTCTTATCACTGCTAATCCTGGCCTCTCCCTCCTAAACCAGAAAATGTAAGATTTAAATGATGGTTTGAGGAAGAGTGGAACTTTTGTATTCTGGCCAGAGTCGAGTCTAGATGCCTTTATTTAGATATATCAAAGCCAACACAGTTGTGAAGTGGGTCAGTGTTATGACCTGCAGTGGACACATGTAGTTGAAGATAAATGATAAAGACTGAGAAAATTTAGGAGAGTTTCAGTTTTTTGTTTTTCTGTTTTTAAGAAAAAGCGAGTCGCATATGGAGAAATACATCATCTACACATTTCCAATCCTCCATTTTCTTTATGTCGTTCAAAAACATAGAAATGTTTTCAGGGACTTTTTAAAAATTTCATATATACCCATTGAACACTTTAAGAGTAGAATAACTTTTTCCTATATGTCTTATCTCTAATCAGTTTCTAATCATCTTTCTAATCTATTTCCTACTCTTGGTCCCACTACTACACTCTTTATTCCACCTGGTGTGTATAATTGCAATAATGCCCTGACTTGTCTTGTTCCCTGCTGTTCCTCCTCCTCTTTGCCACCATCATCCTGAAAAGAAAAATCTATAATACTATCCTATTACAGGAAGAAACATAAACTTATTTATGATATATAACATCCTTCATGATTAGACCCCAAACACCCAGATTCATCTCCCCTTCTTCCCAATGTCTCCACAAAACATGCATGCACCACTCTAGTCATGCCTACTTAATCCTAGGACTTGATGTGCCCATTCATGTCCCCTGATCTTTGTGTTTGTTTTAGCTTTGCCTAAAATACACTTGTTTCAAATCCCAGAAGAAATGTGGCCACTTCATGATTTATCCGATCAGCACTTTGTCATAGTTCTATTATAAAACATATTTCATCATATTATGATTATTAATCTGTTTCTCTCACTAAAATACGAGGTATTGGAGAAAAAGAATATTAGCATACATTTTGTTTCGTCAGTGCTAAGCAGCATATCAGGCACATAAATGATGCCTAATATTTATTAAATGAAAGATTGAAACAATGGATGCATGGAGAGATGAATAAATAAATGAACACGTGAATGAATTAATATAAGGAAAAAGGCGATAAGTAATTTCAGAAGAAGGAAAGCTAGAATCGATATTTGGATTCTCTGTAAACAGCAAGGGGGGTGATTAGGTGACCCAAAGGGTCAGTTCCTCAATCTTTAATTTTTCTAGGATTATCCCTATGATTCTGCAGTTTCAGCATCTGAAATTATAGATACACATGGGTCCTGACATTCAGCTTCACATTTTCACCTCAGATATTTAAATTTATTCTCACTTGGAAAAGGTCTGATTTTAAAAACAAAATTAATTCATGAAAATAATGATGCAAGTAGATAATAGCAATCTGTGATGCTCTAATTGGTATTAGACTAATCACTTGGGATGTGGAAAATGTCCAAATGAATGCATCAAGGTTAATGCTGGCATATTCATTACAGTTAATATTTCAGTTAGAAGCTATCCCTTAAAAAAATACACCTATCTCCTGAGTAATTTCCATACAGCTGCTTAACACTGTCAGGAAATTCTTCTCATGAAATATTTCATGAGACAATTACCCTACACCAAGGAATTACATGCTCACTTGACATCAGATATGGTGGTGCAAATGAAATAGCATCAAATTTCCTGTAATAGAACACAGTAAACAAATAGCACAATGATTGGTTCACCATTGCCCCAAAATAATATTGTGCATGCAATCACTTATGTGCATGCACACAAACAGAATTATGTACTGTATATATTACAGTTCAGGATGGCTGACCTCTCTCCTGCTTTATTTTTCCTATCAAATCTGGAGACTAGTATTTTTAAAGCATGTATGTGGCATGATTTTTATTTTTTATTGTTGATACTTTGATTTGGGGTTTCCCCCTCATAATAGTTTCTGAATGTGGAACTGCATGAACAAAGAGAAGACACATTTTATATTTTTTGGTGTTCTTTTCTCTTTTTCTTTCTTTCTTTCTTTCTTCCTCTCCCTCTCCCTCTCCTCTCTCCTTCCTTCCTTTCTTCCTTCCTTCCATTTCAATACTTTTGGGGGAACAGGTGGTTTTTGGTTATGTGGATAAGTGCTTTAGTTGTGATTTCTGAGATTTTTGTACACTCATCCCCTGAAGAGTGTACACTATACCCAATGTGTAGTCTTTTATACCTCACCCCTCACCATCCCTTCTCCCCGAGTCCCCAAAGTTTATTGTATCATTCCTATGCCTTTGTGTCTGCACAGCTTAGCTTTCACTTATAAGTGAGAACATACAATGTTTGGTTTTCCATTCCTGAGTTACTTCACTTAGAATAATGGCCTCCATCCAGGTTACTGTGAAAGAAATTATTTCATTTCTTTTCATGGCTGAGTAGTATTCCATGGTATGTCTATGTGTGTGTGTGTGTGTGTGTGTGTGTGTGTGTGTGTGTGTGTGTGTGTGTATACACCAGATGGGTGTATATGTATATACACCCAGTAGTGAGATTGCTGGATCAAATTGTACATCTACTTTTAGTTCTTATGGAATCTCCACACTGTTTTGCATAGTGGTTGTACTAGTTTACATTCCCCCCAGCAGTGTAAGTGTTCTATTTTCACCACATCCATACCAATGTCTATTATTTTTTGATCTTTTAAATTATGGCCATTCCATTGTGGTTTTGATTTGCATTTTCCTGATAATTAGTGAGGTTGAGCATGTTTTTATGTTTGTTGGCAATTTGTATATCTTTCTTTTTTATCTATTTATGTCCTTAGCCCACTTTTTGATGGGATTATTTGTTTCTTGATGATTTGAGTTCCTTTGTAGATTCTGGATATAGTTTTTTGTTGGATGCATAGTTTGCAAGTATTGTCTCCCACTCTGTGGGTTGTCTGTTTACTCTGCTGATTATTACTTTTGCTGTGTAGAAGCTTTTTATTTCAATTAAGTCCCATCAATTTATCTTTGTTTTTGCCACATTTGCTTTTGGGTTCTTTGTCGTGAATTCTTTGCATAAGCTGGTGTCTATAAGAGTTTTTCTGATGTTGTCTTCTAGAATTTTTATGGTTTCATGTCTAACATTTAAGCCTTTGATCCATCTTGGGTTGATTTTTTTATAAGGTGGGAGATGAGGATCCAGCTTCATTCTTCTGCATGTGGCTTGCCAGTTATCCCAGCACCATTTGTTGAATAGGGTGTCCTTTCCCCACTTTATGCTTTTGTTTGCTTTGTCAAAGATCATTTAGCTATAAGTATTTTGCTTCATTTCTGGGTTCTGTATTCTGTTCCATTGGTCTTTGTGCCTATTTTTATACCAGTACCATGCTGCTTTGGTGACTATAGCCTTATAGTATAGTTTGAAGTTCAGAAAATGTGAGGCCTCCAAATTTGTTGCTTTTGCTTAGTCTTGCTTTGGCAAAGCAAGTAACCTGGATGGAGTTGGAGGCCATTATTCTAAGTGAAGTAACTCAGGAATGGAAAACCACACATCGTATGTTCTCACTTATCAGTGAAAGCTAAGCTATGCAGACACAAAGGCATAAGAATGATACAATAAACTTTGGGGATTTGGGGAGAAGGGTTGGTGAGGGGTGAGGTATAAAAGACTACACAGTGGGTATAGTGTACACTCTTTGGGTAATGGGTGCACAAAAATCTGAGAAGAGTTTCTTTTTTCTTTTTTTTTTTTTAGAAAAAGCAAGTCACACGTGGGGAAATAACATCATTTACACATTTCTAATCCTCCATTTTCTTTACATTGTTCTAAAATATAGAAATGTTTTCAGGGACTCTTTTTTTAATTTGATATATACCCATTGAATGTTTTAAGAGTAGAATAACTTTTTTCTATATGTTTTATCTCTAATTGGTGGGCTCTTTTTTGGTTCCATATGAATTTTAGGATTTTTTTCTTCTAGTTATATGAAGAATGATGGTGGTATTTAGATGGGAATGCATTGAATTTGTAGATTGCTTTTGGCGGTATGCTTATTTTCACAATATTGATTCTACCCATCCATGAGCATGAGATGAGTTTCTATTTGTTAGTGTCGTCTATGATTTCTTTCAGCAGTGTTTTGTAGCTTTCCTTGTGGAGGGTTTTCACCTCCTTGGTTAGGTGTACTCCTAGGTATTTTATTTTTTGTGCAGCTATTGTAAAAGTAGTCAAGTTCTTGATTGGATTCTCAGCTTGGTCACTATTGGTGTATAGCAGTGCTACTGATTTGTGTACATTGATTTTGTATCCTGAAACTTTACTGAGTTCATTTTCAGATCTAGGAGCTTTTTGGATGAGTCCTTAGGGTTTTCTAGGTATCCAATCATATCACCAGTGAACAGTGACAGTTTGACTTTATCTTTACCTATTTGGATGTCCTTTATTTCTTTTTCTTATCTGATTGCTCTGGCTAGGACTATGTTGAATAAAAGTGGTGAAAGTGGACATCCTTGTCTTGTTCCAGTTCTCAGGGGGAAGAATGCTTTCAACTCCTCCCTGTTCAGTATAATGTTGGCTGTGGGTTTGTCATGAATGGCTTTTATTATCTTAAGGTATGTCCCTTCTATACTAATTTTGCTGAGGGTTTTAATCATAAAGTGATGATAGATTTTGTCAAATGCTTTTTCTGAGACTATTGAGATGATTATGTGATTTTTGTTTTTAATTCTCTTTATGTGATGTATCACATTTATTGACTTCCATATGTTAAGCCATCCCTGAATCCCTGGTATGAAGCACACTTGATCATGGTGGATTATCTTACTGATAAGCTGTTGGATTCAATTAGCTAGTAATTTATTGAGAATTTTTGCATCTATGTTCATCAAGGATATTGAACTGTAGTTTTCTTTTTTTATGTTATCTGGTTTTGAAATTAAGGTGATACTGGCTTGATAGAATGATTTAGGGAGGATTCTCTCTTTCTGTACCTTTTGGAATAGTTTCTGTAGAATTGGTACCAATTCTTCTTTGTTTTATAAATTCAGCTGTGAATCCATCTGGTCCTGGACCTTTTTTTTTTGACAATTTTTTTTATTACCATTTCAAACTTGCTGCTTGTTATTGGTCTGTTTAGAGTTTCTATTTCTTTCTGGCTTAATCTAGGAGGGTTGTATATTTCCATGAATTTATCTATCTCCTCTAGGTCTTCTAGTTTCTGTGCATAAAGGTGTTCATAGTAGCCTTGGATGATCTTTTGCATTTCTGTGATATCAGTTATAATATCTCCCATTTTGTTTCTAATTGAGCTTATTTGGATCTTCTCTTTTCTTTTGTTGGTTAATCTTGCTAATGGTGTATCAATTTTGTTTATCTTTTCAAAGAATCAGCTTTTTGTTTCACTTAACTTTTGTATGGTTTAGTTACACTTTCATTTAGTTCTGATCTTTGTTATTTCTTTTCTTCTGCTGGGTATGGGTTTGGTTTGTTCTTTTTTCTCTAAATACTTATGGTGTGACCTTAGATTGTCTATTCATGCTCTTTCAGACTTTTTAATGTAGGCATTCAATGACATGAACTTTCCTCTTAGCACTACATTTGCTGTATCCCAGTGGTTTTGATAGGTTGTGTCACTATTATCATTCAGTTCAAACAATTTTTAAATTTCCATCTGGATTTCATTGTTGACCCAACATGAATCATTCAGGAGCGGATTACTTAATTTCCATGTATTTGCATACTTTTGAGGGTTGTTTTTTTTTTTTTTTTCAGTCGATGTGCAGTTTTATTCCACTGTGGTCAGAGAGAGTACTTGATATATTTTGATTTTCTTAAATTTATTGAGACTTGTTTTGTGGCCTATCATATGGTCTATCTTGGAGAATGCTCCATATGCTGATGAATAGAATGTATATTGTGCAGTTTTTGGATAGAATGTTCTGTAAATATCTGTTAAGTCCATTTGTTCTGGGGTATAGTTTAAGTCCATTGTTTTTTTGTTGACTTTCTGTCTTAATGACCTGTCTAGTGCTGTCAGTGGAGTATTGAAGTCTTCCACTATTATTGTGTGGCTGTCTGTCTCATTTCTTAGGTCTAGCAGTAATTGTTTAATAAATTTGGGATCTCCAGCATTAGGTGCATACACATTTAAGACTGTGATCTTTCTCTGTTGGACTAGTCTTTTTATCACTATATAATGTCCTTCTTCCTCCTTTTTTTAATTGTTGTTGCTTTAAAGTCTGTTTTGTCTGATATAAGAATAGCTATTTCTGCTTGCTTTTGGTGTCCATTTGCCTGGAATATCTTTTTCCACCCCTTTGCCTTAAGTTTATGTAAGTCCTTATGTGTTAGGTGAGTCTCTTGAAGACAGCAGATACTTGGTTGGTGACTTCTATCCATTCTGCCATTCTGCATATTTGAAGTGGAATATTTAACATTTAGGCCATATACATTCAATGCGAATATTATTGAGATGTGAGGTACTATTCTATTCATCATGCTAGTTGGTGTCCCAATACCTTGATTTTTTTTTCATTGTATTATTGTTTTATAGTCCCTGTAAGATTTATGCTTTAAAAAGTTTCTATTTTGGTGTAATTCAAGGTTTTGTGTCAAGATTTAGAATTTCTTTTAACAATCTTATAGTATTGGCTTGGTAGTAGCAAATTCTCTCAGCATTTGTTTGTCTAAAAAATGCTTTATCTTTCCTTCATTTATGAAGCTTAGTTTCACTGAATACAAAATTCTTGGCTGATTTTTTTTTTCATTTAAGAAGGCTAAAAATAGCACCCCAATCTCTTCTAGCTTGTATAGTTTCTGCTGAGAAATCTGATGTTAATCTGGTAAGTTACCTGATGCTTTTGCTTCACAGCTCTTAAGATGGCTTCTTTCATCTTGATTTTAGATAACCTGATGACTATGTGACTAGGCAATAATCTTTTTGCTATGAATTTCCCACTTTTTTTCTGAGGTTCTTGTATTTGGATATCTAGATCTCTAGCAAGACCATGAAAATTTTCCTCAATTATTTTATCAAATAAGTTTTCTAAAGTTTTAGATTTCTTCCTTGGGAACACCAATTATTCTTAGGTTTGGTCGTTTAACATAATCTCAAACTTCTTGGAGGCTCTATTAATTTTTTAAATTTTTTTCTTTGTTTTTGTCAGATTGAGTTAATTTGAAAGCCTTGTCTTGGAGCCCTGAATTTCTTTCTTCTACTTGTTCAATTCTATTGTTGATACTTTCCAGTGTATTTTGCATTTTTCTAAGTGCATCTTTCATTTCCAGAAGTTGTGATTGTTTTTTATTTATGATATCTATTTCTCTGGTGATTTTTCATTCATATTCTGTATTATTTTTTAAATTTCTTTAAGTTTGTTTTCACCTTTCTCTGGTGTCTCCTAAAGTAGCTTAATAATTGACCTTCTGAATTCTTTTTCTGGCAATTCAGAGATTTCTTCTTGATTTGGATCCCTTGCTGTTGAGACAGTGTGATATTTTGAGGGTGTTATGGAACCTTATTTTGTCATATTACCAGAATTATTTTTTCTGGTTCCTTCTCATTTGGGTATACTATGTCAGAGGAAAGATCTGGGACTCAAGGGCTGTTGTTCAGATTTTTTATCCCATGGGGTGATCCCTCGATGTGGCACTCTTCCCCTTCTCCTAGGGATAGGACTTCCTGAGAGAAAGACTGCAGTGACTGTTATTGCTCTTCTGGATCTAGCCATCCAGCAGAGCTACTGCGCTCTGGACCAGTATTGGATAGTGTCTGCAAGGAGTACTGTGATGTGATCTGTCTTCAGGTCTCCCAGCCATGGATACCAGCACCTGCTGTGGTGGATGTAGCAAGGGAGTGAATTAAATTCTGTGGGGTCCTTCACTGCAGTTTTCTTTAGTGCACTGGTTTTTCTGAACACTGATTATGCTAGCAGTGAAGCTGTCACATGGACAGACTCAGGACCTCTGGTTAGCCAGGATGTTATAGGCAGTGGAATTAGCTGGTGTATTTTTCTTCCTCGGAGCAGGGTTGTTCTAAGTTGTTATAATATCTTGAGTTAGTTGGCATCCAGCAAGGAGGTGGTGGTTTCAAGAGAATATCAGCTGCAGTAGTACAGGGGAGACAGAAGCTTGCCCTCAGGTCTCCTGAATAAGTATTGGGTTTCTCAGGCAATGGGTGGGGCCGTAGAGCTCCTACAAGCTTACGTCTTTTGTCTTTGCCTACCAGGGTAGGTAGAGAAAGACCATCAAGTGGGTGCAGGGTTAGGTGTGTCTGATCTCAGACTCTCCATGGGCAGGGCTTGCTGCAGCCACTGTGTGGTATGGGGATGTGGTTCTCAGGCCAATCGATTCATGTTACAAGGGGATTATGGCTGCCTCTGCTGCTTCATACAGGTCACCAGGTAAGTGGGGAAAGTTGGCAGTGACAAGCATCACCCAACACCTACACAGTCAACAGGCCAGTCTCATTCCTGCCATGCTCCCCCAACAGCCAACAGAGCCAAATTTACATCCAGGCCTTCAGTGTACAGGGCTGAGATCTTGTCCCAGGCTACAAGCCTTCCCTCTGAGAAAGCAGGCAGGGATTTCAGGCTTTGCCCCTCCCTGTCTGTTGTGCCTTCTGTGCTCATATCTGCACTTCCAATTTGCACCCCCACCATAGGATTCTGCCCAGGAAATTAGCACTCAGTTGAAATTATTACAAAGTTCAACTGGAAGTCTCCTTCCCCTTGTGGCCCTTCCCCAATTCCATTGACTGCCTTCCCCAAGGACCCCTGTGAGATAAAGTCAGAAATGGCTTCCCTGGGGACTGGGAGTACCTCCAGGGTTCTTCCCACTGCTTCTTCTACTTTCGTATCTTGCTCTGTTCTCTAAATTTGTTTCAGCTCTAGGTGAGGTTAAATCCTTCTCCCATCATCTGGTTTTTCAGTTTCCCCAGTGAACAAGATGGACTTTACCCCTCCAAACTTGGGTACTGAGTTTTTTGTCTGTCTTATGGAGTTTACTGGCAACAAGCTACATCTTGTGAATTCTTTTGTTTTTTCTGGTACGTTCCTGTGGTGGTTCTTGAAGCAAAAGTTTACAATGTTAGTCTCCACACGCTGTTCTGTGTGTCCAAGTGGGAGCTGCAAGTTAGTCCTACCTCCTATCTGCCATTTTCCAGCAGTTAATTTTTGCTTAGCAGAAGTACAACACATTTTTTGGCTTAGACTAGGACCAAAAAATTGGGTTTTGGTTAAAACTGCTGCTCATTCTGTTACTCAAGGAATCCTGAAACCCTGCTCATTCTTCTTTTACTTCCGCCTCTCAGATCATAATTGTTGCATCAGTAGACAACTTAATAAACTTCCATGTTCTTTTGTAAAACCCCGAGAATTATTCTGTGAGATAGTCCCCATTTATGATTTACTGCTATTAATATTATTAGTCTTTGTTACTAATTATCATTATCCCCAGTTTACAGTTGAGGACACGGAACCTCAGAAAAATTAAGTGAAACTTCCCAAAGATGCAGGGAAGCAGGAAGAAATAGTCTGGGGAAAAGATTCTTAGTTTTGGGCTTCAAAACCAGTGAAACAGGTTATGTGTTCTAGGTTCTTCTATTTCTTCATTTAGCTAATATTTATTGAGCATGTACTAAGTGGGAGGCACTATCCTAGGTGTGAAGAAAAAGATAAAAATCACTCCTCTGTGGAACTATCTACAGAGGCAGGCAAACAACAGACATAATACATAAAATTTTAATGTATTTTAGGCCCTGCCAAGAGAAGAATTAAGTCGAGAGAAAGAGAGGGACTTTTGAGACAGGGATGTACAATTTTAATTGATGTAGATGAGGAAGACTTGCTGAGAAAGTGAGGTTTCAGTAAGAGCATATGGAGATAAGAGAGCCAGTCAAGTGGGTAGCTGGGAAAAGAGCATTTTAGGCAGAGGTAACAGCATCTGCAGAATATCTGAGATGAAAAAAGTACAAAAGGGTGGTGTGGTGTCAGTGAAATAAGCAAGGAAGAAAGTAGTAGGAGATGAGATCACAGGTTTGTTCATTTGTCTGTTTACTTCCTTGTTTATTCGATGAATAACTCAATGAATTATTCAATGAATCTTACTGTGCTACCACGTTATTTACTAAGGCTAAACCGTAGGCAAAAGCAGACATGGTCCTTGCTGTCATGGAGTCACACTAAAAAGAAATGCAATGAAGTTTCCGGTAACACACATGACTTTGTAACTTCCTCCCTCAGAAAGCCTCATGCTTGGAATTGAAACTGAATAGAGGTTGGATGGGCATGAGAGACAATGCAGACCTCTATTTATAAGTCCTGGAGGCCAGTGTTCTGTTCCTTCTGTTCAGATGGTGATAGTTAGCAATGTTTTGGGGAGAGACAAGGAGGTTCAGATGGTGATGGTTTGCAATGTTTTGGGGAGAGACAAGGTGGAGTGAGCAAGTGATTTTTTGTGTGTGTGTGTGTGTGTGTGCGTGCGTGCGTGCATGTGTTAAGCAACAGAAGATTTTCCTGCTAAATGTTTTCAGCTGACTGATGGGAGAAAATTCCTGAATGCATGGTTTATATTCACTTAAATTTTAGCTATATTGAAATATTCCTTAGTATAGAAAACCAATCTAGAACAAGAAGTCTGTCCATGAGGAAATCTTTGAAGGCATACCCCCATCTCTTATACACTCAATCTATTCAGCTGCTCTTGGGTTAATGAAATCCAAGAGAAATTGAGCTCAGTCATGAGAAAACATGCCATGTCTTGGCTTTTAGGGGGTTCTGAAAGAAAGAAATAGATAAAAATCTGAACTAACATGTCCTTCGCCCACTTTTTGATGGGGTTGTTTGTTTTTTTCTTGTAAATGTGTTTGAGTTCATTGTAGATTCTGGATATTAGCCCTCTGTCAGATGAGTAGGTTGTGAAAATTTTCTCCCATTTTGTAGGTTACCTGTTCACTCTGATGGTAGTTTCTTTTGCTGTGCAGAAGCTCTTTAGTTTAATTAGATCCCATTTGTCAATTTTGCCTTTTGTTGCCATTGCTTTTGGTGTTTTAGACATGAAGTCCTTGCCCATGCCTATGTCCTGAATGGTAATGCCCAGGTTTTCTTCTAGGGTTTTTATGGTTTTAGGTCTAACGTTTAAGTCTTTAATCCATCTTGAATTAATTTTTGTATAAGATGTAAGGAAGGGATCCAGTTTCAGCTTTCTACATATGGCTAGCCAGTTTTCCCAGCACCATTTATTAAATAGGGAATCCTTTCCCCATTGCTTGTTTTTGTCAGGTTTGTCAAAGATCAGATAGTTGTAGATATGCGGCGTTATTTCTGAGGGCTCTGTTCTGTTCCATTGATCTATATCTCTGTTTTGGTACCAGTACCATGCTGTTTTGGTTACTGTAGCCTTGTAGTATAGTTTGAAGTCAGGTAGCATGATGCCTCCAGCTTTGTTCTTTTGGCTTAGGATTGACTTGGCGATGCTGGCTCTTTTTTGGTTCCATACGAACTTTAAAGTAGCTTTTTCCAATTCTGTGAAGAAAGGCATTGGTAGCTTGATGGGGATGGCATTGAATCTATAAATTACCTTGGGCAGTATGGCCATTTTCATGATATTGATTCTTCCTACCCATGAGCATGGAATGTTCTTCCATTTGTTTGTATCCTCTTTTATTTCCTTGAGCAGTGGTTTGTAGTTCTCCTTGAAGAGGTCCTTCACATCCCTTGTAAGTTGGATTCCTAGGTATTTTATTCTCTTTGAAGCAATTGTGAATGGGAGTTCACTCATGATTTGGCTCTCTGTTTGTCTGTTATTGGTGTATAAGAATGCTTGTGATTTTTGTACATTGATTTTGTATCCTGAGACTTTGCTGAAGTTGCTTATCAGCTTAAGGAGATTTTGGGCTGAGATAATGGGGTTTTCTAGATACACAATCATGTCATCTGCAAACAGGGACAATTGGAAATCATCATTCTCAGTAAACTATCGCAAGGACAAAAAACCAAATACCGCATGTTCTCACTCATAGGTGGGAATTGAACATTGAAAACACATGGACATGGGAAGGGGAACATCACACTCTGGGGACGGTTGTGGGGTCGGGGGAGGGGGGAGGGATAGCATTAGGAGATATACCTAATACTAAATGACGAGTTAATGGGTGCAGCACACCAGCATGGCACATGTATACATATGTAACTAACCTGCACATTGTGCACATGTACCCTAAAACTTAAAGTATAATAATAATAAAATAAAAAAAACTAAACTAATATTTGAAGCACAGAGAAAGGAATGTATTAGGCCCTATCCCATTTATGGCAAACTTGTTTGAAATGTGCAGCAGAGACAAAGCCAAAAATTATTTGGTTCAGTTAGGCTCTTCCTAGTCAAATATTTATTTTCATGACTTGGAGGCTATATAGCCTGGGTTTGATCCCAGTTCCACTGCTTACTCACAATGTAACTTGGGCAACCTCTTTTTATTTTTTTTAAATAAAGAAATATATACATATAGAATTTACCATCTTTACCATTTGTAAGTGTACAGTTCAGTGGTAATAACTACCTTTATATTATTTTCCCCTTCATCACCCCTTCTTTCCCTGTGCCAAATACCAGTATACTCACTATTTTTATGAGTTGACAACCTCTTTATGTCTCAATCTCCTCAACTGTAAAAGGATGATAATAATCAAGTCTTTCTTATGGGGTGGTTGTAAGAATTAAATGAGCTAGTATGTATAAAGTTCTTGGAGTTGTTTGGCCATAGTGAGGACTTAATAAGTGTTAGTTAGAACTTAATTAGAGTTAACCAATTCTTGTGAAAATAGAAGTAGTAGGCAGGCACTAACACAAGCAGGAAGTCATTTATGTGGTTTCCTCCTGAGGAATTAGGCCTTTTATAATTAGAAAATATCCTTCTTTAGCAATAGTATTTGCTGCAAATTCTTTGGTATTGATATTTGCATAGTGTATATCTTTCCCATTATTGTCTTATTTTCCATTTTTCTTAATTCTTATAGTTTGGATGTATTTCTGTTAAACAGCATATACTTGTGTTTTGATCTTTTGATCCAGATTGGCAATCTTTGTATTTGCCTTTCTTAAAAAGTTTATTTTATTCATAATTGACACATAATAATTGTACATATTTATGTGATACAGTGTGATGTTTCCATGCATATATACATTACATAAAGATCAATTCAGGGTGATTAGCATATTCATCATTCTAAACATTATTTATTTGCTTTTTAATTGAATTATTTACCCCATTATCATTTGATATAATCACTCATATATCTGAGTTGCAGCTACCATTATTGAGTAACTTCTATTTATTCCACCTGTTCTAGATTTATTTTCCCTCCTCTTTTGCCTTCTTTTGTATAGTTTTTATTAGTCCATTTTTTTTAGTTGACTTGGAAATTACACATTCTTTCACAAATTTTTTAATGTTTGTCTTAGTGCAGCAGTTCTGCAGCTTAATAATTCACTATTGTATATTATTTTGTTTTTGTTTACATTGCCTTATCTTCATGTTTGCCTGGTTATTTTTCATTGTATGCTGAATATATTTGCAAAATTATTTGTGGAGTGATTGTGAGACTGGGGCCATAATCTTTCCAGAGAAGAATTACATTTGCTTTTGCCAAGCATGCCTTAAACATATCTGCTCACCTCAATCTAATTTCAGGTATTAAAGTGATTCAGACTGAGCCCTGTGAGGGCTGTTCTACTTTTAATTCCCTCTTCCTCCTGGGGTGTAGCACTTTGGGTTTATAATAGGAAATAAGAGAGATTTACCAGGGCTCCCCTTCTCAGCAATCCCTGGCTTACTATGGCAGAGTCTGCTGGGTTCTGCAAGGTCGTCAATGCACTTTTATCCACTGAGCCACTCCTCTAATGTTGATAATTGCCTCCATGGGTTAAGTGATTTCCAAGAGCCGACTAATCTCTGTTAGTCTTCATCCTTCCTAAATTCTGGACAAGTAACTCTTCACTTTCTTGTTGGCTTTCCAATGCCTCCAAACATATCATCTTATATTTTGTTAAGTTCTTCAGTTTTCTTTTATGGGATGAGGGGAGGAGAAACTTAACGATATCACCTGATCTATTACTAAAACTGAAAGTCAAGTTATGTGGATTCAACTTTACTGATGAATTTGGTATTGATGAGTCATTCATAAAATTAATAATTGAAATTTATTATTGGTATTTTTCTGCCTGCATAGTACTTCTGCATTGCAATCATGCTTAGACTGTCTTCTTTCTAAACTTGCTTTCATCTAATACTTAAAATAGACATTAGCTAATTGTTACTTACAATTGGAATGATTACATTTTCCATTTTGCTTGGGATAGCTCTGATTTACCCCGTTGTCCTGAATTCCTGTTGAGTTTATCCTGGAAATATGTCCTACTATGGACAATAAATTATATCATCACCCACATAGAGTAATTATTCTTATAATGGAAATTTACTTTTAACAAATAACTCCTAGATGTAAAGTCTTCAGGCTGTGAATGAATGACTCTCTAATGCAAGAATTTCAGCCATTGTGATAGGCAAAAAAGAGGATTCCTTGAAGCATAAAACATTTCTGAAATCCACTAAATCACATCAAGTTGCTAATAAATGTTAAAGTTTGGCATTGAAGAGGTATATATAGATATAGCACTGCACTAATTTCTTCAACTTTCCCATCATAAAGATGAGACATAGAGATAGTAATGTGAAAGACTGACTATAATATTGTCAGTTAGTATTGTAGTCCAGGGTCCTGAACTCTGAGAATCACATTAAAGTGATGGCACACACTACTACCTTTGAGATAAAAGAGTTGTTATAACAAGGAGGTCAAATAGGCATCTAAAAAAATCTAGGTCTATTTTAAAACACTGCAATATTGGGATTTTATATTACCTAGTGTGCTCTTCAGTTTACCAACGAGATTTTTTAAGTTTTTTTCTATTACATTTTAAAGAAAAATTATATTATAATGAAAATTTTCTGATTTTGCCTAAAATTGAAACATGAAAATTGCATATCTTTTTCAATTTCTCCTAACTTTTTTTCACTTCTTTACCATGAATAATTAAAATTTGACTAAAATGGAATGTGTCCTACACATACTGAATGTTTATCTAATAGTAATAGTGATGAGAAAGACAATGATGAATATAGATTTTCAGAGAATCAGATGGGTAATACATATAACATAGTGGTTAAGAGCATGGGGTTAAGAACATCATCTAGTCTTGGGATTATGCTCACTTAAATATTTATTAATTGTGTGGCCCTGTTATTTCACTAAAAAAAAAAACTTAGTTTCCTTACCTATAAATGAAGACAATCCATATCTTATTACACTGCTATGAAGGTTAAGTGCAATTATGCCTCCAGCAAGAATATAATAAACAGCAACTTTTAAACATTTTCAAAACATATTTTGAAATAAGTATTTTTAAAATAAATTTATTTGCTTAAAATTATCATTATTCTATTCCTGCTACAAAATATGAAATCTAATTATTTAATAAATAAGGCAGTAAGCACAAATGTATTTCTAGCTCTTTAATACTATCATTATCCTTCACAAAGCATAGAACAAAGCTTGCTCTATTTTTGAGATTATACTAGAGTCAAGACAAATTATAAAGAATGTATGCTACGTACATAACATCTCCTAAGAGCAAAAACTTACATATTGTAACATATTTTGGTTAAAATGTACTGAGGTCCAAAAATCACTTAGGTTTTATTGGTTATTCCATTAATAGGAATTATTGGCCTCTGCTAATTGCTGAATATCTATAAACACTTTCTGCATCAGTTTCTACTTGGTGTTTTGTGATTTAGTAAGAACATTAACGTTATATTAGTAATAGCAAAATGGGCAAGGGTGACTCAGCATTCAATAAACAAGTCTTTCCTGCTGCAACAACCACTCCAGGCTAACCTCATCTAAAATTGCAACAGGCAAACAACTACAAAAACTTAAAATGAAAATGAAAACACACACACACACACACACACACACACACACACACACAAACCTAGCTCATAAACCCAGGCTAATACTCCTCCCTCTCCAGTTAACAAAGCATTTTTAAACGTAAAAGATTTGTGCATGCATATGAGGCTATCTTTGAATTATACCACTGGACATAGAAATACTAGTTGAATAAATGTCAATAATTGTGATTGTCAGAAAAAGAAGAATTGTCTCCTTCACCTGGTAGGCCTGATAAGTCCATAAGAGATGTTGCTGAAAACCCAATGTCTGATGGCTATAAATAAGAAAAAACATTTCTGCTCTTGCAGCATATCCTGGGTAGAGCACCTTTACAATTGTGTAGTCCAACAGTCCCCACCTGACCCACCTATGGTAAATAACTAGAATGGCCCCATGTCTGAGGCCAGGTGGAGACTGTTCTCAAGCACTGAAATCCATTTAGTACAGTTCTATGGTTTCTTTCTAGGATGAAATTTTGTGGCTATTCTAAAAGAGACAGACCAACCTCCAATGAATTTGTGCTTTCTCTTCAAAGCCCTAGTTTAAGTATGAATAGAGATAGTAGAGGAAGTTTTGAGTTATTTCCACATTAGTATTTCTTTAACAAGACTGACTGCTGTGGAATAATAATGTTAATATTTGAGTTATGAGAAAACTGGCCCATTTTATTAGCCTATTAACAACTTGCTTATCTGTTTTAGTTAACAAGCACATATAGCCCTTATACTTGGCCAGAAACTGTTTTAAGTGTGTTACATATATAAACTAATTTAATCCATGTGAGAAATCTATGTGGCAGATATATTATTGTCATCATCTCCCAGATGTGGAAACTGAGGAGTATTGATGTAAAGTAACTTTCCCAAGACCACCAGCTAATACATGGCAGTTGGGATATGAACTCAAGTAATGATTCCAGAGACTGGGTTCTTAATCATTATGCCATCCTTGAAGGCACCAGCAGTGCTCTGTAAACTGTGCAATGTTGAGGTAACATTGCACAGTTACCTCAAATGGTTATGGTGGGTGAAATGGAGAATCAAAAATTACCTGATACACCTTGACAATGTCTCCATCTGTCACTAATTTCAGTAACCTCAGAAAGGCTAAACCCTTAGTGAGACATCAACAGTACTACAGAAAATAATTCTATTATGATCTGTAGACATTTTTAATCAACTTATATAAACAATTTTGTTTCATGTTATGAATATTTATCTTTACCTTCAGTATCATATAGTGATGTGAAACAGTTTTACTGAATAGGATCTCCTTAGACCATTACGTAGGTACAACGTGAATTATTTTAAAGTTACCATTAACAGCTTTTATCATAATTTCCCTTATTCATAAGGGAATTCACTTAAAACCCATCTAAGAAGTCCTCAAAGCTATAATCTGGAGGCAGAGTGCTCTCAACAAGTTGATTTCATTTGTGAAATTTAATCTCAAACAATAGTTGGACTGTCTGGCCAGACATTTGCCTTCGGTAATCTCACAAATCAATCATATGTTGTAATTGAAGTTGGGGGTTGAGATTTCTAATCATGATAGTTGTTTAGATTATCCTGACTGTCGGCCAATGTGTCTGAGAATATTCAATTTGATTTCTTTCAAGATAGAATAAATGCATCTCAGTATATGAATCTTAGAAACAGGCTGACCAAATCAACTCTCCTCACAATTACTCAAACAGCCTTTTCAAATATAGAGTATTTTAAAGTTGCAAAGCAAAGATTGCATTCAATTTGCAAGCATTCTTTGAAAATAAATTTACACTGCCTGATATTACCCAGTTTCTCTTTCTCTTTCTCTGTCTCTCTACCATCCTTCTCCCTGCCCTCACCAGTTTTCTTTTAACAGGACCAAGAAGAGAACAGAAAATGCAATGTAAGTGTAAAATATGTTTGTCCCATCATTCTCAGCAAACACAGGAACAGAAAACCAAAACACCACATGTTCTCACTCATAAGTGGGAGTTGAACAATGAGAACACATGGACACAGGGGTGGGGGGGAATATCACACACCGGAGCCTGTCAGAGTTGGGAGGCAAGGGGTGGGAGAGCATTAGGAGAAATACCTAATGTAGATGATGGGTTAATGGGTGCAGCAAACCACCGTGGCACGTGTATACCTATGTACAAACCTGCACGTTCTGCACATGTATCCCACAACTTAAAGTCTAAAAAAAAAAAGTCTAAAAACAAATAAAAAAATAGACACTGGAGACTCAGAAGGATGGGAAGGTGGGAGGGGAGTGAAGGATGAAAAGTGGCTTAATAGGTACAATGTACATTATTCAGAAAATGATTACACTAAAAGCCCAGACTTCATCATTATTTGAAATACTCATGTAAAAAAACTCACTTGTAGCACTTAAATTTATATAAATAAGCAAATTTTTTAGATGCAAAAAAAAAGTTTGTCACCAGAAGAGAATAAGCAATAAAATATAAAGGTAAAATAGCCAATGGTAAGCAGAACCTCAACAAAATAATCCTTTATTGACTTTAGGCTAATCCTACCATAAATCATGGGAAGCCAACATTGCTACTTAATAGGAAAAAAAAAAATGCCATAATACTGAACCATGAGAGCAAAGCATATATTTAACAGCTAAATAACTCATGTTAAACAAGTTCAATATTAAACATTATAATAAATAGAATTCTATGGCTTAGTATAAGCTATATGTATTATTTTTTGTTTTAATTTGGCAATTTGAGTTTTATATCTTAGATCACATTTCAACTGAATGGCTGATTTTGCTAAAACTAATATACATTACTTCAAAATTTTTAAAGTGTTTTATCAGCTTAAAACATTAAAAATATGTGCAATGGTATCAGGTTCCAATATTCTTATTCGCTCGTGGGAATCTTAAATTATTTTCAATTTAATTAGAGTTATTAGTGTAGCCCCAATTTTTTATATGCAAATTATCTCCCTTCCCCTGTCTCTCCTCTCTCTCTGCTCTGTGTGTGTGTGTGAGTGTGTGTGTGTGTGTGTATGTGTCTCCATCTCTCTTGCATGTGTGTGTATATATATTTACATGCATACACACACACACATATATATGTGTATGAAGATAGTCTAGTTGAGAAAGCATTTTATTGAATTTTGTTCTATTATGATAGTACTATACAGATATAAAGGCAAGAAAAAAATTCAGTTCAATCTTGACATCATGGAATATAATATTTAGATTCTGTTAGATTGCATTTAGTTGCTATATACTAAGGAGACAAATTATAGGTAAATTGCCCTTGAATGGCATCACAATCTGGTATCATTGAGTGTTAGAAGAGTTATGGGCCATGCAATATTAAACTGCCAATGTGCTTTCGTGGCACTTACACAAACTTCTGTCCTGCCACTTCTGTACATGACAATGATTTACTGACTTTCTATCCAATTGACTGTGAACTTGTGAACTCTTGGACAGCAAAGAGTCATAATTTTTAAAAAATCTGAATCCCCAAAATCTAGCACAATGTCTGGCACATACCCACATAGAGTACATTCGATTTATCTTCACAGAGTGAATGAATGAATGAACAGACAAGCTTCCTTTAAACAGAGTTTGTTAATTCTGCTAAGGAGATTCATATTTATTCTTTTAGACAGAGTCTCACTCTGTCACCCAGGTTGGAGTGCGATGGTGAAATCTCAGCTCACTGTAGCCTCCACCTCCTGGGTTCAAGCAATTCTCATGCCTCAGCCTCCCGAGGCCGGGACTGCAAGCATGTGCCACCATACCTGGCTAATTTTTGCATTTTTAGTAGAGATTGGGTTTCACCATGTTGGCCTGGCTGGTCTCGAACATCTGGCCTCAAGAGATCCGTCTGCTTCTGCCTCCCAAAGTGCTGGGATTACAGGCATGAGCCACTGTGCCCAGCCCATATTTATTCTTATTTTTAAAGTACTTTAAACAGTGCATTCTGTTTTAAATGGATGTATATTCTGCAGTGTTTACAATGTGTTAACAATGACATCATCCAACTAGCAGGCAAGTTTTAGGATTATAATAAAACAAGTAATGTTCATCTAATGGACAAGAACTCAGTATTTCTTGTAAATCCCACATTCAGAAAGAGACATAAAGCCACATAACCTGTCTGTAGGTTCCATATCCTTGTATCAATTGAAAGCCCTGGATCCCTGGAACTCTATTTCTGCATTCCCCCAGACTCTGGTCTTTCTTGGTTTTCTGTCTATTTCTCTGTCTACACTTTTTGTTCCTTACAGGTACTTTCTTCCACATTAGTTGTTAAAATGTCTTTGACGCTCTTCTTTTTCTATGCATTTCTTTTGAGAGAGCATTCTTGATTAACTATTTCAATACCACCTAGGGAATAATAATTTCCAGATTTCTATCTTGACCTCTAGAGCTATATATCAAATTATCCTCCAGATATCTCTACCTCATAGTCTCATTAGCAATTACTATTGCAACAATAAGTCAAGCAAGAAATATGTAAGAAGTATGTGAGTCTGAATTTTTCCTTTCATTTACTTTTCATGTTCAATTAATTACCAAGCCCTATCAATTCCCTTCCCTCTGCACCCACACTACCATCACCTCCCTACCTTACTTCAGGCCCATTAACTCATACCTCCTTCAATTCTGTTGACCCATTGCAGCCAAATAGACATTATGAAGTATAAATCAGACCCTTCTCCTCTCCTGCTTGATTAAGGTTCTTCGATGATTCACCACTGCATGGAGAAAAAATCCAAATCTTTTAACATGGTATTTAAAAGCCCATCATGATACAAACTCAACCTGCCATGATTCCCCTCACAGGGATTCCTCATTACATACTTCCCCTCACACACATTGTTACCCCATGAAATGGTTTCAATTCCATGAGTAAGATATGATCTTCTATTCCGTCATGCCTTCATATAAGCTGTTTTTTGTTTTGATAGCTTGATGTAGACAACTCTGCGAATTTCTGTTCATCCCTTAAAAGTCACAAATATATGCCATCCTAAAATGAGGAAATTACTGTTTCTTAAGGCAGCCCATTCAATGTCATCTAGAGTTGACACTGAGAAAGTTATTACTATAGCCTTAGTTGTATTCCTTGTAGTCACACAGAACAAATCTACATTTTTTTCTTTCACATGCTATATCATCAAATAATTTAACGCATATTGCTCCTAGTGCTTTAATTCCCTGAGGTAAATCTCCACAAAATCCTTTACATTTGCCTCTTTTCTTCTACCCCATTAAAAGTTGGTATCCAGGACTTTCTTGACCACATCCAGATGAGGTCTGATCACTCTAAAGTAAAGCTCAACACCACCCTTTATATTAGGTGCACTTCACAAACAACTCTCCACTACTCACAGGTGAAGTGACAAGTCCTGAACAGCCTTGCAGGGAGCTAGAAATCCTGAACTTGTGGGAACATTATGTGTTATTTCTCAGCTGCATCTTCACCCCACTCTCCAGAGTAAGAAAATAAAATTGGATCTGAAGTCATTGATTACAAGAGTTAAATTTCACATAAAACGTGTGATGGACACAGGAGGGAAAGAGCCATGGGAGAACGTACATAGGAAAGATTATCCATATTTTTTAATAGGAGGTTTGCCACTCACAGTAGAGGAAAAAAGCACAGAAGCACCACTAACTATGGCTTCTTGAACATACCTTTCTATTCCCCAAGTCCTACGAGGTGCCATTTTTCTTTTATTAAGCCATTTTAGTAACCAAAACCAGGTAAAAGTGTTGCCTCTCCCAGGAATGCTTACCTTTAAACAAATATCAAGGTCTTAAACATTAGATATAAAGCCCTGACAGAATTTTATCTATCAGCCCTCAGGTAAGAGACAGAAATATTGCTCTCGCCACTTAGTTCATAGAACAGAAGCAGTCGCCTAAAGATGTACCTTGCAGTTGTAAATGAAATTCTATGGTGCTCAAACTGGTCCTATTACAATATGTGAACATTCACAATTAACTGTAAGATTATAAGCACAACATTTGGAGTAACATCTACAGATTAACACCTGGCTCAAATATTGCAGAAGCATCTACATCTTAGAGGAACTTAAAAGCACACATATATCGCCCATTTCTCATTTCAATTACAAAAATACAGGCCAAGTTTTGGACATAGAGCCGGATGATATATTTTTTTGCATTATTTTTCAATAACTCTTTAAACAAATACCAAGGTAGACACTCTTGGCCCTATTAAATTATATTTAATTAAGTAATCAGCTCTTAAATTTAAAATATCAGGTTTAAAATGTTACTTTCTTTTGAGACAGAGTCTCATTCTGTTGTCTAGGCTAGAGTTCAGTGGCACAATCATGGCTTACTGCAGCCTCAACCTCCTAGGATCAAGCAACTTTCCTGCCTCAGCCTTCCAAGTAGCTGGGGGTACAGGTGAATGCCACCACATCTGCCTAATTTTTGTTTTTTACAGACTGGGTCTCACTATGTTGCCCATGTTGGTCTTTAACTCTTGGCCTCAAGCAATCCTCCCACCTCCCACCTCAGCTTCCCAGAGTGCTGGAAACCTCTGCACCTAGTCTAAAAATGTTACTTTTACTAATGCTACTTCATGGACACCTAGCTTAGTGTCCTGTCTACCTTGAACTCAATATCTAATTAAAGAAAAAGATTGCCTTAATATATTAATCCATTTTGTCCAAATCTCTTTAAAACTTAACATTAGTATAGTGACTACATGCTCCCTTAAGTGTTATGTTTCACATCTCCATATCATTTGAGTTTAAATATTATTTAATATAAATATCACTTAGTTTCTGAATCTCTCATTACTATAGAAAAAAGTCTACCTACTCTTCTTCAGAAATATCAAATTTAAGGTGTTATACCATATTTAGTTTTTCATTAAGTTAAACGACCTAAATTTAGTAGTTATTAATGTAAAACATAAAACTTGCTCTTCCCACAGTTCTCTCCATCTCACATAATGGCAAATCCCTCATTCTATTTGTTTAGGACAAAAGTTTAAGTCAGTTGTGACATTACTCATGTTGCCTTTCTAACCTTAATTCTACCACTTGCCCTAGTTCACTCCACTCCAGCCACAAGCATCATTTCTACCCCTTGAATATGATTTGCCCAGCAAAGCTCTCATCTCAGGTACTTTCACTTCTTCCCTCTGCCTGGATAGCTTGTCCTCCATTTAGCCATGTAGCTCATGCCCTCACCTCCCAAGACCTCAATCAACTATGCAAACTCCCTTGCTCAGCAACACTCCCCACTTCCCTTCCCTGCTTAATTTTCTTCCCATGGCATCTATCAACATCCAACATACTATATATTTACTTACTTATTTTGTTTATTTTTTTGTATCCTCCCATGTGGTATGCAGAATTCCAAAGATATACTCCCGAGATTTTCATCCCTTGATTATTCAAACAAACACTAATCTAAGCACTGCTATACAGAGATTCTGCAGATGTAATTATGGTTGCTAATCAGCTGATGTTAAGAGAGGGAGATTACCCTGGACTATCTAGGAGGACACAATGTAATCATCTGTACCCCGAAAAGGCAGAGAAAGCCAAAAGAGCCCACAAGAGAAATGCAGTGGAAGAGGAAGAAAGGGAACAGATGGGGGAAGGGGAAGTCAAAGAGCTTCAGAGCATGAGACAGACTCAACATGCCATTGCTGGTTTGAGGTGAAGGAGGAAATATGATTAGAATGACAGGCACCCTGAATAAGGCCAGAGAGCCTCCTGATGATGGCTACCTTGGTAATATGGTTTAGTTGTGTCCCCACCCAAAATCTCACCTTGAATTGTAATCCCTATAATCCCCACATGTCAAGGGTGAGGCCAGGTAGAGGTAAGTGGATCATGAGGCTAGTTTCCCCCATGCTGTTCTCATGATAGTGAGTGAGTCTCATGAGATCTGATGGTTTTATAAGCATCTGGCATTTCCCTTGCTTGCACTCACTCCATCCTGCCGCCCTGTGAAGAAGGTACCTGCTTTTCCTTTGCCTTGTGCCATGATTGTAAGTTTCCTGAGGCCTCCCCAGCAATGTGGAACTGTGAGTCAATTAACCCTCCTTCCTTTATAAATTACCCAGTCTCAGGTATTTCTTCATAGCAGTGTGAGAATGAACTAATACACAAAGAAACAGTCACCTCAGTCCTACATTTGCAAACAAACAAATTCTAACAATAGCCTGAATGAGCTTGGAAGTGGATTCTCCCCAAAGTCTCTGGAAAGAAACAAAGCCCTGTTGTGAAAAGGTGAAACATATCCCTTAATTTCAGTCTTGTGAAACCCAGAGCAGAGACCCACCTGAGCTACACTGTGCCTGGACATCTGACCTAAAGATAATTACTGGATATTGTATTAAGTCATTAAATTTGTGGTAATTTGCTATGGCAGCAATAAAAAGATGAATATACCCTATTAGATTACAGGCCTGATGAAGGCAGGGATTTTCATCCAGTTTGTTTTGTTTTGTTTTGTTTTCAGTGCTCTGACCAGAATTCAGAATAGAATCTGACAATAGGAGGCAATAAAGACTTTTTGAATACAGCATACATATTCTTTCTCACAAAATCTGTATTTCACAAAGTCTTTTGAAGAGCTTCTGCACAGCAAAAGAAACTACCATCAGAGTGAACAGGCAACCTACAAAATGGGAGAAAATTTTCACCACCTACTCATCTGACAAAGGGCTAATATCCAGAATCTACAATGAGCTCAAACAAATTTACAAGAAAAAAACAAACAACCCCATCAAAAAGTGGGCAAAGGATATGAACAGACACTTCTCAAAAGAAGACATTTATGCAGCCAAAAAACACATGAAAAAGTGCTCATCACTGGCCATCAGAGAAATGCAAATCAAGACCACAATGAGATACCATCTCACACCAGTTAGAATGGCGATCATTAAAAAGTCAGGAAACAACAGGTGCTGGAGAGGATGTGGAGAAATAGGAACACTTTTACACTGTTGGTGGGACTGTAAACTAGTTCAACCATTGTGGAAGTCAGTGTGGCGATTCCTCAGGGATCTATAACTGGAAATACCATTTGACCCAGCTATCCCATTACTGGGTATATACCCAAAGGATTATAAATCATGCTGCTATAAAGACACATGCACACGTATGTTTATTGCGGCATTATTCACGATAGCAAAGACTTGGAACCAACCCAAATGTCCAACAATGATAGACTGGATTAAGAAAATGTGGCACATATACACCATGGAATACTATGCAGCCATAAAAAATGATGAGTTCATGTCCTTTGTAGGGACATGGATGAAACTGGAAATCATCATTCTCAGTAAACTATGGCAAGAACAAAAAACCAAACACCGCATATTCTCACTCATAGGTGGGAATTGAACAATGAGATCACATGGACACAGGAAGGGGAATATCACACTCTGGGGACTGTTGTGGGGTGGGGGGAGCGGGGAGGGATAGCACTGGGAGATATACCTAATGCTAGATGACGAGTTAGTGGGTGCAGCACACCAGCATGGCACGTGTATACATATGTAACTAACCTGCACATTGTGCACATGTACCCTAAAACTTAAAAGTATAATAATAATAAAAAAGAAAAAAAAAAGAAATTTTTAGCCCAAAAATGTTGCATAAAAATATTTAAAATTAAAATGTGGAAGGTAAGTTGTTTTGAAAGCTCTTCATTCAGTAGTTTGTTTCTCTTCAAGTTAGCAGCGGCTATCAGTTCTATGAATTGGACATAGGAAACAGTCAAATACCACTTCCTAAAGCAGTGTTTTTCAATCTACAGGTTGCAACACATAAACAGGTGATAACAGCAATTTATGAGGTTGAGATCATCAGAAGGAAGGAAAGGAGGAAGGGAGGGAGGGAGAGAGGGAGGGAAGATAATAAAATCAAAACATTATAATGCAACCTTAATTTTAATGTAGCATACATGAGTGTGCATATGCATGTTGTGTGTGTAGTAGATCACTAAGTAAGATGTATTTCTTACTGTGAGTTGCATTAAAATAATTAGAAAAACGCTAAAGGTCATTACAGTCTGTGCTGTGGACCAGAATGTAATTTAGGGCCTGACTGGAAGTGAGATGAAGACAAATGAATGGGGATGTGTCTGTTAAGAAAGAGCTGATCAAGAAAGAACCACACTATTCTAAACCTGTACTTAAATTTGCAAGGCTAGAGAGAGCATGATGATTGAAGAATTTACACGAATTGCACCACCTTAAGGTAAGGAAATGAACTTTTTTCCTCTTGCTGTGTACATCATTTCCCATGGGTCTGAATTAGCACCCCTGGACACTGTTTAGATCCACCAGCAGAGCAGAGTCACTGAGATTTGGTATGAAATCCAAATGGAAGAGTACAACCTGAGGCTTTAATCAGCAAAGCATCACAAGATGCTATTTCTTTTCTTCCTTACAGTGAAAGGATTAAAAACCTAATACTTATCTATCTTCTGAGATTTTCAGTTATTACTGTCATTTAAATGTAGCTGGAAAGGAAGTTAGAAATCTTCTTGTCACATGGAACCCAAGAATAAACCTTGGTTAGAGAAATTTGAAATTGAATCTAGCACAACTTCCTCATTCTTATGCTATTCTATTGTTACAATATTACTCTTAACTTATATTTACCACTGATTCCAGTGTTTGTTGTCAATAGACTGCATATGGGTAAAGGAAAGAATAATGTGGTTGGGTGTGGTCGCTCACACCTGTAATCTCAGCACTTTGGGAGTCCAAGGTGGGCGGATCACTTGAGGCCAGGAGTCAGAGACCAGCCTGGGCAGCACAGCAAAACCCCGTTGTTACTAAAAATAAAAAAAAAAAAAAATAGCTGGGTGTGGTGGGGCATGCCAGTAATCCTAGCTACTTGGGAGGCTAAGGCATGAGAATCGCTTGAACTCAAGAGGTGGAGGTTGCAGTGAGCTAAGACTGTGCCACTGCACTCCAGCCTGAGCAGCAGAGTAAGACTTTGTCTCAAAAAAAGGAGAAAAAAAGAAAAGAATAACATAACTGTACACTACTCATTCCTCCATTCAATGGCATACTCCTTGTGGGCTTGGATCAAGCCATGCATTCTCTTTAGTATCTACTATGGTTGGGTAAATTGAATAAGATAATACCTGCAATGTACTCAGCAGAGTGCCCAGATCACAGTAAGAGCTAAGTAAATGCTTCTGTATTTGCTTTTGTTGTTTTAATTCTAATATGAGTACTATTAATATAAAATGTGCTGCATAGGAAATTCTTAATATATTTTGATTTTCATTGCATTATACAATAAAATAATATCATAATGCATACCTTTAAAATCAACTTATATTTGAAGGAACATTTAAAAATTACAGAGCTCTTATCTGCTCAAGCCACTTTAAATAAATGCATAAAGTGAAAGATTTCAATTAGTTAAAAATTAGCCAGAAAATTTCTTCTTAAGTATATGAAAAGTCAATAGACCTGGGACATATGATTCATAAAGGTAATCTTCCTAAAAACAATGTAAAGTCTTATATAATACGAAGTTAGGTAAGAGACCAAGTTTCTCTAACCTGATCCTTAGGTAAGAATCAACATTAAAAACTGCACTGACCACTGTATTTTGTAGCTTGGTGTCCATACCATTAGGCAAGGACTATAAATCCTAAAAACAGAATATTATTTCCTTTAGATCTTCCACGAAGAAAGAATATCAAAACACCCCACACACACACACACACACACAGAATCACAGTCTGTTTTTTTCCGATGATTTCAACCATGTTAAATATTTTCTTTTCTTATATTTTACAAGCTCTGCAGCATCTTTCCCCCCTGTTACTTTTGTGTTGTATAATTAGCTTATAATTATGCACTCTTTCACACTGGAAAGATGATTCTTTTATTAATGACCCTTTGAAAAGTTCTTTATTTGTCTTTGAAAGTGAGTTTGAAATCAAAAGGCTTGAATGACTTTTCCTTTCCTTCTGTTTAACTTAGGAGATCTTAAAAGTAATAAAAGAGACGGTTATAGATGTCACAGAAAGTCATAAATTTTCCACCTTTAGACTGAGAAATGGGGTTTGGGAAACAACTGTTGCATCTTCCACTCTTTCCAAATTAAATGCTTGGGTGTGTGAAGAACAGGTATGCAACAAAACACTCAAGTTCCAAAAATGACTGTCTATTCTTTACCTTTTCCCCCTGTTAGCACCAATAGGAAATGGGTCAGAACCAAAAAAATTCCAGAATCCGATAGAAAAACAGAAGAAGAGTATAATTCACATTTGTAGTAAGTACAATATAGGCTCAAAATTAGTCTTAAGTGGAAAAATCACTCAGACCCTGATTTGTAGTCAATTCGGGAAGGTGCCACTCATCTCTGCTGAGGCCATGCAAGCCTTATTACTATTTCTGGCTGACTGCTATTTATTTAACAGGCTTACCCAAGCACTCCAGATTGGCTATGGGCCATTATAAGGGAGAGTGTACATTATTGCATATTTTAATTATTTCTCAAGCCATTTTGCTTGCAGTGATAATCCCATAAGACCAACATATCTTGCATAAGCAAAGCAAATAGCTTTTGGCTGAGACAGCTCTTGAGTTATTTTGTAACCTATTCCTACATAACTTCTGGCCTTTCCAATTGTGGCTGGGACCTGCCAAATCAGGAGTTCAATGGCTTTTTGGCTCATGGTGATCACAACCACATTATTGAAAACAGACATATGGACAGTAATACCAATGATTAAAATAATGACTCAAATTTGTTTTCAAAAGTAGTGCTATTTATGCATGATGGAAACACTTCTTCTATCTGCCTCTATTCAACATTTCCTCTATCCAACACTTCCACTGTGGGCAAAGTAACACATGCCTAGAGCTATTTTAAGAATTTTTCTTATCGCCTCCAATCTTTTCACTATTTCAGTGGAGATGGCTGAGCAATAATAGCCTGATGACCTTGAAAACTTTTTGCTTCATTTGTAGCACCAGGGAAATTTGCCCAAATTGTTTGGTGGGCCAAACTAAATTGCACATTTTTGCCTTTCTATTTGGAATGCCATAGTGTTCCTTTGGTTGAAAATGTCTAAGTAGCTCCATTTTCACAAGCAGCATTTTTCTTGTGAAAGAATAAAAGGATAAGAATTTACTTTGGTTGTACTCAAGAAGCTCCTTCTTTCAAGTCTTTCTCTCTCCTCTTATATATGATGATTTTTCTTTTCAAAATGGGAGTGACAGACTCTTAGAAATAGAGGGTATCTTAAAAGAAACTAAATCTAAACACCTACTGTTGTATGAAAACCCTCTATAATGTCTTAAATAAGGTCCTCCATTACCAGCTATTCTTTGGGACAAAAGAGATTAAAGAAAAATAGAAAGTGCTATCCTCTATATAGAGGATAATGTCTTATAACTAAAACAAATTATAGGATGTAGATGTGATTTTCCCTACTCATGAGTTCTCAGTCTCTCATCCACCTTGTTTCATTACATTTGGAAGAATTTGTGAAGCAGACACTCCATTTTAAATTTGGGTCATTGAGAATATGGTCAACAGGCCAAAAGGGAGTAAAACAGCACTTCCAAATTTTTTTTTTTCCATGAGAATTTAGACTGCATGGTCTTGACCTTTTCATTTCAATGATCCAGAAAGTTAGAGATATTTTTAAAGGTCGACCTCTTAAGAAAAGAACTATACGATATTTTTACCATTATTGCTTAAGAATAAGTTAAATTATTAGTACAAAGTACAGGTTAAAAGATTGGGTTTTGGAATGGAACTACATGTTTTGAAACCTGGCTTCCTAATTAATTAGCTATATGTCCTTGGGAAGTTACATAACATTTGGAAGTTTTGGTTTACTCATCTGTAAAAGGAGATAATAACACTATCTTCTCCACTGGGCTATTAGGAAGATTAAGTGAGCTAACTCATGTAAAGCATTTTGTTCAGTGTATGGCATATGTTTTAAGTATACAATAAATAATAGCTTCCCCTTGTTCACTGAAGTAATAAAAACAAAGAATTTGGTTGTCAAGAGCTCACAATTTTAAAAATTTGTTTCAGAATCTCAAAACGTTAATGAATTTCCTTAAGTCCTGTTTTTGGACTGAGAATTAATAGTGCTAGGGAAAATATTTTCATGGTATAAATAGCTTATAAGGAAAATTTACATTGCCAGAATGTTTTTAACAAATTAATACGGATTATATCATGTGCTAGCTCACTGAATAATATAATTATCCTAACTAATTGATCATGCATCCAATGGGTTTTGAAAAGGTGTGACACTTAGCTAACAGGTTAGAGTCAAGAAAAATTTCATGAAATATGTTTTTATTCATGCCATTTGAAACTTAGTCACTTCTGTGTATGTCTGATCAGTCAATGTATTAAATATATTACTTGGCAGACTAAATTACATATCTAGATGAGATCATAAAATAAGCCTCTTGTATATGTCTGGACAAGGTTTAAAAGTCTGCTATATCAAGTAGTATTGTAAATTAGCCAGTCTCTACTTTTATGTTACTTTTTATAAAACATCAATTTATACCATTACTCTGTTCTATTCTTCAAATATTCAACTCTAATTTATAGTATGCTTTTCCTAAAAGCAAAACAAAACAAAACCTTCCTTTGCTAATTCTATAAAGAAAAGAATTCAAATTCTGCCAGTCTGGAATACCCATGTGGCAAATTAGGAAATCAAAGAACAAAGCTATTTTTCAGTTCTCTACCATCACCGAGAGGTCAGTAATTACAAAGCTGAAATACATCAGTGTCTTAAGAATATTCTTTTTGTATTGATCTTGAGAATCTGAAACTCTTCCTAGTAGCCCATTACAATAATTGTAAATCTTAACCACTAGAAAACTATTTAATGATTCAGATATCAGGGAGATCAAAATAATTACTTTCATAAAACTAAAAGAATCTCAGTTAAAAAACTGTATTAAAAGTAATATATAAAATAATGTTTTCAGAATTTATTTAGATTACTATACATTAGAAAAATAAAGGATTGGGGTCACCCTCCCAGAATTTAACATGCATCCTCAGTGGGGAAAGGAGGTTCACATTACCCTCAGTATTTTATGAAGGAGCAAACAGTGTTTATTGATCAGATAATATGACAGTTGATGGTACTCTATGGAAGATGTTGTTCTGAGTGAAATAAAAATGTTTTATGAAAAAAGCGAACTAAGAAAAAAATGGGGAAAACATATCTTGCAAAACTATACTCTTCCATTCCACAATTGCCACTTAAATTGGTTACTGCACAAGCTCCGTTCTCTATTAATTCAGAGACATTCTGTTTTCCCAAGCTTGCTGTCCACTTACCCTAGTTGTTTTGACTTTATTCCCAGAGGAACAGCTCCATCCTTTCCGATCCGGAAGAACTTTACATTCTTCTCCCTCTAGACATGGCTGCATATGGCACCACCATTTCTGTTCCACTATTGAAGCTATAAGAGAGAAAAAAAATTGACTCAACATTTTTTTCTTGGGACTTATTTCTCTTGTTCACCTTTAAAGAGGAACAAAAGCCACTAATTTTTCCTACCAGTGGGAATACAGGTATTTGAGGTATGCCTTTCTTTTTGTTCAAAAGGACAAAACCTTTCAAGATTTTCTAACTAAAATAATTTTCTTTAAAACATTTTTTATTTTATTGTAATGAGAACACTTAACATGAGATCTATCCACTTAATAAAATTGTAAGTGTAGAATGCAGTATAGTTAACTATAGACACAATATTACAGGATTTTCATGTGAAAATAGACTTCATGAAAGCTAAGATATTGAAAATAAACTATGCAAATGTGTATATGCACCAATTTATATAAATATATAAGAAAATGGACCTATGACCAGTTTTTAGAGTCAACACTTTATAATCAATATAATATTCCCATGAATAAGATGGTTATCAGGAGGGTGTTTATCAGAGTTATCATAATTTTTTTAACTGTGTGCTATAACCTCATCACAAGCAATATATTATAGTAATATGAGCACTTAACAAATTACTATTTATGGTAACATCAACTAAATAAATGCATATAAAGATTTATGTCCTACTATAATTAGGTGAACCCTCAAGGAAAAAAATTAATATATTATTGCATCATCATAAAAGTTGATATTTTATGTTAATTCTATCCACAACTAAATGTTCACTCATATACATGGTGCTATTTTTTTTAATTCTTAAGAATATCCATGGGTTTAAGAACCCATAATATTAAATCATCCATTTTCATCTTTCCTTTTCCAATTAATTTACACATAATCCACCTCCCACCATCCACCGAGAAATCAACATTTCATGGTATCAAAATAAGATGCACATTAATTTAATGGAACCTCATTATAATGCCTTTTGTAACAGAACTGCATAATATTTTAGACCTCTTTCCAGAGGATTTTAGATTTCAAAATGCCACCCAAATATTCTAGTTTCAACTTATCATGGTATTTGTAGTATGTTCACCCAGGATTGACCTCCCATTGAGAGCATTATAGTGGGGTTCTAGTTCTAAGCCATCCTTGGCTGTGCTGTTACAATAAGGAATGGAAGAAGTCACACCATCCACACATGATGGAGCAGCTCGCGTGGTGCCTGCCACCTGCCCAGGGAAGCAGGAGCACTTGACTGTTTGTGACCGTTCTTCTATCTTGTTCTTATTACAGCATCTGTGGAGTGCCACCACCTCACAAGTTCCCGTTTTAACATGGTGAGCTGCACAAACAAAAAAGATAAGACAACATTGAGAAAGCTTTGGACACTTCCCCCCACCCTTCTTTTTAATTAGCAGTACATTAAATATAGCTCTATAAGGGGTCCACCAGGCATGAAACGAGAAATACAATGATGCTAACTCCATAATGCAGATTTGATTTCTTTTCTAAATGTGGTAGGAACATTTCTGTCAGTGAATGCTTGGTAAAGCAGGAACAATTAGTGACTAGATTAGAATAAGCTGTTAAAAGTCTGATACAGAAGCAGTATGTGCCGTCATCAAAAACATTTATTTGCATATGACTTTTTAATGCCTTTTTGTTCAATGCATTAATCAAAGTAAAATAAACCTCTGGCCTAGGTACCCTGCAATGGGACTGAGGCCAGCCCCATTCTCAAAGTGGGTGGTTGCTGATAAAGCTTGTGTTCTTCTAGGGGAGAGTAAGAGGACTAGGCAGGAAGTGGAGGCAGACAGTGGGCACCCACATGCTCAGTATTCTTCTGCTCAGTTTCCCTGAAAATGAACAAATCCAGTGATTCTTGAAATTGCCACCATTTTTCTGGAAGATCCAACCAGTCCCAGAAGCCAGAGTCATTCCTTTCAATTTTGCCTGAGAGGGCAACTGTCACCAAATGGTACCATGAACTTGGATAATTCGTATCTGGCAGCCAATTGCCTGTAAACCCAGTCCAATAAGCTGTCAGGCTTCCATATTCATTTTGTCAACCTTGAATAAGGACACTAAGTGTGTTGGATTAATGAAAATTTTGGACCTTACTCATCATATTATGATAAGATTCTAGTTTGTCTTCATTATTTTTTTTCAGCATTTCTTCTTCAAATAGTAATCCTACTGTGAAAAGATAAAACTTTTGCCTGCTAAAATTAAAAACAGCTTAAAATCAAACATTTGTTAAAAGATTATGCTTTCAGTAATTTTAAAAGTGTAATTGTTATAAAAACAGATATTACAATGGAAAAGCAGGAGATCTTAAGTTGTTTAATGGCATAAACATAAGGAGACCCATTGCAAATGAGATCGGCACATCATACATTTATATTAATCTTCCCATTGAAGATGAGTGAAACCAATGTGCAATAAGTCAGGCTAAGTAGTTCGCTCAGATTTTTCTAAGACAGAGCAAATCACACATATTTCCTACCTCTTATCCTTCTGTGTGAGACCAAGAAACTCAAGTGTAACATACAGCTTTGACATATAATCCTCAATAGAACCTTCAAGAGGCAGATACCATTTCTGCCACTGTAGATATAAATTGGAATGTTTTCTGTGTTTGATTCAAACACAAATCTATCTCTATGAAAGCAAAAAAATAAGAGGCAGACTTCTGTCCCTATCTTCTCGTGCTCTGGGTGAATATTTTCTTAGCTAAGAATGAGTCCATTTGTTTTAATTTGCCAAATGGTTTATATTACATTATACACGTTAATATTCTGCCTTCTCTACATTTCTTTATTAGGTCACATTTTAAGCGAGTGAATACCACACATCAGCCATGGTCTTGAGTACTGGAAACACAGCAATGAATAAGGGACACAATCTGTTCCTGCCCTCAAAGAGCTTATGTTTCTGAGGAGAAAACAAATAATAAGCACCCACGGTAATAATTAAGGCAATGTTAGATTTTTAAGCTCCTTGAAGAAAATACAGTAGAGTAGAGTAGAGTAACATGATTCAGAGTAATTTTGTAGGAAGGGAATGCATATTTTTTCAAGTGTCACAGGAAACATCTCTCTTTGAGGAGATAATCCGAATCATGAGCTGAATAATGAGAAGGAAGTCTCTAATATGAAGATCTAAGAAAGGAGGAACAAATATTAGAGCAGCAAATAACAAGGTCATGAAGTAGGGGGAAGTGTGGTATATCCCCAGGGCAGCAAAGATGGCCAGGGTGGCTGGAGTGTGGCTAAACAATTGAAAGTTTGAGGGCAATGTATCAGAAACATAAGCAGATCATGGAAAGGCTGGTACACTATGGTAAGGAGATTGGATTTTATTCTTCCTGCATGGGAAATCTTTGGGTAGAAATAGTATTACATCATCTATCTATTAGAATTTTACTCATGCTGCTCTTTAGAGATTGGGATGAAGAAGGCAAGAGTGGAGACCAGTTATGAAGAGGTGTAGGAGTCTCTGTGATCAAGGATGAGACTTAGACTAGATTAACAACAGCAGAGATGGGGAGAAGTAGCAGCTTGGATATATTTCAGTGTAGAGTTGATTTGATTTACCAGTGGGTAGAATGTGCGTCATGAGGGAAAGAAGAATCAAGAATTACCCCTAAGCTTGGACTGAGCAATGAGAAGTTGATAGTTCTGATGGATAGAGAAGGCCTAGGAAAGAGGAATTTGTCAGAAGATGGATGAGGTTAGTATATCTGTACTTCTGTTGGGGCCATGTTAAGCTTAAAAGATACCAATGCAGAGATGGAAATCAAGCAACAACATTTATAAAATAAAGCTTAGGGGAGATATTTGGGCTACAGAGGCCGTCTTGAGTGATCTAAGCCTACAGATGGTATGTAAAGCCATGGACTGAACAAGATTACCACGGAAAAGGTTTCACCAATAGAAAAAGAAGAAAAAAGAACAGTCTAAAATCTAGATCTGGAATGGGAAGACAGCAAGAAGACCGATAAGGAGCTGCACAAAAGGAAAAAGATAAAGAAATGTGTGTGTGAAGGAATGAAGAAATAGAAGACAAAAGAATAAAAGGTTTCAAAAAGGAGAGATTGATCATCTATGTCAAATGCTGTTGAAAGGTCCAATTAAAAGAAGAGAAATAATTGTCCATTTAAAAAGTAATACAGTGTAGTGGCCAAGAGTATAGACTCCAAAGTCCGAGTACCTGGATTCGAATCTAAGTTCCTTCTAGTAACTACTTGATCTTGGTACGTTATCTATTATGCATGGGCAGCTGAGTTTTTCTCATGTCTAAAAGAGGGATATTAATAGCACAATCTTCATAGGATTAACTGAGGATTAAATGAGTCATGTATAAAGTGTTTAGGACACTGCCTCCCCGTAGCAGGCACTTCTGTAAGTGTTAGCTATTTCTATTGCTGTTAACATTTGATCTTGGTAAAAATCATGTTAGTGGCATGAAAAAAATAAAAGCATTATTGAAGTAAGTTTAGTAGAGAAGGAAAGGTAAGGTTGTTATAGTTATAAAAAGTCTTTCAAGGAGTTTTTCTGGGAAGGGAGAAAGGAAATGAAGCAAGAGCTGGAATGAATCATGGGGTCAAGGGAATTTTTTTAAACGGATGCTTTAAAAGGATGCTTGTTTGCTGGAGTGATCTAGTAGAGAGGGAAAATGACAACACAGGAGAGAAAATAGATCATTAACAAAGAATGTTCTTAAGAAAGAAAAGTAAATTGTGATCCAGGGCCCCTGGAGGGTTGACATTAGATTTGTGTGAGGACACAATCCATTTTAACAAGAGGAAGGTGGGATATGTAGGTACAGAGTCAGGTAGATGTGAGTGGATTCGGTGGTGAGAAGATAAGGTAGTTTCTTACCTGATTTCATCTATTTTTCCTAAGAAATATGGCAGCCCTTGGAGAAGAAAAAAAGAGGGTCTGAAATAGATACCTAAGAAAGAGTGAATTTACCAGGAAAGAGTGGTAGGAATACCAGGCAGGGAGTTAGCTGATGCACACTGTGAATTGCAGAGAACACAGCAGAATGGGAGATGGAGTGAGACTGCAGAGCAGAGTGGAGATAAACATCTCTAAGATGATAGATTTCTGGGGATGCTTGGACTTCTGAGAGTGATTTAGGGAACCAGGGATGTGAGTCATGATGAGATTACTCCTCTAAATCTCTGAATGGAAGCCAGGGAAAGATGATTAGGGCTTCTTCAGATAGTGACATCAGTAGGCAGATCACTAAGGTGAGATAGCTTCTGGGAGAACATTATGGTGGCTAGGGCTCTGTTCTCTTTCATGGTCCTATAACAGCCAGGAGCACATGGTGAGTTTCCCCTGATCTCTCCTCTGAGAAAAGAGGCACCATTCTAGCACCAAGGCCAGCTTCCTTCTGTATTTCAAGGAGATTTTATTATATGTTGAAAAAGAAAGGAGAAGTGAAAACTCATCTGTTTTCCATTTCCATACAAAATCAAAATTTATTTCTATTTTGCCTGACTAAATAAATAAGAGGACAAAGTAACTGTGGCATTCACTAGTCCTGTTGACCAAATATGTCTGGTTCTCTCCCTTCTGGACGAAGGTTGTACTGTACTTCACCACTCCATTTAATTTAGATATAAGGGCATGACGTGCTTTGTCTAGTGAAATGAAAGTTAAAGTAATATGGGCCACTTATGAGGAGAAACTAATATCAATTCTATATGGAAGCTTTAAGAGCTACTGTGTAATTCAGCATGTTTCTCCCCACCAGCCAGAGCAACGAATTATGTTGTTGATAGCGGAGGCCACATCAATCTGAATCCCCAACTGAAGAGACATGGAACCGACTCACCACCGATCATGATGGGCATATGAGTGAGAAACAAAGCCATGTTGTTATAAACCTCTAAAATTAGGATGTTCTTTGTTACTGCGACCAACTCAGCCTACTATAACTACAAGGTAATACTTTCACTGCTTCTCAGATTGTTCAGGAGGGTACACTTTCCAAATGTATTAGTCGGAGAATAAGTCAGGGAAGCATGATATCCCAAAGCCCAAGTCATCCTAGCTTATTTGAGTCAATGCAGAGTCAAGATGAAAAATAAAATATTTAAATATTTCTATAATGTGAGGGGTTCTGAGAAACTATTCTATAATGGGATAATGACATTGGGTAAGTTTGGCATGCCAGAGCTCTGGTGAAGAAAGTGTGCCTCTTTCTTCTTGGAAGAGAAAGGAAGTGAAATGATGATCACAGGGCACAATGGAGAGTAGGGAAAGAGAGGTATGCCCTCCTTCAGAGAGCATGATGCTAGATGTTAGGAGATTAATAGTAAAGTTGACCAGGAAGGGACAAATGGTAGCCTGATAGATGCAGGGCTTTCCTGCCCAGTGCTTTTTTTTTTTTTTTTCACTGCCTATGAACAAAATGTAGAAACATGTGGTAGTTTCCTGGTGAGAAATGAACTTTGTAAAAACCTCTCTCAGCCTTTGTCCTTCTTATTAAAACTGAAGGTGTAAAACTTTTTATGGGGAAGAGAAGAGAGGTAACCTTTTAAAAATAGAATAGATGATAGATACAGATAGCTAAATATATAAATGAAATAGATGATAGATAGATGATAGATAGATAATCTTGTGCTCAAAAACTTTGAAGGCATTGGCATTGGTAGGAAAAATATCAAAATATATATATATATATATGCGCCAGTAAATATGTCAAGTGAAGTGAGATACTTCAAAGAAGGAAATTAGCCTAGCAGGATTTGAACATGAAATATGTATGCATACGTTTAGTTTTCTTATTTGTCTGCTGTATATCTTAAAGTCTTGTTATGATAACCAAATTCTTGTAGACAAAGACTAATTTTTCATGTAAACTGCTCAGTATGTGGTATGTGTTTAATAAATGGTAAACAAGCAATTTAAAAAGATAAAACTAATTCCTGTGGTTTTTCTTTAAAAGGTTAATGAGACGGGAGGAAATTCAAGCAGTTACTAGAATTCTCTACACAGATTCAGACAGAGCTTGTGATAAACTAACCTAATTGAATATTAGTGCTTTCCAAATTAACAAAATAGGCTTCACAGAAGATCAGTTAGTATCATATTAAAATGATGCAAGACCCCCGGAGAAGATTTAAATGAAAAAGAACAAACAATTTTATTCATGTCACAATTCCCAAGTCACCAAAAAAAAAAAAAAAATTCTGAAATTTTTCCTCCATGGACGTGATGCATAAACACAAAGTATTCCCTCCTACTTTTTTGTGAAATGACAGCATAGACATATAGATTTCATTAAATTCTCATGAAACAGGGATACAAAGTCTTACCCAGCTCTAATTTCTGCCTTCCAAGGTTATGGCCCTTATGTCTCATTTCAACAATAGGACCTTTGGCTCTATGGTACCCCAGAAACACGGCCTTAGGATACTGCCTCTTAAATCATATCTTAGATTTCTAAATATTTTCTGAAGCTATTATGACTGGTATATTTTGAAACGAAGTCCCATAGGCATTTTACCAAAACCTCTGCTTCAAGCTGCTTTTTTGATGTAGTGAAAGAAACTTATTCATAAAAAAGAAAATCAAATTAAATGACATTTGACTTATACAGGCATAGATTTTTAAAAATTATACATAATAATATTCATTGCATTATATATACATAATATGGTCACATCTGATTGATCACTTGTGAACCAACCATAAATACATGGGTATGAAAATATGGGTTCACAGTAGAATAATATTTATGCAAATTATTCACCTTAAATAGTAGTTACTGGCCATAGCTTAATATGAGCACTAACTTATGTATATTACATTCTATATGTGAAAATAATTTATACACTCCATAAACCATTTATGAAATAATGGTGATTGCTAACATTGACTGAATATTTATTGTGTGATGAGCATTATTTCATTTTATCAATGCAATAACCACTGACAAGGAAACTATACCTCCAATTTGCAAGGGACACAGAAATGTTAAGAGACACAGAAATGTAAGTTGGCCAAGATAAAATACTGAGTAAGAAACAAAATTAGAGATAAGAATCCAGATAACTTACTTCCAGAAATCATGATCTTGACCATTATCTTATAATGCCTGATATGGTTTATATCTGTGTCCCCACTCAAATCCCATGCTGAAATGTAATCCCCAATGCTGAAGATGGGTCCTGGTGGAAGGTGATTGGATCATGGGGCAGTTCCTAATGGATTAGCACCATCCCCCTAGTCCTGTTCTTGTGAAAGAAATTTGGTTATTTAGAAGTGTGTAGCACCTCCCCTCTTGCTCTCTCTTCCTCCTGCTCTGGGCATGTGAGATGTCTCACTCCCCCTTTGCCTACTACCATGATTGATTGTAAGTTTCCTGCAGCCTCCCCAGAAGCCTAGCAGGTAGCCAGCATCATGCTTGCTGTACATCCTGTAGAACCATGAGCCAATTAAACCTCTTTTCTTTATAAATTACCCAGTCTCAGGTATTTCTTTCTAGCAGTGTGAGAACAGACCTTTCTATGCAAGAAAGACCTTTCTATGCCTTCCTGAAGTTCTAAACACATGCAGCAGACTCCAATTCCAGATTATGTGGAGGAATGCAGTAAGTGTATCACTGTCCTTACACATAGTGCTTGATAACCTTGAAAGAGCTTAGCTTGACCTATACTATATGTGAATAAACTCTAAAGCAAGTTTATTCCTTTTCCAAAGAATTGGTTTGTTCACCTCTAAAATGGCTTTCTAGAGTCTTTATGAAGACCAAATGAGATAATGTGTGTGAAGCTGCCTTTAAATTATATATTACTTAAATGTTAATTACCTTTATTTTTATGATTAGTGTAATTAACGAATATCAAAGTAATGCAATATGCATATAAGCTGCAAAGAAGTGGCTGTTAGGGGAAGTTATCTACATTCTATAGAAGTTCTAATTTCATTTTTTATATATATATATATATACATACACATACAGTTAATTGTGTTGACTTGAGATGCCTATAAAAAAATCAATCTGACATCAAATCTACAAAAGAGAGTAAATTTAGCGTCAAGTTGTGAATTTGTTCCTACTTGGTTTCCTCTACACTAGATTTCAGTTCTTATTTGCATTCTGATTTGTCTCATTGATTATGAAATTTTGTTTGTCTCTATATACTCCTATTTAATAGTTTACCCAGCCTGACTAGCTCCCTGGAGAATCTATATTGTACCTTCTAAGCAGAAATAAAGCATCACCTACATGCACCAATAGGCAACTGAAATGCGAGCTAGTTAGTGGATTTAGGTTGCTGTAAATCACTTTAAATTGAAAAAATGTGCTGAAACAAAACTTTCTGAGACAGCTAATTTCTCACTTTAATTCATTAGAATGGGAAAATAGCTCATATTTTTTAGACTTTCATGCTGAAGCAATCTAATTAACAGAAATAGTAATTTAAATAGCTCAATGAAATTTCAAAAGTTCTCATAATTTATGAAGTCAGGATGATCAGGAGGAAACAACCAAGTGCCGATGACATGTTTACAAATTCTGTTTTTTAAAACTGTTCCACTTTTATATGGAAAAAAGAAAATGAAATTTTGGGGTGGGAAAAGATTGCCACTAAAGAAAGGATAATATCCATAAAATTTCAATTTAACAGTATGGTCTCTATTAACAAAAGCAAATTCTCAACCAGAGAATGTCCCCCAGTCTCTTTTAAGAGAAAGCGACAAAACAAAGGGAGATTCACTCATGGGATAATGCTTAGATTCTTTGCCTCTCACCTCAATCATGAATATCTTCCCACCCACATTTTAAATGACAGTCGATGTTAAGAAAGGTGTATCTAAAGGAATAAGTGGACCCTTTATACACTGTCCAGCAACTTCTGCTTGTAAGGCCTGTTCTGGAAAAGAGGTACGAGACCACTGAAATCCATCTCTTCAGAAATTTAAAGTAAAAGCTGCAGAACAGACACATGGAAATTGACACATGAGCCAAAAGTATGTCTGGTATCAGGAGTCAGGTAACCCACAGAAAGCTTCGCGCATGCCTCACGGTAAAGAGGGATGGAGCTCGGAGGAAGCAATCAGGAAAGGGAACCAAGCACAGCAGCAAAGAGAGGTCAGAGAGAAGGGAGCAGGTGGTCCATGAGCTGCCTTGGTGTATGCCCTTCTGCAGATTTTCCTGTTTTTTTCTGAATTCCTGAAAACATTTTCCAGAATATGTTTCAATTGGCCCCCTTTTTTTTCGTGAGGTAACTTGATGATGTCTCTGTTCCTTGATCCAAAACTGTGCTGACTAAATGATTTCCTTGTTTAAATTAAAGCTATAATTAACAAAAGCTCATTATCAGCCAGAAGTATTCTCCACCTTCATTTTTAAAAGGAAAAAGACAAATTCCTACCTTCTAAGTAGGATCCAGGAAACATAATCTAACAGTCACACCTCCTACATTTACCTCATACTGAAAACTGATACTTCAAATGATGACCCTAAGTCCATTTACAATTACAATAAAGGAGAAATGGTCCATTTTAGATTAGATGATTGATTGATAGATAGATAGATAGATAGATAGATAGATTTTTAATGGCAAAGTTTGAAAAGAAAATTTTCTGATTAATCTTAAATTATACAAAACTGTAAAGAAATAGAACATCCCCAATTCCCAAGCATTGTAGGAATCACATTGTTCTTTTATGATTAAGATTATTCCTATAAGCATTCCTAGGAAGGAGTGTAGTGCAGACCAAGTGCTTTCTGAGGGAATGACCCAATGGGAGAAAGAGTGTTGAAAAGACAGATTCAGGATTGGGGCTCTCATGTGTAGTTGTTTGTCCCTGAAGAGTGTGACTTGGAGTAAGGCATTTAGGTCTCTGGATCTCTTTCCTTATCTGTAAAATGAAGAAATCAGACTAGATTTGGAGTTAATTTAGACTTAGAGATTTCTCCCAATTCAAAAGTTTAATGAATTTGTAAAATGATTAGGTTTCATTAAAATGAAGACAATCTTTTAAACCTTTCAGAAAATGAAAATCTAAATATTACAGATTTTTAACCCCTTCAAACTAAAACAAATTAACTTCATTTTAGTCCCTAAACTTAGTGAGAAACTGAGGAGTTTATGAAATTTGTAGTTTAGATATATTTCTTATCTGTATGAAGTTATAAGTCTTAACTGCACAGTATAATATTCACTATAAAGTCAATCCGCACCCACACTTCTTTATGTACAAAACAGCTTGATTATGGTCAATTCCACGAGAGAGATCTAGTTCAAATAGTAATATAGGACAGTGGATTGGCTGAGGATTCTGAAGTCAGATGGTCTAGGTTCAAGTCCCAGCTTTAGAAGAAAGTGCTTTCCTATGCATCAAACCTTTTTCTTTCCTCCTGGCTTCACAGCTAGGCTATTTTCCAGTCTTCCTTGCAGTTAGATATAGGCAGTGACACAAAGAATGTGGGCAGAAGTAAGTTATGCTTTTTCAAGTCCAGGCTTATAAAAACCTCCCACTCCATCACCCACTCTCTCTCTTCTCCTTTCAGGTAGATGTTAGTGCCAAGAGTGACCTTGGAAACCATGTGTAGAAGATTGCAGAGCTACCATAAACCTGAGTCTCTGAATGACTATGTAGAGGAGAGACCCACCCCTACTACCAGCTGGATTTCACATAAGCAAGAAATACATTTAGGCTATGTTAAGCCAATGTAATCATAGGCTATGTTAAGCCAATGATTTTGATGTATATCTGTTATAGTAGCAAGCCTTAGCTTAACTAATATTCCTAGTAATAATGATATTCCTAGTAATGGACTTAGGAAGGAGTTGGGTGCAGCTCAAGTGCTTCTTAAGGGAAATGACATAGGAAGTAGAAAGAGCAGAGAACGGAAATATATAATTTGAGAAAATTGTTTTATCTCTGTAAGCATCAGCTATTCATAGGTGAAATAGGAATTGTGATATTACCTACCATTAAGTGCTATAATGAGGGTAAATTGAGCTAACCTTCATAAAGATGCTTAAACTTAGTGTTAGCTATAATTATTATGGAGAGTAATAACATCTAAACCAGACCCTTGTATATATTTATGTAATGCAGATATCTAAGAGATAATCATAGATTTTTTTAGAGACTTAAAAATAAAGTCCAAACTTGCCATTTTGTAAAAAGGGAACTGGTGATGAGAAAACATAATCCTAATTCTATATCACAGAGCTAGAGAGGAGGAGATAGCTAACTAGAACTCACTTCTCTTAATTTCTAGTTAGTTCACTGTCAGTTCCATTAACTCCTCCACCCCTCATTTCTTTGGTCACCAAATCCCTGTAAGTCTGCCTTTTGTAAACCCTTTTGATTTTCCTCTCTTCCCTACAACTTCACTTCTACTGATTTAGCTTAGGCATCCTTAACATTTCTTTCTTGCAAAACCACAAGAGCCTGTGACTTATTTCCCTACTTGTTAGCTTACTTCCCTATACACACATAAACACACACATACTACCATGGAAGATCCTTCTAAAAGTAATTCTGCAATATAGAATCATTTGTGGCTCTTCATTTTTTATACAATAATTCAAACTCCAGGCATTGCAAAAGCATCCTTCCCTCAGCCTACATTCGTCTTCTCTAGCTTCACTTTCCTGTGCACATGTGTTGCATCCTACACTGAAGGCACATAAACTATTATCAGAGTCTTATACAAAGCATACCTTCACATCTCTTTGTCTTTGCCAAGTCCATCTCCCTGTTTCTTGATTCCTTGCCCTCTTTTAATCTTTCAAGATTTAGAGCATCACATCCTCTACTCTAGGAAGCTGTTACTTAGCCCGTTAGGTAGACTGAACCATTCCCTGCTCTGATTAACAATTTCTTACTTATCTCTGTAACGCGTGTAATTGTCTTTTATATTTACTTTTTATATCTCTGTTTCCCCTACTAAATTTTGTGGACCAAATCTATGGCTTTTAATCTATGAATATCCAGCTTGAGACACAGTTTGAGAGCCAAAATAGAAAATTAAAATAATTGAAGAACAAATGAATAAATGAATGGTTTACTACAAGGGTTCTCAAAAGAAAGAAATAAAAACAGTAAATTTAACATTTTTTTTCCAGTCCAGGCTTAGATAAACTTATTGGAAATTGTAAAAACATTTGACATTGTCTCTTTGTGAATATGTGTGTATGTGTGCTTAACTTTTTTTCTAATGGAGAGCCAAGTACAGTTTTAGGAGAGATAAACCCTGGATGGGGAGGTAAGAAGCTCTGGCTTCTAGAACTTGCACTGACACAAACTGATGGTTTCATCTTTGACAAATCAGTTAATCTCACTAAGTCACAATTTATCATCTGTGGGATAAAGTTGGTGATATATGATGGTAGGGCATTTAATATCGTAGTAAAGAAAAAAGTGACATCAGCTAAAAGCATGTTTATATTGTTATATTATAGAAGAAACTTATGACATAATCAATGAAAGCCTGCTCATCAGAGAAGCAATGTGGCATTGGACTCTGACCTAGGATATCTTGATTTTGGTCCTAACTGGTCAGGAATATTATTTCAGAAAGCACTTTACTTATTTGGACTTTAGTTTCCTCAACTATAAAATTAGAAGAATCTCTAGATTTCTTTCCAACTCCAAAAATGTATTGTACAGTGTGATATGTAAAAAATTTAGATGAAGAGAGGCATTAAGTCATTTAATATTAAGAAGTGATTATTCCCTGCAAGGATGAACTTTTACTGTTTCCTGTATCTAATTTTGCAGATTTATAATTCCATACCCTTCTGTATGCTAAGAGGTTTTTTTTTCACATATGTGGTATGCTTTGAAGCCAGCAAGAGCCCTATAAACAGAGGAAATCAGTATTATTTAAGAATGAACAAAATCTTTGCCTTCCAACTACAATCCAACAAAATCTTTTCTCACACACGGAAGGTTTGCTTTGTTCCCAGTGATTGACATGAAAAGCAAATTTAGGTTATCTTTTCTCTACACTTCAGCAATTTCAGTAAGGAACATCCAGGTTCTGAGTGTCACTCTAGATTAAAAGGATATAAATCCTTAGTCAAATTATTAAAGAGGACAAGGATGAAGCTCATTTTTTTTTTAGTTTTTAGAAAAAAAAAGCTAATAGCTCTTTGAAAACTTATATTCTGAACTACCCATTCACTAGCAATTTTACACTGTCATCTCAACTAAGCTTTTCATTGTTGTTGACATCTTCTGAAAATGTCCTCTTAAAAATGACTTTAAAATTCACTTATGATGTGAAACTCAAATTAAAATAGAGAAGCAGTAAAAATGTATTAGGAGAACCACTTGTCAGCAAGTCAAGAAACCTGTGCTTTCATTTGTATTTCACTACTAACCATGAGATCACTGCCTAGTCATTCACACATTGAAGATTCCCTCAACAGGCATTGTGCTATCTCTCCTGGAAATATAAATCCAAACCATCTCTACTTTTAAAAAACCTAGAAAGCAGTAGAGGGAGAGAACCAGGCACACAAAAACTAAAATAAATTATCCATGAAAGAAAGAATAGATAAGCTGAACTTCATTAATAGTAAAATTGGAAATTTCTGCTCTGCAAAAGACACTGTCAGTCAAAAAAAATGGTGAAAAGTAGGTAGAACTAATAGTAGGTAGGACTAGGCAGCTCCCACTCGGATGGACAGAGCAGCTTGTGGAGACTCATACTGTGAACTCTTGCTCCAAGAACTACCGCAGGGACATACCAGGAAAGCTGAGAGAATTCACAGACCCTTTGAAAAAAGTGGCTTGCCACTGTAGGTTTCGTGAGATGGCCAAAAAAACTGTGAGTAACCAAAGTGTGAGGGGGAAGGTCCACCTCCAAACAAACATCCTCACTGGTGAATCTGAAGGTCCAGATCATGGGAGAAGGATTTGACCTTACCTGGAGCTGAGATGAATTTAGAGAGCAAAGTGAAATATAAGAGTAGAGGAAGCAGCTGGAAGAGTGCTGTGGGCACTCTCGGTCCCCAGGGAAGGCATTCCTGATTTTGTCTCACAGGGGTCCTTGGGGAGGTCTGCCAGTGGAATTGGAGAAAGACCACAAGGAGAAGGAAACTTCCAGCTGAATTTTGTAACAATTTTGACTGAACATGAAGTTTCCTAGACAGAATCTGGGGGAGGGGACAAATGGGGAGTGCACATAGAAGCACAGAAACTGCAGCAAATGGGGAGATGTGAAGCCTGAAAGCCCTGCCTGCTTTCTCAGCAGGGAGGCTTGTATCCTGGGGCACCTTCTCACCCCTGCTCACTGGCTGCCTTGAAATGAACTCTGTGCTGTTGGTGGGGCATGGTGGGAGTGAAATTGTTCTTCAGGCTGCATGGAAGCTGGCTGAGGCCTGTCACTGCCAGCTTTCCCCCACTTCCCCACTTCCCTGGTATGAAGCAGCAGAGGCAGCCATAATTCCCCTGGGAACATAACTCCATCAGCCTGAGAACTATATCCTTATCCCCCAAAGCAGCTGCAGTAAGACCCACCAAAGGAGGGTCTGAGCTCAGACATACCTAACCCTACCTCCACCTGATGGTCTTTCTCTACCCACCCCGGTAGTCAAAGACAGTGGACATAATTACTGGGGGGCTCCAAAGCTCTTCCTACTGCCTGAGAAATCTGAATACTTATCCAGGCAACACTAGTGCAAGCCTGTAACCTCCCTGCACTACCACAGCTGATGCTCTCTTGAAAGCACCACCTCTTAGCTGGAGGCCAACCAACACAAAACCATTGCATTAAAAAAAACTACAACAAAGGACACTCACAGAGTCCACTTTACTCCCCTGCTACTTCCACCACAGCAAGTGCTGATATTCACAGATGAGAGACCTGAAGACAGATCACATCACAGGACTCTTTGAAGACACCCCCCAGTACTTGCCTGGAGCCCAGTAGCTCCAATGGGTGGCTAGACCAGGAAGAGAAATAACAATCACTGCAGTTCAGCTCTCAGGAAGCCCCATCCCTAGGAGAAGGGGGAGAGCACCATAATTAAGGGAGCACCACATGGGAACAAAAAATCTGATCAGCAGCCCCTGAGTCTCAGATCTTCCCTCTGACAGTCTATCCAAATGAGAAGAAATCAGAAAAACAGTTCTGAAAATATGACAAAACAAGGTTCATTAGCACCCCCAAAAGATCACAGTAGCTCACCAACAATGAATTCAAACTAAGATGAAATATCTGGATTGCCAGAAAAAGAATTCAAAAGGTCAATTATTAAGCTACTCAAGGAGGCACCAGAGAAAGGTGAATATCAACTTTAAAAAATCAAAAAAATGATACAGGATATGAACGAGAAAATCTCTAAAGAAATATATGGCATAAACAAAAAACAATCAGAACTTCTGGGAAGGAAGGACACAATTAGAGAAATGCAAAATACACTGGAAAATCTCAGCAATAGAATTGAAGAAGTAGAAGAAAGAATTTCAGAGCTCAAAGACAAGGCTTTCAAATCAACCTAATCAGACAAAAACAAAGAAAAAAGAATAAAAAAATTAATAAAGCCTCCAAGAAGTTTGGAATTATGTTAATCAAACCTAAGAATAATTCATGTTCCCAAGGAAGAAAAGAAATTTCAAAGTTTGGAAAACATATTTGAGAAAATAATAGGGGAAATCTTCCCTGGCCTTGCTAGAGATCTAGACATCCAAATACAAGAAGCTCAAAGTACACCTGGGAAATTCATTGCAAAAAGATCACCACCTAGTTACATAGTCATCAGGTTATCCAAAGCCAAGACAAAGGAAAGAATCATAAGAGCTGTGAGGGAAAAGCATCAGGTAACCTGTAAAGCAAAACCAATCAGATTAACAGCAGATTTCTCAACAGAAGCTATACAAGCTAGAAGGGATTGGGGTCCTATCTTTAGCCTCCTTAAACAACAAAACTAATCAGCCAAGAATTTTGTATCCAGTGAAACTAAGCTTCATAAATGAAGAAAACATATAGTCTTTTTCAGACAAACAAATGCTAAGAGAATTTGCCACTACCAAGTCAACATTACAAGAACTGCTAAAAGGAATTAGAAATCTTCAAATATATCCTCAAAATACACCAAAATAGAATCTCCTTAAAGCATAATTTCACAGAACCTACAAAACAATAATGAAATGGAAAAAAGAAACCCAAGGTATCAAAGCAATAACTAGTACAGTGAATAGAAGAGTACCTCACTTTTCAATACTAATGTTGAATATAAATGGCCTAAATGTTCCACTTAAAGGATGCAGAATGGCAGAATGGATAAGAATTCACCAACCAAGTATCTGCAGTCTTCAAGAGACTCATCTAACACATAAGGACACACATAAACTTAAGGTAAAGGAGTAGAAAAAGATATTCCATGCAAATGGACACCAAAAGTGAAGAGGAGTAGTTATTCTTACATCAGACAAAACCGACTGTAAATCAACAAATGTTTAAAAAGACAAAGAAGGACATCATATAATGAGAAAAAAGACTAGTCCAACATGAAACTATCATAATCCTAAATATATATGCACCTAACACTGGAGATCCCAAATTTATAAAACAATTACTACTAGGCATAAGCATGATAATAGTGGGGGACTTCAATACTCCACTGACAGCACTAGACAGGTCATCAAGACAGAAAGCCAAGAAAGAAACAATGGACTTAAACTATACCCTAGAACAAATGGACTTAACAGATATTTACAGAACACTCTACCCAAAAACTGAAGAATATACATTCTATTCATCAGCACATAAAAGATTCTCCAAGATAGACAATATGATAGTCCACAAAACAAGTCTCAATAAACTTAAGAAAATTGAAATTATATCAAGTACTCTCTCTGACCACAGTGAAATAAAACTGGAAAGCAACTCCAACAAAACCCTCAAAATTATGCAAATACATGGAAATTAAATAATTTGCCCCTGAATGATTGTTGAGTCAACAATGAAACCAAAATTGAAATTTTAAAAATTACTTGAACTGAACAATAATAGTGACACAACCTAGCAAAACCTCTGGGATACAGCACAAGCAGTTCTATGAAAAAAGTTTGTAGCATTGAATGCCTACATCAAAAAGTCTGAAAGAGCACAAATAAGCAATCTAAGGTCACACCTCAAGGAACTAGAGAAAAAAGAACAAACCAAAACCAAACCCAACAGAAGAAAAAAAAAATAACAAAGGTTAGACCAGAACTAAATGAAATTGAAACAAAAAAAAAAACAGATAAATGAAACAAAAATATGTTTCTTTGAAAAGATAAACAAAATTGATAGACCATTAACAAGATTAAATAGGAAAAGAAGAGAGAAGATCCAAATAAGCTCAATTAGAAACAAAAAGGGAGAAAGTACAACTGATACCACAGAAATACAAAAGATCACTTAAGGATACTATAAACACCTTCATGTTCACATACTAGAAAATCTAGAGGAGATGGATAAATTTCTGAAAATATGCAACCCTCTAGATTAAACCAGGAAGAAATAGAAACTCTAAACAGAGCAATAACAAGCAGTGATATTGAAATGGTAATAAAAAATTGCCAAGAAAAAACAAGTCCAGGATCAGATAAATTCACAGTTGAATTCTATCAGACATTCAAAGAAGAACTAGTACTAACCCTATTCACACTATTCCAAAACATAGAAAAAGAGGGAATTCTCCCTAAATCATCCCATGAAGCCAGTATCACCCTAAAGCCAAAACCAGGAAAGGACATAACTAAAAAAGAAAACTACAGACCAATGTCCCTGATGAATACAGATGCAAAAATCTAACTGAATCCAACAGCATTATCAAAAAGATAATACACCATGATCAAGTGGGTTTCATACCAGGGATGCAGGGATGGTTTAACATATGCAAGTCAATAAATGCATTACAGCGCATAAAGAATTAAAAACAAAAATAACATAATCATCGCAATAGATTCAGAAAAAGCATTTGACAAAATCTGGCATCCTTTATGATTAAAACCCTCAGCAAAATCAGCATAGGAGGGACATATATTAAGGTAATAAAAGCCATCTATGACAAACCCATAGTCAGTATTATACTGAACGGGGAAAAGTTGAAAGCACTCCCCCTGAGAACTGGAACAAGAAAAGGATTCCCACGTTCACCACTTCTATTCAACATAGTACTGGAAGTCATAGCCAGATCACTCAGACAAGAGAAAGGAATAAAGGGGATTCAAATGGGTGAAGAGGAAGTCAAACTGTCTCTGTGTGCTGATAATATAATCATATACCTAGAAAATCCTAAAGACTCACCCAGAAAGCTCCTAGGACTGATAAATTCAGTAAAGTTTCAGGGTACAAAATTAATGTACACAAATCAGTAGCACTGCTATACACCAACAGTGACCAAGCTGAGAATCAAATCAAGAACTCAACTCATTTTATGATAGCTGCAGAAAAAATAAAATACTTGGGAATATATCTAACCAAGGACATGAAAGACCTCTACAAGGAAAACTACAAAACACTGCTGAAAGAAATCATAGATGATGTAAACAAATGAGAACATATCCCATGCTCATGAATGGGTAGAATCAATATTGTAAAAATAATCATACTGCCAAATGCAATTCACAAATTCAATGCAATTCCCATCAAATTACCACCAGCATTCTTCACAGAAGTAGAAAAAACAATCCTAAAATTCATGTAGAACCAAAAAAGGGCCCACACAGCCAAAGCAAGACTAAGCAAAAGGAACAAATCTGGAGCCATCATATTATCCAACTTCAAACTATACTATAAGGCTATAGTCACCAAAACATCATGGTACTGGCATAAAAATAGGCACATAGACCAATGGAACATAATAGACAACCAAGAAATAAACCCAAATACATAGAGTCAAGTGATCTTTGAGAAAGCAAACGAAAACATAAAGTGGAGAGAGGACACCCTTTTCAACAAATGGTGCTAGGATAATTGGCAAGCCACATGTAGAATGAAACTGGATCCTCATCTCTCACCTTATACAAAAATTAACTCAAGATGAGTCAAAGACTTAAACCTAAGATTTGAAACCATAAAAATTCTAGAAGAAAACATTGGAAAAACCCTTCTAGACATTGGCTTAGGCAAAGCGTTCATGACCAAGAACCAAAATTAAATGCAACAAAAGAAAGATAAATATATGGGACTTAATTAAACTAAAAAGCTTCTGTACAGCAAAAGTAATAATCTGCAGAGTTGACAGACAACCCACAGAGTGGGAGAAAATATTCACAAACTATGCATCCCTCAAAGGACTAATATCCAGAGTCTACAAGGAATTCAAACAAATCAGCAAGAAACAAACAATCCCATCAAAAAGTCGGCTAGGGGCATGAATAGACAATTCACAAAACAAGATATACAAATGACCAATAAAAATATGAAAAAATGCTCAATATCACTAATTATCAGGCAAATGCAAATCAAAACCGAGTAGAATGAACATAATCCAAAAATCAAAAAATAATATATGTTGGCCTGAATGTGGTGAAAAGGGAACACTTTTACACTGCTAGTGGAAATGTAAACTAGTATAACCACTATAGAAAACAGTGTGGATACTCCTTAAAGAATTAAAATTAGATCTACCATTTGATCTAGCAATCTTACTCCTGGTATCTATCCAGATGAAAAGAAGTCATTATACAAAAAAGATACGTGCACATGCATGTTTATAGCAGCACAATTTTTAGCTGCAAAAATATGGAAACAGCCCAAATGCCCATCAATCAATAAGTGAATAAAGAAAATATATATACCATGGAATACTACTCAGCTATAAAAATGAATGAAATGATTACATTCACAGCAACCTGGATGGAATTGGAGACTATTATTTAAAGTGAAGTAACTCAGGAATGGAAAACCAAATATTGTATGTTCTCACTTATAAGTGGAAGCTAAGTTATGAGGACACAAGGGCATAAGAATGATAAAATGGACTTCAGGGATTCGGGGGAAAGAGTGGGAGGATGGTGAGGGATAAATGATTATATATTGGGTACAGTGTACACTCCTCTGGTGATGGATGCACCGAAATCACCACTAAAGATCTTATCCATGTAACCAAACACCTCCTGTTCTGCATAAACCTATTGAAATAAAAAATAAAAATTAAAAAAATAAATTAAAATTGGTCTTTGAAAATAAAGACATTGTCAAGAGAATCAAATGACAACCACAGACTGGGTGAAAATGTTGTAAAAGATATATCTGAAAAAGGATTGTTATCAAAAATATACAAAGGACTCTTAAAACTCAACAATAAGAACACAACTCAAGTTTAAAAAGGAGCCAAACCATTTAGCAAACACATCACGAGAAAATATATGTAGGTGGCAAATAAGCCTGTGAAAAGATGCTCCAAATCATGTGTCATCAGATAAATGCAAACTGAAATGAGATATCACTATACACCTCTTAGAATGACCAAAATTCAGAATATCAAATTCTGGCAAGGATGTGGAGCAACAAGAACTCTCATTCATTGCTAGTGGGGAATGTAAAATTGTACAGCCCCTCTGTAAGACAATACGGTAGTTTCATACAAAATTAAAGATACTCTAAACATATAATCCAGCAATAGTGCTCTTTGGTACTTACCCAAAGGGGTTGAAAACTTATATTGACCCAAAAACATGCACATGGATATTTATAGCAGCTAAATTGCCAAGACTTGGCAGCAAAGAAGATATCCTTCAACAGATGAATAGATAAACTGTGGTACATACAGACAATGGAATATTATTCAAGCTAAAAAAAATGAGCTATCAAGCCATGAAAAGACATGGAGAAAACTTAAATGTGTGTAACTAAGTGAAAGAAGCCCAATCTGAAAAGGTTACATACTGTATAATTCCAACTATATGCTTTTCTGGAAAAGGAGAAACTATGAAGATCAGTGATTATCAGGGAGTAGGGGAAAGGGAGGGATGAATAAGCAGAACACAGGATTTTTAGGGCAGTGAAAATAGTCTATACGACACTATAATAGTGGATACATGTCATTGTACATTTGCCTAAATCCATAGAATGTACAAAACCAAAGTTAATCCTAATGTAAGCTATTAAATTGGGGTGACGATGTGTGAATGTAGAGGTAAGCCGAAAGTCTCAGTACCTTCCTTTTAATTTTGTTGTGAGCCTAAAACTACTCTTAGAAAAATGAAGTCTCCCTTTGGCAGGAACTTCCATACTTCAGTAATATGCCAAAACGACAAACACCAATGGAAAGAGGAGAGACACCTGATGTATGTTTCCTAGCCCTTTTAGAAAACATGGAGTTGTTCCTTTGACCACACACATGCGAATCTATAAGAAAGGTGATATTGTAGACATAAGGGAATGGGTACTGTAAAAAGAAATGCCCCACTAATGCTACCATGGCAAAACTGGAAGAGTCTACAATGTTACCTAGCATGCTGTTGGCATTATTGTAAACAGACAATTTAAGGGCATGATTCTTGCCAAAAGAATTAATGTGTGTATTGAGCATATTAAGCAGTTTAAGAGCTGAAATAGCTTCCTGAAACATGTGAAGGAAAATGACCAGAAAAAGAAGGAAACCAAAGAGAAATAAAGGTACCTAGGTTCACCTGAAGCACCATCCTGCTCCATCTGGAGAAACACACTTTGTGAGAACCAACGGAAAGGAGCCTGGGCTGCTGAAACCCCTTCCCTATGAATTCATGCATAATAGATGTTAAAAAAAAAGACCTCTGGACCGCATAAAAGTCAACGAACATAAAGTGATTAAGAGCCATGATGCAAATAGTCACAGCCACAGACTATACTAGGATAAAGAAAGAAGGAGGGGTCAGGTCTCCTCAGTGACAGACAGGCATGAGAATGGGGATTAGGAAATAATTCATAAAGATGATGCTTAATCTGAATTTTGTGAGATGCCTGAAAGCTAGCCAAGTCATATCAGCAAAAGTGGCCTCATTTAGTTTTCTGATCTAAACTAGATGATGTCTAAGCTCCCTTCTGGTTCTAAATTTCTAAATTTCTATGTTCAATTTTAATAAACATAAAGATATTTATATATTTCTGTTTTGTTTACATGTGGATATGTTTAACCGTGGTATGTATACTATCTAAACCCTATATTGAAATTTCTCTAATATAATTTTTCTAAAGAATAAGTAATATCTCTTAAATATTCTTTAACTTCTCAGTGTTAATCTTGTCCATAATTAGAAGCATTTGGTCCTGGAGTGTGTTGTAAGTGTAGCTTTATGCAGGGGAAAAAACGTAAGACATAGTGTGAAATGTAGTTAGTAAGTGGATACTGAGCAAGCGGCATTCCAGGAATTAATTTTCTTGAAAAGATCCCTGGTGTTAGTTTGTTCTTTTGGTAATTTGCCTTTGTCTCCTGAAAGTGAACATGCAGAGTAACATGCCCTCCTGGGCCAGGTAAAATGGCCAACATCCAGCAAAACCAATTAATGAATCAAAGACTAAGGCAGCCTTCTGGGGGGAAGCAGCAGAGCAACTAGTGGTTACAACAGGAAATCAGACAGATGCCAACTGTGTGGCTTTGAGCAAGGTACTTACATGTAAGCTTCAGTTTCCTCATCTGCAAATCAAGAATAATAATCCTGTTTTGCAGTATTATCGGGAGGATTAAACAAGATAAGGTAGGGAAAGCTCTTAACACTGTTTCTGGCATGTTGACAGTACTCAGTGATAACTGGCTATTATTATTATCATTATTATAAATTCAGGGAGAGTCCAATTATCCTATTATCCTTGTGAAAGCAATCTTCAGGATAATAGGTACAACAGATGTCAATGGTTTTAAGTAAAGTTAACTTATGGATCTAGTCCTCAGCAACTTACCTTTTCTTACCTAAGAGTCAATAGAACACATAAATAGGGGCATAGTAATTGAGAACATAGATTCTAGAGTCAGACTACTTGCACTCAAATTTTAGCTCTACCACTTATTTGCTGGGTAACCTTTGCCAAGGTTACTTAACCTCTCGGTGCCTTAATTTTCTCACTTGTAAAATGAGAAAAATCAGAGAAAAATATCTCATAACCTTGTTGTAAGAATTTAATTAATACATATAAAGCACCTGCTACAGTATCTGGGTTCAGTAAGTACTCTGTAAATATTTGCTTTTGATAGAAATAACTTTTCTTTTAACCCCTGTGGAGAGGTAGGAGGTAGTGTCATCAATGACTCAGTGACAGTGAGAGAAAGGGTGAGGTTGATGGTAACTTCTTACCTTGGTAGTAGCAGCAGTCTCACAAATGCCTCCTGAGGAAAAGGGATAACTGGGAGCTCATTCTTTAGGGTCAAATAGACCCAAACAGGAAATCTTTCCTATTGTGAATGACCTTGCGCAAGTTATTTCACTAAAAAGTCTCAGGTGACTCAGTGTTAAAAAGGGAATAGCAGTATCTACTTAACAAAAGTGTTCTAAGGATGAAATGAGATCCTGAATGTAAAGTGGTTCCCTCTTTACTTTTGGAGATTGTTGCAAGGGCTCACCCTAAGGATTAACTGGATTCAAAGCTCATTCCTTGACTACTGTCTTGTACTATCTCTCGAGCCTAAGGGGCAAGGAAGCTGCCAAGAAAAACTTTCAAACCATTCTGCTACCATCCCCACCCCCCAACTCTTGAGCTTATTACTTCATTATATCCATCTGGCTTCTCACCTGGGACTCAGTGAGAGTTCTAGTGACTCCCTGTGAACATCTACTACTGACAAACGCTTGCCACCAGTCATGATGCTGCCTTTCAGATTCCATACCACACCTCCCTCTCACCCTAGCTCTCATTCTCATTCCCTCTCCCTCTCATGCATGACTTTACTCATCACTCATTTACTATTTATTAGATGCCCATGGTAGGCTAGACAAAGGAAAGACAAATGTCCTGCCCTCAGGGAAAAGACAAACACTGAACAAATTATGACATAGCTTGAAAACTGTATAGGAGACTGATCCAGGAAACAGGCTATGAAGTTATGTCGACCTGGGTTTGAGCTCCGGCTCTCTCACTTATTAGCTGTGCTCTTGAACAAATTATGTAATTCCTATAAACTTCTATTTCTTCTTTTGGGAAATGTGAATACCAATGTTTACTTTTAACTTGAAAATACCTGCCCTCCATCACCATCTAGCCCCCATCTGCTTCTGGGAATGTGCTCTAGAACAAGAAAGAAAAACAAATTACTTTACCAGTTATCCTTGCTTATAGAGACTAGTGGGAAAGGATACCTTGCTTAAAATGTGCCCTGTTGAAAAGGCAAAGTAAAAACAAGTTACGTTTTCAAAGCTTTGGTCAATCTTTCTGTAAATAAAAGGTCACCACCAAATCTCTGTTTTTGAAAACATAAGGCAATAAGCCCTGCTGGAAAACAAACCACATTTATCATCATAATGTAAAGCTGTGTGTTCACTGTGGGCAGGTATTTTTGCATATTATGTTGCATTTAAAGGAACGTTTTTCTTCTTAAATTATGCTTAAAAGATAGTCTGAGAAGTACATTTTTCCTTTGGAGGTAGTGATGTGTGTGTGTGAGAGACAGAGAATCCAAAGAGAGTTTAATCCAATAATTGCACCTCTGAAAGCTAAGTAGAATGAGGAGAAACACCCACACTATGCACTGGTAGAAACCCCTCAGAAAGAATCAGAACTTAGAGTGGCAAAGCTAAAGTGACCCTATAATTTATCTTCCAAATCAAAACCCATTTGAGAGTAAAAGGGCATGCTATTAATAATTATTCTGAAAAAATAGGTGTTAACTGGAGCTGCCTTAGTGCAAATTGGAACATATTTTACAACCACCACAGCCTATGCTCACCCTGAAGTGTTCTGCTAAAGCCTACCTTTGCTAACTATGATCTTATTCTAAGCCAAATACCCAGGTTTTTGAACATGTGCTGCTATAAATTATGTTCTATGAACTCTCCTAGTGGGGATAAATCATAGAAAAGACTAAAATCAATTGGTAGGGAGGAGATTTTCCCATGTGAGAATAAAGATTTTCTACTATGAACATTCAGTGACATTCTCTTTCTCTGAAAAGCTGCGATAGTATATGCTGGGCAGGGCTTGAGACTTGCCCAGGTATGCTGCAGGTGGCCACTAGCCCTCACTCTCAGGAAGCAAAATTGCTGAATCTATGGTGTCTTCTTACTGGATCTGTTCTTTTCCCTTTTTATGACTATAAATATTAATCCCCAATATAATATCTCTATTAATGAAGAGACTGCAGCCAGATGCTACAGTGATTTTAGGCAAAACTTTCTAACCAGAAGTGTAAGTCATATTGGGCTTAGAGATGTGTTTGAGGACATCAGATAACAAGAGTTATAATATTAAATATGAAAATCATTAGATGCAAATGAAAACAATGTCAAATATCCCAGAAGATAATATATGTGATTCCAAGTCACAGGACATATGGAAGAGAGGGCAGGAAGCAGATTAAAATCAGGAGTAAGAGCACACAGGTAGTGAAGCAGGATAAATGCCAACAGGTGTACATGTGCTATGACAGGACACATATCACATGCGGAAGAAACTAATAGTGCAAGGACACCAAGTCAACTTCAATCAAATCAGTAAGAACCAGAAACCTTAAGGTTCTTTAGCAGAGTAGACAGCATGGAGGTATAAAAAGAAAGCAGTGTGGAAGGCAGGTGACCAAGAAGACCTTAACATGCCCCTCTGCCTGGCTTAACTTTGTACAGAATTTTTCTGACTCTAGGCCACTGACATCTCCTTTCTTACAGCATTTACTTTAGAAAACTTGTAAATTCTTTATTTGCCCCTTTGTATTAATATAAATCTTCTCCCAGTCTCTTGCCAGTTTTACAAGCCATGAATATCTTTCTCAAGGGCCCTGGAGCCATATATCCCTTTGACATTTAATCAAGAAAGACAGGGCCCTGTTGCTGTCTCTGTGGGAGGGTAGGAGCCTAACTTTGATAAACAATGATTAGCAAATACAGATGGCCCAGTCACATTCACCAATCTCCCTGCTAAAGTCCTTCAGTACTTTCTCACTCGCTCCTTCCAGTGTTTAAAAATTCTCCTGTTCTTTATGTCACCAGAGTTGGGTTCAATTTCTCTCCTCTATGGCAATAGTCTTCACTTATATTGCAACGGTCTTAAATAAAGTCTTCCTTGCCATTTTTAACAAGTATCCAGTGCAATTTTTCTTTATAGGGACTGGTTGTAGATCAACTGCTTGGACAGCTCAAAACATCATAAAATCTAAATCAAATTTGCTCGAGTCAGACAACTGTAATTTCAGAAGCTCCTGAGAGCTTCCTCCCATCTAACTATCTAAAAATAATCCCTCACCAGCTCACAAGGGAAATTAAGTTTTTCTAAAAAGGAAAAAGCCTCTCCTACAATCAGAGATAAAAGGCTGGTTGAGGTAAAGCTTCAGTGTGAAGGCATCTCAGTGACAGCATAATCAGTCAATCAGCAGGTATAAATGGGTCATTGTAAGATCCCTTCCTATTTGGACTGGGGAGCAGGAAGCCTGAGAAGGATAGAAGAGCCAGGAGAGGGAATGTGGAGGAGAATAAAAGGCAGGAGAATGAGGGTATAGACAAATTTCACAGGATTTACCACTTTGCCTAGGTTCTGCCTCATCTACCTCCAACTGGGCTAAGATTAAAAGAAGTGGAATCTGAGGTATGTTTGACATGCAGCTGCAAACACAGGCAGCACACTTGGCTTGATTAGTGAAGATGTTTGTTTTATTAAACATATTTTACTTCTTGTAAAGCAGCTTAGACTTTAGCATATCACCGTACTTGAAATCTGACATTGCTTTTCCATTTTCCTTTTTATAATATGCATTCCATTTTCCTTTCTATAATGTGCATCAAATTAGTGTGTGCATGTGTGTTTGTGTGTGTATGTGTGTGTACCATGGCCTCAGGCAAAGCAAAAGACTAACAATCCCTCATGAAAAACAAAGCCCACAGTGATAAGAATGTTAGAAATACACGATAAAAATATGTCTTAAAGTTTTTAATGAATCTTACAGAAAAAATATTATAATGCAATTATAAACTGGTACCAAAAAATCAAGAGATTTTACTAAATAACACATAACCAACAAAATAACTAAGCCAAAATAACAGCAATTACAATTAAGAATCAAAAAGCAGTAATTTTTACTTTTGTTTAGGGATGGTTGCCGGGGGAAAAAGTAAAAATTGAAATGTATGAGATTTCATGTCATTCACCAATGAATAAAATTCACAAAACTCTTTTACATGTTTCAATTTTTTTTCCTGTGACTTCTGATCTCAGAGTCTCCCTTAGAAAACAGTGGGATTTGAGACTAGGAGGAACGGTGGAATACATGCCTACTAAAGATGTATATATTTCCATGAAACTATTTGATCCCGAAGGTATAAAATATAAACGAAATTCTAATGTCCCTCAACCATCTAAATGGGCCCCTCCTCACAGCTGAGCATTCCAAAGTTAACCTCAAAAATGAGTTCAGGCCATGATGAGAAGAGGGGAGCCAAACATGGTTCGTTATACCCGCCTCCCTTTGGAATTACTGATAAAGACTATGTTTGATAAGAAACATTTACAATCTATTCTCTCTGAAGCCTGCTACTTGGAGGCTTCCTACATGATAAAATCTTGGTCCCCACAACCCCTTATTGTAACCAGGCATTCCTTTCTATTGATAATAATTCTTTCAACCAATTCCAATCAGAAAATCTTTGAATCTGCCCATGACTTCCAGTTGTGCCACCTTTCTGGACTGAACCAAAGTACATCTTACCTGTATCGATTGATGTCTTTTGTCTCCCCAAAATGTTTTTTACACATGTTATACAAAACCAAGCTGCACCCTGTCCACTTTGGACTTATGTTCTCAGGATCTTAAGGGCTATGTCATGAGCCATTGTTCACTCATAATTGTTTCAGAATAAATCTCTTCAAATATTTTACAGAGTTTGACTCTTTTCATTGACAAAGGTTAAATTATAGGCCCCAAAAAATAAATTTGCAAGGACTTTTTCCATCCTTTTATTAGTTCACCAGGTTTCAAGTTCCTTTCTAATTCAGGCACTGTTTAGGAGAAGTTTTAACTAAAGTTGACATTATAGGTAATGCAGTATTTATAAGCTAGGTGAAGCAGATATAATTATTTTCTGTTTTGTTAAAATATTTAGTAAAGACTTTAAAACTGTTTCCCCTAGGAAAATTCCAAAAAGCACATTAATTTCCTGATAATAAAGAGCACAACTGACATTTATCATTTTTTTCCAGGAGGTTCCAAAATTTAATCTTAAAGCTTGAGGAAAACATTTATTCTTGGAAAATTTATGCTAACATACTTTACATACTTAGTTTTCAACATACTTTTACATCAAAGGGTCAATAAGTTGTTTGAAAACTAGCTACATAAAACACTGCTTACAGATAATTAACTACCTGATGGACAGCCCCAGGCAAGAAAGTTTAAAGTGCTTGGAGCCCACAAAAGATCAATCAGAAATAGAAAAAAACAAAGCTATAAAGGAATATTGCAAGGAATATAAAAATTAGTATTCATTTTACACAGAATTGTTGAATAATGCTTCCTTGTTTTGGTTAAGAAAACTTCATACGAATAGACTTTGACTTCACATGTCTAATTATACAGGACAGAATCAACTTTATTTCTGGTAATAAAATTAAGAGCTTATGACAATTTCTCTTCTTTACCACTCGTGTACTTGGGCAGTTATCAAACTCTATTGTACGAATTGGCTTCCTCTACTAGGATAGGAATTTCTTGAATTTGGCACAGAGTACATGTTCAATAAGTGTTTATGGAATTGAAATTAATGAACACTACAGATATGCCAGATAGGAAGCTAACAAAGTATTCTTTATTTCTTATCCCAGACACAATGTTACTTACTTTATTAATAGAAAAGCACTTCAGAAAAGGATAGTGAGCAAGAAAACCTGCCCTTTATACAGGTGAGGCAATGGGTAGTTAGTATTTAAAATTATTTTAAATTTAACTCATTGAAATTCTTACATCCTAAGAAAAAATCAACAACTCTACTGCAAACTATAGAAGTCAGTGTCCTATATTGATATTTCTTGAGAAAATTTAATTCTATTAAGAAGGATAAGCAGCATGCTCTTCAAATATTTATGTAGCCTAATCTTCCATTTCAAGGCTTTTACTAATAGCTTATTTAGTCAGAAGAGAGAAACACATTGATATTTTTACTTAATAAACTCAGCACAATCAACATCAGATGATGTATAAGTGGAAGATTAAATAGAAATAGGAGGCATAAAAACAGCATGGCTACTTTATGAAAATAGCATAACCTATATTTTGTCCCCAAGGTTTGGGGAGCTATGTTTTCTCCTGTGAGACTGAGGCCATCTCTGGAAAAGGGAGGGGAAATACTGGAAGAAGAAAGGATATAATCTAATTATTTTGGATAGTTAGAAATAAGACCCCTCTTTACAAAAAGATAGGGAGCTAAATAATGAGAGAGGGTTGAGTGAGAGACCCAGGAGACTGCCTCCCACTTTAAATCATTTGAAGTTAGGGTGACAGAGTAGGGTCTGAGAAGTTGTTTTATTGTTAGAAGCATGGTTCAGTATCTGGGAGCATAGTACTGCCAAACACATCAAGAGAGGTGATGTAAAAGATGACCCCTCAAGAAGGTGTGAGGCATAATCCATCTCTCGTCCTCAGAGTGGCTCAGATCAGAAGTGAGCACAGCCCTCTTCTGCTTCAAGTTTAAAGGGTTGGGTTTCTTCGTTCTCTTTTAATGGTACTGATCCACAGTTTGAGAAAGAAAGTTTGGGAAGAAAATTTCTCACAGTCCAGTAAAAGGTAAGAAAATATTTTAGAGACAAATTTGGAGTGCTCAAGACTTTTTATTAAAAAACAACAAAGGTAGAAATTTGTCATTAGTTCTAATTAAACTAAGTAGGAGTTTTGATGTATCTTGTGATATCTCCCTCCCATTTTTCAAAAAAAAAAAGTTTATTTCAAATTTACGTTACATAAAAGGGAAGTTTTACATATTTAGTCTTTTTAAATTCTCTAATTTTTAATTATTTTCTTTTCTCTCTTTTCCTCTTCATTTTCTTTTCTTTTTTAATTGACATATAATAATTGTATATATTTATGGAACACATAGTGATGTTTCCATACATACAATGTACTGTGGTCAGATCAGAGTTATTAGTGTATCCATCACCCTGGACATTTATCTCTTTTGTAGGTTGGGAATATTCAATATCCTCCTTCTAGCTATTTGAAACTATATAATATATTATTGTTAACTATAATCATCCTTCAATGCTGTAGAACATTAGAATTTATTCCTATCTATCTATAATTGTGTATCCTTTAACAAATCTCTCCCTATTCCCTCCTTCCCTCCTGCCCTTCCCAGACTCTAGTATTCTCTGTTCTACATGTTACTTCTATAAGATCAACTTTTTTTAGCTTCCATATATGAGTGAGAACATTCAGTGTTTAACTTTCCGTTCCTGGCTGATTTCATGTAACGTAATGTCCTCCAGTTCCATACATGTTGCTACAAATGACAGGAGTTTATTCCTTTATGGCTGAATAGTATTCTTGTGTGTGTGTGTGTGTGTGTGTGTGTGTGTGTGTGTGTGTTTGTGTGTGTGTGTCACATTTTCTTTATTCATTCATCCATTGTTAGACACCTAAGTTGTTTCCATATCTTAATCTGAGGGTCACTTTATTTTCTGACTCATAAGGAATCACAGTAATTGAACATGATATCACATTGTACTAGAGGGTAGTTTTTCCATGGAAGCAATGGCCAGATTATTTCTACTTGTTGGCAATGAAATAATAACTATAAATATTGAAGGTGCACCTCTTATGACTTTATGAACTCTGCAGATACCTATCCTGCCTTGAACTTTCTGGAAGAATTTGGAGTATCTCTCTGCACTTCAGTATGTGAACAAACATATTACTTATTGACTCCTACATGTTGAATCTGAGACAGGCAAAAAAAAATTAATGTCTTATATATATGACCATAAGCATGCTCTATGATGTTCACATGACAAAATCAGCTAATGACACATTTCTCAAAATGTATCCTCATTGTTAAGTGATTCATGACTGTAATTACCAATCTAGGAAGAGTTTAAGCCCACATGAAAATCACAAACACAGTATGAAACTTAAAAAAAATTAGGGAGGGGGAACCATATGGAGCCTAGCTGACTCTGAGTTGAGGAGATAGAGCTGTGAGTCTTGGGAGACAAAATCAGCTAGAGTTCACAGAGATTACTGGAGACGAGAAGCTGCATAGAGAGAGGGCAGGAGTATTCAGCAGAGTACTAATCAGCATTTGCTTATGAGGAAACTATCCAATCAAAGGGAAAGAAACATCCACAAAGATTAAAAGAAACAGAAGCCACAGATCACGTGGGACTTGGAAAAGTGTCTGGTTTCAAAAGCCAGACTAGGAAATCTTACCATGCATAAGGACTTGTACTGTACTCAGAAAGCTCTTACCTCAGGAGTAGGGGATAATTAGTTCTTGACTAAATTCTGCTATGGTCCTGCCTTACTTACCTGAAAAGCAAGACTTAGAAAAAATAAAACCATTTCCAAGTAACCTGTGTCCCAGAACAAAGTTTGACAACATTTAAAATTCAAAAATACCAAGCAGTCAAAAAAGGTAAAATCTAAAAGTCTGTCATCCACTCAAAAATGACCAGCCACGCACAGAGGTACAAAAAAAGTCCTATAATGAAAATAAATTTAAAAATTGAAATTGATCCAGAATTCACACACATTAGCATTAGTAAACAAAGACATTAAATCAGTTATTGTGCCCATATCCCATGTATTTAAAAGGTGCTAGGAAAGATAAATTGAACATGTTAAACAGAAAAGTCAAAAATATAAAAACAACCAAGGTTGAACACCTAGGGATGAAAACTACAATGTATGTAATGAAACAATACACTAGATAGGATCAATGTATTATATTCTCCAATGTATTGGAGAAAAGGAAGTATACTATTATAAGGTTTTAATACTATACGTGAAAGAGTATAATATTAATAGAAGGTAATTATTTACTTGAAAGTTATAGATGTGCACTATATACTCAATCATCCACTATAATAATAAAAAGTTATAGCTAACAAGCCAAATAAGATGATACAATGAAATTATAAAATTTACTCAATCCAAAAGAACTCAGAAAAAAGAAGGGAAATGAATAAAGAACAAATGGGACTAATAGAAAACAAATAGCGAGATTAGTGATTTAAACTTAACCGCATAAGTAATCACATTAAATCAAAGTCTAAATACTCCCATTAAAAGAGATGAAAAGATTAGATGAAACAGCAGAACCCAACTATTTACTCTTTAAGAAACCAACTATAAACCTTGCAGGTCAGGAGAAAATGGGATGACACATTTAAAATACTGAAAGAAAAAAAAAACCTGTTAGCCAAGAATATTATACTCAACAAAGCTATCCTTCATAAATGAAAGAGAATAATGCCCTTCCCTGACCAGCAAAAGCTGGTCTTCTTCACCACCAGACTGATCTTACAAGAAATGCTTAAGGGAATGCTGCAACTCAAAGCCAAGAACAATAATTACTATCATAAAAACATATGAAAGTATAAAACTCAGTAGTAGACGTAAGTTTATATTCAAACTCAGAATACTCCAATACTCTAAAGGTGCTATGTAAATCTTTCATACCACTAGCATAAAGGTTAAATATCAAAGTGGTTAAAAATAACTGCAGCTACAATTAGTTGTTAAGGAACACAAAATATATATAGATGTAAATTAAAGCAACAAAAATGTAAATTGTGAAGAGGAGGACGAAAGTCTAGAGTACTTTTCTGTGACCAAAGTTACACTGTTATAAGCTTAAAGTAGTCTGTTATAACCACAATTTTTAAATCTTAGTTTCATGGTAACCACAAAAATAGACATACCAACAGACACACAAATAAGAAAAAGGAAAGACCCAAAGCTTACCATAACAGAAAATCACCAAACCACAAAGGCAAACAATAAGAGAGGAATAAAAGAACATGGGAGCTACAAAGCCACCAGAAAATAATTAACAAAATGGCTGGAGTAAGTTCTTACCTAGCAATAATAACTTGAATCTAAACAGTTAAATTATCCAGTTAAAAGATATAGAGCGGTCAAATGGATAAAAAACAAGACTCAACTGTGTGCTGCTTATAAAAGACTCACTTCACCTATAAGAATGCAAAAAGACTGAGAGTGAAGGGATGGAAAAAGATATTACATGCAAATGAAAATCAAAAGCAAGTAGGAGTAACTATAGTTGCAGCAGATAAAATAGACTCCAAGTCAAAAAGTGTAAAAAGGAACAAAAAATGTCATTATATAATGATAGAAATATCTATTCAGCAAGAGAATATAACAATTATAAATATATATGCATCCAGTGCTGGACCACCCAAATATAGAGAGGAAATATCATTAAATCTAAATGGAGAGACAGACTGCAACACAATAATAACAGGTTATGTCAACACTCCCTATTCAGCAATGGATGGGTTATCCAGACCAAAAACATCAACAAAGAAACACTGAATTTAAACTGCACTCAAGCTCAAATTAACCTAATAGATATTTATAGAACATTTCATTCAACAGCTGCAGAATACACATTTTTCTCAACTGTAAATGGTACATTCTCTTGAATATAACATATGTTAGGCCACAAAATAAATCTTAATAAATTTAAGAAGACAGAGATCATATCAAATATCTTTTCTGATCACAATAGTATAAAGCTAAAAAAGGAATAATAAAGATTAGAGCAGAAACAAATGATATAGAGCCTAGAAAACCCATACAAAACATCAACGGAATAAAGAACTGGGTTTTTAAAAAGATAAACAAAATTTTGATAAATCTCTATCAAGACTAAGAAAAAATGAAGAGTAAAATAAATGCAGAGAGGGAAAATGATAAAACTGACACAACTGAAATATAAAGGATCATGAGAAACTGCTATGAACAATTACATGCCAACAAACTAATAATCTAGAAGAAATGAATAAATTCCTGGACACACAAAACTATCAAGATTGAAACAGGAAAAAATATAAAATCTGAACAAACCAATAACAAGTAAAATAACTGAATCTATCAGTACTAAAAGTTTTTTTCTATTAACAAAAGCCATATGTTTATTGGCCACATAAATGTCTTCTTTTGAGAAGCGTTTATCTTCGCCCACATTTTGATGGGGTCATTTTTTTCTTGTAAACTTGTTTAAGTTCCTTGTAGATTCTGGATATTAGCCCTTGTCAGATGGACAGATTGCAAAAATTTTCTCCCATTCTGTAGGCTGCCTGTTCACTCTGATGATAGTTTCTTTTCCTATGCAGAAGCTCTTTAGTTTAGTTAGATCCCATTTGTCAATTTTGACTTTTGTTGCCATTGCTTTTGGTGTTTTAGTCATGAAGTCTTTGCCCATGCCTATGTCCTGAATGGTATTGCCTAGGTTTACTTCTAGGGATTTTACAGTTTTAGGTCTTACATTTAAGTCTTTATTTCATCTTGAGTTAATTTTTGTATAAGGCACAAGGAAGGGATCCAGTTTCAGTTTTCTGCACATGGCTAGCCAGTTTTCCCAACACCATTTATTAAATAGGGAATCCTTTCCCCATTGCTTGTTTTTGTCAAACTAACACATAAACAGAAAACCAAACACTGCATGTTCTCTCTCATAAGTGGGAGCTGAGCAATGAGAACACACAGACACAGGGAGGGGAACATCACACACTGGGGCCTGTCAGGAGGCTGGGGGCTAAGAGAGGGATAGCATTAGGAGAAATACCTAATGTAGATAATGGGTTGATGGGTGCAGCAAACCACCATGGCACATGTATACCTATGTAATAAACCTGCACATTCTGTGCATGTATCCCAGAACTTAAAGTATAATTAAAAAAATAAAAATAATTATAGCATCTATTACAGGGATATAACAGCATTTAAAAAAGCCAAAGACTTGGTGGTTTCACTGCTAAATCCTGCCAAACATTTAAGGAAGTAATACCAACTCATCTTAAACTATTCCAAAAATGAAAGAAGAGGGAATATTTCCAAACCCATTCTGCAAGGCCAGCATTGCCCTGATATCAAAACTATACAAGGATGCAACAAAAAGGAAAACTACAGGCCAATATCCCTGAGTGAACATAGATGCAAAAAATTCTCAACAAGATACTAGCAAACTGAATTCAATAGCACATGATAAAGATCATTGACCATGACCAAATATGATTCATTCCAGTGAAGCAAGAATTGTCTAACATACAAAAATCCAATAAATGTGGTACCTCAAATTAACAGAAAGAAGGACAAAACAATATGACAATTTCCATAGGTACAGGAAAAGTATTTAACAAAATTCAACATCCCTTCATGATAAAAAAAAAAATCCCCAAAATTAGGTATAAAGGTACTACCACAACACAATAAAGGCCATATATGGCAAACCCACAGCTAACATCATACTAAATGGAGAAAAGCTAAACACTTTTTCTTTAACATCTGGAACGAGAGAAGTGTGCTCATTTAAACAACTTCTATTCAACTGTACTGGAAGTCCTAGCCAGAGTAATGAGGCAACAGAAATCAATAAAACTTATCCAAATCAGAAAGAAGAAAGTCAAAGTGTTTCTGTTTGCAGAGGCTATAGTCTTATGTATAGAAAATCCTAAAGACTACACCAAAAATCTCTTAGAACTAATAAACAAGTTTAGTAAAACTGCAGCATACAAACTTAACAGCTAAAAATCAGTAGTGTTTTTATGCATTAGTAGTGAATTATCTGAAAAAAATGAAGAAAACAATCACTTTTACAATAGCTACCAAAAAGCAAGATACCTAGGAGTAAATTTAACCAAGGAGGTGAAAGATCTCTACACTGAAAACTATAAAATGCAGATGAAAGCAACTGAGAAGTACACGAATAATCTGATAGACATTTCTTGTTCATGAACTTGAAGAATTAATATTTCTAAAATGCTCATACTACCCAAAGCAATCTATAGATTTAGTGCAATTTCTATTAAAATACTAACGGTGTTATTTATAGAAATAAGAAAAAAATACTAAAATTTGAATGAAACCACAAAAGACCCTGAATAGCCACACCAATACTAAGAGGGGAAAACCTAGAGGCATCATATTACCTGATTTCAAAATATACAACAACACGATAGTAGCCAAAATAGGATGGTACTGACATGAAAAGAAACACATAGACCAATGGAACGGAAGAGCAAGCCCAGAAATAAATACACACATCAGCACTGATTTTCGACAACGGTCCCAAGAACAAATATTAGGGAAAAGACTGTCTCATCAATAGATGGTGCTGGGTAATTTGTATATCCAGTTGTAGGAGAATGAAACTGGACATGTATCTTTTGGCATATACAAAACTCAACTGAAAATGGATTAAAGACTTAAATATGAGACCTGAAACTATAAAACTGCTAGAAGAAAACAGAGAGAAAATACTTCTTGACATTGGACTGGGCAAGAATTTTTTTATAAGACCTAAAAAGCACAGGCAACAAAAGCAAAAACAAAGAAATGGGATTACATCAAACTTCAAAACCTTCAGCATACAAAAAAGCTTCAGCATAGCAATGGAAACAATCAGCAGAGTGAAGAGAAACCATACAGAAAGGGAGAAAATACTTGCAACTATACATCTGACAAGGGGTAAATATCTAGAATATCTAAGGCACTCAACCCAATAACAACAACAAAAATAATCCAATAAAAGTGGGCAAAAGACCTGAATAGACATTTCTTTAAAAAATTAAAACATACAAATGACCAAAAGTACATGAAAAATGCTCAACATCACTAATCAACAGGGAAATGAAAATTAAAACCACAGTGAGATATCAACTCACTCCAGTTAAATGGCTGTTATCAAACAGACAAAAGATAAGAAGTGTTGGTGAGGATGTGGAGAAAAGGGAAAACATGTACTGTTTGTGGGTATGTAAATTAGTATAGTCATTGTGGAAAACATTTTGGGAGTTCCTCAAAAAATTAAGAATAGAACTACTATATGATCCAGTAATCCAACTACTGGGTACCTATCTGTAGAAAATGAAATCAGTATGTTGAAGAGATATCTGCACCACAATGTTTCTTGCAGCACTATTCACAATATCCAAGATATGAAATCAACCTAAGTATCCAGTAATGAATGAATAAAGAAAATATGGTACATATAAAAACAATGAAATACTACTTGGCCAGAAAAAATAATTTGTTTTCATTTGCAACAACATGGATAATACTGAAGACAACTGTGTTAAGTGAAACAAGTTAGATACAAAAGGAAAAATACTACATAATCTCACTCATATATGGAACCTTAAGAAGTTGATCTTACAGAAGTAGTGAATAGTGAACCATGATTACCTGAGACTGTGAAGGATAGGGAAAAGGATGGGATGTAAAGGACAGGGAAAAGGATGAGATGGAGAGAGGTGAGTCAATGGATACAAAGTTACAATTAGAAAGGAAAAATAAGCCCTGGTGTTTTATTGCACAGTAGATTGACTACAGTTAACAGTAAGGTACTGTATATCTCAAAATAGCTAGAAAAGATTATTTTAAATGTGGCCACCACAGAGATGATAAATGTTTGAGGTGACAGATTTGCTAATTACTATGATTTGATCATTACACAATGTATATATGCATTGAAACATATCATTGTGCCCCATAAGTACAATTATTTTGTGTCATTAAAATTTTTTAAAAGAAATTAACTATAAATATGAAGACACAAATAGGTTAAAATGATAGAAAAAACATACCATGCAAACACTAAACATAGAAAACTGATGTGAGTATATTATTTTCACACAATGTTTATTTCAGTGCAAATAATATTAACAGAGATGAAAATAAAAAATACTAGCAGGGACAAAGTGGTCAGCTCATGAACAGAGAATAAGTCTTAAGCATTATGCATAATAACAGAACTTTAAGAGAAAAAAAATAACTAGAAGGAAAGATAAAATCACTATTATATTCAGAGATTAAACACCTCTATCTTTAAATAACTGACTTAAAAAGTAGAAAAAAATAGTAAGAATATAGAAAATTTGCACAACATTATCAATAAGCTTGACCTAATTGAAATTTAGAGAAAATTACCAGTCAAATATACATTTGTTTAGTGCACAGAACATTTACCAAACTATACTATATTCTGGGCCAGTTCTAAATTACTCGAGTGAAATACGTTATAGAAAGGGAAATTAAAACTTGTTTTTAACTAAATTTTTAAATGAAAACAAAAATAAAACTAATCAAATGTGAGGGATGGTAGGCACCTTATAGCACTAAGCATCTATATTATAAAAGAATAAAGATCTCAAAACAATGACCTCAGCTTTCATCTTAAGAAACTGTAAAAAGGGGAAAATTATACCTAAAGTAAGGACAAAGAGGCAATAATAAAGATTAGAATTAAAGTTGGTGAACTACAAAATAGAAAAACAATAGAGAATATCAATAAAACCAAAATATGATTCTTTGAAAAATTCAATAAAATTCATAAACTTCTACTCAAAGTGATCAAGAACAAATGTTAGAAGAAAAAAAAAACTCCATAAGAAAAATTTTAAAAGTGATGGTACTACAGATTTTATAGATAATAAAAGGGAAAAAATTAAAAAGTTGTGCCAATAATTTGAGCAATTTAGGTGAAATGGGTAAATTCTTTTAAAAACATAAACTACTAAACCTCACTCAAGAAGAATTGGATAACTCAAATAGCTCATATCTATCAAATAAATTGAATTTTTAGTTAACAACCTTCCCACTATGAGAATTCTAGGCCCAGTTGGCTTTATTTGCTAATTCTACCAAGCATTTAAGGAAGAAATTATACCAATTCTATGAAAACCCTTTCAAAAAACTGAAGAGGTATGACTATGTCTCAACTCACTCTGTGAAGCTAGCGTTATCCTGATAATAAAAACAAAACACATTGTAAGAAAAGAAACCATGGGAAAATATCCCACATAAACATAGATGCAAGAAGTTTTATTAGCAAAATAAATCCAACAATACATAAAAACGATAACACAAAGTGACCAAGTTGGGGTTTACTAGTTTAATATTTGAAAAATAAAGTAATAACTGAAAAACATATCTAATGAGCTGAATAAATTCAACACAAACTTTTGACAAAATACAATATCTATTCATGACTCTAAAAAATAAGCTCTCAGCAAACTAGGTATAGAAAACAACTTCCTAAACTTGATGAAGCATATCTATGGAAAATCTACAACTATCATACATAATCCTGAGAGACTGAACATTTTTTTCTAAAATCAGGAACAAGACAAAGAAGTCCACTCCCACCACCTGTATTCAACATTTTACTGGTAGTTCTAACTAGTTCAGTCAGGCAAGATAAAGAATTATTTCTTTTTATAAAGTATCCAGATTGGAAAGGAAGAAATATTTGCTGACAGCATGATCACCTATGTAGAAAACCATAAGCAATCTACAAAAAGATATTAGAATTAATTGAGTTTACTATTAACATAAAAATCATTTGTATATCTATATATAAGAAATCAATGTTTACAAATTGAAATTTTAAAAATGTATAATTTAGAGTAGCATCACAAAATATGAAATACTTTAGGAGTAAACCTGAGAAAAGATGTGTAAGATCTTCACACTGAAAATTATAAAACATTGATAAAAGAAATTAAGATCTAAATCAATGAATAGATATATTTTGTTCAAGGGTTAGAATACTTAATATTATGATTTCGATTCACCGTGTATTTATCTTTAGGTCCATTGTAATCCTAACTGACACCAAAAGCCCAGCAGCAATGTTGTAGAATATTATAAGCAGCCACTAAAAGTCCTACAGAAATGCAAAGGACATAAAATGCCCCCAAAAATTGACAAATGGGATCTAATTCAACTAAAGAGCTTCTGCACAGCAAAAGAAACCACCATCAGAGTGAACAGGCAACCCACACAATGGGAAAAAATTTTTGCAATCTACTCATCTGACAAAGGGCTAATATCCAGAATCTACAAAGAAATCAAACATATTTACAAGAAAAAAACAAACAACCCCAATAAAAAGTGGGCGAAGGATATGAACAGACACTTCTCAAAAGAAGACATTTATGCAGCCAACAGACACATGAAAAAATGCTCATCATCACTGGCCATCAGAGAAATGCAAATCAAAACCACAATGAGATACCATCTCACGCCAGTTAGAATGGTGATCATTAAAAAGTCAGGAAACAACAGGTGCTGGAGAGGATGTGGAGAAATAGGAACACTTTTACACTGTTGGTGGGACTGTAAACTAGTTCAACCATTGTGGAAGAGAGTGTGGCAATTCCTAAAGGATCTAGAACTAGAAATACCATTTGACCCGGCCATCCCATTACTGGGTATATACCCAAAGGATTATAAATCATGCTGCTATAAAGACACATGCACACGTATGTTTATTGCGGCACTATTCACAATAGCTAAGACTTGGAACCAACCCAAATGTCCATCAATGATAGACTGGATTAAGAAAATGTGGCATATATACACCATGGAATACTATGCAGCCATAAAAAAGGATGAGTTCATGTCCTTTGTAGGGACATGGATGAAGCTGGAAACCATCATTCTCAGCAAACTATCGCAAGGACAAAAAACCAAACACCACATGTTCTCACTCATAGGTGGGAACTGAACAATGAGAACGCTTGGACACAGGAAGGGGAACAACACACACCAGGGCCTGTTGGGTGGGGGAGGAGGGAGGCATAGCATTGGGAGATATACCTAATGTAAATGACGAGTTAATGGGTGCAGCACACCAACATGGCACATGTATACATATGTAACAAACCTGCATGTTGTGAACATGTACCCTAGAACTTAAAGTGTAATTTAAAAAAAAAACTAAGCAAAATAAACTAAAAAATGCAAAAAAATAAATAAATAAAAAGAAAAAGAAAAATAAAATAAGATTTTTTATAGAGCTAGAATAATCAAGACTTACAGTACTGACATGAAGATAGATAAATAGATAAGTGGAACAAAATAAGGAATTAATAAATAGATCCACACATATATGGACAATTGACTTTCAACATACCTATTAGAAACGCCAAAATTAAAAACACTTACTACACCAAGTGTTAGTGACAGTGATACTATGAAGGAAAAAGAAAAACTAGAAGTCTCATACTCTCCTAGTGGGAATATGAAATAGAACAACCACTTTGAAAAGCTGTTTGGCAGTTTCTTAAAGCACTAAGCATAAACCTACCATATGATACAATCATTCTCCTCCTAGCAATTTTCCCAAAAGAAATGAAAACATATTTCTAGACAGACTAGTTAATGTTTATACCAGATTAGATAGATGATTGCTAGAGAGATGATAGATAGATCTACATGCACATACACATTTTAACTCAAAACTGGAAATAACCCAAATGGCCATCCACAGGTAAATAGATAAACAAATTTTGGCATAACTATACAATATAATACCACTGAGAAATGAAAATGAACTATTTATATTAGCAACAACATGGATGTTTCTCAAATAATTATTCTAAGTGAAAGAGGACAGATTCAGAGTGTATATTGTATTTTTCCATTTGCATGAAATTCTTTTAAAAAATGCAACATTATCTACAATAACTGATCAATGTGTAATAACAAATCAATGGTTGCCCGTGAATTGGGAACTAGGGTGACTGGGAAGAGTAGGGAGGAGGAATTTTTGAAAAAGAAGAAAACAAGGAGAAAAAGTTATAACATTAATTCTCATGATCTAAGAAAATAATTTCTTAAATGGAGAAAAATAAAGCAGAAATGAAATTTGAAAATTACTATTAAAATTGTGCTTTGATTTGAAAAGTCTTGAGTGTTTAGCAGTTTTAAGTCCAGCTATTTGTCTTTGTGCTTAATAGATGAGAAAATAGTGCCTTCCTTCAATTTATCTTAAATTTAGTGCTGATCAACTTTGAGAAGCATCCTTGTGTTCCTAGATTATAAGAAATGGCATGGAGTCATGGTTAACCTGAAATTTACTGACTGTATAGTTTAACATAAATATAAAGGCAGAAAAACATCTAACAACTAGCAAGAAGTACATGTGAAGAGGTCATACCTCATTATACCTCTCTCAAACAGCTGTTACAAAACTCTCTCAATCAGTCTATTAGTTACAGAGAGAACAGCTGTAAATTCACAAGAGTAAATCTTGGTAAGTATTTACCACACAGATGTCAGACTAGCTACACTGGAAGAGCTGATTTCACTGAGCAATTAGCCTATTTAGTCCAATTGGTTGTAGAATGGTTAACAGAGTTTACGTAGCATCACACACCAATAGCATCACTAGTAGCCTTTAAAAGTGAGGCTAATGAATAGTTTACCACAGTAACAATGCTGAGCATGCCCTACCTCACAGTGCCAAAAGAAAAAGAAAAATCATCCATCAGCTCACTGCCAGCTACCAGTAACAGCATCTGTGAAGGAAGACTTCTGCTCCTTTGGAGAAAAAAAATCCAGAAAAAGTAAAAATGTAAGCATTCTCTAGGGAGCTTTGCACTAATGAGCCAGTGAAATTAAGCCCCAAACAGTCCCGGGATACTGCCCATGAGCTGCAATGGAAGTTGGATGGATTTATAGCTGCTGAGTGAGGAAATGGTTTGGAAGAATTACACAGCAAATTGGCCTAGATCAGCTGGGCACAAAAGTCTGAAAAAAAAAATATAAAACCACAGATGGAGTCCTCCATGTAGAAACTCTAAGACCTGGCCAATTTTCAGCCATCTGAATTCAGCCTCCTTGGTTTATAGACTCATTTTATTCAATCAGTGCTTCGGCACTGGTGAGAACGTTTCTCTGAATTGTTGATCTCATCTTCCACAAAGGGAAGAGACCCTTTCCATGGCCATGGGGACAGACAGAACTTTATTGCTAATGCTGCAGTTAAAACTAGGCACAAGCTAGACGCTGGTTCCTTAGATTTGCCATGCAAGAGTTTGCTGTCAGTCTATATTAGACTTTCTCCTGTATGAAATTTTTGTCTTTAAATTTTTGAAATTCAAGCACAGTAAGAAATACATTTTATATCATATACAGTGTCTACTCATATAGAAATGATTTTCAAAATATTTAATAACCACTGTGTAATGGGCATGAATCTATTAGAATAGGGCATTAACCAAAAAGAACAAGGTATCAACCACATACGACTATATAACCACCATATAGATGCTGATTGGCTAAATTATAATGAAACAGAAGTTTTAGTACCATTCACATTATGAACAATGTATTCATATGTTTTATTATTCTTTTTTTTGGTTTACATGCTGATCATGATCTATTAATTTGCTATTAAATTGCTTTCATGATCAGCTAATGCATCATGACCTATAATTACAAAATCATTTCTCTTAACTATTTGGTCTTTTTTTTGTGTGTATGAGTCTCTGCTGATTCCAGGGCCACCTGGACTTTATTTTATTTATTTTTTATTTATTATACTTTAAGTTCTGGAATACATGTGCAGGACGTGCAGATTTGTTACATAGGTATATGCGTAAGTTACACATAAAATTTACCATTTTTAGTGTACACTTCAGTGGCATTAAGTGCATTCACAGTGTTGTACAGCCATCATCACCATCTATCTCCAGCACTTCTTCATTTTCCCTAACTGAAACTCCATACCTGCTAAACAATAACTCCCCATTTCCCTCTTCCTCCAGTCCCTGACAACCCCCATTCTACTTTCTGTGTCTATGAACTTGGCAACTCTTGGTTTCTGTGGTTCATTTTTAATGCATAATGTTTCTAAGAAATAGGACAATAAAAACACATGTGAAGTGAAGGAAAGGTGAAGCTGGACAAGTAATGAGAGTACAATAGGACAACTATCAAAATGCAAAGTTCTCTCATACTTACATATTACATTGTTAAACATCTTGTAGAAATATATTAAAGACCAGTGATAAAGAAATCTACTAAGCTACATGAGATACTAAAAATGTTCTATAGAATGTTATCTAAGATAATTGATTACATAATCTTTCAGAGGAAACACTAAATGCCAACAATTTTAATTCTCTATTTTTCCTTCACTGGGCCAAGTGCCAATAGTTTGAACTCAGCAAGAAGCAGCACATCTTAGAATAGCTTTTAGCAAAGAAACAGAAGCATTAGAAAATATAGCTTCCTTTATCCTCAGCTCTACTGGGCTTCTAATGACTAGTATCAAATATGCATATATGCTTTATTATCAACTTTTGTGATTAAAATGTAGTTTTTACTTTTAAACTCATAGAACAGATAATAATAACATGTGGATGAAGAACAGTATCACAGAGTCTGTTTATATTACTCATAGCATATGTTTGGTTCTCTTTCTCTTCTCACAAAAATAATAATGTGCTGTTTATAGTTCACTTCTTAGCAGTGTATTTTTTCCACTTTTGAGAAGAAGTCACACTATAAGTGTTATTAACCATTTAGACTTTGTTCTTAAGCATCTTGATCCTATCTTGAGATCATGTTTGATAAAAATGATGAGAGGGGAGAGTGCTAAGACGAAAGTTAGAGCCCTTCCAAAAGGGCAAAGAACAAATCCCCTCTTAAGATAAGACTACTATCGAAGTCTCACCATAACCCTATAAGCAATCAGAAAATATATTCATATATACATTTAAAGGTGACAAACTGGCCAGACACGGTGGCTCACGCCTGTAACCCCAGCACTTTGGGAGGCCGAGGCGGGCGGATCACGAAGTCAGGAAATCGAGACCATCCTGGCTAACACGGTGAAACCTCGTCTCTACTAAAAATACAAAAAATTAGCCGGGCGTGGTGGCTGGCGCCTGTAGTCCCAGCTACTCGGGAGGCTGAGGCAGAAGAATGGCATGAACCCGGGAGGCGGAGCTTGCAGTGAGCCGAGATTGCGCCACTGCACTCCAGCCTGGGCGACAGAGCAAGACTCCGTCTCAAAATAAAATAAAATAAAATAAAAAATAACGGTGACAAACTAAGGATCCAGAAGGTAAATTCTTTATCCAAGTGGTGGAATTTGGGCAAACACAGAAGTCACTGGTGTTCTGATCAAGTTCTTTCTCCTTCTGGGAGAGTATTAATCCTCCCATTTCTTTGAATAAAATCAAGTAAATCACATTGTCCACAAACACTGTCATTTGGAATGGTAAATGAATAACGGACATTTTTATATGACTAATAACTAACAAGATATTATATAATTAGTTGAAATGACACTTAAAAGACAAAAATATTTGAAGTAATAAAATTAGTGATCAAGAGATAATATAATTAGTCATAGTAATGAATAATATATCCACTATCTATGTGCCAGATATAATGTTAATCACTTTTATGTACAATACCACTTTTAATCTTCACCACAACCTTAGGAAGTTGGTAATATTCTTGGCTGAGAACTCTATTTTCAAGTTTAAAAGTTCCTGAAGGAAGAATTTATATTTGGGACCTTGCTTTCAGAAAATAAATTTGACAGCTTGATGCAATTTACATTTATTAAAGGGAAACTGAAGGTAAGAAAACTTGATTCAATAATGGAAATCAGAAAAACAAGAAAGAGATTTATTTGAACAATTGAATTAGTGTTCAGGGCCCAATACTGAAGGAGAAACACCTGAAAATATGGAGCAAATACTCAGGAAATTGGCCTATGAAAAGAATCAGGAAGTGATTTGCTACAACAGTGAAATCTATGATGTTTCAAAAGTATGGAGGTCATTAGCAATAATAGAGCTCAGAATTTTAGCAAAAAAGGAGCAAAAGCAGCAAAAAGAAGGAATGTTTAGATAGAAGAGAAGCAGGATAATACCAGGTACAGAAATAAATGGGAGATAGCTTGGAGAAGGAGATAGGTAGGCAACTATGTCAAATGCTTCAGAAAGCTAAGGAGAAGATAGAAGGTAGACAACTATGTCAAATGTTTCAGAAAGCTAAGGAGGACCTTTATGGAGAAAAGTCCTTTGCTGACCTTCAAGAGAATATTTATAAGTCATAGGATCAAAAATAGTCTCCACATGGGGCAAAGAGAAAAAAGATAATGAGATGCCATTTATCATTCTTCTAGAGTAAGATACTGCAAACACTTCAAAGATCACTGTAGTACATGTCAGTTGTAAAGAATGTCTAAGAGGAATCTCATTTTACAATAGCTACAAGAAACTACCTAGGAATAAATTTAACCCAGGAGGTGGACTCTGCAGTGAACACTACAGAAAACTATAAAAGAAATGAAAGATGACACAAATAAATAGAAGATATCCCATGTTCATGAATTGGAAGAATTAATATTGTTAAAATGTCAGTACTACCCATAGCAATCTACAGATTCAATGCAATCCTTATCAAAATATTAATGTCATTATTTGCAGAAATAAAAGAAAATTATTCTAAAATTTGTATGGAACCACAAAAGAGACCAAGTATCCAAAGCAATCCTGAGCAAAAAGAACAAAGCTGAAGGCATCACATTACATGACTTCAAAATATACTGCAAAGCTATATAGTAACCGAAACAGCATAGTACTGGTATAAAAACAGACACAAAGAACAGAGAATCCAGAAATAATTCACATATTTACTGCCAGTTTATTTTTGACAAAAGCACCAAGAACATAAATGAAGAAAGAACACTCTCTTCAATAAATGGATCTGGGAAAATTAAGTGTCTTATATGCAGAAAAATGAAACCAAACCCCTATCTCTCACCACATACAAAAATCTACTCAGTGTGGATTAAAGACTTAAATGTAAGCCATGAAGCTTTAAAACTACTAGAAGAAAGCATCGGGGTAATGCTTAAGGACATTGGTTGAGCCAAAGATTTTATGGGTAAGACTTCAAAACCACAGGCAACATAAGCAAAAATAGACAAATGGAACTATATCAAACTAAAATGGCTCTACACAGCAAAAGAAACAATCAATAGAATGATGAGATAACCTATAGAATGGGAGAAAATATTTGCAAACTATTCATCCAACAAGGGTCTAATATCCAGAATATGCAAGGACCTCAAACAACTCTACAACAACAAAAAACAAATAAACCAACTTAAAAATGGGCAAAGGATCTGAATGGATCTTTCTCAAAAGAAGACATACAAATAGCCAACAAGTATACTTTTAAAAGCTCAATATCATTAATCATCAGAGAAATGCAAGTCAAAACCACAGTGAGATTTCATGTCACCCTGGTTATAATGGGTATTATCAAGAAAACAAAAACTAATTGCTGGTGACAATGTAGAGAAAGGGAACTCTTACACATCACTGGTGGGAATGTAAAAAGTATAGCCACTATTGAAAACAGTATGAAGGTTCCCCAAAAAACTGAAAATAGAGCTACCATATGATCCAGCAATCCCTCTGTTGGGTATTCATCCAAAGGAAAGAAAATCAGTATATCAAAGAGATATATGCACCCCCATGTTTATTGCAGCACTATGCACAAAAGCCAAGATATGGAATCAACATAAATGTCCATCAATGGGTGAATGGATAAAGAAAATATGGTCCATATATGCAATGGAATATTATACAGCCACAAAAAGAAAGAAATTCTGTCATTCACAGGCACATGGATGAGCCTGGAAGACATGTTAAGTGAAATAAGTCAGGCACAGAAGGATAAATACTGCATGTTCTCACTCATATGAGGGAGCAAAAAGTGTTGAGGGCATAGAAGTGGAGAGTAGAACTGTGGTTATCAAGAGACTGGGAAGGGTAGAGGGGAGGTGATGATAAGAAGAGGTTAGGCAACAGATACAAAATTACTACAGCTAGATCAACAACACAGTAGGGTGACTTTAGTTAACAATAAGCTATTGTACATTTTCAAATAGCTAGAAGAGAGGATTTTGAATGTTCCCAACAGAAAGACAGGATAAATGTTTGAGGCAATGAATATAATAATTACTTTTATTTGATCATTACACATTGTATATATGTATTGGAATATCACTCTATATTCCATAAATATGTGCAATTATTATATGGTAACAAAAAGAAAAAATTACTTAGAAAAAAAGGAATCCTCAGAGGAATTCACTGGGTTGGTTATTTTTAGTGTCAGAGAGCTCCATGGGTGCATTGTTCAATACTGCAAGCAATATAATTTAAAACTCCTAGCTGTCTCTTAATAACAGTTTCTAGACAATGGGAAAAAACTGTTCTGTTTTTAAAGAATGAATAGCATAAACAAAATAGGTGTTTAATATTTTGTTCCTGTGGAGCATAGATCTGACCAATACTTTATCCAAGGAATACAAAGGATAAATAAGACAAATTTAGAAAAATAAAAGATATATTAAATGACTGGCAATACTTACTAGTGAGCATGCCTGCTGTTTCTGCTTGAAAGCCAAAGTACTATTAGTTCAAACTCTCTGACTAGGGAAAAGCTGCCTTGGAATTCTAAGTGTACCATGCAATAGAATAGAAAATGTAAAAGAGAAATCATTGATGGCAATGTTATAAAATTAACTCTCTAGTTACACAAAACAATGTCTGGTTTCATTTAGGGTAGATAGATTTTATCCAGATTCTCTAACCAACTTTGTTCTCAGCTTTAAGCACTGATGCTCTATTCCTTCTATATACACTAAACAAGAAGTTTCTATGATTAAGAGCAATATACTACAACAATAATTGTACAGCTTATGGATTAAAAATAGTCTAAATCCCCCTTTAGCATATATATTAACAGACTCCCTTATGCTGACATAATACTTGAACATAAACATCATTTTCTCTAAAATTGTATCCAACATGCTATTAGATAACTATAGTTCATTGATTTATTTAAATTAATATTTTTATTATTTTCTAAAGTCAGAAGCATAATAACTTCTTCTATGGCTAGTTAAATGAATTATTGAGAACTTTGCTATTATACATCACTGAAATAACAAAAATATAGTACATACTTCATAATAAAATGGCACATGTATACATATGTAACTAACCTGCACGTTGTGCACATGTACCCTAAAACTTAAAGTATAATTTTAAAAAAATGACAATAGCTATAATTTATATATCACTCCATATGTGCCAAGTGTTTACTCATCTTACATATGTTAATGCCTTTAACATTCATAGTAAGCCTACATGAAAAGCATTATTAATCCCATTATTATTACTCAGCAGACTGAGGAGAGAAATAGTACTTAATTCAGTGCATTTGTTCAAAGATTCCTAGTCAAAATTCTTATCTTCAACAGACAGTGTAGATTCTTGTGAGACCTGGAGTATCAGTTCACAGTTCTCATTCAAGTCAAGACAATAATATAATGGCTTCCTATACTTTAAAAGAACTTCAAGGCTCATATTTCTCTTTTATAAGTCTTCAAAATTTAACAAGCAATTGACATTAGTGTCCATTTCACTATTACTGTTGTTAACATTATTATGTCTATCTTTAAATATATGTCACTCATTATAAACATATATGTCAAGAACTTGCCATAAATGAAGACATTCTGGTTTATGCTGCTTTCTCAGCAATTCAAATTCAAGGAGACTTGAATTAGCTCAGCAAGCACTCTCTCCTTGATCATCTTCAAGAGAAAGGCAAAATAAGAGTACTTCAACTAGCTCCTACTGACAGACAAGTATGTGCTAATGCACCCAGGAAATGGATTAGGTAAAGTTCAAAGCAGACAATTGAGTTAGGAACTTCATTTTGTATTACAATGATTCTGGGTGACATGCATACAGTTTATCAACACTGTTGAGTCCAGTTAAGTTTCTATGAAACAAGTTTCTACAGCACTCTGTGGAATTATTACCTGGAATAAATTCTAACACCTTTGAAGCACTTTCTGGCTCCCATTATTTTAAGCACTTTATACCCATTATCTCATTTAAACCTGACATTAACCCTTTACAGCTATACCTGCTATTATTACTACTTTTCAAATGAGGAAAGTAAGGCACACAGAAGTTAGGTAATTTACCTAACATACACACCTCATAATCAAGAGAATCATGACCCAAAATAAGAAAATTTCAGAATTCCAATGGTATCTGGAAAGTCACCTATACCATTTCTATAGTATTTATACTTCTACATAAAAATAATCAAACATACTCTAAAACAGCAAAGCAAGCTTTGCTATACTTATTCATAATGAACAACAAGCTTAAAACCATAATTAGTATACAGTATGAATGTTAACAGTATTCCTAGCCCAAAGTTAACAACTCTATTTTATCTGTCTAGAAAAGGGTATATGTCTGGTATTTACAAGTAATAAATATAACATATATTATAATCAAATTTTTTAGGATTATTTAATAATTATGTTTAAAATAAATGACATCTGAAGAAATGCTTTCTAATACATGGCACAATATTTACTCCCTAAATTGTTATTTTTCAAAATATATTAGCAGTTGGCACTTCTACAAACTGGTACCTGATAGCAATTAAGACCTGTGCCACACACCAGTGAGATTCTGTACATTACCTCATTCGTGATCCAATTTTTTTAAATTCAAAAGCCCAAATTTCAATAAATATTAACATCATGCCATACTATATTTACAATATATTTATATTTTTCATTGTAAACAAAAATGCACTTAAAGTACATTTTGAATTTTTGCCAAGTAAATGTTTTCAAAAGATTCATTGTCCATTGCCCAAATGTTAAACTCTGGTAACACTAATTAATATAGTGGCAGATATGATCATAGTAACACCATGGCTGTGTTAAGTAATTCCTTTGTGCAGGGTATGTTCCTCAAGATGCCCCAAACAATCCTCTTTTGAATTTCCAGAATGAATATATACCTGCAGAAACAGGACCTATATTTAGTAGATTAATGTGGAAATGGCAACTTATTTAATTGTAACTTCTAAGAATATAGAGATATCAATAACTGGAACTCACTAATACATCTTAATATGATGATATTCTATTCCTAGAGCCCTGAGCTGAGATGATAAGATTTCACCCTAAATTTCTGATGGTTTCATCTTGATGAAATTAACAAATTAAACTAATAAATCAAATTGTTTATTATGTGACTCAGAAACACATAACACTAACTACAAACATATCTCACCTTAGTCCCTACAATCAAAACACAGAGAGAAAATAATGGAAGGTAACAACAAACTATTAAGATTTGTTACTTGAGTGTGAGGGATGGAGAGGGTAAAGAACATAACTAGTCTTCCCCACATTGTGTTGTGTCTTTGCAGAGGACATGTATGATTTTTACTTTTGTATTTTATATGCTTATATAAATGTATACCAGTTAGAAAAATTGCATATGATATTGTTTGGCTATGTCCCCACTGAAATCTCATCTTGAATTCCCAGGTGTTGTGGGAGGCACCCAGTGAAAGGTAACTGAATCATGGGGTCAGGTCTTTCCCATACTCTTCTTGTGATAACTAATGAGTCTCACGAGATCTGATGTATTTTAAGGGGGAGTTTCCCTGCACAAGCTCTCTTCTCTTGTCTGCCTCCATGTAATATGTGCCTTTCACCTTCTTGCATGATTGAGAGGGCTCTCCAACCACACGGAACTGTAAGTCCAAGTCTTTCTTTATAAATTTCCCAGTCTTGGGTATGTCTTTATCAGCAGTGTGAAAACAGACTAATACCATAAATTGATACCGGTAGAGTGGGGCACTGCTGAACAGATACCCAAAAATGTGGAAGTGACTTTGGAACTGGGTAACAGCACGGGGTAGAATTGTTTGGAGGGGTCAGAAGAAGACAGAAAAATGTGGGAAAGTTTGGAACTTCCTAGAGACTTGTTGAATGGCTTTGTCCAAAATGCTGATAGCAATATAGACAATAAAGTCCAGGCTGAGGTGGTCTCAGATGGAGATGAGGAACTTGTTGGGAACTGGAGCAAAGGTGATGCTTGTTATGTTTTAGCAAAGGGACTGGTGGCATTTTGCCCCTGCCCTAGAGATTTGTGGAACTTTGAACTTGAGAGAGATGATTTAGGGTAACTGGTGGAAGAAAATGCTAAGCAGCAAAGCCTTCAAGAGGTGACTTGGGTGCTGTTAAAGGCATTCAGTTTTATAAGGGAAGCAGAGCATAAAAGTTTGCAAAATTTGTAGCCTGATAATGCGATAGAAAAGAAAATCCCATTCTCTGAGGAGAAATTCAAGCCAGCTGCAGAAATTTCCATAAGTAACAAGGAGCCAAATGTTAATCCCCAAAACAATGGCGAAAATATCTCCAGGGCATGTCAGACGTCTTCATAGCAGGACCTCCCATTACAGGCCAGGAGGTCTAGGAGGAAAAAGTGGTTTTGTGGGCTGGGCCCAGGTTCCTCATGCTGTGTGCAGCCTAGGGACTTGGTGTACTGTGTCCCAGCTGCTCCAGCCGTGGCTGAAATGCGCCAATGTAAAGCTCAGGCCATGGTTTCAGAGGGTGCAAGCCTCAAGCCTTGGCAACTTCCATGTGGTGTTGAGCCTGAGAATGCACAGACGTCAAGAATTGAAGTTTGGGAACCTCTGCCTAGATTTCAGAAGATGTACGGAAGTGCCTGGATGTCCAGGCAGAGGTTTACTGCTGGGCTGGGGCTCTTATGGAGAACCTCTGCTAGGGCAGTGTGGGAGGGAAACATGAGGTCAGAACCCCCACACAGAGTCCCTACTGGGGCACCACCTAATGGAGCTGTGAGATGAGGGCCACCATCCTCCATACCCTAGAATGGTAGATCCACTGATAACTTGCACTGTGCACCTGGAAAAGTCACAGACACTCAACACTAGCCCATGAAAGCAGCCAGGAAGGAGGCTGTACCTTGCAAAGCCACAGGAGTGGAGCTTCCCAAGACCATGGGAACCCACCTCTTGCATCGGCGTGACCTGGATATGAGACATGGAGTCAAAGGAGATCATTTTGGAGCTTTAAGATTTGACCGCCCCACTGGATTTCGGACTTGCATGGGGCCTGTAGCCCCTTTGTTTTGGCCAATTTCTCACATTTGGAATGGCTATATTTACCCAATGCCTGTAACCCCATTGTATCTAGGAAGTAACTAACTTGCTTTTGATTTTACAGGCTCATAGGCAGAAGGGACTTGCCTTGTCTCAGATGAGAACTTGGACTATGGATATCTGAGTTAATGCTGAAATTAGTTAAGACTTTGGAGGACTATTGGGAAGGCAAGATTGGTTTTCAAATGAAAAAGGATGTGAGACTTGGAAGGGGCCAGGGGCAGAATGATATGGTTTGTCTGTGTTCCCACTGAAATCTCATCTTGAATTCCCACGTTGTGGGAGGGACCCAGTGAAAGGTAATTGAATCATGGAGGCAGGTCTTTCCCATGCTGTTCTTGTGACAGTGAATGAGTCTCATGAGATCTGATGATATTATAAGGGTGAGTTTCCCTGCACAAGCTCTCTTCTCTTGTCTGCCACCATGTGAGACATGCCTTTCACCTTCTGCCATGATTATGAGGCCTCCGCACCAAATGGTCAATAAACCTCTTTTCTGTAAGTCCAATAAACCTTTTTTCTTTGTAAATTTCCCAGTCTCGGGTATGTCTTTATCAGCAGCATGAAAATGGACTAATACAGTACATAATTGTACATGTGTGTATGTGGTACATCCCCCACCTCATAGAAAATACCTGTAGTAACTCCATGGGAAAACTAACCTTAAAATATGATTAGGATTTAGATAAGCTGATGAGCAAAACAAGGTGTGAGGAAAATGGAGGTAGAAATGAGAAAAAAGTCATGTAGTTTAGCAGGAAGTTACGGTTGGGTCCATGTTTTTAAAAGCCTTTAAGTTTAGACAGAAAAGCTTAGCTTTTCAGGATGAAAGTAACATTGAAGGACTTGGTCTGAAAGTAGTAATGCAAGATGGGTTACAGAAGGGAAAGACTGGAATTAACGAGATCAATGTTGTCACAGTAGCCTTATATCTTTGCACAGTGCCTGCAGCGCATACGGAATCAGCAAATGTTTATTAAATGCAGGCACAAATGAATTAACAACTATATCAAATCTGTTACTAATTGTGTTATCTAAATTGTATTATTAAATGTATTATCTATTACATCTATTACATAAAGGTGACTGCTGTAATAACACCTAAGCGAATGTGACTCATCTATTGTCCATAACCACCATTTCTAAGTCTAGAAATAGACTTTTTTTTCTAAGTCTAGAAATAGATGAGTCACAGATGACACCCAAGTTTGAAGTATGTGAAAGCACATAGCTTGAAAGTGTGTGTGCGTGCATGTGCACGTGTGTGCATAAAACAATGCCTATAAATGAGCAGAAAGCATAGGGTTCAACGTGCAATCTCTAAAGTCAGGCTTCCTGGATCATATCACAGCCTTAATACTCACTGATTAGCTAACCTCAGGCAAAATTATTGAGCCATTATGAACCTCAGTTTTCTCATATTTAAAATAGTTATAAAGCATCTTCCTTATATTTAGGATGACATTAAAACAGTACTTATTGTGTAAGTTTAATTGGGAAAATAAATAAACTGTTTTAAAAATAGTGAGTATCAATAAATGTTAGTTATTATTCTTGAGTTTTGAACTTTACTTTTTCACTAAGTTACCTTCCTGCTGAGATTGTTCTTTCCACCAGATGTGGTTCAGAAGTAGTTGACCAAGTCTTAGGGCATTTGTCATAATAAAAATATGTCATACATAGCTCTTTACTGAAAGAACAGAACAGGCACTGATTATTAACTAATCCATGATTCCAAAAGAATCATGATTTAGAGCATTTTTAATTTAAAAAAAAGCATTACCCCTACATTTTGACTAATGATACTACTGGGTTTTCTTCCAGACTTTATGTCTTAGTTTTTTTACTATAAGGGAAAACCAATTTTTACTTATGGTTGAGGGTAGAAAAGCTTATTCTAAAGTTTCCTTGTGAACCTACTTCACCCTGTTGTCTTCAATATGAAGAATCAAGTCCTTCTCAGCTTTAACAGCCACCCCTAACATCGAAAGGGAAATCTCAATACCTCCATGCACAGTGATGTGTTTGAGACCATCAATGTGCCAACATTTCCAGGTGGTGATTTCTAATTTCTAATTAGGCAACTTCCTAACCCCACAATGTTTTCTGAAGACATAGCTGACCACCCCTCCACATCTGCCAGGGAATCATAGGAGTTGTTAAAGTCCTTTTGGGAACCACATTTCCTTCTCTCATGATCTTTGCCATCTGAATGAAGTCTTCCCTTGTGTAAAAATAAATACAAGTTTCCTGTTACTATTCCTGTATAATTTACAGTTTTCCCAAATACTGATAAATGCATACCATAACATTTTTCTTCAAAATAAACCATGCCCAACATTTTAAGAAATTCTGCCTCTATGGTTTTTGATATATCAAACTTAAACCCAGCTTCCTAAAATGAGTTATACTCTTTCTCTAATGGGGGAAAATTGTTTTTAAGAAGGCTTAGCCATTACTTTGTTTTTTTTTTTTAAGGAATATCTGTAACTTTAGATCATGACTCTTGTGTTTTTAAGTATAGATATTTCCACTTATTAAGTACACTTAAAGAGATTAAATGTAGCCTTAAATAAAGAAGACAATATGAGGAAAAGCAGTGCTGGCAATTGAGGGCAGATCAGACTTATTGTTTTACACAATGATTTCTATTACTTAAAGGTGACTGCTGTAATAACATCCAAGTATTAATAAAGTTTAAATAATGTGGCAGAAATAGCTATCTATCTCGCAAAGATTTATAGTCTTTTCCATGTTTGAGAGTTGTTGCTAGAAAGCAGCTGCCCAGATAGAGACTACATTTCCCAGCTTCCCTTGTGTCTTGGTGGGGTCATGTGATTAATTTCAGGCCAGTAGAATAAAGGTAAAAGTGAAGTGTTGCACTTCCAGGCTTGGGTCATAAGAATCTGCTGTACAATCCTCAGTGATCTCTTTCTTCCTCCCATTTTGGCAGTTGGAAGTACTTGCCCAAGGTGACCTTATAAATCATGTGTGGAAGAAAAAAGAGTTCAGTCAATTTGTGTTTTTGAAGATCAGGTAGAACTGAGACCAACCTACCACCATTCCTGCCACTGCCAAGTGGGTGGGAATAAACTGTTTACATTGGGTTAATCTATCGAGAATTGATGATTTTTTTTTTCTTTACAGAAGCTAGAGTAATCTTAATTAATACATGTAGACAAATCACTACACAGTAAAGAAAAACTATATTAATGTTATATAACTTATATCTAAATAAAAATAAGCGTTCCTTAAAAAGGGAAGTTTTTAAACGGCAATGTCCACAGAGTAACACACAAATATTAGTTATTAGTAGTAATAATGCATATGAGCATTATTTTTATAATTTGGCTAACATTTATTGAGTGCTTACAATGTTCAATTCTTCATGTATTATCACATTTAATTCAGAAAAGCCCTACAGTTGAAGAATATAAAGCACAGAGATATTAAGTTGCCCAAGATTATATAGTATTAGTTGGCAGAGAAGGGATTTAAAATACTCCATATATTGGAAGATTATTGTGTGATTAGTGAATTAAAGAAACTATTAAGAAACCAGCAAGAGAACGGCAAACTTGTAAGTTCACGGTTCATTAAATTAGGAAGTTTTTATTTGCAAGGCATGATGACATTCAAAGACTGTGGGAAATAGAAATACGTAAAGGACATGAACTATGACACAAGCATATTAAAATCTAGTTGGGAACATGAGCCATATACAAAAATAACCACTATATATCTGTATATAGTAAGTATCCTATAATATTGCAGAGTATTGTGAGACTTTAGGTGAAAAGGGTCACTTTTAGCAGGGAGTCAGAGCATACTCTTCGTAGAAAATTACAATTAATATTGGCCCTGCCTGAATGGGTAGAATTCAATAGGCAGAAGCAATTAAAAGCCCTTTCAAGTGGACACATAAATATCTATAATCAAGAACAGGAAACGGATTAACAAAGAGGTAGAAAGACAATTTGGGATCAGTTGATTGTGGATCTTGAATATCAAGCTAAGGTTTTGACTTTATGAAGCAGATAACAGAAGTCATTAGCAGAGTTATACACTAGGTAGATAAATCTAATGATCAAGTATAGATTGAACTAGTTTATAATGAGACTGAAAAGCCCTATCCTCTTTCCCCTATGTGGTATATTGTAAGAGATGTATTGTGGCTATGTGATTAATGATAGTGAGAAGGCCTACTCAAAAATCTCATGGGGCCAAAACTATGTGACACTTAGCAGCATGATGCAACCTGGCCTGGGAGTTTCCAGGAGACAAGACCACCTCAGCACAGATGCAATTCCTAGAAACCTTAAAACAAAGCTTACTCTTACAAGAATAACTTAAACTCCCTCTGAAGGAAACTCCTAGTAACTGACCTGGACTGAAGACATAATAAGAAAGGGGGAAAGATCCCTTAAACTCTGGGAATGGTGTCTCCAAGTCAAGACCCTCCCAGTCAGATGGCCATCTGATGTCCTGATTGTATCTGGCCCATGCCATTGCTCTGCTCCCAACATCTGCCTTGTAAAAGTACTGCCAGAATAAACTGCTTCAGGGTCAGATGGTGTCTGAGATTCATCATTGACGTGAATAGGACTAAACAGGAGAACTCACTCCTGAGGAAGCTAGTGACCTAGGACAACCTAAGACCCCCAAACATGACATCCCCCGAACATGAACAATAAAATTATATATGTTCCCATCTTTTTTTTTTTTTTTTGGACACAGAGTCTCACTCTGTAACCCAGGCTGGAGCGCAGTGGCACAATCTTAGCTCACTACAACCTCTGACTCCAGGATTCAAGTGATTCTCCTACCTCAGCCTCATGAGTAGCTGGGATTACAGGCGCCCCCTGCCACGCCCGGATAACTTTTGTATTTTTAGTAGGGACAGGGTTTTACCATGTTGGTCAGGCTGGTCTTGAACTGCTGACCTCAGGTGATCCACCCACCTCAGCCTCTCAAAATGCTGGGATTACAGGCATGAGCCACCACGCCCAGCCAACTTTTCTTTTCAATAAATGTTTACTGAAGACAGTTCAGAAAATACAGGTAAATATAAAATAAAAAATATCCTCTTGTTTGCTATTATCTCCTTCCCTAATTTTCCCTTGAAAATATAAACAAAAAATGCTTTGCAAAAATAGTTTCAAACAATACTTAAAGTTGTGTAACCCACTGTTTAAACTCTATCATCATCATGATTGTGTAGCATTCCATCAATTGGCTAGATCATAATATATCTAAAAATGCCCGATTACTAGAAAATTAGATTGTATTTATGTTTACTATCATTATATGACAAATAGCCCATTTTTAAACTTTGACAATTTTATGTTCAAAAATAATCTCATTGCTTTAATTTGCACTCCTTGGATTATCAGTAGTAAGTTGAGCTTTTTCCATACTTTTCATAGTATGTCTTCCTAGTGAATTGCCTACTCATGTATCTGCTGCTTATAAAATTATGTATCTTTTTCTTACTTATTTTTTGAAGACTTAATCTATATAGTAAGAATATTAACTTTTTTCTGTCATATATACTGCAAAACATCTTAGCCATTTGCCTCTAAATTAATTTTTGGCATTTCTGTCATACAAGATCTCTCAATATTCAGATAAGCAAATCTACCAATTCTCTCTTTTAGGATTTTTTCCTTTCTAAAAGATTTTCCCAATAACAAAAGTATGGTGAATATTAGCCTGCAATTTGTACAAGTATTTTAATTATTGATTTGTATTTTTAACATTCCTCCTCCAAGCTAAAACTATATATTCTTCATGTTTATTTCCATCAACACCAATTTTACTGGCTGAAACTACTAGTGTAATATAGAAATTAAGAATATGGACTCTACAGTCATACTTCCTGAGTTAAATTCTGGTTTTACTTACTAGCTGTGACTCTGAGAAAATTATTTTACTTTTTGGTGTCTCAGTCTTTTCATCTACAAAATGCAGGTAAGAAATGTACCTATCTCATACTGTTGTGAAGCTTAGACAAATTAAATCACATAAAGTATATAATACACTCTCAATAGGAGTTACTTTTATTATTATTGAGACATTCATTTGCAATACACCAACAAATCCAGGCCTTGTGCTAAATATCGGAGCACATCAATATAGTAACAGTTGAGCAATCTGTCCTACAGAAGTTTACATTCGAGAAAAGGCACACACTGTATGCAAACAATAAGCAGAATCATTGCAGTTGTGACTATTTCAATAAGGGAAATAAATGCAGTAATAATATCTCTTTTGCAGTAGAGAGCCAAAGAGCTTCACCAAGAGAAATGGGGAAAGAGGCAGCCAGCTGAGAAATTTGAAGAAGAGCATTTGTGCCAGAGGGAGTAAAAAGTGCTAGGCCTCATGGTGAGGGAAGGTATTGGTATATTTAATCAACATAAAGAAAACTAACTAGAGAGCTATAGTGAGCAAGCTAGGGAATGGGGCAAGACGAAGTTGTGGAGGTAACAGGAGCCCCATGATTCAGGGCCTTGTGAACCAACTTAAGGAGTTGAGATTTATTCTAAGTTAAATGGGCAGACATTGAAGGATCTTAACCAGGGAACGGTGTGGTTAAACTCTCTCTGAATCTGGTCAAGATCTGATTCAGGTTTTTAAAAGGCTGTATGGGCTGCTTGAGGAAGAACAGTTTAGAAAAGGGCAAGAGTAGGAGCAAGAAACACATTTAGAAGGTGGGGTACACAGAATAGTACCCCTTGCCTATAAAGATTTCCTCACTGTGATTCCAAGGACCTGTGAGTATGTTACCTCACATGCCAAAAGGGACTTTGCAGATATTTTTCAGCAAAGGATCTTGAGATGGAAGATTATTCTGGATTATCTCAGTGGGTCCAATGTAATCACAAGGACTCTTATAAGAGCAAAATAGGAGGGTCAGAGTCCGAAAAGGCAATATGACAGTGGAAGCAGAGAAAGAGATTGAAAGATGCTATGCTGCTGGCTTTGAAGATGAAGGGTGAAGCCACAAGCCAAGTAATGTCAGTGGCTTCTAAAAGCTAAAAAGGACAAATAGATTTTTCCCTAGAGCCTCCAGAAGGAACAAAGCCCTGCTAACATCTTGATTGCAGCCCAATTCATTTTGAATCTCTGACCTTCAGAAATGTAAGATAATTAACTTGTGTTGTTCTAAGTCACCTAGTGTGTGGTAATTTGTTACAGCAGCAATAGAAAATACAGAAGAGTTTTGCATTAAGTAATTCAGGTGAAATATGTTACTATTTCATGGAGTAGAGTAGTCATGGCAGAAATAGTAGAGAGGAGGACATATATCTACTATATATTTTCTAGGAAGATAGGCATTGGATTGGATCTATAAATTTTAACTTGAACAGGTAGGTAGATAATGAAAACATTTATTAAACTGGGTAGATTGTAGAGTAAACCAGTTTGGCATGGGAGGAAAAAAGAAAATCAAGAATTATGTTTTGAAAGTGTTAAGTTTCAGATGCCTATTAGACATTCAAAAGGAAATAAAAAGTAGGCAATTGAGGCTGGGCGTGGTGGCTCACGCCTGTAATCCCAGCACTTTGGGAGGCCGAGCTGGGCGGATCACGAGGTCAGGTGATCGAGACCATCCTGTGAATGGTGAAACCCCGTCTCTACTAAAAATACAAAAAATTAGCTGGGCATGGTGGTGGGCACCTGTAGTCTCAGCTACTCGGGAGGCTGAGGCGGGAGAATGGCGTGAACCCAGGAGGTGGAGCTTGCAGTGAGCCGAGATCGTGCCACTGCACTCCAGCCTGGGAGACAGAGCAAGACTCCGTCTAAAAAAAAAAAAAAAGTAGGCAATTGAATCTATTTATTGGGGGCTCAATATAAAGGTAAGAGTTGGAGACATGAATTTGAGAGACAGAATTTGAGAATCGCAGTATTTAGATGGCATTTACAGCTAGAGGCTAGATAAAATTTTTTCTCTATGCACTAAATGTTTATTGTGCATCTGCTTTTCTAAAAGCTGGGCATACAACAGTGAACAAGACAAAATTGTCGCTGTTCTCATGGAGCTTCTATTCTAGTGGAAGGAGATAGATAATAAACCAAGGGGATAAATTATAATATAGGAAGGGAGAAGCACTATAGGGAAAATAAAAAAAAGATGGTGTGGGTCTCAGAGCTATTTTATTAATTTTATTTTTAAACTTTTAGGCTTGAGGGTGCATGTGAACATCTGATACATAGGTAAACTCATGTCATGGGGGTTTGTTGTACAGATTATTTCATACTCAGGTATTAAACCTAGTTCCCAATAGTTGTCTTTTCCTGCTCCTCTCCCTCCTCTCACCCTCCACCATCAAGTAGACCCCAGTGTCTGTTGCTCCCTTCTTTGTATTCATGAGTTCTCATCATTAGCTCCCACTTGTAAGTGGAAACATGCAATATTTGGTTTTCTGTTCCTGTGCTAGTTTGCTAAGGATAATAGACTCCAGCTCCATCCATGTTCCTGCAAAAGACATGATCTTTTTCTTTTTATGGCTGCATAGTATTCCATGGTGTATATGTACCACATTTTCTTTATCCAGCTGTCATTGATGGGCATTTAGGTTGATTCCATGTCTTTGCTGTTTTGAATAGTGCTGCAATGAACATTTGCATGCATGTGTCTTTATTGTAGAATAATTTATATTCCCCTGAGTATATACCCAGTAATGGAATTGCTGGGTCAAATGGTAGTTCTGCTTTCAGCTCTTTGAGGCATCACCATACTGCTTTCAACAATGGTTGAACTAATTTACACTCCCACCAACAGTATTTAAGCGTTCCTAGGGCTATTTTAAGTAGAGCATTGGGATAAGTTATTTTTCAGAAATTGACAAGATGTATTAGAGTTTAGGGTAAAGAAGCATCCTTAGACTGGGAGTCAGAGAAGTCTTTATTGAGGAGGTATTTAAGCTGAGACTTGAATGACAAGGAGGCAGCCATACTTATTGCTGGATTTATTGTCCTTCTCACATCTGACTGAACACTTGGAGGACAAAGATATTGTCTAACTTTTTTTGTATGCATAGGGTCTGGCACTAAGACAGCCAGATTATTATATATATTGTAATAGTATGCCTTTGAGAAATTGTAAGTAAATAATAAGTATTTACTGTCTACCAGGTTGGAAGCCCAAAAGAAATAAAAGAATTTTGTTGCTACTTCCATAGCTCGCAGTCTATTTGAAGAGACTACACATAAGCACAGTAATTGAGATGGCAATATATGAAGCAGCATGACATGTACTGCTATCTTATATGCTACATGAGGACATCCTGATATAGTGACTGGAAAGTGGGCTTATATTAAGAAGACAAGATTGTTAAACCTACCCTTGTGTGTAATCAGATGGGGAATCTTCACAAGTAACTTAACTTCTATGTATTTATTTCCTAATCTGTAAATAAAAATAAACATATTTTCCTAACCTACCTTCATGTGACAAGGCCTAGTCTGTCACAAAGCAAAAAGAATAATAATCATAGTTATTATTATTATAGTGAAACTAATACATATTAAAATAATACATCCTAATTATTATTAGGATAATATTTAAGTGTCAAAATATGCCATAGAGATATAGACTATATGATAAGGAACTTATATGGCTTTGACTTACTGGAAATCTTACACATACATGATCAATTCCTAGACAAGAATTTTTTCTCCCAAGAGAGAGCTTTTTATTTTTTCAACTCCAAAGGTTATCTTAAAGTTAGTGTTTTAAAGAGGTTCTTTTTGTGTTAAGTGGCAGCTAGGTACGCCCTGGGTCTTAAAGACAGATGCCATATCTCTTCCCAATTCTGATGCAGATTAGTGCTGCACAGAGCAGCCATAAAAAGGCCACAATGAGTGAATTTTAGCAAAAAGCAATAACAGTGATATGTAAAAATGGCCAAAATAAACATAAATCAGCTACCTCAAAATGACATATTGACACAATTCAGTGGTCTCCTCAACCAACCTCTACCTACCTTCAGGCATTTTTTTTCCCCAAGTGCTCCAAACCTCATTCTCAGAAACTTTAAATCACAGGGATGGCTCTAGGGAGCCTCTGCTATTCAGTTACCTTCACTCCTTGCTTCCATCATCCTTCAGCAACACCCAAGGCTGCCAACTAGCCAAAGCAGACTCTCCCCAGTGTCCAACATCAGCTGTATCATTCCTCCTCATAATTCAGAGCAGGATGCCTGCCATCCTCACCGGGAGAACAGAATCCACATCTCCCTCTATTGGGACTTTCAGCTGATCGACTTGGATCATTTTTCTAAAGCCTCGACTTTCTCTTTACCCTCCTTACTCTTCATTAAATCTTCAACTCATTCTGTCTGTTCTATATTGTCACGTCTGTCTTTTTCTTTATCAAATAGAATCTGTCAAACCCCATTCTATAAAAATTGTTCACTTCAGTGCTTATTTTTTTTAACCTACACTGAATAGGTAAATGTGCCACAATAATTATTTGCTTGGGATAAGTAACATAACTTCTCAGGTCCTCAATCTTCTCATCAGTAAAATTGGGATGAAATGGACTACAATTAGTGGATTTTAAACTTTTGTTAAATACTGAGATTCCCTACAGCCTAGGTGACAGATCGAGACCCTGTCTCAAAAAAATACACACACACACACACACACACACACACACACACACTAGGATCCTTCAAGTGCTATTGTATACCCATGTATAGAGCAAAGCCCTCCAATGGAGCACCACTCTGAGGCAGGTGGTAATGGAACTCTGGAGCTCTCCCACGTGATGCAGCATCACTCTTCCTTACTGGGGTCCCTGAGATAGTTCCAACTCACAAAACCCAAAGGAACACATGATAGTCTTAATAAGCTGCATTCTAACTTTAATATCCAAAGACTCTATTCAAAATGCTTGTATAGTGAGAGACTGAGTAGCAAGGAAGCTATAATTTTGTTGTATGTCAACTTTTATTTTATTGAAATGCCCATAAGCAGTTTAATTCATTTAATTCCCTACAATAATGCTATTATGCTTATGGCTACCAATGAAAAGACTGAGACTCAGAGAGTAAAACTTAAATTTCCATATTTTATAAAAGGCTGTAAGGCGATTCAAACACTTGCTTCTTCCATTGTTGCACATTACCTCTAGACCCGATCATGACTTCCTAACCTAGTCCCCATCCAGCCATTATTACTGATTAATTAGATTCCCTTCCATATTTTATTGTGAATATGTTTAGTATATATCACCTACTGTTGATGTTTATATTTACTTGTCTAGTAAAAATAGAACAATAGGATGGAGTAGGTTTGTGTAGAGCACTAAGAAATAATAATTTGACTTAAAGAGAGAAACAGAGAAGGTAGCATTGATAAATTGATAGTTAAATGTTTTCAAAATCTGATACTTACTTCTAAATGTACTATAAAAATCGTGACTACCCAGAAACAGCATTACTTCAAAGAATGTATTTTTAATTCCTATAATCATATCCAAAGCAGTTCATAGCATGCACTGAATTTCTCACTTTTAAAAAGTCTTTCCAATGATAAAATGTGAAGATAAGCAAATGTAATATCTTATAATCAGCTGAATTCCATATCCTTAGAATACCTCTTATGCAAATCTAAATATCTCTGGATAATTACAGAAATAGTATTAATTGTGGAAAACAGGCTAGGATGTGAAGTCAAAAACTTGTTAGATACTGCATTATCATTCCCTATTTATCAGCTTATATTTTTCCTCAGATTCTATATTATCTTTGCTCGTTTTTCCTCTGGCAGGTGTTCAAGGGTGAATTATGCAATTAAGAATCCAAAATTCCACTGCATCCAGATGCCTAATTTGCTAACTATTCATTTGCCAAAAATGCATGTTTACTATCTATTACATAATGACTACAGAAACAACTTCTGGTTTCCATTTCATGAATTGATACTGAGAATATGACAAATGTCCTGGAAGGCATTTTTCAGTGCCCATTCCCATGCAATTTTATTAATTTCATAAATTTACCAACATCTGGGGAGAAAAACTCTCCCCTCAACAGTTTTAAGTTCCAAAGTCATTGTTATTTTTCTTTTCAAAATCCATGGACAAGTTTGTAGAATAATAATGAAATTTTAGTCTCTAAATTTTGTTAAACGTTTAGCTGATCTTGAAAGGAGCCACTCTACCTTATCCAGAAACATTTTTTAATATGTTTCCACAAGTCTTTATAGTCATTGTGAATTCTTAAAGAAAACTGCATTTACATCAGTTTGTCCCACCCCAACAGTTACCAATACTCCTCAGTACATCAAAGATTTCATGACATTATAGATCAATGGTGATGTAGTGATGGTGAATCTATGTCATTTACATTAACAAGACAAGTTTATAAAATGGTGGTGTGGGGATGGAAGGGAGAGGTAGTTGAAATAACAGGAAAACAATAATTAACATTGTATTGTGTTCCAACCCTAAATCTGTCTCAACATATCCAAAATAATGTGGTAAATATAAGTTGATGTTCACTACAATGTCTACATTCATGTCCTCTCTGATTTTTACTTAACTCTAATAAGCAGTAATAGTGTGGTACGTATGTAACTATCTATCTGCCTCACTCTCTTTTTAGGAATTCCCAATATTCAGAATAATATCTCTCAGAGTAAGGAATATAAAAAGAAGAGAAGGAGGAGAAAGAAAGGAAGGAGAAAGAAAGGAAGGAAAAAAAGGAAGGAAGAGGAAAAAAAGAAATAAAAAAAGATAATTCGATCTTAATTATACTACCTTTTGTTTCAGCCCTGCTAAACAAGGCACTCATTGAGTATTTGATGACTGGATAAATAAATGAAAAAACAAAGTGAAAAGAACTCTACTGGAAAAAGGATATGAATTTCAGTACAAGCTTTTTTCCCCAGCTAGAATACTGTAAAACTCACCTGACCTCTTAGGATTTCATATGTTAAATGAAGAAGTGTGACTAGATAAACTGCAATTCTAACACTAATGTTCTATACAATTGTTTTAACAAAGAAATAAGTATATGGAGATTCTTATTCTTTGTTTTGAAAATATTTGATTACATTGGACAGGTGTATCCATAATCAATGGACAGATGTATTTATTCACCAAACTTTGAGAGGATGTCTGTACCTTCCCTAATTGTTGGTGGGAGTGGAAGCTTTTTTTCTTGTTTGCACACATTAGGCATTCATTCAATAATTAGCTCCTTTTTACTCTTTTCTAAAAACTACCTACCTATAGTGTTGACACTTCATTTGATAGGGGTACACACACACACACACACACACACACACACACACACAATTATTTGGAGGGTGCTGAAACATCTTATTACCATCTACACTAATTGCTGTACATAACTTACTTCCTCTAGTTAAAAGGTAAAATACTTCATACTGATGATTAAGTATTTGTAATATAGGTTAATGATTTGAAAATTCTCACATTTTTACCACATGGCATCTATTTTTATTGGTTCCTTTTCATAGCTAATCTAGGAAGAGGTTAGAAAACCAAGACACACCTACAATTAAATAAAAGTTCTCTTCCAGAACCTAAGTAGGAGTTTTCATCTTTAGACAGCCTACTGAGTGTTATCTTTTAATAAACTGGATTGCAAGCAAAAAAGGGAAAAAGAAAATAAGCAGGGAAGGAAGAGAGGGAGGAAGTGGTAAAGAGACAGACAGACCCTTAGAAACAAGAGCTATTTCAGAGCTGTCCTAGGAAACTGTCTCTGCATCATTTGGACTATGACTCATATTAACATGAATTTGCAAGTAAGAACTCTAATAAAAACATATTTATCCTCTATCCAGCACATCTTCAAGAGAACATTAATTGTAACAATGTATAATTGACTTTATGGAATTTAAGTTTACAGAAAAATGTTTTTAAAAAATTTCTGCTGTGCCTCAAAACTTGTTCCAAAAACTTAAGAAATGAGAATGCTTCAGACAGTTTGCCAAATTTTAAATGCATTTTATTCCTGTAGAGTTTTTAGTTTATAAGTCATTTTCCTAGGCATTATCACCTTTGAGTTTTACAATCTACTTCTGGAGTAAACTGAAATAATTAGCCCCACTTTTTAGATAATTACAGTTTAAGTATTGAATTAATTAATTTAAATATGAGCTAAGACAGAAAACCAATTATAATATAAAGCCAGAAATGCAAGAAATGTTATGATAGGCATCATGGAAAGTCTATTTTTGAATATATTTTGCAAATGTTATTTTTCTCATTGATTCTGAAGGGTTCATTTACATTAAAAGATACAATTAATTTATGTACTAATTCAATCTGTGGCTACTATAGGTTAAAAAATACTCATTTTTCTCTTCACTGAAGATGAAAGAACATGAATTCAAAATATTGAGAAGTAGTTCTCTCACGTCTAAATCTTGTAACCTGAGCACCGCAGGTTCAAAATAAATCATCTATTTTGACACTCATCAATGCATATGTCCATTTTCTATGACATTTTAAATAGCATAAAATTTGGAGCAGTATCCAGTAGTAAAGGAAACAAATGATGTTGCTTTCAGTCCTGCTCCTATTCCAATCTACTAAAAGTTCAAAATCACCTAAATATTCTGTCAGAATAGAAACGCAACTGTGAAGTATCAAAATGCATAGAAAGTAAAATTGCTACCAAACTAAGAAAACAGTAAGTAGAGAAAATGTTCATTCACTGTGCACCTTCCTGGTGTTAAATGTCACTTCCTCTGAAGGTGTCCCCATCTCTTCAGACACAGGAATTATTTTTTTCCCATGGATTTGTTCCAGAGTTAGTTTATATAACCATGCTCCTAGAACATAATATGATGGTTTTTGTTTATGTTTCCTGCTTTCCAGAGACTAGGAAATACTTAAAACTAAGCCTTGACTTTTGTATTTTTGGTGCCAGCATACTGTCTAATATACAGTATATGCATAATATCACATGTATCAATATGTAAATAAGTAAATGAATGAGTGATTCATGTTGAAAGAAATACTAACATATTCTTTAAGAAGTAGACCTCAACCAGGAAAGGAAAAAGAGTCAAGCCTCTAGCCAAGGTTTATTTTAAAAGTGTTTCATGTCTTCATGATTGATTATTTTGACTGCTCATTCATTCCATATGCATTCTCTACAGAGTTTTATCAAACATAGGAAATACTCTTTTAGTTATTTTTTTATTCTCTATAAATAAATTAATGGCTAGCATATACATTAAAAAATCTCATTTAGAAACTTTTTAAAAGAATCTTTTAGTTTTATTCTTCATACACCAAAATAAGTAAAATATCATTATAATTTACTCTGTTTCTGTTTTCTTTTTTTTGAAATAGGGTCTCACTCTGTTGTCCAGGCTGGAGTGCAGTGGCATGATCATAGCTCACTGCAGCCTGAAACTCCTGGCCTCAAGCAGTCCTCCCACCTTGGCCTCCCAAAATGCTGGAATTACAGCCACGAGCCACCGCACCCAGCCCTAACGTTTACTCTGTGATATCAATTTTAAATGTTGTAAAAAAAAATTCCAAAACCTGCATCTTTGGATCAAAGCCAATGTCAGTATACTATATTTAGCTGAATAAATTACAGGCACCCATTAACTTTGCTAAGAGCTCAGGGTCTCCAGGTAGGCCACAAATACCCCTTCAATCCTGGGCAAGTTACTCCGTCTCGGCATTGCTGTTTGCAAATCAGTAAAATAAGTAGTTGTACCACATAGCAGGCCAGGTCCTGTCCTGGTCATCGCATTCTGCATTGGTGTAACTCCTTGTTAGGAATCTTAGTATGAACTCTGCCATAGTTTCAGCCCTTGAAACAACCAGCAAATAAATGTAGCCTTCCTTCCCCCTCCAAACCCACCATGTTCTTTAATGTCTATATCCTATCAGTGAGAATTCAGACATGAATGTTTAAGGAAAATGGGAGGAGAGTGCCCATAGAATAATACTCACACCAGAATCTGAGATAAGACTCACGCATGATCAAATAGGAACCACACACCAAAAGTCTTTGTGGGGAGACTTTAGGTAAGCCCCTAAGATACCCAACACCAACACCTGGTGTCTATAGTCTTATAGAATGCCCTCTTTTTGAGTGTGAGTGTGAGACCGGTGATTTGATAATAGTCAGCAGAAAACAGCAAAAGTGACAGGATGTCACTTCACAATTCATGCTATGTTATATAATACTGTCTTGCTAACAAACTAGCTTTAGATTCTCCCTTGTCAGCTGTGACGAAGCAAGTAGAAATGGACACTACAGGAACTGATAGTAACCTCCAGGAGCTGAGAGAAATCTCAGTCCTACCACTTCAAGGAAATAAATTCTGCCAATAACATGAATGAGCTTAGAAACAAATTCTTACCCAGTTGAGCCTCTGATGAGACTGCAGACCCAGCCAACATGTGAGTTGCAGACTGGTAAGACCCTGAAGCATTGAATCCAGCAATGCCATACCTGGACTCCTGACCCACAGAAACCATGAGATAATAAATGTGTGTTGTTTAAGCTGCTAAAATTATGGTAAGTTGCTATATGGCAATAGGTAACTAATATAGCTGTGAAGGTAATGTTGGTCTCTTCATTCCCACATTTTGTATAGAGTATGTATTAGTGCCATACACTTAGGCAGTAAAAATCATACTGACCCATTTTTATCTCCTTTAGCAAAATAATTGTAGATATATCTATTTTATTTCCAAAAAAAGTCATAATGTTTTATTGTCTCAGAATACTGAAATAAAGCACATCTTAGATAATGAATAAAGAATTTATGCTAAAAGAAACTGGCTGGTTCTTTGGCCATTCCTTGCATCTAGAGTTTACCAATACTTATAGTAAGAAGTCTTAAATTCATTTATTTATTCACTATATATTTGATGTACTCCTGTTTTATAAAAACTGCAGAAAGTGCTCTGGGGGATTCAGAGATAAATAAGACATGGTTACTGCCCCAAGAAAAATTATAACTTTGTCGCACTAAGTTTTGTGAATGTGTTGTCAATGCAAGAGTTTAAATTGTTTGTAATACTGTATGTCTTAAAGGATCACAGTTTCAGAACAGAAGAAAATAAATGCAATGCATCAAAGTGAAATTGCCTATATGAGCCCATCTATGATGTTTGTATTAAATGGTTTCAGATAAATTCCCATGGGAATAATATTGACTCTTATGGATGGGTAATATCTCAATAACCAGATACATGGAGGAGAATATTTTATTGGAGAAACTTAAAGGTAAGAATGATGGGCATATTCAGAGAACAAGTGATTTGGGCTTGAAAGCCATCATGGTTTATTGGAAAAAGCAAAAGTACAGAACATAGTGTCAATTAAAAAATAATGAGGGCCTGAACTAGGCTGGAATGGAAAGGAGGATCCAAACAGAAAATGAAGACACTGCGGATGTGGACCCTAGAATAAGCACAGCAACTGATTGTGTGAGACAGTTGATAGAGAGAAACAGAAACGACTTTGAAGTTTAAAACCTGGATTAAAGGGAATAGAATTATCATTAACAACATTAGGAGGGTTAAGAGGCAGTATTGGTTTGTGGGGAGAAAATAGCTGGGTGTGATACACATTGGATTTAAAGGGCTAGTGAAACAGGGTATTTGAGGAGGAGAAAGGTAAGGGCAATAAGATCAAGAATATTTGGCAATAAGGAAACCGCTAAAACTGCACTTTCAGATGAGTGTTGGGTTTATGATGGGTAAAAAAGTAGGTTAGTAGAAAAAATGGAGTCAAACGACAAAGCAACAAGGATCTTGAATGACAACCTAAGAAAAATTAAAGGGAGATGGGTGTTTCTAATGCTTTTCAGGGTGCAGCACCGTCTTACTACAAGTCAAAAGAGGAGCTCTAGTCTAAGTATTTTCAAAATGTGAAAAGAAATGTTTTTTGAAAGACGCCATAGAAAAAGATAAAGCACAAATTTTAAATATAATTTCATTATTTTTGGCACACATGCCCCTTTGAATATAGCACATCTCTTTTCTCTTAGGGAAAATTAATGGAATAAAAAAGACCTCCTATCCCTATTTAAGTCATTGGATCTGTAAAAATGGAACATAACCAAAACTGTGATGAATGAAACAACTGATGAAAGTTCAAAAAAATCAAAAGTTATTTTATATATATCCTTTGAGCAATTTTCTGACATACTTTCCATTTCTTAATACAGTACCCTGAGTTGAAGCAATGACAACTAGAAGCAGGATTATAACACCTATGTTTTCAGTTATGAAAAGTGAGTTATTTCTGATGATGAGTGTGAGCTGCCAACAAGCACATAACACCATGCCCACTAGTCCTATAATTTGCTTTTGTTTTAGAAAATTTTCTTGTTTTCTGCAGTTTCCATTTTCAGAGTACGTGTAGCACACAACCTGACAGTACTACCCTTTAAAAAAATATTTCCAGAGCATTTAACAAAGTTCTATGCAGAGAGGATGTTCAAAACTTCTAATTAGTTCATCTGTGTGTGTGTGTGTGTGTGTGTGTATTTGTAAATTTGAAATTCTATATGTGAGAAAATTGATGTAAAATAGCTGGCAAAGTGATTGCTTAATAAATGCTTAAAAGAAACATGAAATCTGAGAAATGCAGAATGACAAAAACTGTTGAAATAAAAGAAAATTGGGGAACAGTTATCAGCTTAGAATCTATGTCATTCAAAAATATAAAGTGTTAATACCACCACAAAGCAAATAATTTATGAATATTTGAATGCCAATGTGTCATATGGGCTTTTTGGCTCAGGAGATACTAATTTCCCAGTGACCAGAGTATCTCACCTTAAATGCAAAGTGTAATCCTCAGATTTGACTCACAGCAAGATGCATTATGCATGGCCCAGCCTGTGTTCCTCTCATTTATTCATACTCTCTGAACTCTGTCTCTCTCTCTCTCTCTCTCACTTTCTCTCATTTAGAGCTACTATTAACATTTTGTACTTTTTTCTTGGGTTTTATGATATATATGTAAGAAAATGACAGAAGATCAGTAAAGAAATACTGCTTTAATTTCTAGAGGCAATATTTCATTACAAATATCAGAAAAAAATTACACTGACAAAATGACCTATACAGCAAGGACTGCAGGTTGTTCTCTACTATGCATGCCCTCCTTCTATAATAATAGAACTTCCCAATCTTTAGCTGGGCATATAACCACTTACAATACACCAAGCCCATTCCTTTGCAATTGCAGGTAGATATATGATTCAGTTTTGGTCAAAGTGATGCCAATAGAAGTCTGATGTGGGTTGTGCCCTTAAAAGGAAGCAGTTTACCTTCTCCTTCCCCTGCATTTTTGCCATCTGGGATGATGGAGATGAGGAGATCACACTAAGGGGCTTGAGCAACAAGAGAGAATTCTTCACACTTGAATTCTTGCAGCAGAGCACTAGTATCATTCTAGAATTTTATGAGAAAGCAATAACCTTCTGTCTTGTTTAAAGAAGTATTACTTTGGATCTTAAGTCATGTTGCTGAACTTATAGCCATGTGATTCCAAAAAGCTAGTGTATATTACTGAGGAAACAGGAGGTTCTCTACCATTACTTGTTCCTAGATATCATTTTAATTTTATCTTCCTTTCAAATTTTTAGTTCTACTTTGAAAAGATGCATTATATTCAAATCATCTCAGAGCCGGAAAAGGGTTTTTTGTAACATTTAGTCTGGCGTTCCCTGATGTGTATTTAACTGAATAAGCAGTAGTCATCAGTAGTCATGAATAAAGGAGATATAAATAAATGGCAATAAAGTAAAACATGTTTAGAAAACAGCTAAAATTCATTCTCTTCGTGAAGAGTCACAATGCATATTAGCATATAAATATATGAATAGTCCTAAAATAGAGGGAAATATTTAACATTTTATTTTCCTATCAATAGACCATAGAAACATTTTTAAAACAGTATAGATTAACCTACTTTGTAACTACTGCTCTGTGGAACATTCTTTGGGGAAGTTTGAATTTCTAGATAGTGCATAAATCCTCCATGTGTTCAAAAAATGACTCTTTAGTCCTTGCTTGAATGCCTTCCAATAACAGAAGTCACTACTTCAAAAGATGATCCATTTCATCTACTTCTCACTTTTAAAAATAAAGACATTAATGAAGATGGATATTAATTATTTCTATTAAATGTGAGAATGTTTTTGACCTCAGTAACATTTGCCACAATGCATTGTTTTATTTACCAGGTTAGTAATGGCAACAGAAAGTTCAATGATCTCATTTTAAACAACCTGTGTACTCAGCCTACCTAACATTTCAATTTCCCTTCAGCAGCATTTGATCAATCCTTTTTAGTGTATCATGTATTCTACATGTGAGAGAGGAAGGAGGAAATTGAATACATTTTTCTTTAACTCAATAATCTGATAACACAGCAAATATCACTGAAATAAAGTCAATTATTTTCTGATGACCAAAACGACCATTTTGTTACTTGCTGTTTTGTTACAAATTCAAGAATCGTAAAACAAAAGAATTCTATAACTAAAATGCCCATTTAGTCTTTCTTCAGATTCCATTTCCTAATCAATAATTGTTGCCTCAACACATGGTCATAAATCCACATGTGTGTAGGCCACATTAAATACTCATTAGTCATGGTAATAAAGTGTGGTCTATTTGAATTTTAAAAATAATATGAACCTATGAAAATGGGAGAATGTATAGTAGGGCCAACTTTCTAAGTGTACACAGTAATACACTTGGCATTAGTAACTGATGGACTATAAAATGAAATATGGTTTTACCAAGATTACCAATATTTGGGAGAAAAAATTTATTTACATTATTTTTGACCAATTTTTGAATCAAACTGTTATCTTGACCAATACATTTGTTATCAAGTTGCTTTTAATCAGATCATTTACTATCTTTTCATGAAGTCACCAAATACATAGTTCAAGAATTTTTTAGAGCTGCATTCAATAAATTTAACGAATCAAATTGATTTTAATCAAATCTCTTGGCCTTCACCAACAGTAGCTTTCAGCATTAAATTTTAAAACTTTAATTAGAGAATTAGCAGTGATTCCACTGAGCTCTGAGTAATATGTAAACTTTTGAATAGCCATCTGATGACTCCACATAGACAGTATGACCTGAATACCAATATATTCTTGAATAAATTAATAATGTTCTAGTTTATTTTCCCAATTATAATTTCAAATTGAATTTATTTAAATGTCACATTAGTAAGATATTTGTGAGTATTAAGTAATTATATTTAAAACTACAAAAGTCTCAGGACACATTTGGCTCCTGAGCTGTCTATTGGACACTTATAAGAATATAAGAAGGTAGATATTTTATAGTACTGCACTGAAGTTTGGCTCCAACCTTGATTTTAAGCCTAAATCTGCTTTTAGGTTTGAGTGTTAGCCATGGATTTGAGAAGCTTGAACAGTTAAAATTCTATTTTAATGCCGTATCAGGCATTATTGAACTCGTATATGATTAATGATCATGTAATGGATAGATTATCATCATTTCTTATCACAATATGAACAAAAATAAAATAAAAACAGCAAATCACTTGCATCAATTGTTAATACATGAATAGGTAACTTGGAGAAAATCTTATATACTTTATATATTGAACAATTATTTTTCACTAATGCAAATTTACTTTTCTAAGAGTAAAATGCCACAATAATTTATATTTAATAGTGAAAGGTGTTAATTTCACATCAGAAAATGATTTAAAACAGCCAAAAAGTTAAATATATGACAGCATATGAATTTAATAAATATCAAGAAAAAACATATCAGCTAGATAAATTTTTAAAATATCTTTATCTTTTGTGCCAAAAATATTTATAAAATATAAATAGTAATTAAGTTAGAATAATAGAAGTAATGTCATAATGCTAATCTCTGTAGGATTATTTACTTTATAAGCATTGATAAGATTTAAAAATCTTTATTTCAAATCATCTTTAGCCTAAATATAAAGAACACAAAGTACAAAAAGAAGCCTTAAGAGAAAAATGTCCTACCTCAAAATATCTCCCTCCTCCATCTATTTAGTGGACAGTAAGCAATTATTTTATATCACAAACAATGCAATAGCATGTCTTCAAGAACATTGTAGACAATAAGAATGCAGAGAAGTTATTGTTCCTGTGCTATAATGTCAACAATGTAAACTTTGTATAAAAAAATACTTGTACTGGTATATTTATCACAGCACTACTCATAATAGCAAAGATATGGAACCCACCTGTATCTACCAATGGTTGACTGGATGATTGGATAAATGTTATGATCCAATGGATCCAATGAATGATTGGATAAATGCTATATATATATGTATATGGTATGTATATGTATATGTATATATTATATATGTATATATAACATTTTATGTATCTAGTCATCCACTGATCAACACAGGTTTATTCCATATCTTTTATATCATATATCAATAAATGTTATAAATGCTATATATATGTATACATACACACATATATATACATATACATACATATATACATATATGTATGATACACACACAATGGAATACTAGTCTGCCATAAAAAGAATAAAATCATGTCTTTTGCAGCAATAAGGATATAACTGGAGGCCATTATCTTAAGTGAAATAACTCACACAGAAACACCAAAACCACATGTTCTGACTTATAAGTGGAAGCTAAATAACGTGTACACATGGGCATAGAGGGGAAATAATAGTCATGGGAGACTCAGAAAAATGGGAATGAGATGGGGGAATGGGAGATGAGAAATTACTTAATGAATACAATGTATACTATTCGAGTGATGGTTGCACTAAATGCCCAGACTTATGGGCTTCTTGCCACTTAAATTTATACCAATAAAATAAAATAAACTTTGAGTACTTGATATTGTAATAATGAAATTTAATATTAACTAAAAATCTTATCAAATTTTAGATTCATTCCCATACCTCAGAATTTAATTCTACGATGAAGATATTTCACTTCGGCCTTGGTTCAGCTGAATATTTTTTTTAACAGCGGGCCAAATATGTATTTAGTGAAACTTTACCAAACATATCAGAATTTTTACAACTAAACAAGCATTTTATTCATATCAATTCCAATAAATACATATTTTTTCTAGATTTTACTTTTAAAAGTTTTTGAACTCCATTTTGTCAGAACATTGTCTTTGTAGACTAACAATTTAGTTTTGAATTAGTGGGTCACCCTAGACAAATGATTTAAATTATTTGAGCCTTCAGTTTCTGTCATGGATAGTAACATCTACTTTGCAGCAGTGTAAGGATTTAATTGGATCACATATATAAGGACCTTAGCTCAATGCTTGGTATGTAAAGATTTGCAAAAATGAGTAATTTTCACTTTCTTCTTCCTTGGTGCCTATGCCTTTAATCTTTGAAATTGCTGTCATTAACAGTTTATGGACCATACAGGAAATTAAAATAATAGAAACACGGAAAGTTGGAAAGAGATGGAAACTCTGAGAACATTTACTCTATTATTTTCAACTTCTTGAGTAGTAAAATTCTTTCTTAAAATAAAATCCTATATCTAACCCCAATATATAAAACTGATCAAATCAAAGCTACTTTGATTGAAGCAGAGACAAAGGGCCCTGAATCCACCAATTTTCTTCTCCTTTACCCTAAGCACAGTGGGTTCTAGATCACCTCACTCCTATGGAATTTCAGCCTTTTGTAATGAAACAACAGAAAGTGTGAAGCATTAAAAATACTGTTTTTCTGGAAGACTGGCTTTCCCCCAAATTGTGTGCCTTGTGCAGGTCACTAAAACTCTTCGATTAAACTCTTTAGCTTGTTTTAATTTTTAATTTTTTTTATTTTTTATTACACTTTAAGTTCTAGGGTACATGTGCACAACGTGCAGGTTTGTTACATATGTATACATGTGCCATGTTGGTGTGCTGCACCCATTAACTCATCGTTTACATTAGGTATATCTCCTAATGCTATCCCTCTCCCCTCCCGCTACCCCACGACAGGCCCCGGTGTGTGATGATCCCCTTTGGAAATGAGCGGTCTGAAATATTCCGTTCTAAATCTAATTCATTCCATCTATTTTCTTTCTTTTGTCATCAAACTTCTTGAAGAAAAATATATAAATAATTTTATCAAAATTTACCAATTATGGCAACTTGTAATTTCAAAGATGGTAGCAATGAAATCTTCCTTCACGCTTGCTCTTCTTCAATGTGATCTTGCCACTCAATCAAGAGACAGACACTAACTTTCCTCCCCTTAAGCCTAATTACCCTTTCTTAGATCAGTGCTGCCCTTAGTAACTCACTTGTACCCAACACCATAAAGCCGCAGAATAGCACTGTATGGATTTCCTAGACTAAATCAGGAACGGCCATGCAACGTTTACCTGCTTCCCTTGCAAAGCTCACCTGCCAGATGTTCCCTCTGGACACTTTCTCTAAGAAACAACCCTGCCACCACGTTGTGGTGAACCCAAGCCAGAAGAGAAATCACTTGCAGGTGCCCTGGTCCATACTCCCAGCTGAACCCAGACTTCAAGCTATGCCAGACCAGGCACTAGACATGTGAACGACCTTCAGATGATTCCAGGCAGTCATTCAAGTCACTCCAAGCCAATAAAGTGTTCCCAGCTGAGACCCCAAACAAGCCACCCCCACTAGGCTTTGTCCAAATTCCTGATTGAAATAATTCATTAACATAATAAAATGGTTGTGCTTTTGCCACTAAGTTTAAGGTGGTTTGTAATGCAGGAATGTTACACCAGAACATTAACAGCCCTACTGCTGGCCATATCCAGTGTCCTTGACTCATGTTTCATCCTCTTCAACCTTGCAAGCACTCTTTAAAACTCTGTCTAAATATTACATTCATGACATAGGACTTATGATTCTCTTCCTATCATAATCTTTTTTAAGTAAAAATCCTTATTGGATTTCTCATTTCCTCTAGCAAACTCTTAAAAGAAGGTGTTTGTAGAGATCACTTCCTCAGCTCTCTTCCCTGCCATTCTCTCTTGACCAGCTCATCCAATACTAGGATTTAAATTATCACTTGATTTATTCGTCAATTCACTCAATACATCTTTGTTGAGCATCTACAATGTGTCATTGTAGGGACTGATGTGGGAGACATTATATAATATATAAATATATATAATATATAAATTTATAAATATATAATGTATAAATAAATATATATACATATATAAATATATATATATTATATATATGATTCTCCAGTTCTCCTCTCCTTTTAGGCCATAAGAAATACACTTCTCAGTTTGGTAAAAACTATTCCACTAGATGAAGCCAAAGAAATATGAATGGAAATAACATGTCATGAACCAGAACCATGAATTTAAAGTGAGACAAAGCATCATTATTTTCCCCACCTCCTTCCCCCAGAAACATTCAAATTTATATTCCTGATTCTCGAGTCCAAACATATCACTCTTTGTCCCCATTCAATCTTCAATGAATATCTATGGCCTAGTCAGTAGAGTCAACTAACAAAGCCCCAAGATCACTTATAGAGTAGCCCCAAACTATCTTTATGAATTTATCTCCATCTATGGTGTAAGAACTCTCAGTTCTTGCTCTCTCAGTTGATTTTATCATTTGACTGGATTCTTATTTTTTCTTAATTAAATGACAGCCATTTCTCTGTTATTCTCTATTCAATAATATTGATAATATATAATTTATTTAAGCCACACTAATTATTCTTCAACTTAAATCGTGTAACTTCTATCATGGTTCTAGTTGCTTCAAATTTAATTCTTGGAACATGATCGTTTTTCTGTCATTTTCTTAATTTTTCTTCCTCTGTGACTATAATCCTCAGTAATTGCTTTTGTTGTCTATAAGAACTCTCTTGCCCACCCAGATAAACAAGGGTGATTCCCTATTCAAAGATGCCATAAACATCCTCATTCCCTTCATTTCATTATGCTTTTGTACTCCATCTATAGCCCCAGATTTGATTATCTCAAACCTGACTGTGCATCAGAATAATTTAGGGAGTTTTAAAACACACATAATCAAGCCCAACTCCAAGAGCTGGTATAGAGCCTGGAGATGCTCTATTATTAGTAAATTTCCTGCATGGTTCAAGCCAAGGTTGGTCTCTAAACAAAGGATAGAATCACTATACCTCCTGATCCCATCAAAATTCTACTTTTCCTTCAAGATCCATGACAATAGTAGTAACAACTATTGCTTACATTGTGTTTATTCCATGTACCAGGCACTTATCTAAATGCTTTTATATACACTAGGTCACTTAATCCTCACAAGCACCATAAATCAACAAAGTTTAGACATAGCTTCTGCCCCAATCTCCACCGTTTTGCTCTTGGGCCCAGTTGTGGACATGCATTCAGCTTATAGGGATCTCCTACTTCTTCCCACTCAGGAGAAATAAAAATCTGGCCGCATAAGCAGGAAGTCAGAAAGATCAATAGCATCAGGCTGTCTGCTGTTGCCACTTGCTGTTGGATTCCTTACCTGCATATCGGCTCTTATTTCTGCTATGAATAACTCCACTGATTCACAATATTGAACTTAGCCTGACCCAGTGACTTTGGCTTCTACCGAGGGAAATCTGGAAGCCTGATAGTTCCTTCAGGCCAGTCTGCAGCTCCATTTCCAATAGAGAACACCTGCAGGTTATAAGTCTCCATACAGCAGAGTACTGACCTAGTGTATGAAACTTTGTACAATGTTTTGCTAAAGGGTCAACACATGCTTTCCCAGGTCCCTTCCTGGGAAAGATGTCAACTCATGGGAGACTATCCTAATTAGATAACTTCAAACAGTGACAACCTTGCAGATAAAAATAAGTGGGAAAAAAACTGTAAGACATATCTAGCTAGAATCCTATCAACAGTTGATTTTATTATTGGACTGGATTATTTTTCTTGATTAAATGACAACCATTTATCTTTAATATCATTTCTTATTTGATAAAATTGATAATATTGCATAACTTATTGAAGCCACACCAATTATTCTTTACCTTAAATTATATAATTTATATCTTTCATGGTTTTTGTCACTTCAAACTTAATTCTTGGAACATGTTCTTTTTTCTGTCATTTTCTTAATTTTTCTTCCTCTGTGACTATGATACTCCAGAATTGCTTTTGTTGTCTCAGCTGCTCTGTCTGGACTGCTTTCTGCTCTTCTAACTAAATGCTAATCAATTTCCACTCATTGCCTGAGGGGAAAAAAACATTTCGATTTTAAACTTTCCTTTCTTCTTCTGACTATAAAATAATACATAAAATTTGGAGGCAAGAAAATAAAAATCATACACAACCCAGAGGATTACTGCTAACAGTAATGCTATTCTTTCCAGCATTTGATATATGTAGATATAAATAACGATACTCACTTTCAAATTTGGGATAATGCTATAGATAATTTTTACTATACTTACAAAAATTAATACCAAATTTTGAGCACTTTCCATGTTCTTTGAAAAAGATATTTTGGGGGGCCTGGCTTATTTTTTTACTTTAGATTCAAGGGGTGCATTTGCAGGTTTGCTACATGAGTATATTAACTGATGCTGAGGTTTGGGCTGCCACTGATCCCATCACTCAGATAGTGAACATAGTAGTACCCAATAGGTAGTTTGAAAAAGATAATTTTAACATTTGGGAAGACTAGGGTTTTTAATGATTTTATAATACTTTTCCACACATGACCATGATTAATTTTTTTGTATTGTTGTAATGAGTTTTACTATTACAAATCGATTGCTATTTTTGCTTCAATGAACAATCATATTGCTATTTTTAAACTGTCATAAAGAACTTTGAGTAAATATCCTTAAACATAGATCTTGGACATACATAGGTCGAATTTTTCCCCATGTAGATTTCTAAAGTAAAATATTACTGAATAAAATGGTGCAAACATTTTGTTCCTTCCTTCATTCAATAAATATTTGTTTCGTACCTATTTTGTGTTAGACTCTATTTTAAACCCTGGAAATACAGCCATGGATAAGAGACAGCACCCACACTTAAGCAGCCTTCAGTTCAGCAGGGGATATAGTAATTACACAATTGCCCTTATCATCTTAAGTATGGAAATAATGGTAAATACAGTAGAAGTTCCCTTAATCAACTTACAATTATACAATTCTGGAATATCTAATGTCCTCCAGTCCTAGCCTTAGACTAATGGATTCCCCCAACACCACATACTCTTGGTTGGTTAACTACTTGCTCCTACTGGTTAAATTGTGTAGTTACCGAGAAAAAGTTTTATGTGCCCCCAAACCTATTTATATCAGTTGTACATGTTACTGTGATCACATAATTAACTATATAAAAACTGATGCTATTTGAATGTGAAATGCTTGAGTAAGAGTCAACAAAGACAAGTTACTAAAAATAGATTTCTGAAGAGTTAGATGTGAGTGAAAAAATATAAAAGATTTTTAAAATGGTGAGTGTAAAGAATCTGCTAAAGAATCTGCATTCAGATTATTCTGCAAGTGTCTTAGATTCTTGAATCCCAACTTGGAAATTTAGAGGATACATTATAAACTCTATTCAAAGGGCCCATCTCAGACAAAAGGCCTTAGCCTTCCATAACAGTTGGGTGAATTCATATATTTTGTGTGTGTTTTAAATTTTACAATTTCCTTCTTAAAGCCACCTGGGGACTAACTAATCACTGCTAATCTCAATTACACTGAGTAACTTATTCCTTAACAAAATCAAAGCTCTTATAAAATAGTTCCAAACTGCTTCTTTGAAAGCAGTTCAAAACAGCTTATTTGAAAGCATTATATATCTCTTTTTGCCATAAAATAGCTAGCACTTAGTATTTAGAATTGTTGCCAATTTGATATATATATATATATATATATATACACACACACACACAAATACATATATATCATTGTTATAATATACTTTTAGGAAATTAATAGTGAAATTGAACCAGTGTTTACATGTTTATTGAGAATTTGTATTTCTTTGTGAATTCCCTGCTGACCTTTATTCCTTATTGATTTGAAAAAGATTTTTAACATATGAAGGCTATTATTTTATTATCTGTCATAAATACTTTTGAAGCCTATTTCTACCATTTTAATTTTATTTATAATGTTTTTTAAGTGACCAAAGTTTTTAATTTTTACATTAAAATTTAGAAAGTTTTTTAATTTTCACATTAAAACTTCAGAAAGTTTTTAATTTTTATTTTTATATAATCAGATCCAACACTCCATATCTTTCTTTTCTAAACTTGTCTATGTCTTGTGACTTATATAACAACCAACAAATTTGATGGGGATTGCAATGTATTGATGGCAATAGAATCAAAAATTCTATATGAAAACCACATTTATTTGTTTTTATTTTCTTTTCTTTTATGCTCTTTCTCTGAGTTTGTAAAAATCAAAAATTATGTGGTGCACCTTTGTTATTTCCATATGCGATTCCTTCTCCACTCTTTAACACCTCTCCTTACAAGAATAAAAATGAATGTTGTTCTTTAGAGACATCATAACTCTTAATCTACAGGTAAAAAGCACTTCTAATATATAACTATCTTATTGGCAGTATTTACATATGACAGACATGCCCTTGGTGTAGACAGCATGTGTATTATATAAGATCTATTAATATTCCCTTAAATTAAATCATTTTGAATCTTTGAACTTCATCTCAAACATATCACTTATATATCTGAACTGCTGTTTGAAATTTTGTGACTGGGTCCATACATTCAGGCCTTCTTCAATAATTACTAATCAGATACCCACTCTTACTGAGACTTGGTGTTCAGTGCTGAAGATCACACAGAACAAGAGAAATATAGCTGCTGCGTTCCTGAAACTTACATTCTAGCAGGGGGTGGGGTAGGAGTGCGGGGAAGAGATGGCGAACAAATTATACCAATGAAAAGTGATTATAATTTTAATAAGCATTATGAAGAAGTGCAAAGTGCTACAAAAGCTTGTAATTAGGGTTCTTTAAGAAAATTATATTAGAGCTGAGCACTGAAGGATGGGAAATAATGAGCCAGTAGAATAGACATTTGAGTTGGCAGTGTGGCTCACAGAACTCATTGAAAATTCTATGCTGCCACATCTATTTTATGTGAACTCAGCTCCCAGACAGAGTTGATTAATGTGGGCATGGGCATTTGATCCAAGGTGAGACATTTTAGGGGACTAAATCTAAGAGAAGAGAATCAATGCCTTTCTGGTGGTAGAACAGTCAATGTAGGAAGTAGACTCTGCACATTCCTATGGATCTGTTCTCTGAATGTGAGGAAGGAAATTGCAGGAGGAAAAAATAAAATTGATATCAGAGAGGCATGGAGATAAAGGCATAGACAGAAGGGGAATCCAGGCAGCATTTCAGTTCTTGTTCCAGTTGATCCAAGGCCTGGATCACTCCTGCCCTTAATACAGTTATGTGAAATACTGGAATTTGCTTCCAATAAATCCCGCTTTTCCCAAAGCTAATTGAATATGAGTTTCTGTAACTCTCAACCCAAAGCATGCTTACTCACATAAGCAGGCAAAAGGGAAGAATCACATTCCAGACAGAGAAGACAATGTATGTCAAGGCTAAAAGCAGACAGAAGACACTGAAAGAATCCTTCGGGATGGAAAGAAAAATCATCCAAGATGAAGTAGTCAGGCAGGGAGAGCTAGGATCATGTGGGGCCTTTTGCGCATGTACAGGATTTGGGATTTAGCCTAGGAGCAATTTTCATATTCATCCTACTGAAGCACAAAGAGAAGCAAACAAACAAACAAAGGCAACTCAATGATTGAAAAATGTGCTCTTTCCAGGCATTTATTAAAAGTTCGACAAATATTTTTGAGCACCTATTGTATGCCAGGTCTTGCAGAAGTAGAGTGGAGTGAGGGGCAGCAGAAGAAAGAATAAACATTTGACTTTCCAGAAAACGTTATTAAAAGGTATGTTTTTCAATAATTTTCAAATAATTTTTGTTTTTCACAACTAGAGTAGGTGGCTGCTGGCATCTAATTGGTTGAAACCAGGGATGCTACCAAAATCTCCCTCCAACAAAAAGTTATCTGGCCCCAAATATCAATAGTGCCAAGGTTGAGAAACCCTGCCTTAGGGGGAAAAAGAAATAATGCAGGACTATTAGACATGAATAGAAAGTGCGCAAACGGTGGAGTATTTCCTCAGACTTGCTTTCTCAGATATTAAAACTTGGCTATGCCTCTGGGACACTAAAGCAGACAATTTTTTGTTCTCCAGGAACTTACAGTCTGGTGAGGAAGATGGGCAAGAAAGATGTAAACAGCAATGCTCTACGTGCTGAGATGCAAAGATGCAGATGAACTTGTTTTTCAGTGGGCAGACAAAGAAGGAATATCCAACCCAGTCTCAGGCTATTAGGAAGGCTATTTCTCTAGTGGAGAAATGTCTCAGTTGCTACATAAGAAGGAAGAAAGCAATTTGGAGAGTTCTCCAAGAACTAAAAATAGAACTACCATTTGATCCAGCAATTCCATTACTGGGCATATACTCAAAGGATAATACATTGTTCTACTGAAAAAACACACATGCCCTTGCATGTTTATCATAACACTACTCACGATAGCAAAGACAGGGAATCAATCTAGGTGCCCATCAACAGTGGATTGGATAAAGAAAATGTGGTACATACACACGATGGAATACTAGGCAGCCTGAAAATATGAAATCAGGTCCTTTGCAGGAACAGGAGTGCATCTAGAAGCCATTATTCTAGGCATATTAATGCAGAAACAGAAAACCAAATACAGCATGTTCTCACTTACAAATGGGAGCTAAACATTTGGTACACACAGACACAAAGAACAATAACACTGGAAGGAAGGATGAAAGAGTTGAAAACTACCTATCAGGTACTATGTTCACTACTTGGGCAAAGGGATCATTAGAAGTCCAAACGCAATATACCCAAGTAAAAAATCTCTACATGTACCCCCTGAACCTAAAATAAAAGTTTAAATTAAAAAAATAAGGCATAAGAGAAGGATCAGAGTCAATATAAGAATACTGAGAAAAAATTAGCCAGGCAAAGTTGACATAGACATGAGGAAAAGATTTCAGACAGAAGGAGCCTCATATGCAAAGATCTGGAGCCACGAGAGTGTACGGAATGTCCATGGAGCTCAGCTTCTCAGGATGTCTGGAGCAGAGAGCCCACAAAAGGCCAAGGCTAGGAGATACGGTTGGAGCAGTAGGTCCTTGCTGTCTTTAGAGGGGCAGTTATTCAAAACTGAATCCAGTGCTTCAGGAGTCAAGTTAATAGAGTAGAGTTGTGTCTTGGTGTATTATGAAGTGGGAAGCAGTGGCATTTTTAGGTTAATTCTGACTTAATATGCTTCAAGTCTATTTTTATATTATGTGCCTGACGTGCCTCAGTTCTGTATTTCACTGTGCCTGGATATTTATATCGAGAGTGTGATAAATCAGTGATAATCTTATTTGGCATGTTTCACAACCAGTCAGTTTGACTGACACAAGGAAGCAAATTATTATATTTTAAAACTTCTTAAACTCACTTTTGTTATAAGGCAGCTTATATATTAAATATCCACCTCCATTGTTTCTTGACAAATCTTCTTTTAATTTTATGTACATGTTAATTTTCAATGATATACTCTTCAACCAGAGAATAGACAATATGCCACACAGATTCTAGGAATATAGTCTCAACCAGGGAACTGCTTGAGAGATGGCAGAATAAATGAGCCAGCCCAAAAATCTCAGATATAGCTCTTTCACTCTCTGGATATTAAAGACCTCCAGTTAAATCAAGAGTTTACTGTTTTCATGACCAGCCTATTAAAGGAACAACGAAAACAATGGTCTGCTGCTTTTCTAGAGGGGTTGAATTCAATTTCTCTTCAACACAGTGGGAAAGTGAGGATGGTGGTAGACAGGTAGATATTTGGGAGACCAATAAGAGGGTCATGAGGGAAATTTAGAATTTAAGTAAAGTCAAGACCAACAGTTAGATGCCAAAAATTATAGCAGTACCTGAAACCAAGGTAAAGCAAGGTCAACCATCAACATAAAAGTGTCAAGATCCCAGTTGTAAAAGAAACCTAATACTGGCACAAAGCCTATTCAAATGAATTCATCAAAGACATAGAGTCTTTACTACACACAGGACACTATGTTCATCCATGTGTCCTGCTGGAGCAGGAGGCAATACTAGCAAGAGGCCGGACAATGGTCTGCTTGTACCAGTAGGTGAATCTCAGTATAAATGTAGTCTATGAACACTATATCCACCATGGACAATGTGCAATCACAATGAGCACAACCCTGGCAGGACAGCTGTATTATATTATGTCAAAGTCTTTCTCCTTTCATTCAAAACTTGAATAACAGTGAAAATGGGACTTCTACTCACCCCTGCCTCAAAATAAGGTATTTGGGAATAACCTGTCTCAAACCAGTACATTTCACATAAGGCCAGTTCAAACAATTGAAGGATACAAAGTTAACCAGGTACCATTTATTGAAGAGACTGGTCTTTCTCTATTGTGTGTTCTTGACACCTCTGTTAAAAATCAATAGGCTGTAAACATGTGCATTAATTCCTGGGATCTCCATTCTATTGGTCTATACGTCTGTTTTTATGCCAATACCATGCTGTTTTGGTTACTATAGCTTTGCAGTATATTTTGAAATCAGATAGTGCAATGCCTCCAGGTTTGTTCTTTTTGCCTGGAATTTCTTGGAATATTTGGAGACTTTTGTGTTTTCATACAAATTTCAGGATTTTTTTAAATTTCTGGGAAGAATGTCATTGGTATTTTGATAGGAATTGCATTGTATTATATATTTCAAAATAGAAAAGGGAATTTTTAATGTTCTCATCGCAACAAAGACACATGTATGAGGTGAATAATATGCTGAAAACCCTGATTTGATTTTTACATAGTGTATCAAAACATCACATTGTATCACATAAATATGTACAATTATTATGTGTCCATAAAACAAAGTTTAAAGGTCAACTGTCTGATAAATGGTGTATTCAAATTGGTCAAGAAAGAAGATGGAGAAAGATGGAAGACCAAATAGAGCCCAGACAAACCGTCATGATTGGAGTTCCTTGCCACTCCACTTAATGACTAGTCAGTATCAGAAAAATATTACTCTATAAGAAAAATACGAGGGGATTCTAATGGCACTGTCTCCATAAGGACATTTTTTTTTCGCTCAAGATTCAAAGCGGTATAGAAAACAGCCACGTTTAACACTAGATCATGAGTCTTCTCAGCCACATAAATAGGTTTATTATGCACACGGGAAAAAATAGGAGAAGAAAGAAGAGAACAAAAATATGGTATATGGTATAGTTTGCTCAATTAAACAGCTTCCCCCACATGACAGAACTTGCCCTTTATATTAGGAAGGTCAAATGGCTAATATCAAGTGCAACTAAGCGCCCTTGTTCTAAAGGCAGATGCTATTTCAGATCAGCATGTTTTTTTATTTTTTTTTTAAGTTGAACTCTGTTGTCCTTGAAAATGTCAGGTACAAATCCTTTGAAATGTCTGACATTTTCAAATTCCAAGCAATGAATTGTCTAAATCTGTATGGAGAATAAGAAGCAAAGTTAAGAACCTAAGTTTATTCAGGTTTGTGAGTTTTTATAATGATCCCATTTAAAAGATTCTCATGTCAAAGTCCAGTGAACTCATTAAAATACTTCCTAGAAATCAAACTAAAGCATACATTCTAGATCAGAACAAATCCAATGATACTTACTCTTTTAAAAATCTCAAAGGCATGAAAAGCCCTAAATATTTGATGGCATTTTAATTTAATAAAAAATGAAAAATACAAAAGAGTAACCACAGACCGAAACACTGGGATAAAACCAAGAGCTATTTAACATTGAAGTAGACATCTTTCTCTTTGAAATGCTCTGTACATGTCACATGTAAACTTAAACCACATTTAGTAGGGCAATCAAATCCTCTCTCTGAGAAATCTTTACTTAATATTGAAATTCACGTCTCAGATTTAGTGTATGACTGCAACTGATCACTGTATATGCTTAAGAGAAGATGGGTGGGCATATTCATGGAGACACAAAGCTGGCCCACACAAGGAAGAAGAAACCCGACATGCAGAGGGGAAGTTGAGATGAATCACCGTATGGAGAGAGAGACTAAGGGAATAGCTACCTTGGGTCTCAGAAAATGTTCAGTAGGCCTTTAGGCAGGAGAATTGAGACAAACTTTAAAACAAATTTACCTCCCTAAAAGCATATGGGGAAAAAGAGGGCAATCATGAAAAGTTATTTCAGATGGTCCTTTCTATATAAAACTAGAGATCTGGGACCCCTGAGCCAGATAAAGAAATTATTTCCGAGTTTGCTGAACGGCTCTGCCACACTCTGTTCTTAAAACAAAGCTGGTGTACTGCTAGGGAAGCAGTGGGACTCCAGATATTGGAAAAAAAACTGCATTTAAGAGAAACAAAAAATGAGGCTGACCAAACAACCACAGAAAAAACAACAGGAAAAATTCGGAACACTATTTACCATTTTACTTTGCTTTGGATAGTCCATACTTAGGATAGTAATCTGTAATACACAGAGTAAGTTTTCAAAGGGTCATAATGGGAAAAGTCTGTTTTTGATGATTAATTGAAAGAGTTGGGGATGTGAAGCCTGGAAAAAAGAGATCTCAAAGATGAGAAGATGAGAGTCTGCAAATATTTAAATGTCCATTACATAGAAGAAATAGTCATATAAGCCTTGCTCTCCATTTTCAATTGATTGAAATTATGTGCCAGATGTTACCTTCAAGTTTGGAAGTAGATTCATATATACACACATAAATACGTAAACAAATTTATAAAGATGTGAAACAGAACTTTCCAACAAGTTTGAACAATTTGATCTCTCAAAAAATGTAGGTGAACTTGTGAAGTAGCAAGCTGTGTTAACACATTCAGCTGAAGACTGGTCAGGAGCATTGTAAAGGGGAGTCATGCATTTATTAGGGCTTAGAGCACATAGCTTCCAAGTGTTTGTTCAGTCCTGAAACTGAGTCAATATGGTTACTTGGAAAGAGAAAATGTACAGCATTAAGAAAATTATGCACACCTGGCTTATAAGAGGTAATCATAAAAATGTTTAATAATTTATGTACAAACCTAGATTATTGAGAGAGGTGGTATTTTAAAAGATGACAGTTTTGTAAACTTGTACTTTTTCATTATTCATTTAATAATTTCTGCCCTGGAACAGGCAAATGAGACCCAATGAGAATCCCACATTAAACTATTTCAACATTTTAGCCAATAAAGAAATATTTCAGCCTTGAGCTTAAGACTTTGACATTAAGTGGCAAACATCTCCACTTTGAATAAGATTGACATATTTCTAAGAGGCTTTCTGAAAACTATTTCCAGGCACTTTCAGCAAGACTGAAATCTGTTCAAGTATAAATTCAATATTTCAATACTCAGAACTGAATCATGTGTACGGAGTCATTTGTCAAAATAGAATAAAAAGTTTGTTTTATTATTATTGCAACAGTACACGAGAAAAGCTTTTCTACATATTTTCAAATGATTATTAATTCTTTGAGATACAGAAATTAATATTGCCAAGATTAAGGTCTTAGTTATTTAGGCTAAAATGGATCATTTTTATAGGAATTAGGTTTTAAAGCTCATTACACTCAAAGATTTCCATTATGATCTAATTTGAAATGAAAGTAAACAGAAATAACAATTTTGTTCTGCTAAAATAGGAAGTCACTGTGCTTCAATAAAATATCACAGCACAGTTACAGGAGAAGCAATAAATAGGCTAAGATGCGTGGCTCATGAACAATTATCAGCCATGTGAGAATTCATTATTAGTTTCTAGAAAATCATCTTTGTTTGTGAGGCATCACTAGCTGTTTTCCCAACCATAGATGGTATGTTGTTGTCTGCCTTGAAAACACTCATCTGGCAGTATCACAGAACTTAAAGAATATAGACATTGTGTGTGTGTATATATATATATGTGAATATAATGCAAAGCAACTATCCAAAATTCAAGGAAATTTACCATCATGTTGAGTTCAGGACCACCTACAGAAAGATGCCTAGGTCACAAGAGATTTAACATGATGAAATGGTCTGCTTGAACTGGTAACTGTGGGTTCCTGGGGAAAAAGTTAGCAGAGAACAAACAACAAAGGTATTTCATAAATATAATAAAGTCAAATGAAAAACTCCAAGAAGTTTCCAAGGCAATTAGTTGAGTTGGCATTATAAATCTCTGGTGCTTGAGAAGGCTCCAGCCTAATCATGCCCGTAGCAGTTGTAGTACTGGCAAAAATATAAGCTTTTCTTTATTATGACACAGGCCATCCAAGAAGACTATTGAACTTTAAATTATTCTTAATAGCTTTAATGAGGTTCCCCTGTTTTAATTTACTCAATCAGAGACACAGTCTCTAAGAAAAAAAAAGGAAAAGTATACAGAGACTCTAAATATACCCAAGTGTTTGGTCACCCCCAAGTTCTGGTCTCCAACACACCAAGCCAAGTCTTCTCATTGCCTTGTGGCACCAGGACAAGTGACACAGTTACCTTGAAACATTGCATCATGGACGATTGTGGCTTCAGGATCAAACTTTGGTTTCTTAACAAGATCTTTAACACAGAAATTTTCCCTATGAAGAGTTGGTATTAGGTCTTTGAGAGAAGTTCAGATTTGAGACATTTTTTTAATCCCCTAGAGGTAAGCATGGTAGTTTAGTATTCTTCTGGGGTGATTATCCATTTTCCAAAGAGACTATCTTAGCATTTGGACTTACAGCCACATATTTTAATGTTCCCCAATGTGTCTAGAGGCATAAGCAATTATTTGATAACTCCAAAGTCTAAAGTGTTTTGTTACTAACACTCATATAAATGATCCACAAAATAAGGTTCTACAAGAATATAAAGTGTCCAAACATACCATATGGAAGGAGTCCAAAATATTCCTGATAGAATATAAAAATGGTTTCCTAATCCCATTTTATAAGACCATAATTCCTTCACTAACACTACAAGGGAATAGTTGTGTTTAGCCACAGAATTCATTTTATAAAATAAGCTTTTATTCAGCTTTGCACAATGGTATTGAAAGTCCTATTGGTCTATGTTTTGAAATAAAAATACTATATTTTGAGCCAAGATTGGGAATCCAGACCCACTTTGAAATATGAAACTTTAGCTAAAGAGCAACAAAAGTTGATCTTGAAAAAATAGGGATTCTAGAACTGATCAATAGCAATATCCTAGAGCATCTTCATAGGTGCTGTCACTGTATGTCTGGTATACCAGACGGATAGACTTTTTTCTATATTTACTAATGCATCAAAAATATTGTTGTTGTGACTGGACAGCCCATATTCCTCAGCACACCTTCTTCAAGGTATTAAGATGTTGGGCTCTTTCTTTTCTGAGCAAACAAAGAGTCAACAGGATTTTCTAAATGATTAGATTTAAAATTCAAAAATACCTGTGTAAGATGAGTGATAATCATTCTAGTACTTCTACCAAAGTGATACAGCATTCTCACTAACAAGACAATTTCTTGTTTATGACTTATTTAGGGAAAGGGAAAAGTTTATCATTTATTTAGGAAACTTATACTCTGATAAAATAAGACCACAATCCCAAGATAGATTCAAGTAAGAAAACCTTTACCATTTTTAAATGCTTCCATAAAATAAAGGTTAACTTGATTATAACTATTGTCTTTGCTTACATAACTTAAACATTATTTCAATTAAAATAAAAACTTAATTCTTGATTAAACTAAAACTCTAATTGCATCCACGAACAACTGTCCACCCAATGATAGCTCTGAAAATAATAGTCACATTTTGGTAGAGGTATTTAATTTCCTCTACCAAAAAATACAAAGCGATTTCAATAACTGTGACATTAGTGTGGTAAAAGGTCTGCAGTTTCAAAATCCATGCTATTACTCCAGAGAAAGTGAAAACTTGAGTTCATCTCCCAGGAGTATTTCATCAAACAAGCGACTTTGTGATCATAGCTTGCAGTCTTCCTTTCCTCCTTACTTCCCACACAGGTTCCTCATTCTTCTCTTAGCTGCCCTCCAACCAACTACACTTTCCTTCCCACACAAGTCTTTTACTTACCCGCTACACAGCAACTATCTCTTACTTTCATCGACCCACTCAGGCTGACACATATTTACTCACTTCCTAGTAATTTTACTTTTTTGTTCAACGTTAAGAAGAACTTTTCTGTATTATCTCTTCTGCTGTTGTGATTATACACATGCACACATTTTGTCCCTCTCTGCGAATAGATAAGAGTTTATTAAATACTCACTGTGTTCACAATTTTATTAAACTAAAGTGTTTTTTCTTAGTTGAGGAGTTCCTTGACAGCATAATAATCTATTCATTTTCATAGTCTCTTGGTACTTAAGTAGTATCTGGTACAAATAAATGCTCAATACATATTTGTTGAATGAATGAATGATAAATAAATTACTGGGAAATAAAATGTTTGGAAGAAAAGAAACCCATAAGAATTTTATATTACTTCTGAAATTTAACTGTCCTCAATTTTGGACATGTATACATTACTTTGAGAAACGCATTACATGAAAAATGCGTGAGAGAATTACGTTAGGATATAATTATTTGCATGTCAACATGATTAACCTAAAAGGAGTGAATTTTCTTCAATTAAAATGAACTTTCTTACAAAAGTTTGTCTAACAAAAATTTTAGGAAAGGAAAAAAAATTTAAAGCAAAGTGCATCACCTATCTTTGACCCAAAAGTCTGCAGAGCATGAGCAGTTTTTGCCACAGTGTTTCATAACAGTGTTAGAGCTGCGTGTCTTTGTCAGGAAAAAAAGACCAGCAGTAAGGGTGCTTTTATTTAAGTAACATCTGTTTTGAGATATGACATTTGCAGAGTTAGAAAATAATACATAGGCTATAACTACTATACAAATAACCCAATAACTGATTAAAAGGGCATGCCAACATGTTTTCTTCCTGAATTCTCTATTAGTGGGCTTGTCAGTTTTATCTACAGTTGATTTTCATTTCTCTGTATAACGCCAATCCAGTTTGTTTCAAATCAGAAACAATTAATTCAATTGATGGATTTTCTCGATATTAACCTTCCAGTGAGTTAGCTATAACTTCAAAACTCATTATAAAACAGCTCACTTTTTTTCTACTAACAGGTGACACTGAGATTCCTCAAAATACTCCTACAGATACACATTTGCAAACGCAGATGAATTGCATGTATGGGCAAATAAATCGGAGCTGGTTATTATATGTATGATATCACATTTCAAAAGAGCAAAACAACTCCCCAGTATGACCCATACTTTAATTTTCTTTCCCAAGAAATGTCTTTAAAAGTTTATTAAGTGTTCATTTTAAATAATGTGCTCACTGTGTATAGGAATTTGTATTTTGGAGGTGCTTGATCTATCTACAAATAAAAATTAATTAGGAATGACCTTATTATAAAATGCTCCTAAAAGTCTTAATTGTACTTATTTAAAAATAAAAAGTGAATGCTAGACTTGTGTGCATGGAAGTAATTATGGTACATTATTATTGCAGTTTAAAAGTTGTACATAAGATATTTTGTTTTTACTGTATGTTTTTACTGAATGAACTATTCCCCATCCCAAGGCAATCATGAATAAAATTAAGTTAAACATAGCGTGTGGCATCACAGTCTCTTAGAATTTGTTTCATCTATTTTATTGAACACTGTATCTTCAGTTATCCTGTTTGAAGAAAAAGGACAAATAAAACATGGCCAGCAAAAAAAAAAAAATAAGTTTCAATATTTATAATAGTATTATCAGTAAAATTAAAAATTTGCATATAGCAGAAACAATAATATGTTACATTGGTAAGATATTACTTTGGTAAGATATTTATGGTAGGTACTTTTTTTTTTTTTAATGGAGTCTTGCTCTGTCACCCAGGCTGGAGTGCAGTGGCACGTTCTCAGCTCACTGCAACCTCCACCTAGCAGGTTCAAGCAATTCTCCTGCCTCAGCCTCCTGAGTAGCTGGGATTACAGGCACCCGCCACAACGGCTGGCTAATTTTTTGTATTTGTTAGTAGAGACAGGGTTTCACCATGTTGGCCAGGCTGCTCATGAACTCCTGACCTCAGGCGATCCACCCTCCTCGGCCTTCCAGAGTGCTGGAATTACAGGCATGAGTCACTGCGCCCGGCCATGGTAGGTACTTTCAAAGAATTTTCATATGCATTTTCATTTTAGGTCTTTATACCAATCCAGTGCAGAAAAAAGAGCATCTATTATTCCTATTTTACAGATAAACTAAAATGTTCAGAGGTAATATGTTTCACCCAAGTGCATTCAGCTCAAACCCTAAACACTTCTGACTTTAAATTTTCTCCTAGTCTTTGAATCTGTTTATTCTACAAATGTAGTCTTCTGTACTCATAATGAACTTACAAACTATTTATTTAGGGAAGTAGACATGTTCACCATGAGTGATCATCTAAGCACTCATTTTGCTTGGTAAATTTAATTCCCAGCCTAGTATCTTGCTTATTTATTTTCATAATATCCAAATATCATGGCTAGACTTAAATCACTAAGTACATAACTTTCTATTACACAGATACTCAACATATTAGTGATATAGAAAAGAAACTAAATGTGGAAAACTAGAAACTACAGGAGACACTTAAATTATTTTCCAGTGGTCATATTATTATGAGAATTGTCAAACAGTACGTTTTAGTGACTTGATAAGGAAGGCGTTCACAGAGCCAAGACTAAAAGCCTAGTGTGACTGAACAAAAATTTAGGTACTTTAGACGGTCTCACCTTTCTTTTTTACACGATGCTTGTGAAAAACATCTGGATAAAGGAAATTATAAGATATACAAAATAACTTTTCCCTCAAATATTTTGCTATGTGAATTCTTTAACACATAGATTGTTGATCTAGTTATTATATTAGTTCCTCCAAGTCCTTAAGATCTGTTGAATCTATACGCTATTAGGACTTTTACAAATTATCATTAATGACAAAAAATAGCACTATGAAATTGCTGTCATAATTACAAGAACTGACTAACTCTAGGTCATGCATTTTCAACAGGGGTGATAGCATCCCCCAAAAGGGTGAGAACTGGTTCATAAAAGGTGAAAAAATCTTACTCTGTATAAATCACAGATATACATACAGCACATAAACCAATATATAGTATACCTGTGGTATTAAAATTTTAAGGGAGAGGGATCAGTTAGGAAAAAAAAGTCTAAAGAAGCTCCTCAGAGGGCAAAATTGAAAAAAAAGATTGACAAGCACTTCTCTAAGTAAGTAAGCATTAGCAAGCTACTCTAAGTTAAATAATTCAATAATTTTTTTTACTTCCTTTAAGGGGATGATCAGTCATTGTAATATGTTAAATATATTATCTTATCTAAATATATTATCTAACATATTATTATCCATTATATTTTATATTATGGAATGCTTGTTATCTGTACAGTATCCACTAAATACCTGGAAACAAATACTTTTCAATTAATGAATTGTGCATGATCAAAAAAGAATAAATGCTTTATTGTTTTCAGCTCTTTTTAAGGCATACAACTATGCAATAATGGTATAACTTCATTCAGTGACTATAAACCCACCAACACCAGGAAATCTATCTTTTATTTTCTGAAATAGGAAGATTTATTCTCCTCATGGTAGACTGGTTTGGCTTTGAGATTTTATTTTTTAAAATTCTTGAATCATCTAGTATAAACAAACATGAGAGAGGAATTACAGTGAAAGATTATTCATTTCATAGACGAAATTTTAAAGTATGCAATACCTCACCCTCAAATATATTAAAAACTAGAAAGAAAATCTAAACCTTTAAATGAAAATATAGAGAGATGACATTTCTTCAATATAATGGTAGAGACTTTTCAAAAGTCAACATTATTCTTAATGCTGGAACACCAGCGCTATCAACTTAAAATAGAAAAAACAAAGATATCTGCTATCATGATTGATTTCTTAAATTCTTCTGTAACTTCTATTCAACATTTTGAAATATGAAATCTAAACTTCAGCATATTTAAAGGAAAAGACCATATCATAATTATATTTATTCTAGACACTGTTAGGAACAGCAGATGTTGAACATGAAAGACATGAATCTAACCTCAGAGAGCTTACAGTTAAGTGAGAAAAATAAACATTAACAAATAATTATACAAATATTCAATTAGTTACAATTGTGATGAGATGTAAAGAGTGCAAGGGGCCATGGGACCATATAACAGGGAAACTAACCTAGAGGGATAATAAAGGATTTCTAGGGGAGATAATAGTCATGAATAATGGCCTGAAGTTAGATGGACAAATAAAGCAATAAAACCCGAAAAGCACACAGAGGGGAATGTGGCATAAAGGGGCATAGTGCCTTCAAGAAATTGCCAAAAAGAAGCTCTGGATCATTCTGAGTAAGGGAGAAGCTGCCCAAAGGAGGGAACAGGCACAAATCATGCAGGGCTTTGTCATCCATGTTACAAGTTTTAAATTTAAGAGTTCTGGCCGGGCGCGGTGGCTCACGCCTGCAATCCCAGCACTTTGGGAGGCCGAGGCGGGTGGATCACGAGGTCAGGAAATCGAGACCATCCTGGCTAACACGGTGAAACCTGTCTCTACTAAATATATAAAAAATTAGCTGGGCGTGGCGGCGGGGGCCTATAGTCCCAGCAACTCCGGAGGCTGAGGCAGGAGAATGGCATGAACCTGGGAGGCGGTGCTTGCAGTGAACCGAGATTGTGCCACCGCACTCCAGCCTGGGCGACAGAGCGAGACTCCATCTCAAAAAAAAAAAAAAAAAAAAAAAAAAAAAAAAAAAAAAAAAAAACATGTTCTAAGTAGAGAAATAAAATTATCAAACGTTTATTTTTAAAAGTTCACTTTAGCACCTGGGTCGACAATGGATAAGAGTCAGGACATTTTGGATAAAAGACAAGCCGGGCACGGTGGCTCACGCCTGTAATCCCAGCAATTTGGGAGGCCGAGGGGGGCAGAGCACCTGAGGTCAGGAGTTCGAGACCAGCCTGACCAACATGGAGAAACCCTGTCTCTACTGAAAATACAAAATTAGCCTGGCGTTGTGGCAAGTGTCTGTAATCCCAGCTACTCAAGAGGCTGAGGCAGGAGAATCGCTTGAACCCAGAAGCAGAGGTTGCGGTGAGCTGAGGTCGTGCCATTGCACTCCAGCCTGGGCAACAAGAGCGAAACTTCGTCTCAAAAAAAAAAAAAAAAGAATTGCAATAGTTCAGAGAAAATAAAGGCTATAGAGATGGAGGATGATGGTCAAATGTGAGAGATAACTAGGAGTTAAAAGGAACTGGATTTCACAATTGACTGGATGGCAAGAAAGGTGTCAGAGATGATCCCAAAGACTGGCTTGCACAACAGGGAACAGAGCGAGTGAGCTGTGGATAGGAAAAAATGTGGCTGAGAATGCTTTCTGAACCTTCAGAATTAAACAGCAGCTGCTCTGAGAGGTCAAACAGAAAGCCAGAAGGATAATGCCATTATTCTTTGACTTCACAGCAGCAAGATCCAGGGGTAGGAATATCCTGAGAACCTGGAAAGGAAGCTCTATCAAGTCCAAAATTAAATGCACATGTTTGGTGCCTGTCAAATCAACTCCCATAAATACTAAGAAGAAATCAGTCAGAGTAGTAGTTCCCCAGTGGAACTAGCTACAGCTTTAGAATGTACAATTTATATTCTGAGAGCAGGATTCCAACAGGATATACACGAGGAGGGAAAATTCAAGTCCCACCCACCCAGTTTGGGACAAATAATAGAAAACGATGAGAAAAATAGGAAGAAAAATCAAAATGAAGGCTTGTAGAAAGATATTGTTAAATGAGAGGAAGATACAGTATTCTAAAAGCAATAGCATAACATTACTTAAAAGTATACTACAAGAGTGTGAGAAAAAAGAAATACTGGTCAAAGGGTACAAACCTTTAGCTGTAGGAAGAATAAGTACTGCAGATCTAACATACAGGATAGCAACTATAGTTAGCAATGTATTTTATACTTGAAATTTGTTAAGAGAGTAGCTCTCAAGTGTGCTTACCATACACAAAAATGGTAACCATGTGAGGTGATGAATAGGTTAATCAGCTTGTGGTAATCATTTCATAATGTATACATATATCAAAACATTACATTGTATACCCTAAATATATGCAATTTTTATTTGTCAGTCATACATTAAGAAATCTGGACATAATTAAAAATACAAGAGGCAAAAATAAAGTTTACAAAGCATCTGCTTTGTACTTTCATATAGTTCAGGAAACATGGACCTGATCAATTTAATGTTTAGGGATGAGCTACAATAGAGGGTGAAGTAAAAATATGAAGTTGGAAAAGAGATATGTGGAAATAAGACAGAGAGTGACAAGATGAGGAAGAGTATAAAAAAAATTTAAAACAGCTAAATTAAAAACACTATTAGTGTTTTAATTTTTGATGGCGGATTAAAAAAATGGATTTAAGTAGGAGGAAATGGCAACAAAACCTTGGAACTAACTTACTGGACTCAAGAAAGCAGAATCTCTAGACTGGTAACACAGAATTATCATAAGGATGGCAAAACTGGAAGCATCACGTCCATCCTGGAAGGAGTGAGGGCTATAAGTGGGAGCATTTCTGAAAGCTGTCTGAGAGGCAATTACATCTCTAGTTACTATCCATCATTCCACATCAGTGTGTGGCTGCCCTTCCACCAACCTGGTAGCAGGTTGGAAGTTTTTTGTTTGATTGGAGGGTTTTTTTGTTTTGTTTTTTAAGAGACACAGAGTTATCCTCTGAACTGGGAAACACAAGACAGAGTAGAGGGTATGTAGGCACTGTACTGAAAACAAGAGAACTGAATAAGCTACAGAATGCTGAACTTGTAACACACTCCCACCCTAACTGCTTTCACCCCTCAGCTCTCCAACAACTTAAGCCAAGAAGTAAGCTTCTTATGTAAAGAACCTGAACAGTCCAAAAGAGAAAACCTAAATGTATTAACACTAGTGGTTCTCCAACAAGAGCCCTACTGCATCATTCTACATTGAGTCTCAGTTTTTACAAGAGATTTCAGAGTAGACAGTTTGGAATTATCAATTATTTGAGGAAAGCTTCTAGTATAGAAGACAGAAGCCAAAATAGCAAAGTCAGCACAAAATCTTAGAAGGAGAGACTATGCAATAAAAAATAATTTTAAATGGAGGACATGAGAATATTCAAAAAACAAAAATGAAGAGCACTTAGAAATTAAAAGTACAATAAGAAGATACAAAATTTCACACAGGTTTGGTAAATAAAGAAATCTCCCCCCAAAAAATTATAGCAGAAAGATACAGATGAAGGCAGGAGAGGAAACAGCACTGCTAGAAGACAAGTTTAGGAGATCAAACAGCCTAACAATAGGACATCCAGAAACAGAGAGGGGGGAAGATCCTCAAATAATTCAATACATATTTTCACAACTGGAGGATATGAATTGCCAGATAAAAGGGTCCAAAAATGCACAGCTCAGCAGTTCATAATGGATCTTCACCAAGATATACATCATTTTAAAATTACAGAACAGAGTCAAGCAGAAAAGAGAGGGAGGAGGGAAAAAGGTCACAATCAAAGGATAAAGATTATAAATAAGAATCATCTTAGACTTTTATAGCAGCAACAGTACAGTGAGAAAATAATGGAGAAATATCTTCAATATTCTACAGGTAATTATTCCCTCCATAGAATTCCATACCCAGCCAAACTATCATTTAAATATGAGGGTATAATAAAGATATATTTAGAAAAGCAAGGTTTTAAAAAATAAATTTCTTACTTATGTTTTTCCTCAAGAAACAGCTAAATGATATGCTTCACCAAAATGAAACAGTAAACTAAAAAACAATGAAGATATATCAGACCCTGGAAATGTATCATCATATGTAAGAGATGGGAAAAGGTAATTGTCAGGATGATAGTGAAGAGAGATCCCAGGATGAAGTATGTACACCAGATGCAGAGGAAAACCAATCCAGACCAGAGCAGTGACTCACAGGGCAGACACATTGAGGACTGTTCTTTAACAAATGCCTGCCATCCTTGTACTGCCTTTTTAGCCTAAAAGAGATGCTTAGGTGAATCTGGCTCAGATTCTTGTCTCAGTTTGTCTTGGCAATAAGCTGATGACATTTTTGCTTTCTCTCCAGTTATTTTCCCCTGAGATATTCTGCCTGACTCAGCTGAGAACACTCATTTCAGCCATAGCAAAGTATGTTGCATTCACCTACTCTTAAGAGCTGGAAGTATGTCTTAATGAGCTTGGAAACATAAAATGCCAAGTATTTTATTCTCTATAGCCACATTCCTGTGGGACATCTACAACCTGTACTAGGCTACTACTTTTACATGTCCTGACTGTAGCCACCCTGTTTCATACATGGGCTTGTCTATTAAGCTCTGCAGAAGAATCTTAAACTATTAAGGAAGCTGAATTCAAATTTTGATCCAGAACAACAGGGGTGGGAGAAAGGAGACAGTTAGCTTTCTATGAAATGCACTTAAAATATGCTCTTTATTTAACATGTATATTTATATTTCATCTAATAATATATTATCATTTAGCTATTTTTTTCTGTATTATGACTATAGGCAAAAGAGTTTTGAAGTAAAAATAAATATATATTTTTAAATTTCTGTATCGTGCACTCTACTGGATGCTTCAGAATTATTTTAAAAATCACATTAGTAGAAATAAAGGTTAGAATCAAATTACAGAAATGGCTTATCATTGAGGAGAGTCAACTTAATATATGAGAAAGGCAACGTGAAAAAGCATTATCAAAAATGAGAAACAGCTTGCCTGATACAGAGAACAGAAAATAATGATCCAACTTAGATACTAAATGCTCCTGGGAAGAAATAACACCAAAAAGATAAAAGCATCAAAGACAAAATAAAAGTAAGATTTTATTAGAAAGTGGAAACCTAAGTTTGAAAGGTTTCACTCAATATTAAAAGACACAAAGACACAAAACCCATGTCTATCTAGATATCTATCTAGAGATGGGTTATATGTCTTTTAATATTGATCTATCTATTGATAGATATGCATGTTTATTTTTTGAATTCAAGGGTAAAGAAACTATCTTAAAAGTATCAATATTGCCATCCCCCTCCCCTCAAAAAAAATTACCTACAGCTAGTAAAGAGATAAACCTGGATTAAAATTCAAATTGTCTGTGTCTCTGAAACTGTGCTACTATACTATATGCTAATTGACTGAATGTAAAATTTAAACTACTGACTGTTAATTATTTATAAAGAGCTCTTATAAAGCCATAATAAAAACAGTGTCTACTAATACAATGAATAAAATATATGAAAAGATGATTAAAAAATATTAATGGTCAATAAACCAATAGAAGTTTTACTTATCATCTTTAGTAATAAAAAATCACAACTTAAAAGAGGATGAAATTGGAAAAGATTAAATAGAATAATAAATCTCAGTGTTGGTAAGGGCTTATAAATACAGGCACTCATTCTCTGCTAATGAGAACATAAATTGAGAGGTTTACAATTTGACAACATATATCAAAATGCATACATTTTAACATGTATAAATGTTAATAAATTAACATTCTATGAATCTAGTCTAGATCATTTTTGTTAGTGCTATTTTATACTTTCTAAATATCCTGAGTACAAATCATTTTTATAATTAAAAGTGTCATTGTCAAAACATAGTAACATTTTAGAATTTGAGTCATTTGACCTAGTAATTCCCGTACTACAAATCTAGACTAAGTAAATAAACAGATATGGGGAAAAACAGTTATATATGTGAATGTTTATTACAGCATTATTTTTACTAAAAATGAAAGGAAATAGCTCAAACACTTAATAATATGGTATGGTTAAATAATTTTCAAAGGAAATGTAAAGAAATGCTCACAAAAAGTGAGAAAGTAAGACACAAATCTATAAATACAGTATAGTCTTAATATGAACAGTATTTGAGAGTTAATAATGGTGTATGTGTAGTAGAATTACAGGTATTTTAAAGTTTCTGCTTTACATTTTTCTATATTTTTCAATTTTCTCCAACAATAGTTTATATTTTATATTCTAAAATATAAAAACATTGTTTTAAACATTACATTTGAAAAGGATATAACTGAAAATATACAAATGTAACCAAGCTTTAAGAGTTATATAAGAGTCTCAAATTAATAATAGAAACATTGAGTTGGCAAATAAATTGATAAATTATCCAAATAATAGAAACGAAAATACTTCAAAATTAACTTTATCCATTTATTAGTATTCAAAAGTATAAATTAAAATATAAATAAGACACTATGTCTAGACCTTCTCATTTAATAAGGATATTCAATTTAATTTTTTTTAAATTAGTAGCCAGCCAGTATTTTCAGAGTGGTGAGAGGGGAAGCTTTATATACTTCTGCAAGGAAATCAAAAGTAATTAGACAATATGTAGAAATATTCTTGTGGCAAATATTTGTCATTTTCTTCTAAAACATTTAGCTTTCTATATCCCTCTCTGTATTGAAGGGAGCTGGAAGCTTAGATAAGATTTCCCAGGCTGCTCTGCCAGCTGGCTTCTGGTTAGATTCTAAAGGCAACCTTTTCTCAGGGATTCCCAATTGGCCTGAACAAGACTTTTTCAAAACGATTCTGAAGTTCTAGGCTCTTCCTACTCAGTCCTCCTTCCTTCCTTCTCTTCTTTCATGGGTGTCAGACCCTCATAGTCTGAAGGTTCACCCCCTCCTTCTCCTGCACCTCCTCTCTTTATATCAAAGGTGTTTCTACCCATAAATTTCTGGTGTGTTGAATTCTATCTTGGAGTCTGCTTCTTGGAAGATGGCACTTTCGTTAAGAAAGACCCAGGGGAAAAAAAAGAGACCCAGGGAAGAAAGAAGCCATCTATTTTTTTCCTGCTTCTGGCTTCAGAAGTGGTAAGGTAGGGTACTATGGATGCCCATGGGCTTTAACAGCATTAGCAGAGAGTCTAGCAGTGTTGGAAGCATTCAGCCTCTCAGGCAGCTCTTGTAGCATCATGAGAGAATTGGTTCCTGGTTTCCTGCTCAGTGGCCATGGAAGTCATTCCTAAATCACAGGAGGGCTTTGGCAGACCCTGCAGTGTGCACAATCACGAGCCCTGTGAAACATTGTGTTGCTCCTTGCTCTTCCACCTGTAGGGGCAGGAACAGCTTTCTGAAGCTACAAGTGTCTGGTGATACTATCATGCTTCCTTATTTCTTTTCCAGCCCATTCAACACTTTTGTCACCAATTTCCTGTTTTAAACTGCCCTACCACGATTGCAATTTTCCTGACTGGATGTTGAATGACACACCTAACCATTTCATTCTTTTTGATACCCAAAATTCTCATTTGTACTAAATATTGAAAAAAATATTATTACATGTGAACAAAAATTATTTTTTATTATTATTATACTTTTAAGTTCTAGGGTACATGTGTGTGGCAATTCCTCAAGGATCTAGAACAAAAATTATTACACAAAGCTTTTTATATTAGTATTAACAAATAAAAAGTCTCCAAGAACTCTAAAAATGGGAATTTTGTTAAGAAACTTAGGTTGCATTTATATGTTTTTCCATGCCCCAATACAATATATGTTTCTGGATATTTTTAGATACATGTAAATACTCGTTATTTACTGCTAAGTGAAAAAAAAAAGCTGTAAAATTGACTAAGTGTTTATCATATGACCCATGAAATTCTACTTCTAAAAATATATCCTGGAGGAATTTTGTAAGTGTGAACCAAAACAAATGTATAGTGATGTCCACAGCAGCATTGTCAATAACAACCAACAACCAGAGTGACCCAAACATCCATCAACAGTGAAAGAGATAAATACATCTCAGTATATTAATGTAATGTATACTATTACATGAAATGCTATATCACAATATGGATGAATCTCAAGAGAAAAACATTGACAGTAAGAAGCAAATCACATTTTTTAAATGCCTATAGTAGAATTACATTTTTACAACATTAAAAACCAGATATATTAGTCCATTTTCATACTGCTATAAAGAACTGCCCAAGACTGGGTAATTTATAAAGGAAAGAGGTTTAATTGACTCACAGTTAAGCATGGTTAGGAAGGCCTCAGGAAACTTAAAATCATGGCCCAAGGCAAAAGAGAAGCAGGCACCTTCTTCACAGGGCGGCAGGACCAGGACGGAGTGAGTGCCAGCAGGGGAAATTCCAGACACTTATAAAACCATCAGATCTCGTGAGACTCACTCATTACCACCAGAAAAGCATGCGGGAAACCGCCCCATGATCCAATTACTTCCATCTGCTCCCACCATTGACACGTGGGGATTATCCCCACCCAATTCAAGGTAATGTTTGGGTGGGGACACAGAGCCAAACCATATCACCAGACAAAGCAATATTTTGTTTTTGTTTTTGTTTTTGATTTTGAGATGGAGTCTCGCTCTGTCGCCCAGGCTGGAGTGCAGTGGCGTGATCTCGGCTCACTGCAACCTCCGCCTACAGGGCTCAAGCGATTCTTCTGCCTCAGCCTCCCGAGTAGCTGGGACTACAGGCATGCGCCACCATGCCCAGCTAATCTTTGTATTTTTAGTAGAGACAGGGTTTCGCCGTATTGGCCAGGCTGGTCTCAAACTCCTGACCTCGTGATCCGCCCGCCTCGGTCTCCCAAAGTGCTGGGATTACAGGCATAAGCCACCACGCCCCGCCCAGAAAAAGCAATACTCTATTGTTCAAAAATAAGAAGTTGGGAAAGAGATACCTCTGTGGGAAGAGGGGTTGTATTCAGCGACTCTGAGGGGCTGACGACATTCTAATTACTGTCCTGGTTGATAATTGCACACTAATTTGCTTTATGTTTATTTTTCATAATATGTAGGTGTTTTATTTACTATGATATAAGCATGAAACATTTTAACATAAAAAAGAGAAAAGAATCAGGTTATGAAAGCATAACTCTTAGAAACTAGCAACTCTGCCTGCATGGTTTAAAACAGAATCGCTAACTCAGAGTAACATAATCTCTCACAACTAGTCTTTGTCAATAAATGTATGAATACATAAAATAATTAATGAACAGCATGCTCTCAAATATGTATAACATGTTTATGAATTAAACCAGATGAAAAGATGTCCAAATGTTGTTTAATAATTTCTGCATGGAAAAATTATGGGTAACTTGATTTCTCTTCTGGGTATTTTTCTTTCTTTCCAAAGTTTCTCAAATAAATATATATTACTTTGAAAATTCAATGAAATACATAATAAAAATGTGTCATTAAAAGTCCAGAATACAGTCAGTTTATGTTCTAGCTATTTTTCTTTCTCTTAGGACATTAATCCAATTGTTTTTATCAACAAGAAAAACACTATGAATTATAAATCAGTGCTCTTAAACTTTGGTGTACATCCTAATAGCTGCAAGCCAGCCCAAGAGATCCTTCTAATATCCTAGGCTAAATTGGATCAAACAATTTAAACTGTAAGAAAATCAGCATTCTGAATATTTCCCCAAAAGATCTGTCCCAGCCACCTCCCCAGGCTAACTGTGCATCACCATCCTCTTTGCTCTTTGCTCTTTGCTCTCTGCTCTCCAGTCACAGCAATCTTATTTCAGCTCCAGTGAATTCTTTGTTTCATGTCTCAGTAGCTTGGCATAGGCTGCTGCTCTTGCCTGGATGTCTAGCCCTTCCTCTGTCTTCATTCAGATCTCAGCTCCAATGTCTCCTCCCTAGCAAAGTCTTCCCTGAAACTGTACCCTATCCATTTTACAGTTTATATACTCTTAACCTGAAATTTTATCTTCACAGCACTTTAATACCATTTGTAATTAACTATTTGTGTTATTATCTGATTAATGTTTTTCTCCTTCAACATACTGTAAGTGCCGCTAGGACATGAGTCATGTCTGTTTTGCTCACTTCTGTTTTGTTTTCTTTGACAGAGTCTCCCTCCATCGCTCAGGCTGGAGTGCAGTGGTACAATCTTGTCTCACTGCAACCTCTGCCTCCTGGGTTCAAGCCATTCTTCCACCTCAACCTCTGGAGAAGCTGGGATTAGAGGCACATGCCACCATGCCTGGCTAATTTTTTTATTTTTTAGTAGAGATGAGATTTCGCCATGTTGCCCAGGCTGGTCTTGAAATCCTGGCCTTAAGTGATCCACCGGCTTCCGCCTCCCTAAGTGCTGGGATTACAGGCATAGGCCACTGTGCCTGGCCTCGCCTTTTTTTTTTTTTTTTTTTTTAAGAGAAAGGGCCTGGCTCTGTCACTCAGGCTGGAGTGCAATGGCATGATCCTAGCTCACTGCAATCTTGAAAGCAGTCCTCCCGCCTCAGCCTCCCGAGTAGCTGGGACTACAGGCACAGGCCAGCGCACCTGGATAATTTTTTTTAATCATTTTTCTTAGAAATGGGCTCTCGCTTTGTTGTCCAGGCTGGTATCAAACTCCTGGCTTCAAGTGATCCTTTCATCTCCGCTTCCCAAAGTGCTGGGATTATAGGAGTAAGCCATTGTGCCCAGCCTGCTCACTTTCATATCTCCAGAATTTGACTTAAAGCCCAACACTTAACAGACACTCCCCATATATTTCACGGATAGTTGGTTGGATAAATGAATAAACTATCAAATGAATCAACAAACAAATGAAGATCTGTCCAGAAAAATTTATGGCTATGTCTCCCAGGCTTTGAACTAAAAATCATCTTTAAAATTTGGTTATTACCGTACTGTATACACATAATGAAACATCACACTGTACACCGTAAATAAGTACAATTATCACATATCAATTAAAAATAAAATAAAATTTAAAAAATTTTGTTTTTCTTTGAAAAAGATCCATTCAATCAAAAGTTCTCACTCAGACCAGTAATTAGCTTGTATTACAATGAAGATAACATATATTCAACCTTGGCTAATCAAACTAACTTTTTTAGGCTCCTTTTTTTCGTGGGTATAACTCACCTGTGTGTATCTTTTTCAAACAAAATAAAAATTCTTTTCCAAACCCCAAACCCAATGATGACTCATTCTCCAGAAATCTAGTTTGGATGTGATGGGTAAGGAAAGAAAAGACAAGAAAACATATTAGCCTCCTAAGATTAAGGACTATATTTTTCTGTTGGGAACTTGGAATCCTAAACTAAAATGTTTGCTCTCTGATCCCCAATATCAGAAGCTGCACCTAATGTAATTGCTTCCAAGGGGGAAACACTGCTCATTCTGACTGGCTGTCACAATACTCTGACTTAATCCCTTCCAAAATGCCCAGCTCAATATAATTGTAAGAATTCAGGGCAGAATCTTTCCATGGCAGTTTGAGCAGTAAACTTATTTGTTTGTATGTAAGGGACTGTTAGTTCTCAAAGCACAGAGGTTTTATTAAGAAGATGACAACAATTTCTGATTTTTAGATACCCATTTTTTCAAATCCAAATATTCTGGATTTCTACAGTGTTCCTACATCATGTTCAGAAAACGGAGTAATACAGTTATCCATTGGTGGCTCTTAAGAGCAGGATATTATTGTACTTGTATTTCGGTAGAGGTATTTATTTATTTGGTTCTTTCATCTTCTACATTTACTTGTTCCATAATGACCTATCTACCACTCTCTCCCTTAAATATTCTCTCTATGCACACCATCCTCCTTGCTATTTCTAATTCTCTATGGCATGCTTGAAAGCATTCATACCTATTGCTGCTTTGCCTGGAGCATCCTTTCCCTGAATACTCCACTGGCTGACTCTACTGGAAACTTTAGATCTTACCCAAAGGGCTATTTAAAAATTATATTCCCTCCTGAATACTTCCTATATGCTTTCTTCCTTCATATATTTTCCAGAGCATTTATATCATAAAACATCCCATTTTATGTATTTTTCTTATTACCTATTTTTCCACTTCTAGAATAAACATTCCATGAAAACAAAGATGTTTGTCTCTTTTCTGTACCTGCTATATTCTCAGGCCTTAATGTAGCTACTCAACAATCATTAAGTAAACAAGCAACTTTTCCATGAGAAATATCCAACTGAAATGACCAATTTACTATGCTCTGGGTCTAGCATATCCCAGAAAGGGGATACGTTTACCAGAGGAAACAGTAGCAGTGACACTAAACACAGAGCTACAGCTGTTGCCTGATCATCAATCAGTCTGTGCTCCTTACACTGATAGACCAGAGAGAGAGAGAAAAGGAGTTCAATGTTGATGGGGTAAATGTAAAGGTCCCTGATGACCATGAGGAAGAAGACAGCCGCTGTGCACTAGAGGCAGAGAGGAATATATTAGGTATACAGATGATCCACAGGGGCATCTTGTGGCATTCCTGTGCCCAGTTATAACTACCAATGTATAAGTACAGCAGCAAGAGAATGGTAACCCAGGGCTCAGAACTCTTAGTAAAACATTAGGAAAGCCTCCTACATGAGTAGAAGTGCTAGCAAAAAGAGAGGAAAATCTAGAATGGCTGGGGGTAGGGTGGACAGACCATGAGCACCAACTGCATTAGTGGGACTCTTACTATTCCTCTTCAAGTAAGTCTTCTTGGAAATTCTGACCAACCAAAATCCTGAATAAGCTTTGCCTGGATGGATTGACCTTCAGTGAGAAGCAGGTGGATCTGAGGGCTGTGAGGAGTAGACTGCAGTAGAACGTAGCTGCTGATACACTACCAAAATCTTTCAGGGCTGTGCACCTTTCCTCCACTTGCTGTGAATGTTCTGTGATCACAGTTCACAGGTGCCCCCTTCTTTAGAGACTTACCTTCTGCTAAAGATGAGCCACTTCCCCAGAGAGGCCACTCCTTGCCATGGGGAACAGGCCAGTAGCTAATGGCCAATGGACACAAGGGTAGACGAGGCCATCTATCTTGCCTCAAGGAGGGACCATCTCTGTGGAGCAATTCATGCCTCGGAGATTCCCCATAGGAGCAGACTGGGCGATTCTCCAGCTGAGACTCTATTTGTGCTTAGTTTTTATCTCCTGCTCTAGCCTGCTTCACTTGCTCTCATTCTCCTGAGAGCACTCTTTCAATAAATCACGTAAACAAGAATTCCTGACTTGGCTCCGCTTCCAAAAAACCCTGCCTAAGACTCATGTCATACGCAAATTGCCTCTGAAATAATACATTATAATGACAGGCCTTTAAAATTCTTACAAATACAATTCTGATGAACATCAGCTCACAAAATTTTTCTTAAAAGTCAGAAGCCCTAAAATAAATAAATTACCATGAGTGAAAGTCACCAGGAGGAAAACATAAAATTGCATAAAATAGGATCATCAGATAGAAATATATAGAAATATATGGTATATATTTCTATATATATATACCTATATATACCATATAGAAATATATGGTGTGTATATATATATTTCTATATATACACACCATATATTTCTATAACTATATATGTAGTAAGATATAAAAAGAGAAACCCAAAAACATGAGTGAAAACAAAAAGCTATCAAAAGCTTGCAGATTCCCAGCACTTTGGGAGGCCGAGGCGGGCGGATCACGAGGTCAGGAGATCGAGACCATCCTGGCTAACACGGTGAAACCCCGTCTCTACTAAAAATACAAAAAATTAGTCGGGCGTGGTGGTGGGCACCTGTAGTCCCAGCTATTCGGGAGACTGAGGCACGAGAATGGCGTGAACCCGGGAGGCGGAGCTTTCAGTGAGCTGAGATCACGCCACTGCACTCTAGCCTAGGCGACAGAGTGAGACTCCGTCTCAAAAAAAAAAAAAAAAAAAAAAGTACCACATAGATGGTTAAGAGATTAAATGAGTTGACATCTGTAATGCTCTTTAGTGCTGTTGAGTTTCTAATATTCATCTGTATTATTTTTATCTTGAATGCTCACCAAGGTGTTCTGGGTCAGAAACTGATATCTTACTAATTAATTCACAATAAATAGAAAGTGAACTGGCCTGCCTTGCCCTAAGCCTTAACCCTGATGAAAGCCAAGCCAAATGTCCCACATTGGTAGCCAAACATTCCATAGATGACTGACAGTGAACAATGGATTCTTTTCATTTATATATAGAAGAGAGACAACCATTCCCCTCCCCCTCCTGAAAGGAAAGAAAAATCTTTTGCTCCTTTGAAATGAGGTGGAAAGGATCCTAGGTTCTTACCTTAACCATTTAGAATGTAACTATATCCTTCCACAGGTCAGATACACCAAAGGGGTCTCCAAAGTCTGGGCTTTGTACCTAGGGAGATAGCAGCCCAGCCTTTCTTGGATGGTGAGCACACTAGTAATCATTTTATGAACATGCGCTACAACTTACATATACACAACCCTTATTATTTTATGTGTAAAATAGCTCAAAACAAAAAGGATATTTTGTACAGAAAATAAAAAGAAAAGAAAGAAAAAAGAACAAAAGGAAGAAAGATGGAGGAGGGGAGAAAACTTTCATAAAATCTTCATCCAAAATATTGGTGGCAGTGTGGAAAGGGAAAAGCAAAACCACAAAAAAACTCTATCTTCTGTAATGTACCAGCTCTGACCATTTGAGTTTTCTGACACGATGTGTAATTTATTATGTTCAAGGACTATTTTCTTGGCAAAAAGAAAAGATCTTAGTTTCAGAGTTAGCATAGAACATAACACTATTTAAATGTCTTAAAGTAGCTTTAACAATAGTATGCAATATACAGTGTGAGCAGTCTTTATGAGTGATTCTCTAAGAGACCCCATCATTTGGCTTTGGACAGGGGAAAGTATCTTTATCATGAACACTTGCTGTGCTAGGCTGAAGCCCACAATTTCTATGATCCCCCACTCCTCCAATTCTTCTTTCATAAGCTGGGAAGGGGCACTAAGGTGACCAACAGAATAATGAGGATGGGGAGTGTTTTCTTGTTAAGTCCACGGCAGGGCTTGGCCCTACTGGATTGCAGCTCTTTAAAAGATGAGTATTTAATACTACTTCGTTCTTTGGTCTTGTTGGTTGCTGCCAATTTGAGACCACAGGGAATGTCCTCCTCATCATCTTTTTAATTTTACACTGATAAAAATATTAAAGAGAATTTAAAGTCTGATTTGTGGATCAGTGTGCTGTATTAAAGAAAAGGAGAAGAAAAAATATATGAATATATATATTCACACACACGAAAACATACTGTGGGTAGAAAACAGGATAACGAAATATGAAGAAACTCTTCATAAAATTTTATTTTGCAAGATGTCCCTTTTTGATTTTAAATACAGGGGGAAGAGATTAGTCTTATAAGTGTCAGTCCCACACACCATGTCTTTTCTCTCCCTGGTGTTAATGTTCCATGTAATGCTAATTAAACGGACATGTGTAACTAATTTAAGTGTTACAGAATTCAAACCAGTCTTAATTCCCCCTTCTCCCAAAAATAGAATGAGAAACTTAGTTGTTAGTCTCTAGACTTTATAGTGGGCAGAGAACTAAATTATAAAATCATATTTTACAGAAAAATCTAAATTGATTTCTCAGGTTATGAATACTTAATTATAATAGGGACAGTTCAGAAATAGCCCCATGGAAAAAGTAGTTGTTCATTATATTGAGTCTTATGGCCAAGAAAGAGGGCAGAAAGAATGTAATTGTGAGTTGTCAAGCTTAACACATATGTATAGAGCAAATATTCTCACTCTGTTCAGTGGCAGAATTGAGCCTGCTGAATACTGGGCAGTGTCCAAGTGGTGGTCAAAGTGGTCCTCTGACATAAAGAATCATGACCCACAAAAAACATTGAAAGAAAATTTACATATAGACATATTATTGAGATACATATCATTACAGACACTTTCTTTACCAGGATAAGTGCAATCTGAAACTTATCTTTATTATATACCAACTCAATTTTTATTTTATTTTATTTTTTTATTTTTTTTTCCTTTAAAAGCCAGGGTAAATTTTATTTTATTTTATTATACTTTAAGTTTTAGGGTACATGTGCACAACGTGCAGGTTTGTTACGTATGTATACATGTGTCATGTTGGTGTGCTTCACTCATTAACTCATCATTTAGCATTAGGTAAAAATTGAAGGAAAGGTAGAGTTCTATTTCCATATTCTTTGAACACTATTTACAGAAATGGCATTAGTCCTGAAAATATCATCTTTCTCTATCAAAGCCATCTTAAAGATAACACTGCATTATTACTTAAAGAAAACTGCCAGGGGGAGAATCTATACCTAGTAAAATTTAACAGACCAGTGGAGGCAAAACATAACAGTCTGTGTTAAGGGTAGTCATCATCCACATTTAGTTGAAAAAAAAAACAGAAAAGCTTACCTTTATGATGGTTTGCACTGGATACAACTTTCCCCCACAAGGTTACAATAAATATTATTATTAGCAGTTTTCCTTTTGTTGCTTTCTGTAAGTATCTCTTACTCATCCTGCAAATAAAAAAATAATAAAAATCATAAGTATGCAAATTCATAGCTTTTCCCTTATGATTGTGCTACATGTAAAGCCTTCCACTATACTTTAACCCCTTCAACTTCTGAAAACTGTATTTCTTGTATTTAAAATGCTGTTCACTGTATACAAACGATGATCAGAGAAAATAAAGGTTTTCCAAAGTACCTTGATATGATGCAAGAAATAAGCAAAGCCCTGCCTCAGTCTTCATCCACTTAACCACAGCCTAAATCAGTTTGGAAATATTATCATATTTCTCTCCATATAAACATAGATTTAGTTTATTAACAAAACCCAAGGCATGGTCATTTGGATAATCTTTAAATAAATGCCTTATTATTTTACTTTTTTCCTAACAATTGCCAAGTCAAATGGACAGTGTAACAGTTTATATAGAATTGCTTAGATGAATTCCTGCACAGAATATGGTCACTTCAAATCTATTATTCCTAATGTGCTTTTTAAAAATCACCTGGTTATATACATTTCTTACTGCAAAGTAACCTGATCCTCCTAATGTGCACAACTCCACTACAGGTGACACAATATTGTTGGACTCCACCTTGATGTAAGTTCCCAGAGGTAGGAGAAAAATGAAAAAGCAGAATGAAAAATACCAAATCAACATTTTCATATTGAACTCATAAAACTAGAAAAAGCAAAAAATGTTATAACAAAATAATAGCTACCTATAATAAAAGTTCAGAACTTACTTTCTCCAGCACTTTCTACAGCATTCTTTCATTTGTTCTGAAGAACAAATTTGGCCTGTAGGTATATCCATCCCCATTTTGTAGATGAGGAAATTTGGATATTTGCCTGGGCCACATTTAATGACAGAGTAAAAATACAAACCCAGAATTGTCTAATTCTAAAATTCTTGCATTAATCACTGGGGGATAAGCAAAACTGATATGAAATCAAGTCCATCTCCATTTATTTATGAGGGCGATTAAATATATGTCTGTCACCCTGTGACTTTCCGATTCAGATCCTATACTGAACTCCACTGTGCTTGACCTGAAGATTCTTGCCTGCCCTGCTTTTAAAGCAATTTCCTGGGGTCACTTCCTGATGTAGCCTGATTCCTTTTCCTCTTGTATTTTCTAGGTTACCCTTTTTTGTACATTTTTACCTCCAAAACATTCTATCTCCAAAAATGTGACTCAAAGGTAGAACAGGTGGCTATACAATTTCAAAGAGGAGTCCTTGACATTTTTTCATGTATGACTAAATGCATGAAAAAATAAATTATATATTATGTATTTTAATACAGATATATGTTAACATTTCTTAGCTTGAGGAGGTTATAGGGATTACTTCAAATGTTTAGATGGCAATATTTTAAGAATAAAAACATGAACTTCTAAGTCAGAATGCCGGGGTTTGAGTCCAAACTTTAATGGCTTCTAATTATTTGGCCTTTACCTGACTTTACTTTTTTTGGGTCTCCTGCTTCAGTTTCCTCTGCAAATTTCTGGATCTCCTGCTGCACTGTCTTCTACTGTAGCATAGGATAATGTATGTGAAATTCCTGGCCCACTGACAAACATGTACTAAGGATTCAATGGCTATGATATTAGAGAATAGTGAGTCATTTGTATATGTTTGATCCTTAAGTGTTTGGGAGGCTTGTCCATTCGTGAGATGATTGAAGGGAGTTTCAGTAGCACCAACAGCTGTAAACTCTCTGTGGACCTTAGCCTCATGACATGTCAAAGATAACATACAAGAAGATAGGTATTTGAGCTTTTAGATCAGACTGTTGGGGTTTAAAACCAGGCTTCCTGCTGACTATGTGACTTTGAACAAATTACTTAATAATTCAGATTATTTTCATTGTCAGTAAGACGAAGATAATAATATGTACCTAACAGTGTTGTTGGTATGAAGATTAAATGAAATAGTCTGTGTAAAAGGTTTAACACTATGCATAGCAAATAATAAATGCTCAATAAACGCTAGCCATTACTGTAATCATTACTCAGTCAGACTAGCATTTTCCTAAATTCACTCTGTGAGGCACCAGTTCCACAGACTGTTATTAAAGTATTCGTGAAAAATAAAGGGGGGATATATATTTGTAACATTGTGAGTTCAACCAATTTAACTAGATTTTTTTAACAAGAGGCATATTGCCAAATATGCCTTTTAGAAACATTTTCCAAGAACCTCCTCCACAGTGTAACAGAGCACACTAGTGTCCTCAGGAAGCCTCTTAGAGAAATATTGAGCTATAACAATAACCTGGTTTGGAACTTATTCTCAGTAAACCAAATGTCATTTTAAATCTTCCGTTCTATTGCCTTTGTTTCCTCTCTCAGCACTCCTACTATTTGTTTTAAGAATCTTCTCTTTTTTTCTACATTTTTTCAACCATCCTGACTCCCCTCTGCATCTAATCCCTGCAACATTATTGTACTGCATATCATATAACAGAATGAACAGCAAAACTCATCTGACAGGAAGAGCTGCTTAGCATAATTCTTGATAATAGCTTCTCCTTAGCACATGGCCTCTGCTACAAGGGCAATGACCCATCATTTTTCCATACCATTGTACACCCACCCAATGGGATGACAGAACTGACAGATGGTCAAACTGATAACTAGACATATGGAAACAGAAGCACCCACAAAGTTGCCAGGCTGTCAAAGTAAAGAAAGAAAGGAGAATGCAGGTCAACATTTGGAAGGCTGTAAGGACTGGTATTTTCTTCTTTTCGTAACATCGTCACTCCTGTCCAGTTAATTACCATGTTCCGTCAATACTACCTCCAGAATATCTCTCAAATGTATATTTGTATACCTATTACTACTGCAACACTGCAATACAGACCACCAAACTTTCTCACTGGCCACAGCATCCTAACTGGACATCTGCCACCAAATTGCCCTCCTATGTCTGTCTTTTTCACAACTATATTTGCAGTATTTAGTAAGTGCCTGATAAATTTTGTTGACTAAATGTAATGCATTCTCTATGCTATGGCCAAATATGTCTTTATGAGCATGAAACATACTTGGTTAAAACCTTAACATGATTCCCTTCTCTGTTCAGAACAGAAGGCCATCATTCTTAGTAGGGTATGAAAATCCTTCAGCAGAATATTTTTTTAAGCTTTGATCCTTTCTTTATGTCTCTAATCTCATTTTATGTCATTTTGTCCCATCTTTTTCTCCACACACACTCACAGTCTATTTTTAACCCTAGAAAATTTCTCCAATGACTTCCAGCTAAATCTTACCCACCATGCCACCTGAAATATGTTAGCTATTCCCTCCATTCCCACCTACTCTTCAAAATGGGTAACTTCTACTCACTAGTAGAAGGGCAGGTTAGAATTCCTCCTATAGGATTTGCCCAAGACCGTGTTGAGTGCCCTTCATTCTGCACAACAGCCACTTGCCATACCATATTATAATCCACCTACTTATATTCAACCATTATTCTCATATAAGATTCCTAAAGACAGCAACTGTGCCCCATACATTTGTGAATCTGTAGGATTCATCCAAAGTCCAGCTTAATAGCTGGTAAATAAGTACTTATTGAATGTTGGTGGTGCCTTACAGACAAATATATTGCATAGTGGTTAACATGAGAGGAAGGAAGTGTGTGTCATCTCTCTAGATGACAAACAGGAAGTGAAAAAGAGTCGGGGGGGCATGCAACAAGACAGAGCAAACTGAGAAGGAAAAGAGAAAAATGAAATCCAATCTTCAATGTGTTTTATTCTGATTTTTAAATAACAATCAAGTTTGAACAAAGTGAAACATAATAGAGTGATCAAGGATTTTTGACAAAGGGGCAATACCAGAGAAAAACACCTAAAGGAAAAAAAGCTGAATGTACATTTCTTCTTTACCTTGCAGGACAGCACAAAAGGAGGGACATTGCCTTCTTTCTCTATTTGCTAACCACCAGGTCTCAGTATAAAATTTCCCAGCACAGAAATACTGAATGTGGTCCTGGCTCCAACACAAAAAGAAAAAAGAACTGCCACATTCATTTGTGAAAACGGCAAAATTTAAGTGAATTTTGCAAAAAGCAAAAACAGTGAAAAGAAACTGGAAACTAAAGGAAAATACACATAGAGGAGGAAACCTTGAAATCGCTCCCAGGCAGCAGCAGCTTGCAAGGAGCACAAGGGAAAAGAGGAAACTGAGAAATGGTAACCCTGGCAGTGAAGGATGTTGAAGTGAAAAGTTGTCGAAGTGGAGGACTGACGATTAAATCTCCTGGACTTTCTCCCACTCTTCTCTTCTGTTACATATTTCACTTATGTACACGGAACTTTAGACTTTTGGATTATTTGAAACGCTTCTCATCCCACTAATGTTAAAAGTACATTTAATTGGCCAGATGCGGTTGTTCATGCCTGTAATCCCAGCACTTTGGGAGGCCGAGGTGGGTGGATCACAAGGTCAGGAGATCGAGACCATCCTGGCTAACACAGTGAAACCCTGTCTCTACTAAAAATACCAAAAATTAGCCAGGCGTGGTGGCGGGCGCCTGTAGTCCTAGCTACTCGGGAGGCTGAGGCAGGAGAATGGCACGAACCCGGGAGGTAGAGCTTGCAGTGAGCTCATACTGCGCCACCGCACTCCATTTAATTGTTAAAAGCAAGAAATAAAAAACTGTTATGCTATGAGAAAAATCATTTCCCCATGAAAACAGAAAGTAAGTTTAACTGGTCTATAAACAAAAACCTGGAAGGAAAAAGGGGGGGAATAAAGGAGATAGTATAAAGGAGATGTATAAAAAAGATAAAAGTGGAGGCTTAGAATCCAACCACCTGACCTCCCCTTGAGCCTAAGACACTTCTGTGGAAATAGAGATCACATAAGGGAATATTTTTTTAAGTCTTTTTAGGAAAATTCTTTACATTGATCTAAATACCGGACAAACTTGGTGTTAACTAGTTACAATGGCATGGACCTTAACAGACAAATCTCGAAAAAAATTCGCCCTTAGGGTAGAATGCGCGGTGGATTAGTCACGTGCCCCTTCTCCTCATAGGAACCAGAATGATCATTATAAAATGTAAATCAAATCACATTGCCCCACTGGCCTTATACCTTGCTTAAAATCCCGGAATTTACCTATTCATTGAAATTAGAATAAAATATAAATCTCTTACTGGAGAAAAAAACCAACATCATCTTCCCTCTCAACCACTCTGACTTCATTTCACATCCCTGTACCCCAGGTTCCCTACGCTTCAAGCACACTGGCTCTCCCACTATCCCCTCTGCCAAGCTAAATCTAGACCTTACCCTAAACGTTAATTCTGCCATGAAGGTTCTCCCACCTGTCTTTGTGTAGTGGTCTGCTTTTCATAATCACCTTCACAGAGATTATTATGACCATCCTGCCCTCCAGAGTCCAGAGAGACCCACCCTGCAGTTTCTCTCTCTCTCTCTCTCTCCAAATAGCCTGTAGCATTTTCTCTATTTATTCTAATCTAAAATTATTCTATTCACTATTTTATACATTTGTATAAGTGTCTATTTTCTCCTTCTTCCCATTAAAATGTAATTTCCATGAGAGCAGAGATCCTGCCTGTAAGTCACTGCTCTAGCACATAGAACATCACCTGGATCATGGAACATCAAGAGATGTAGAATGAAGAAATAGGTGTATTATATAATCAGAATAAAAGATGTGAGTTTTTTAATGGAGAAGTTTTATTACTTCTTTTATATTAACAACTAGAAATGGAGATGTGAAGAACAGTACATATTGGTGGAGCAATAGAAGTGAGAAGAATGAGTGGGAGATGAGGAAATGGAAACAAAGACTAGATTACTCTTTTTTTTGAGGTTGCACAAGTTTTATTTATTAATTTTTATTATTATTATTATACTTTAAGTTTTAGGGTACATGTGCACAATGTGCAGGTTAGTTACATATGTATACATGTGCCATGCTGGTGTGCTGCTCTTTCAAGAAACATGCAGAGAAGGAAAGTAAAGATGGAGTGGTGGCTAGAGAGATTTAAACAAGTCAACAGAGCCAAAAGAAAGGGAGGAGTTAAAGATACCAAAGTGAGCGTAGATTATGAAAGTTAATTTTCAAATGAGGTCAAAAAATAAGTAACAGTTTTGTAAATGTAAAGCATTCTACAAGTATAAACTATTATTGTTATTATTCCTTTAGTTTCCTTATTTTTATAGAAATTAAATGTATCCTCCAAAACTAAACCATTCTTTGTTCTTACTAATAGATTAATACAAATAACCTACTAAATAGGGCATCGAGAGCTACAAGTTTGACTACACTGTTGCTTTTATCCAAAATCATGTCTAACCTGACTAGAATTTTATGACACTATGCCTGAATATAGAATATCCAAGTTATTACTGAAATAGCAATTGTCTTTGAGGTGGATGGTGCCATCGGTATTCATAGAGATTAAATAGGTATATATGGATATTAAAGCACAAGAGACTCATGTAAGTTGTATATATAAAGGGTATACAGTAACAAATTAGGAGATAATAATGTAACTCATACATATAATCATGTATGTTGTGTGTTATATCATCCAGAAACTGAGGTGGTTGATTTTAATCATTTTAATTACTACAGTTTTTCTTTTCACTTCATATCATATATCAAGTATTATCACATGATGGCATTTTAAGCCACATTCACTAGGCACATTATGTGTGTCAGAACTTTCCTATTGAAGAACTAGTATTTACATTTCCTATATTGTAAGTTATAATCAAAAATTTATAGAGTTGTATTTTTACAAGCTAGTCATATGATTAGCCTAACTAGGTCATATTTTCTTAGACAACTTCAAAACACAGACTTTGAAACTTTAATCGGTTTCTAAACTTTGTCTGAACTGAAACACTTGTTTTAAAATGCTCATTAAGTTTGATGTATCAGTGTTTTGTAATGAATCCAGCTCTTAATTCTGTTCAGTAAAGAAGTCAACCCTGGAGATTTACCCAAGAAAGCTGCATTGGTTTCTAAGGATTTTCTGGCAACAAACACAAGCCTCATTTAAGAACCACAATTATCTGCTTCCTTCACCCAAATTTTATACTTTCATTCATTTCCCCACAATACTGCAATTCTGGTGGGCACAAAAATTCAGGAGCACTATTGCTTTATGCCTAGCCATGTATAGTCAAATTGTTGGATTTGTGCAAATACCTTTACCACCCACAGATTGAAATGATATGGAATAGAAATGTATTATCATTTAAATGATTTCTCCAGAAACACAATATTCCAATGTGCCAAGCTCTAACATCCAAAACAGAAGACAATGCTGTAAGGCAAAAATAAAGCAATCATTTACGATTTTTCAGAGCCCTAGAAAGACACCTGAAATGATCAAGGCTAAGCTACATCACCATGCATCTATTATTACAAGTGAATCACTTGCCCTCCTTTCTGTCTATAAAATGGGAATGTTGTCTATTTTTTTTTTCGAACAGGAATGCCATTAGAGTAAACAAGAAATCACGGGAGAGTTTGAACTTAAAGAAAGATGTGAAAAATCAGAGGTGTTACTGTTTCTTCAAAGGTCCTTCTCTCAGAGCATGGGCTTATAAGTCAGAAAAACCAAATGTGATCCTGGATTCCAACAAATAATAGTTAAATAAATTTGTCAACTTTACTTAACATCGAGTCTCAATGCACACATAAAGAATGTACAAATATTATTACATATAATATTGTAATGTATGTAACGAAAGCTAAAGGTATGTCTTTCATTCTCACGTGCCCTGTTGAGGCATTTTACTCTTTTCTCAGTGACTGTAGATAGTTTGAGGAGGGTGCATCCATAATATTTAAATTTTGTATCTCTTTCCACTTCAGTCTTAACCCTAAACTACTTTCTTTCTCTGCATTTCTGTTTTTTATTCAGTGCTCCTCTCCTTATCAATTGCTTATTGTTTTATAGTATTATCTATCTCCTCCAGGGTCCAAATCTGTTTTTCCCAAAGAAAAAGATTAAGGAAAATAAGGTACGGTTATATAGTATGACCAAAAGTGAGATTTCATACTGAACCACTGTAACAAGATATATATTATATCAAAAAATAAGCCATCAAAAATTTGAGTCTAACAAAGCTAAAATATAAAATATGTTAGAGCTACTAAATTGAAAATAAATCTAATTTTTGCAATTTAATATGAAATGTATGTGTCCACCAAATCATGATGATGTTTGTAAAGGACAGGGCTGGATAATTGAGATCTAGACAACACTAAACCTTGTTTTATATTTGCCCTCTGCTCCTACAAAAACTTCAGACAAAAGTAGTAACAATTAGAAAAAATTGGATTACCTTCTCCTACCGTTTTAACACAATGGCACTATGTCACACTATGAATTGAAACAGGTGGTAGGAGACAAGCAGTTGACTTGTAGATCTGTAAACAATTCACAAAGCTTCCACTCCTGCATGATCTGGAGATGACTACATTTCACAACTGCTAGGTGGAGGACCATTATATAGAATAAGAAAGGAAAATTCCAATTATATGTAGCCTTTTATAGATGGCTAAATCATAAGCCTTATATTTAATTTTGTGATTATATATGGTAAAAAGAGAGATAGCTCTGCACATAATATCTAATTCTGTATATAATATTCATAATAAAACATTTTCTTTCTTTTTTAATAAGACTTTTATAATGCAAATAATAAGGCTTTTATCAATGCAAATAAGCTATGGTAATGGAACCAGTTCTAAATATTTCTTCAGTCTATTATCATTGGGACTAGTTAAGACTTTCATTCCTTTAGTTCTGGTGTACCTGTTCTCTTGGGAAATGAGGCACAGAAGAAATCCACTTCACCTCAGCTCTTTCTCCTGCATGCTGGCAAAGGAGTGAAAAAGTGAGTGAGAACAACGAAAACAATCTTTAAGAGTTCTTTGTTAGGATAAAGTTTGTGGTCCAAGAACATTTATTCTCACCATAGTAACACCTACATATATGAAGGATTCTCCATTTTATGCATTTAACCATCCAGTATGGTCAATATGCCAGCCAGCACTAGCTAGTTAACAGCACGCATTCAAGAGAGCAAAACAGCTTAACCAGCAAACCATTAAAACATGGAACCTCCTCCTCAACACAGATTGTTCTCAAAGGTAGGTGAACTGAAGAGCTAAAGTTGCATATCCGAAGGCCTCTGCTCATATAACCATCCCTTCTAAAGCACCAACATCAACATATTTCAACCATACCATCAAAAATTACAAAAGCAAACAAACCATTAAAAAAAAAAGATAGTAGTTATGTGTCAAAAAGAATGCTATTCTATGTTCTCAAAAGAAGCCAAAAGAAAAGAGTCCAAGAATAGACTGTTTAATCAACTTCACTTGAATTCACACTTCTCTCTGAGAATAATAGTTTAAGCAAAATTTTTGGACAATTATGTGCACTAGCGTTAAATCCCTGAGCACAGCAACGTCACAATGAAAGAGACAGCGATGCTGGGACCCACACACTTTTATAACTACATTCTATTCACACTCCTTATATGTGTTTGATAGTTGTACATTACTTCATATACTTTAACGAGCTGTCTTTGAGGGAAAGGTAGAACATTACCAGATTTTAATATAACAAAGTACCATACTCAGCTTTCAGCTAACAGCTTAAGCAACTGAGAACTCAACTGATTAAGAATCAAAGCAGCAACCACTCTGTGCTACAAACCTCAGTCTACAGTAAGCCTCTATAACATATTGCTTTCTGACTTGCTCTTTTTGCAATAAGATTTCAGTAGCTTTTAGAATCTCACTTTTTTACTCTTTCCCTTTATGAATAAAATTGGTCACATAATACACACTACTCTAACTTCTATTTGCCATCAGCCGCTTTGTTCCACCCCTAACATTTTCCTTATGGATGAATTTGGTTTCCTCAGTCATGATGCAGGTATTTTCCTGCAGTATGCAATCATATGGCAAAGCAGCAGTCAAGTGGTTAAATGTGCAATCGTGAGAAATTTTCCCACTGGTGAGATGTATTCTATTGTGAAATTATGCCCCAAGGTGGTGGTGGAAGCCTATTACCTGGGTCTATTTTCAAAAAATTCTCCAAAGAACACCCTGAGGAAAGCCCTACATTATGGGGATATGAAGAACTAGTCCAAACTACAGCCATCGTCATTTCATATTGGCTTAAAACCTACTGACCTTATTTCTTCTCAATTTGTATCCCATTACTTCAATTGCTAGGAAGAAGGATTCAGGACACATCAGATATAATACTACACAAAACAAGTACCAGATATCACTACAGTTTAGCAAGAATTTAACCAGTAATCCCTGAGTTAACACTCTTCTTGCAATGTACAATGGACATGAGAGTACTCTGTAAACTGTATAGTAGTGTATAAATTAGACTTATTACCAAATCATACTAAATTAGGTAATAGGGTGAATGGATAAACAAATTGTGATTTTTATATATATATATATATATATACACACACACACACACATACATATACATATATATACACACACAGTGGAATATTATTCAGCCTTAAAAAGAAATTACAACATAGATGAATTTGGAAACATGTTAAGTGAAATAAGCCAGACACAAAAGTACAAATACTGTGTGGTCCTACTTACATGAGAGATACCTAGAATAGTCAAATTCGTTGAGACAGAAAGTAGAATAGAGATTACCAGGAGCTGAAGGGAGGGAGAAATAGAGAGTTACTATTTAATGAATATGGAGTTTTTGTACAGGATGACTTTTAAAAGAGTTCTGGAATAGATAAGTGGTAATGTACAACATTGTGAATGTACTTAATGCTGCTGAATTGTACAAAAAATGGCTACAATGGTAAACTTTATGTTATGTCTATTTTACAACAATAAAAATGAAGAAAAACAGATAAAATGGCAAGAGTCGTAATGGGAACAGCTCTGCTCATTGGCTCTACCATATAACCTACATTTATTTTCTTCGTGGCACTGAACAGTATTTGAAATAGTATTAACCTATTTGCTTACTTGTTTATTGTCTCTCTCTTCCCCTACTAGAATACAATCTACTATAAGAGCACAAACCTATGCCTTCTATTTCACTACTTTATTTCCAGCATTTATGTTTCTTATCACAGAGTGTGTGCAGAATAAATATTTGTTGAATAAATAAATAGATGGAAGAAACACTACATATGTCCTTTTAATTTTGAGCTTGGTTGCTCTGCATGATCACACACATTTTCTTATGCCCAATAACATTTAATGTCTCTACCTCTTGTAGGCAGTAGAATACTTTCAATTGTTGTTTATATTATATGTAAGTCTTGTATCTGTAAATAGAAGCTAAGCTCCTTGACAAACCATACAGTATAGTTCTATTTCCCCACAAAGTATCTTACTTTTGCATAGTGCCATATGGTATACTAAGAACTTTTACATCTGTGACCATCCTTGGTTCACATGATCATGAGGCTGGCAGATGGAATCACCCCTCTTGCAGAGATGAGGGAGCAGGCTTAAAGAAGGTAAGTGACTTGTTCAAAGTCAAAGTTAGTAATTAGCACAGCCAGAACTCAAAACCAGTTATCCACCAGGCACAGTGGTTCATGCTGTGGCTCAACGCTTTGGAAGGCTGAAGCATGAGGATCACATAAGGACAGAAGTTGGAGGCTGCAGGGAAACGTGATGGCACCACTACACTCCAGCCTGGGCAACAGAGCCAAGACCCTGTCTCAAAAAAATGTTTAAAACATTCTTCCAGCTTCAGGCCCAAAGTTCTTTCCATTAAAAGTCTGATAATGAAGAAGCAGCAGCTTCTCCACTCCTTCTCGAATCTCCGCCTGGTTGGGGCCCACCTGCTTCCACTCCTGCCTCCACCATGTCCATCAAGGTGATCCAGAAGTCCTACAAGGTATCCACCTCTGGCCCCCGGGCCTTCAGCAGCCGCTTCCTACACGAGTGGTCCCGGTGCCCCCATCAGCTCCTCAAGCTTCTCCCGAGTGGGCAGCAGCAGCTTCCAGGGTGGCCTGGGTGGAGGCTTTGGCGGGGCCAGCGGTATTGGAGGGATCACTGCTGTCATGGTCAACCAGAGCCTGCTGAGGCCCCTTAACCTGGAGGTGGACCCCAACATCCAGGCCAGGTTCTGCACACCCAGGAGAAGGAGCAGATCAAGACATTCAAAACAAGTTTGCCTCCTTCATCGACAAGGTACGGTTCCTGGAGCAGCAGAACAGGATGCTGGAGGCCAAGTGGAGCCTCCTGCAGCAGCAGAAGATGGCTCAGAGCAACATGGACAACATGTTCCAGAGCTACATCAACAACCTTAGGTGGCAGCTGGAGACTCTGGGCCAGGAGAAGCTGAAGCTGGAGGCAGAGCTTGGCAACATGCAGGAGCTGGTGGAGGACTTCAAGAAGAAGTACCATGATGAGATCAATAAGCATACAGAGATGGAGAATGAATTTGTCCTCATCGAGAAGGATGTGGATGAAGCTTACAAGAACAAGGTAGAGCTGGAGTCTCACCTGGAAGGGCTGACTGATGAGATCAACTTCCTCAGGCAGCTGCATGAAGAGGAGATCTGGGAGCTGCAGTCCCTGATCTCGGACACGTCTGTGGTGCTGTCCATAGACAGCAGCCACTCCCTGGACATGGACAACATCATCACTGAGGTCAAGGCCCAGTATAAGGAGATCGCCAACTGCAGCTGGGCTAAGGCTGACAGCATGTACCAGATCAAGTATGAGGACCTGCAGATGCTGGCCAGGAAGCACGGGGATAACCTGAGGTGTACAAAGACTGACATCTCCGAGATGAACCAGAATGTCAGCTGGCTCCAGGCTGAGATCAAGGGCCTCAAAGGCCAGAGGGCTTCCCTGGAGGCCACCATCACAGATGCCGAGAAGCGCAGGGAGCTGGCCATTAAGGATGCCAACACCAAGCTGTTGGAGCTGGAGGCCGCCCTGCAGTGGGCCAAGCAGGACATGGCACAGCAGCTGCGTGTATACCAGGAGCTGATGAATGTCAAGCTGGCCCTGGACATCAAGACTGCCACCTACAAGAAGCTGCTGGAGGGTGAAGAGAGCTGGCAAGAGTCTAGGATGCAGAACATGAGTATCTACTCAAAGACCACCAGTGGCTACGCAGGAGGGCTGAGCTCGGCCTATGGGGGCCTCACAAGCCCCCCTCCTCAGCTATGGCCTGAGCTCTAGCTTTGGCTCTGTTGCAGGCTCCAGCTACTTCAGCCATACCAGCTCCACCAGGGCTATGGTTGTGAAGATCGAGACCCGCGATGGGAAGCTTGTGTCTGAGTCCTCTGACGTCCTGCCTGAGTGAACTGCCATGGCAGCCCCTCCCACCCTACTCCCCCCTGCAGCTGCCCCAGAGCCCATGAGAGAGGCCACTGTGCAGGGGAGCACAGGGAACAGGAGACCCACCTGAGACTCAGCCCTAGCCCTCAGCCCACCCGCGGCGGGAGTTTACTGCCGGGGGACCCCCCTTCCCCATACCTCCAGCTACAAAACAATTCATTTTTTTTTCCAAAATAAACCCTCAGCTAGCTCTGCCAACTATCAAAAAGAAAAAAGAGTTTGATAATGAAAACAATTCTAATGTCATATTTCCATAATATAAAATAGAATATGTTAAAATAATTCCTACTAAATTTTTTTTTCTGGGCCTATGAAAAAAGATGCCTTGGCCATGGGTTTGTTTTAAATGCTAAACAAGAGAGGAATTACACATGGCTAGAAATAAATTTAGCTGATTATTTGCCAATATAATATTATATATACAGTTATGCATTGCTCAGTAATCAGGATACATTCTGAGAAATGCATCATTGGGCAATTTTAATGTGTGAACCTCATAGAGTGTACTGACACAAACCCATATGGTACAGCCTACTACACACCTAGGCTATTTAGGATAATCTATTGCTCCTAGGTCACAAACTTGTAGGCAACTGTAACACAATGGTACTTGTGTGTCTGAGCATATCTAATTACATAGAAAAGGTGCAGTAAAAATAGCATATTAAATCTTATGGGACCACTATTGTACGGACAGTTCATCATTGGCCAAAACATTGTATGCAGCCTATGACTGTACAGAAAAAACTGACTACAAATATATGATGGGGCTGGTAGGAGCCATACAGCCCAGTCAGTGAAGTGAGGGCTCAATCATCTCACTGTCCAATTCACCTCCAGGAAACTTTCTGCTTCAGCCCATTGAGGACACATGGGAAGGAGAGCCTCATACCACCCCCACCCTCCCTTTTCCCTTCAGGAGCCAGAAATCCAGAATCATATCTGAAATTCATCATTTTTAAATGTTATCAATTAATCTCATTTTAAAGAACATTCTGCATGTCAAATACAGCCTGGGGGCCACCAGGGTGTGGCTTCAGTTCGAAGCCATCTTATTTCTGAGTAGGTAGCACTTTCTACTCATGGACTGTGTAAACTCTGACTTGAATCAGAAAAAAAAAAGCAAGAAGGGAACATATGAATACAAAAAAAAAATCTTGGTTATCTTCTCTGTGCTTCTTATTTACCCACATTGAAAATTTTGCCTAGACCTATGGACTTCAAATGAGTGCCATTATATGAAATAACTGTGCTTATAAGAGTGCTTTAAAGTCCTTAGATTTGAAGACGTTTAATGTACTAATCCAACTTAAAAACTGCCTTCCATGGGAGAATCCAGAGGCTAAAACACAGGCTAAAAACAGAGTATTTATTCTTGAAAGGACAGGATCTGATGTTTCTACTCTACACTTTAGCAGTGGCACATAAAGATTATAATTGGGAATGAAAGAAAGAAAAGGACCTACTGAAAAACAGATGTCTTGAGCTAGAAGTAGCAATCACAGCATCTGCACTTTGGCGTCGGGAGAAAAACACTGGAGGAAAACAATAAAGCACAAGGTATAAAAATACCAAAGAAGTCAGCTGGTTTTCTCAGTTGATTGGGGGGAAAATAGAGTACAAAAGGATATTTAGAATACTTTGGTAAAATTCTGAAGACTTAAATAGCTTATGGTTCACATAAGCTGAGAAATGGAGGTAAAAGGAGAATAAAATGGCTGTGCTTAGTTTTTCTGTTACTGTAAGGCTTAAAAGACAATTCAGAACTGGCTCAAATTCAGACTCTTTCACCAAGATCAGTACCATTGCTTCTTTCTTGGTATCGTCTTTCAAATGTCAAATTCACTCCAATTTATTACATATAACTTTCCAGAAAGCACCTTAAAAAACCGCCTCACTTTATTTCCTTGTGAATACTCTATGCTATATTTATATATTCTACCTACTACATAACACAGAAAGAATGCAGGATTTGGAGTAAGAATACTTGGATTCAAGACTTGGTCACCTGTTTAGGTAGATGATTTCTGGAATCCTTTAATTCCTCTGAGCCTCAGTTGATCATTTTGTACAATAAAGGTAATATGACTTGCCTTAACTACCTCACAAGGTTGTTGCAAGGATTAAAAAAGTGTCTCTCAAGTTTTAATCTTAAAAATATATTATCTACAAAGCCAAAGGTTCATCCTCCAAGGAAACTACAACCTAACTGATCATTTAACAAACGTTATTAAACATCTACTGTTACTTTAAACACTGGCAATATAGCTGTGAAAATGACAAGGTCCCTGCCTGCACACATGGAGCCCATAATCTGATTACAGTTGTAAATTTTTAATTTGGGGTTTGATGATAACATAGTAAACAAAAAAAATTCATCTTTCAGCTAGTAAGTAGATTACAAGTTTGTGATAATGTATTGTTTTTCATTAATTTTCATAAAGAAAAGAATATAATGGCATTACCTTAATTAAATTCAAAGAGGCACTTAGCCTGAAACCACAGAGTAAAGGCATTATTTACTACACATGTGTCATTGGAATATAGTAATTATTAGTCACCACAGACACACTTGCAATCATGCAAACATAAGGAAAATGCGGCTGCTTACTCAAAGTTTGATTTGTGGAAACATGGTATATTCATCCAAAACAGCTATTACGAAGTTCTTATTTTATGCAAGGCCCCACAGTGGACACTATAAGGGATAGGTCAGCAAGCCCCAGTTTCTTGCTTCCTTCAAAGGACTTGTAATAAAGGAATAAAAGATTTGTGAGCTCATGCAAGTAAGAGAATGATGTATGAATATTGAAGAAGGGATTATAGTGGCTTAGAAAGAGATACCAAATTTAAGGAGTCAAAAGGTGACTTCATGAAATTTTGACCAATAATGCAAAGCACCAGACCAGTAGTCAAAACTCCAAGTTTGAGTCTAATGATGTATTCACCCAAATCAGGTTCTATGAACTGAAGCAAATTACTTTAACTCAGTTTTTCCATCTATGAAATAAAAAAATAGAAAACTACCAATATTCTGACCTTCTCAAATCCTTGAGTTGGAAAAACTCATGACTGAATGAACAGATTTTTCTGAATACCAGTTACTCCACAGTTTTGATTGTTGCATTAGATAACATATGTGAAGTACTCTATTTCTTACACTAAGTAGGTCCTCAATAAATGTTGAACCCTGATCTGAAGTAGGAAATAGTTGAACTAAACCTTAACATATTGGTAAGATTTTAATATAGAGAGATATGAAGAAAGTAATGTCAAGCCAAAAGAGCAGGCTGGGGAAAGACACAGAATTTAGAACATGCAAAGAGTATGAATGGCAAGTAATCTCATTTGGCTCCACGCTAAAGTGTATTAAGCGGAGGAATAAGAGGTAAGCTTGAAACGATGGCGCTGACCCAGAATATTTAGAATGCTGACGGCGACATGGAAGTGTTTTCCCTTAATGTAGTAGGTACCAGCGAGGCACTGGGGGACTGCAAAGGACATCAGCCTAAACATGTAAAATCTATACAAACCCTTTGCATCATTTGATGATCAAACATCTCCAAAGAAAGCCCATCAACGAGCTCTTTGGGTAATATATTTGACAGTAGCTCATATGACACCACTACCATTTCCAGTTAACATAAATAGAAAGAAACTCTTTGATGATTATTTGTAGTCGCTCTTTTTTAGTAGGACACCGGTGAATGCCTCTCTCAATATTAGGTGCATTGCATTTCTCAGAATTTATCGTTAATCCAGCTATCTTAAAAACTAGAGATGCTAAATGGAAAGATTTGTATCAATAAAGTACAGAGTTTATAATTTGTTTCAGAAAGACCTTCACTATACATTTATGAATCACTATGGTACTCCATATAAATACAAAAGAAAGCATGACAAAAATATGTTCTCTAGGCTACCAATTTGCACTGTGTCTTAAAACTACTATGCAATATGTTTGTACTATGATGAGGGTTACAATAAAATGAAGAATAATTTGAGGGAGAGAAAAAGAAAAAAGAAGCTAAAAGATAATTAATATCTAAGCTAAATAAAATAAGAAAAACAAAAGCATTTCAAATGTGGAAGCCTGCCTTCTTTTATGAGTTTTTCACTCCATTCCATTATTAAAATTCAGCCAAATTTCTTAACTGAAGTAAGACAATACTTGCTAAATAAACTTCTTTGTTTCTACTGTAGGAAGCATCTAAATTTAGAGTTTCTTATTTTTACAAACCTCTTTCAAATGGATGAAATATTTTCACAGTCATAATTCAATACAGTGAGTAAGATGTTTTTCCCTGTATTATAAAAATAAGAAAACTGAGGCTCAGAGGGATGAAGTGACTTGCTCAGTCAGAGCACACCCAAAAGGGACAGCTTTAAGACCCATATCCAGGTCCTCTGATTACAAATCTCTTGTTCCTTCTAGCATATCATCCTACAGCAATACTAGTGGGCATGCTATGCGTCAGATAAAAGAGTAGAGAAGGAGTTCTTGGCATTCACAATAGTTGCTCTTTTGCACAAAGGGAGAAGAATGACATAGTGCCAGGGTGCAGGGCAGCTTCATTCCTTTTTCATTTATCTAACATAGTCCCACACTTTCCATACTGAGAATTGTATAAAAATAATCAAGTTCACAGAACCCTTGACACCATCTGCTGACACCACACTGTACAAACATCAAATGTAGATGATAATACAATTAAGTTTTAATCTACTTTGGGACACTATCCAATTTGTGGACCATCTGGGGAGCATGTGTCCTCCACCTCAGTTCACCTTTGCTGTTTGCCTGATTCTGGACTAACTCTTTCTGTGTGAAGAATGAAAACTGATCACTGCATTAAAATATAATTCAGAAGGCAATGGTATGCTGGAAAACTACATAATTGTCCCCAATGGTAAACAGAAATAATTTGAAGTTCTCTGCTATTAGAACTTATAAGCATTGCTCTTTTCCTCCATTCACGCCAGTGACGTGAGTGTCGGTGTTACATCATGGCTGAACAGGCTTCATTCCACTTTCTGATTAAAGAGAATACTATGACAGATCCTCCAAGAAAGATGGAATAGGAGAAAAAATGATTCTCTTCTCCTTCCAGGTTTTTTATTCCTGTGCACATTAGACAGCATGTCTAAGGGTACTATCTTCACTCCATCACAAGAACCAATCAGAAAGGAAAATAGAGTGTACAATCAATGGCACGCACTCAACTCTGGAAATAATCCCCATAGTTATGTCAAATAATTGGTTAATAGGCTATGCTTTGGGTAAGGCCTCCCTTTGCACAGAAGAAAGCATTTTTACCAAAGCCAGAGCTTTCTTCTCCTCTTTTAGGCTCAGACCTCCCTCTTGTCATTAGGTTCATACCTAAAATTCAGAATAAAAAATTTAAGGAGACCTGACCCATTACCATGGGAGTTACATCACACTGGTCAGTCTGGCTCTAATGTGTTGCCCCAGTTCTGGAAATTGAGCTTCTACCATTTTCCCAGGCCTGACTCCTTTTCTTGGGTACCTGTAAAAGACCTCACTTTGTTCTCGCTACCACCCCCCTGCCCCCACTGCCACTGCCCCATGGAATGCTGCTCCTGAAACTTAGTCCTGCTCTTTGCTACCTCCAGACAACGTTTCTTCACACTGATTTCCCACTTGTATCCCTCCTGCCCTCCATAAGAATACTCTGGGCTGTATTGCTTTTGCCTTATCCCTAAATGTCACGCTTTGCCTACCAGAATGGATCCTGAGAACACAAGTTAGGCCTGATTCCAGCACTGGGTCCGCAGAGTGGCAAGTTCTCGTGTGGGTCCCAGTGGTCCACATCTGTGTCCACTTGCTGGAGTTGATCACTAAGGGCTTACAGTCTAATTGAAAGGATGTACATTAACAAAAGGATTGGTTTTTGACTTTTGTTGTCTTATACTGTTACCTCTTACAGGCACTTAAGGATGAAATAGTATGGTTCATGAATTGGGGGGCTATTGGCATAATTCAGCTATAATTATAACCAACTTATAATTGACGATGTAATGATAGTACTGAATAGTGGGAAACTTGGGAACCAGACTTCCTGGACTCAAACCCCAGCTTTGACATTTACCAACTTTGGGCCATTGGGCAAAATTAACGAGTGCCTCAATTTATTCAACTATGAAATAAGGAAAATCATAATGCTTTCTCAAAAGGCTTTGAGGATGAAATGTGTTAAAATATATAAAGTGCTTAGAGCAGGACCTGCTCATAATAAATGCTCAACTAATAGATGTGGATTAACTAGGCAGGCTGCCATATCTAAAAAATAATAAGAATCACAGAGAAGACCAAGTAGGGAAATCAGTCCCATATTGAAATTCACTGTTAATTCTTTCAAGAAGACTTCTCTGCCCCTCCCCAGGACAAGCTGAATTTGACTCCAATACATCAGTAACTGGCAGGGAAGTCTGGAGTACTATGTCTACCTTGACAGCTTATTACCTACATTGAAGTTTTTTATCTGTTAAATGTAGAAAATATTGCTTCCTACCTAGTAGGGTTAGCCTTATTACAAAATTAGTTAAGACAGATAAAGCCCTTAGAATCATGCCTGACATACAGAAAACACAAGTGTGAGCTAATTGCTTTTTTTTTTTATTATACTTTAAGTTTTAGGGTACATGTGCACATTGTGCAGGTTAGTTACATACGTATACATGTGCCATGCTGGTGTGCTGCACCCACTAACTCGTCATCTAGCATTAGGTATATCTCCCATTGCTATCCCTCCCCCCTCCCCCCACCCCACAACAGTCCCCAGAGTGTGATGTTCCCCTTCCTGTGTCCATGTGATCTCATTGTTCAATTCCCACCTAAGAGTGAGAATATGCAGTGTTTGGTTTTTTGTTCTTGCGATAGTTTACTGAGAATGATGATTTCCAATTTCATCCATGTCCCTACAAAGGACATGAACTCATCATTTTTTATGGCTGCATAGTATTCCATGGTGTATATGTGCCACATTTTCTTAATCCAGTCTATCGTTGTTGGACATTTGGGTTGGTTCCAAGTCTTTGCTATTGTGAATAATACTGCAATAAACATACGTGTGCATGTATCTTTATAGAAGGACATGAACAGACACTTCTCAAAAGAAGACATTTATGCAGCCAAAAAACACATGAAAAAATGCTCACCATCACTGGCCATCAGAGAAATGCAAATCAAAACCACAATGAGATACCATCTCACACCAGTTAGAATGGCAATCATTAAAAAGTCAGGAAACAACAGGTGCTGGAGAGGATGTGGAGAAACAGGAACACTTTTACACTGTTGGTGGGACTGTAAACTAGTTCAACCATTGTGGAAGTCAATGTGGCGATTCCTCAGGGATCTAGAACTAGAAATACCATTTGACCCAGCCATCCCATTACTGGGTATATACCCAAAGGACTATAAATCATGCTGCTAATTGCTTTTATAAGTGTAGCCTACACAATGGTCAGGAAGATGCTATGATGAAACCAGAATGTCCCTAAGTGATTAGAGCCAGGAGGATCCATGTTTCTGGCAAAGGGGGAAACTCATTAGCTCTAGTCATACTCAGGACCCTTCCCACTGAAAGTAAATTCAAATCTTAACTGTACCTTAAAGAAGAGACCACATGGAGAAAAACACAAAACACTGAGACCAGAAGGAAGCAATCACAGCCACATTCTCCTACAAACACAGAAAGTGGGCAAAACAAGGATAACAAGTTTCCAAGGATAACAACTCACATTTTGCAAAGCTTTAAAAGCATGTACTCTTTGAAAAATTCAGTGAGAGGGTGCGTTTAAAAGATCAAGTAGATAAAAATACTTTTTGAATAAAAATTAGGGTCCCCAAGCAAGGATGCAACAATCCAACATGTACAGGTAGGAGGCAAAAAGGTGTGAACACAAAGGAGGATCAAAACAATGTAAAGAAGAGAATTTCAGAGTGGACTGACATGTGGTAATTGCCAGATTCTTAGTGAAAAGGTCCCAGAAATGAATACCTGAGTTCTGCTCTAGTATAAACATATATTAGTTTATTTCATGGTAAATTTCAGAGCCTATTTCTTATTCCAAAAGGTGGACTCAGTTATTTTCAACAAAAGCTTTTTTAATGCTACCCCTCTCCATTGGAGGCTAAACTCCCCTGGAGTGGTTGGAGACTGTGTTTCCAGCAGCAATGGGCTGGCCTTGATTGCTAACTATCTGAGTGAGCTTAGGAAAGTTACCACAACTCCTTCTCCATTCATCTCCCGTCTACAGAGTGGACATAATGCTGGACTCTACCCAATAGAAGTAACATGATTATTGATTTAGCTAACACACATGATGCACTTAGGAAGGTCCATGACACACCGAAAGCATTATGTACTTTCTGTTGTCTCATAAGGAACCAAGTTAAAGAATGTCACCATTATTTTTTATGGATATCTAGACTAAGCTGACCCTATTGAGTATTGCAGTCAAGATTCTAAAGGAAAAGATCAAAAGGGACAAACGTGGGCAAATAACACCTCTCTTAGAATCTGTTCTGCGTTGTTCCCTATGGCTCAGTCTGCACCACTAGATTTAACAGGGTTCATTTTCTCTAGATGTATTTTACCTTACAATCTGGCTTACTAGGAATGAGCTCCCTGAGAAGTTGGCTGGTTTCTTTGTTCTATACCTTGCATTTAATGTAGTTCCAGACACAAACTAGGTTCTCAAAAAATGAGTGATGAATAATCAACAAATGGATATCAAGCAGGAAAGAATTGTTCTAAATCCAAGACTACTTGCCAAAATCAGCAAACTTTTAAATTCATTAATAGAACAAAATTATTATTTTAATATTATTTTAATAGTTTACAGCTAAAAGCATCAGCAGTGCTTTTTAAAGTGAATTGCGCCAACCGCTATGTTGGGAATCTTGAAATGTTTTTGCCGAATACTACTGCCATATCCTTCTGTCATTTAGAGACTTTTTAAATTGTTTTGTCTGCCCCAAATGTTCTGAGACACTTGTGAGTTCTCTATGCATTGGACTGCCTACACATAGAAAAATTATCCACTTCCCCATCAACCACTGACTTTTTCTATTACCAAATGAGAGGTTCTAAAGGCCCACAATGACTAGGATAAATCACTCCATTTCTTTTACTCTATTAAAGTAGATATTTTATGTTCCACTGCCACAAAATCCAAAATGAACACCAAAAATAGCCTGTGAGTTGAAGACTCTCATTTTAAAATGGCACCACAATTTATCCTATTTCTTACTGTACCATGAGCATTACATTATTCATTAGAAGATTTGGTTTTTAGGCAGCCTTTGCTGCCTTTGCTGAGTGTAGGCTTCCCAGTGCAAACTGGTGATTTAAAGAGATATCTTCCAGAGATAAGGTCACTTTGTGGATTCCCACCTGTGTGACCCCACCGTGTTTGCATAAATATAAATTTACTCTATGACATTCCTGTCATGTCTGCTCAGTGAGCAAGTAATTTGCCACTCTCATTACTCCAGGTACAAGATACCTTGTGAAAAATCAATCTTCTTTCTGCTTCATACATCACAGCTTCCCCCAGTCACCCAGTGCATTCTGACTCTGAAATGCAGCTGTGGGATAAAGACACAGGTCTGTTTCAGCAGGCTGCATTGTCCAAAGGGGCTAATGAATGTTACACCTCACTGGGAAACCCCATCTTGGGGCAAGGGAAATGTCTATATAAAAAGCAAATGCGCTGTTTTGTGCAAAGCATTTCCTATACCAGAGGGAGGGAGGTCTTAATAGTAGAACAAATAAGTAGCTACAGGGGGTTTAGCACACAGTTTTTCAGAAATATTAATCTGCCATCTCTTCAGGCTACAAATCATTTTCTCTACCTCTTGACAGGTTAAATTTTGACTTTGAAAGACAATCCATTGCAGGATCCTGACTGGCTATAATATGCCAGACTTCTCCCCGGGGACAGAGTCACCTCCCTCCAGCAGATGAAACCATTTTCAGTGTTTTCCTTGGTGCTGATTGCTGTTTTTCCACCCATGTATCCTCCTCAACATCGTAGCATAAGTGCCAGTGGGAGAAAAAAGGCAGTGGAAATATTTTCATTTTGTATCTATTTTCTGATCCAAAAAGGGGTTATATCCTGGAATTTTCTTGCTATATAGTAGCACAGATCTGTTTTAGAAAATCACCAATTCGAATGTCAGGAAATATGTTTTGAGTACCTACTGTGTTCTATTTCTGGAGCTATAAATAAAGTAATTAACAGAAGTAACATAGTCCTTCCATCATGTAATTTATGTTCCAGAAGGGAGAAAATAAATGAATACCTAAATAAACCAATGTGACAATTTTAAGTATTGATCAGTGTTTGGGGGGCTAAAACATTAGATAGGATGGTGAGAAAGATTCAGCCAAATAAACCAGCTGTGAGGAAGAAGAAAAGCAGCAGCAGAAGCAGAGGCAGCAGAAGCAGGAGAAGCAGAAGCAGTAGAAGCAGCAGCAGCAGAAGCAGCAGAATCAATAGAAGAATCAGAATCAGAAGAAAAAGAAGGGCTGCGCGCAGTGGCTCATGCCTGTAATCCCAACAGTTTGGGAGGCCGAGGTGGGCGGATCCCCTGAAGTCAGGAGTTCAAGACCAGCCTGACCAACATGGAGCAACCTTGCCTCTACTAAAAATACAAAAAATTAGCTGGGTGTGGTGGCGCATGCCTGTAATCCCAGCTACTAGGGAGGCTGAGGCAGGAGAATCGCTTGAACCCGGGAGGCGGAGGTTGCAGTGAGCTGAGATCATGCCATTGCACTCCAGCCTGGGCAACAAGAGCAAAAACTCTGTCAAAAAAAGAAAAGAAAAGAAAAAAGAAGGTAGAGTAGGAGGAGGAGAAGGAGGAGGGAGGTTGGGGAGCATATAAGCATATTCTGGGCAAAATAAAAGGAATAGAAATAGTGAAATAGAGAGAAGGCAGTGTGGGAGGGGCAGTATGTATGAGTCAGCAGAGTGATCCTGGCAGAAGTCAGTCCACAGAAGCCTGATGGCCATGAGAAAGAACTGGGATTTATTCAAAGTGCAGTAGGAAGCCACTGGAAAGTGAAAGTGGAGAGGGCTTTGAAACAACCAGGCAATTGAAATGATCTGATTTACGTTTTTTAAAGATCACATTAAAAAGTGCTGCTGCATAGACTTGTAGGGGGTAAATGTAGCAGAAGTAGGGGGAACATCTAGGATGCTCGGGCCACAGTCCAAGCAAGTTATGATGATGGCCTGACCTACAAAGCTATCAGTAGAGAGGAAGAAAAGTACACATATGTGTGATATACTTTGGATATACAGACCTTAGAACTTGGTCAGAGATTTGATGAGAGGGTAGCAAAGAGGACAGGAATCAAGGACATAGTCAAGATATTTGGTTTAAAAAACTAGATGAATATTGGTGTCATTACTACGATGGAGAGAAAGTGGAAATGAGTTAATTGTCTTTGGAACATATTAAGTTTGAGAAGACAGATGTCCAAGATATTACGTAGGAAGTTGGGAACACAAACCTGAAGCTTAGGGAGAATTAACTTCTAGAGCACATAGACACTATTTAATGCCATGCATGTAAATGAGCTCACTCAGGGCAGGGGTGCCAGCTAAAATATAAGACATCCAGTCAAGTTTGAATTTCCAAAGCAGTGAACAATGATTTAATATAAGTATGTCCAAAACATTGCATAGGACATACCTATACTAAAGTATGTCCTGGCTGGGCATGGTGGCTCATGCCTATAATCTCAGCACTTTGTGAGGCTGAGGCTGGCAGATCACTTGAGGTCAGGAGTTTGAGACCAGCCTGGCCAACATGGAAAAACTCCGTCTCTACTAAAAATACAACAGTATTACCTGGGTATGGTGGCACATGCCTGTAGTCCCAGCTACTTGGGAGGCTGAGGCACGAGAATCACTTGAACCCAGGCAGCAGAGGTTGCAGTGAGAAAAGATCGTTCCACTGCACTCCAGCCTAGGTGACAGAGTGAGACTCCACCTTGTTAAATAATAAAGTATGTCCTAATAGTTTATAGAGTGAATAAGTAAATAAATAAATGTGTATATGTATAAAATATAAATGTTTGCAGTAAAAAAAATCTGAAATTCAAATTTAACTTAAATGCTATATTTTTATCTCCCAACAATCTAGGCAATCGTAACTCTGAGTGAGATTATAAATAGAGAAGACCCAAGATCTAAAACACTCCTAACTTTAAAGGTGGAACAGAGGAAAAAAGAGGTAGCAGAGAAGACTGAGAAGGAGGTGCCAGTCAGAAGAATATGGTTTCACAGAGACTAACAGAAAGAAGGTATCCCAAGAAGGAAATGCTCAACCGAGTCCAAAGTTTTGACTATGGCTTAGGGGTTGAATAGGATGAGCTTAAACAAGTAACCATTACACTTGGCAGCATGCAAGCAAGGCTTGGTGACCTTGAAAACAGCAGCTACAGTGAAGTGGGAGGAAAGTAGGAGGAACAGAAGACCCTCTGGAGTGAGATAAAGAGATAAAGAAGTGAATACAATGAATATAGAAACCTCTTCCAATAAGCTTTGCTATGAAAGGGAGAACAAAAACTGGGTAGCAGCTATGGGAGCACGTAGGGTTGGGGAGATACAGGACGATGTGTGTGTGAAATGGAAATGATCTGGTAGAGAGGGTGAAGTGGAAGATTCAGGAGTGAGAGGGGAGAATGGCAGGACGAAAGCTCATGAGAGGGAATAAGATCCAGACCATGATGGATGGGTTGGCTTTGAATAGCAGTGGAGACAACTCTTCCATTTTAACAGAAAGAACATAGTGAATATGAGTCTGTTGGTTTCAAATTTAATAAACAACTCCAAAGATACACGTACATAAAAATATTCCACTTATAATCAAATATTTTCTATGTTTTAGTTTGTGCAAAATTACCCTGCTATTATATACTCACATAAACAAATATAGACATATTCAAAATTAGTTGTTTCAAGACATTTTGATAGCTAAATGAATGTTAGATAATCACTTAGGAAAAAAATTATTCATGTTCTCTTTTACATTCCTAGTTTACTACCATTTATATTTTCCACCTTCACTGTTTATGAATAGTATTTATCTTAGTTTCCCTATATGAACCCAAGTCAAACTGATACTGCTTTTAGAACTGATAAAATATGGATGCAGAAAAACTCCTGATTATTAAACAAACTATCATGTGGTTATGCATCGATTTACACTGTCCAGGCTAAACAGGCCTCTTTCTCAGCATGTTTACTACCATTTATATTTTCCACCTTCACTGCTTTTGAATAGTATTTATCTTAGTTTCCCTATATGAACCCTTTATTTTTCATGAATATGGGAAGTATAAAATAGTTACAACACCAAAGTTGAGGTTTTTCTAAATACAAATTAGACATTCCTAAATAACATTTCTCTTCACTGTGCCATAACGTACATCATTAAATATAAAAGTTTTGCTAATACAAAGTGAAAGTTAATACTGCCAAACTCCAGAGAAACAAAGGTCAGTTGCTGTGGGAACCAACCTTTGGACCTCTTGACCTTTGCATGTGTTGCATTAATGTGGATATTTGCATTGGATCTACTCCAAAATATAAATCAGGTATTCACTAATACAGTTATAAATGCAGATTAGCAGCAAAGAGACAGTGCTACATTTGGGGAGCACAAAGACAAACAGTAAAGACAATTGTTTAAAAATAGATATAGTATCTTTAAAACATTTCTCTCAGTGTCATGCAGTCATCTGTCACTTAACCTGAAGTCCTGGTGATATTCATACATGAACACAATTATCCCATTATACTTAATGTTCTTGTTAACAAAAGAGTGATAGTGTGGTAAACAGAATTCCCTGGTTTATTAAAGGATAATTATTGCCCACATGGTTCTTGTAATTTTCAACTCAAAGCTCAAAGCTAAAACAATCTTAAATTCTTTTGAATATTTAAAGGAATTTGTCTCTTAGCCATATCCTGCATTTGAAGTCAAACTGATACTGCTTTTAGAACTGATAAAATATGGATGCAGAAAAACTCCTGATTATTAAACAAACTATCATGTGGTTATGTATCGATTTACACTGTCCAGGCTAAACAGGCCTCTTTCTCAGCATGTTTACTACCATTTATATTTTCCACCTTCATTGTTTTTGAATAGTATTTATCTCATTTTCCTATATGAACCCAAAGAACACAGACAGAGCAAAATTGAAGTTCCATTCCATTTTTACATAAGCCAAGGGCGTTATGTACTTTCAGGGTCTGGTACCTAGCAGTGAGCCAATAAACATGCATGGATAGAAGCACGGATGGATGTATGGATGTCCAGAAGGACTATGAGGAGAGTAAGCTATGAAATGTAGTCAGACAATAAAAATAGAATCATAAATATATGTTTTATATCAGTTGAGAAAAATGAGACATAGCCAAGATTTTAAACAATCTGCTACCCTTCCTAAAACTACAAGTAGGTGACAAATGTCTTAATTCCATGGTTTTTCTTAAAGAAAAACCTATTTCTTCTACATCCTTTCACCACCCATAAAGCATACACTACCCCTCCCCTAATCTACCGACTCACACACTAAAAAAGTGAAACAGTTCTCCCAAGTATTAACTCAATGATACTCCAGGCTCTTATGGCTAAGTTTAAAAACTGATACCTGAGATTTACTCAAAGTTTCCAAAGCAAGCACAAATACAGTGTGGTAAAGAGTTGGAGAGAACAGTTCACAAAGACCCATGTTCCCAAGAATAACGTCCATGCTTACTTCAGAAGACCTTAACAGTTCAGATGTTTGGCAATTCACACCTGTAAATCATAAACTGGGGCAATCTCTTCAGAGAGTGAACGTTTTAGAGGCTGGAAATATGTCATTCTCATCTTCGTATCACAGGAGTCCATGCCACACAGCTAAATAGTAGGTACTCAATATATGTGTTTACTGGATGAACGAGTGAATGAAAAAATGAAGGCATCCATGCCTAGGTACCCTAGTAAGAAGTAAAATATAACCAGTAATCTAGTATCCTAAAGATACGTGTCAGAAAACAGATTATACCAACTCTTCAAATATTTGGTTATATACAGAAGTTAGCACCCCCAAAAACAGATTGCCCTGTAAATAAGGATTTCATGAAACTACAAATCCATCAAGCAATTAGTGAGAGAGAAGACAGAGGAGAATGAGAGAGAGAAATGAGAGGGAAGGGAGGAGGAGAGGATGTAAAGGGAGGGGAGAAAAGGAATACAACTACCAAAGGGTGATGGGTCAGCAGGATGGTACCTAAAATCTATGCTCATCGATGAGGCAATGGAAAGCCAGTTCTTTATTTTTGTTTCATTTCTTTATTTTATTTAAAGCCTAAAACTTAGCCAAAGCTAAGTATGAGGTTCACAAGGAAAGTAATGGCTCTGGGGTTGAGAGTTAATAAAATTCTGGAATGAAAAAAATTAGCAATGGCAGTCAAAAGCACAAATTAAGCCAAGATCTAATTATATTACACTTTCATGAATGTAAAAAACATTACGAAATATTTAATAATCTACCAAACTCCACACTTTTCATCCACCCAGGGATTCCATAGATTGCATACAATTATCTCTTCAGTTAAATACACAGCACTTGGCAAGCACTTAGATTCATGTTCACATCATTGTTCCTGATATTACTAGGCCACTTCAAGTGCTTGAAGCTCTTCCCTTGCCATTCTCTGTGCTTAGAGAGTTTTAGGTTATAAGGATTTCAATCTGCTTGTTTTAATCAGTAGTTCTGCACTATTTGCCTGTACCTTACATGTGAGCCTTTTGGCAGATGATTTATTTGATTTACTTTATTCTTATCTTGCCAACACTTCTAAAATTGAATAAAGGAAAAAAGAAGAGGGCTCAGCAGGCACTGAACAACATGTCACATTGTCAACCAAATGCTAAATATATATTCTGATTTCTAAGAGACCCTGGAACCTAAATTTTTAAAAACAGATGTAACTGCTTGCATTATTTATGATGTTTCCTTTCTTTTGCCTGCCATCAAGCTATTTGTGATACAAATAGCAAATGGGGGATATAAAAGTTATCTGATAACATGATAATCTAGATAATATCTTATCTCTATTGAGGGTCCAGATGATCTCAAAAATGACTGATTTCATGCAATATTACTTTTCCATATTATTTGATACATATAAAATAAGTAACATAGGTATATTTAGAAAGCAAAATAATAAGACAAATATGAACCACTACCTACCAAACCCATCACCAATTTAATAACAATAACATTACCATTGGTCTTGAAAGACAAACCCCTTGTTATCTGCAGGGGATTCATTTTAGGACCCATGTAGAGTGGATGTGCAAATCCTTGAGACAAAATGATGCTGACTGTACATCCTTAATGAATGTATTATTTCAATTTGTTTGGTTTCAGCTTCATAAATATGACATTATACTATGTGCAATTTCCTGAAACTTGCTTTTTTCACTCAACATTTTACAGGATATATCTGTAGGTTCCGCAACCATGATATAGTAGTCCATTTTCACACTGCTATAAAGAACTGCCCAAGACTGAGTAATTTATAAAAAAAAAGAAGTTTAATTGACTCACAGTGCAGCATGGCTTGGGAAGCCTCAGGAAACTTACTATCATAGCAGAAGGGGAAGCAGGCATGTCTTACATGGCAGCAGGTGAGAGAGAGAGGAATGAGTGTGAAGGAGGAACTGTCCAACACTTATAAAATCATCAGATCTCATGAGAACTCACTCACTATCACAAGAACAGCATAGGGTAAACTTTCCCCATGATCCAATCACCTCCCACCTGGTCCCTCCCTTGACACATGGGGAATATGGGGATTACAATTTGAGATGAAATTTGGGTAGGGACACAGAGCCAAACCATAGCATACTGCCCCTGGCCTCTCCCAAGTCTCACATATTTTTTCATTTCAAAACCTATCATGCCTTCCCAACAGTTTCCCAGAGTCTTAACTCATTTCAGCATTAACCCAAAACTCCAAGTCAAAAGTCTCATCTGAGACAAGGCAAGTCCCTTCCTCGTAGAAGCCTGTAAAATCAAAAGCAAGTTAGTTACTTCCAAGATACAATGGGGGTGCAGGCATTGGATAAATGCTCTCATTCCAAATGGGAGAAATTGTCCAAAAGCAAGGGGCTATAGGCCCCAAGCAAGTCCAAAATCCAGCAGGACAGTCATCACATCTTAAAGCTCCAAAACAATCTTCTTCTAACCATGTCTCACATCCAGGTCACACTGATGCAAGAGGTGGGCTCCCATGGCCTTGGGCAGTTCTGACCCCATGGCTTTGCAGGGTACAGCCCCACCCAACCACCACCCCCAGCTGCTTTCACAGCTGGTGTTGAGTGTCTGCATCTTTTCCAGATGCATGGTGTGGGTTGTCAGTGGATCTACAATTCTGGGCTCTGGAGGACAGTGGCCCTCTTCTCACAGCTCCACTAGGCAGTGCTCCAGTGGGGACTCTGTGTAGGGGCTCCAACCCCACATTTCCCTTCTGAACTGCCCTAGCAGAGGTTCTCCATGAGGGCTCCACCCCTGCAGCACACATCTGCCTGGACATCCAGGCATTTCCATACATCCTCCGAAATCTATGCGGAGGTTCCCAAAACTCAATTCTTGACTTCTGTAAACCCACAGGACTAACATCATGTGGAAGCCACCAAGGCTTGGGGCTTCCACCCCATGAAGCAACACTCCAAGTGGTACCCTGGCCCCTTTTAGCCACAGCTGAGACTGAAATAGCTGGAATGCAAGGCACAGAGCAGAGGGACCCTGGGCCCTGCCCATGAAGCCATTTTTTCCTCCTAGCCCTACAGGCCAGTGATGGGAGGGCCTGCAGGGAAGGTCTCTGACATGCCCTGGAGTCATGTTCCCCATTGACTTGATGATTAACATTCAGCTCCTCATTACTTATGTAAATTTCTGTAGGTGGCTTGAATTTCTCCCTAGAAAATGGGTTTTTCTTTTCTATTACATCATCAGGCTGCAACTTTTCCAAACGTTTTATGCTCTCTGCTCCCCTTTTTCCAAACGTTTTATGCTCTGCTTCCCTTTTAAACATAAGTTCTAATTTGAGGTCATCTCATTCAAGTTCAAAGTTCCACAGATCTCTAGGGCAGGGGCAAAATGGCACCAGTCTCTTTGCTAAAGCATAGCAAGAGTCACCTTTACTCCAGTTCCCAAGAAATTCTTCATCTCCATCTGAGACCACCTTAGCCTGGACTTCATTGTCCATACCATTATCAGCATTTTGGTCAAAACCATTCAGCAGGTCCCCAGGAAGTTCCAATCTTTCCTACATCTTCCTGTCTTCTTCTGAGCCCCCCAAACTGTTCCAACCTCTGTCTGTGTGGGACAGACAACTCTGTGGGGACACAGAGTTCCAAAGTCACTTCCACATTTTCAAGTATCTTTATAGCAGTGCCCCACTCTTGGTACCAATTTATTGTACTAGTCCATTTTCACCCTGATATAAAGAACTGCCTGAGACTGGGTAATTTATAAAGAAAGTAAGGTTAATTGACTTATAGTTCCACATGGCTGAGGAGGCCTCAGGAAACTTACTATCATGGCAGAAGGGGAAGCAGGCACATCTTACATGGCAGCAGGCAAGAGAGAGGAGAGAGGGTGAAAACAAAAACTATCAAATACTTATAAAACCATCAGATCTCATGAGAATTCACTCACTATCACGAGAACAACATGGGAATCTGTCTCCATGATCCAATCACCATTAACCAGGTGCCTTTCTTGACATGTAGGGATTATGGGAATTATAATTCAAGATGAGATTTGGGTGGGGACACAGAGCCAAACCATATCACATGGATTCATCCAACCGTGGATCAAAAATATTCAAAAAATTAAAAACTTCACCTGTACTGAAAATGTATAGACTTTTTTGCTTGTCATTATTCTCTAAACAATACAGTATCACAACTATTTATGTAGCGTTCATATTCTATTAGGTATTATAAGTGATCTAGAGATGATTTATAGTACACAAGATGATTTGCATAGGTTATAGGCAAATACTACAGCCATTTTATAGCAGACACCTGAGCATCTGTGGGAGATTCTAAAATCAATCCTCCTCGAATACTAAGGGAAGACTGTATTTCGAAGCTGGGTTTGTGTTGTTGCATCCAGTTGTATTTCATTCATTTTCACAGTTGTATAATCCATTGTATGAATATAACAAAGTATACACATCCATTTCTTGTCAAGGGATATTTGGCATATTTCCAGGTTTTTGCCATTGTGAACAATACAACTAGAAGTATTCCTATACATATCTCTTGGTTCACATGTGTAAGAGTTTTTCTAGGACTTATGCATGAGAAAAAATTATTGGTCATAGGGAATGCATGTGTTTATGTTTACAAGATAAGCCTAAATAGTTTTCCAAAGTGATTATCCTAATTTACATCCCCACCAGCAACAATGTGTAAGTTTCCATTACTCCACACATTGCCAACACTTGATGTAGAAAAGCTTATATTTCTGTGGCATTCTAGTGGTGTGTCAGTCCATTATCATGCTGCTAATAAAGGCATACCCAAGACTGGGTAATTTATAAAGGAAAAAGATTTAATTGACTTACAGTTAAGCATGGCTGGAGAGGCCTCAGGCAACTTGCAAACATACTGGAGGGGAAAGCAAACACGTCCTTCCTCCAATGGCAGCAGGAAGGAGAAGTGCTGAGCAAAGGGGGAAAGGCCCCATATAAACCCATCAGATCTCAGTGACTATCATGAGAACAGCATGGGAGAACCACTCCCATGATTCAATTACCTTCCATCAGATCCCTCCCATGACATGTGGGGATTATGAGAACTACAATTCAAGATGAGATTTGGGTGGGGATATAGCCAAACCATATCAAGTGGGTATAAAATGATATCCATTTTTGGCCTTACTATGCATTTACCTGAGTGTTGCTGAAGATTAATGTTTGTTTTTTAATGATGCTTGTTTTTAACCTATGACTTTCATTGGTATCTATTAATTTCTGAACAGTGAATAATTTTTCAAGTAAGCAGACAGTATTATCATTTCTTTGTTTCCATCAACAAGATCATGTCAAGTTTTTTTCATTAAATTGGCCAATCCATGTGGAGTTTTGAGCTGTGTCTGTGATTACCTGTTTTGGTCTACTTTATTACAGGTATGTTGGAATCTCTTTTAAGAAGCTAGACACTTTTCCATGAACTTTACCAAATATATGTCTTTATAACAATCTTTAGGAAATGTATTTGTACATATGTTCACTTGACTAATAATCTTTTCCCAATAGTGTTTTGTATATTTTCTAAGAATAATTATTCTAATGTCAAACTTAATTTGCTTTCCAAGTTTTAACTCTTCAATTTCACTTTTTTTTTTTTTTTTTTTTTTTTTTTTTTATTATACTCTAAGTTTTAGGGTACATGTGCATATTGTGCAGGTTAGTTACATATGTATACATGTGCCATGCTGGTGCGCTGCACCCACTAATGTGTCATCTAGCATTAGGTATATCTCCCAATGCTATCCCTCCCCCCTCCCCCGACCAATTTCACTTTTTAACAATAATTTTAATCCTATTCTTCAACTTTGTAGTTGAAAAACATTCTATAAATTATATTGTTACTTTCCAACTCTGATGAAACAAATATATGGTACTTCTATAACAAAAAAAAAGACACACAACATAAACAATATCTGGAACAAAAACTTATTTTCTCCAGAAGCCATTTGAAGAAAGCATTAGTACTTGGCCTGTAAAAATTATTTTTTTCAGGTAAGATCAGAAGAAGTACTATAGGAGTTGAATTGAAGGCACCACACTAATCAAACATTTGGCTCCACACAGGTTTGTTACATTAATTATCTGTCTCACACAACATCGGGAGGCAATTTTTGATTGTATACCATGCCAGTTACTGGTTATTACAATACAAATAGATATACATCCTGCCTCTGATCTGTCATTATATAATTTCTAAGAATGGGTTCTGTTTCTTTGAATATTTTCATGCATACACATCAAATTTTTCTTATTCATTGCACATGACTAGAATAGCAGTATAACTTCTATCAAACACAGTTTTATGACTTTATAGGACTTAGCTAGCTATACCTGTGGATACCACTTCCATCTCTGAACCTCTGCCAGTTAAACTATTTTATTAAAATCTATTGATGTAATCATGGTGCAGGAATGTTAAAAAAAAAAAAAAAAAAAAAACCTGTATCTTTCTGGTATGGTACTATAGGAATCCAGCCTCTTGGTAACCTGTTACACCGAGGCTGTCTACAAAATGATGTAATTGAAGAGTTCTAGCCAAACTATAAAACCAAGGAAATATATATTATCTCTGTAACAGCTTTACATCTAAAAGATGAACAACTGTCACTAACTTTAAAATAAGATGTCAATACGTGACTTCTTTCCATATTTCCAACCAGTTCAAAGCTGGAGATGGCATACAATCAATGCTCAGATTTAAAAATATCATAGAAACTATCTCCTGTGCTAGAGTTAACTTTGCTGTCTGCCTCTTCCTGGCCTCTCTGTAACATGAACACAGTTGAGCATACCCTTATTTTTTAACACTTTCCTCTCTTCTGGGAGTGAGGCTTTGAACACTCTCACAATCTTGGCTCTCCTATTGCCTTACTGGCCTCTCACTGTCAGGGTGTTTTGCTGGCATTTGCTCTTCCGGCTGACCTCTGATGGTTATTGCAGCACCTCAGGCCCTGTTAGAGCCTTCTCTGTTTACAATTTTGACCCAGATGATCTCATGTCTTTAATACAACCTCTTCACTGTTCATTCACAACATTTTTCTCCAGCCTTGATATCCTATCTGTGCCAAACCTGCACATTCAATTGACAATTTGGCACCACCAGTTAGGTAGCTAACAGGCATCTCAAACCTAACATATCCTGAGTAGAGTGATGCATTTTCATCCTTCTACCCTGTCTACGATCCCTCTCCCATTCTTCATTGCACCACCATCCAACCTAGCCAAAAATTTATAAGTCACCTGTGATTTCTCCCTTTCCCTCATTCCCATTTTCAACCTGTCATCCCATCATTTTAAATATTCTTTAAATCCATCCGCTTTTTTACACTTCTATTCTTGCCCAACGCTGACCTTCACTTCAACAATGAACTCCTATCTGATCTCTCTGCTTCTATTCTTCACCACACAATTCTTTCTACTAATAACATACAGGGCCACCATTTTCTACTTCATGTGTAAATCTCACCACTGCCCCACTTGAAAAATTACAGTGTAGTACCAATGTACTATGACTTACAATAAAATCCCAACCTCCTTACCATAACCTAATAGACTACTAGGGATCTGGCCTCATTCTGCCTCTCCCATTTGACCACCTATCCTTCTCCCCCTCCCTCACTTCCTTTGTGAAACTGCCAAACTCAAGTTCTGAAGCCCATTACACTGCTCATTCTTCATTTCTCTCTTCAAGTTTAATCTCTTTAGAGAGGCTTTCCAATTATGTGTACTTCAGCACTCAATTCATTTTTACCACAATGAACACTGCTATCAATAATTTATTTATAAATGTTTTGGTATATTTTCTGACTCCAGCATCTAAGTTCCGTAAGAGAAAACTTTTCTGTCGTCTTCACCACTGTGTTCCCATGTACTGAGTCTAGAACACTGGCTGGCTCAATAAATATTTATTAGATAAATAAATTTTTAAAGCCCCTCTCCTTAATACCAAATAACCACCAAAAAACAAGGCCATGTTTTTGTTAATTTTCATGTCAAATTTTAAAATATTGGATAAATTGCTTGATTTGCGTGCTATTCTTTAATTTTAAGAAGTAGTCACTTAAAAATTCTACAGTTTTTTTGTATGTCAACTACTGTATGTGAGTCAAAAATGCAATTGCACTCACAAAGTCAAAAAGTTCACTTCTATTTTTCCTTCTGAGAGAATTCAAGAGTAAAACCCTCTTCTTTACAAAGTCAATTGTAATTTACACCCATTAAGTTATCTGCCTTTCCAGACAATGGAATAATAATAGTCTAAGTAGTTTGAGAAAAATGCCTGGCTTTTGGCAAGTCCTGCTATTCTTTTCAAGATCTATCATCTGAAATTACTGAAGATTTCTGTATCTTCAAAGCTCTTCTTTTCAGACACTAAGAAACTGACACAATATTATAGAAGTTAAAAGTAGAAACCTCAAAGCATCCTTCTGTATCAACTACATTATTAATCTGATAAACATAAAATATGTTTATCAGAGTCAATACACACCAGCAGCTAGTGGTGGTGTTCTAAAAAATATAACACACACAATGGGTCCTCAGACTGTGCAGCCACCGTACCAGGTTGAATACAAACAATCTCCAGTATGGAATCTGGACACTTGGATCAAAAAACACTACAGGTTTTTCCCTAGTGGTACAAACTCCCCAAAAACTCATGTATTTAAGAGGCAGAGTAGAAAAGTGAGAAGGTAAAGATTTTAGATTTAAATTCAAAAATGCAGCCCTGCCTTTTACTAGTTTGTACTTAAGCATATTACATGTTTCCTTCATGAAATATTCTTGGAGCAACCACTCTCCCAGGTGCTGTGGTAGGTGCTAGGGCTCTAAAAATAAAGTAAGATTTGGTCTTTGATTTCAAACAGTTTACAGCTTTAGTTTTCTCCTAAATAAAATGGGAATAATACTACTAATCCCATTGATGATCAACCAAGGTAAAGAAGGCAACATACTCAGCAAAAAGAAAAGACTCAGTAAATAACCTGTTTTTATAATTCTCAACTAATGGTCTATGTGGGATTCCCCCTAGCAACTTACGGTATACATATGAGAGAAAAATTTAGACTCATTCCCTTTCCCTCATTCGGTCCCACTGGAAAAAAATCATACTCTAATTATTGATTTGGGCATAAAATGAATGATACTAAAAAACAGTTTATTTGCAAATTTTCAGTGTGCCTAAAGGTTTAGTTAATAAATGTTTCATTGTCCTCAAGTCTTTGATTCAATAAAATGTTACAAAAATCTACTGTGTTGATTTTACCAATGAAGATGTTTTTAAACATAGTATCTTCAACAGGTTGCCATTAAAAAATAGATACTAAAAAGCAGTCAGAGGAAAGCTTACCTTCAGTACCTACTGGACATTCAAAAGGTTTTGCTCCTTTTGATTTCTGGATCTCTACTTTATAATAATTAATTGGTTATGTCTAGGAATATGACCAAACAGTATTATTCTATTTTGTAGAGAATTACTATGCCAAATTCAGTAGTACATTATACTCCTATGGTGTAAAAAAGCTATTTTATGACTATCTTAAGAAGATAGTTTCTTATCTTCTCACAGCATAAGAGATTACTGTTCAAAAGTCTAGGCCATTACCAGGCCCTCTAATTGTGCTAATTATTTGAAATAACTTAAGTACCACAAAAGAAAGACCAGTAAATTGTCAGTTCTTTTGAAACTATAGTTCAATAACCCAATGTTACTATTACCCTAACATCAAGATTCTAATTTAGAGAGTTATAAATAACAATGAGGATTCAAATTAAATAAAATAAATTATTAGCTTACCCCCTCAGAAGTTAAAATGGTCTTGATATTATTTCATTAGCATTGAGGATTAGGTTTAATATTTTTTGTAAATGAATGTGTAAACTGCAAAGTTCTAAATAAATGTACATAATTAGCATGACCAGATAATCTCAATATCACCAGATAGATCATTGTTACATATATCAAAGACAGTGGGGGTCACCAGAAAAAATATCCTCATATCCAATTAGTCTCAAATGAGATTTCAATCAAGGAAAAGCTCTTGTCCTCCTCATGTATGAAAGCAAAGGATAATGCAGAATTTCTTTTTCATACACAGGAGAAAATAACTTTGAAAATTACTGAAAAGGCAAATACTCATTTTATTAAATCCCCTAACAAAATGCCTTTGACAACTCTTGATTGCCACCAGGCACACAGACACACTCACACACAGGCCCCAGAGCTCTCTGCTTTTCAATACTTTAACAATTCATCTGAGTATACATGGAGAAAGCCTGAACTCAGTAATCATGTTGTTAACATACATCTTTACTACTTTAATCTCTCTTTTAACAAAGAAAGTATACTAATTCAGAGTAACTTCAGAGACATGAAATTGGTCCTTAATGGATTGTCAAGAAAAAGTATACCTATTCCAAATATTGAATCTTCATTAGCAAATACAAAAGAGCCACATGTAGCCCACCACACTGCAGAATATCACACTCGGTAAGTTATGAGGATGATGTCATAAACTCTTTTACAAAGTGATATGGTTTGGCTGTGTCCCCACCCAAATCTCATGTTGAATTGTAGTTCCCATAATCCGCAAATGTCATGGGAGGGACCCAGTGGGAGGTAACTGAATCATGGGGGTGGGTTTTTCCTGTGCAGTTCTCATGATAGTGAATAAGTCTCACGAGATCTGATGGTTTTATAAAGGGCAATTCCTCTGCATATGCTCTCTTGCCTGCTGCCATGTAAGACGTGACTTTGTTCCTCCTTTGCCTTCTGCCATGATTGTGAGACCTCTCCAGCCAGGTGGAACTGTGAGTCCTTTAAACTTCCTTTCCTTTATAAATTACTCAGTCTTGGGTATGTCTTTATTAACAATATGAGAACAGACTAATACAGTAAATTGGTACTGGGTAGTGGGGTGCTTCTGTAAAGATACCCGAAAATGTGGAAGTGACTTTGGAACTGGGTAACAGGCAGAGGTTTGAACAGTTTGGAAGGCCCAGAAGCCAGGAAGATATGGGAAAGTTTGGATCTTCCTGGAAACTGGTTGAATGGCTTTGACCAAAATGCTGATAGCAATATGGACAATGCAGTCCAGGCTGAGGTGGTTATCAGATGGAGATGAGGAACTTGTTGGGAACTGGAGTAAAGGTAATGCTTGCTACGCTTTAGCAAAGAGACTGGCAGAATTTTGCCCCTGCTCTAGAGATCTGTGAAAGTTTGAACTTGAGAGAGACGATTTAGGGTATCTGGCAGAAGAAATTTCTAGGCAGCAAAGCATTCAAGAGCTGACTTGAGTGCCATTAAAAGCATTCAGTTTTATGTATTCACAAAGACATGGTTTGGAATTGGCACTTAGGTTTAAAAGGGACGCAGAGCATAAAAGTTTGGAAAATTTGTAGCCTGATGATGTGATAGAAAAGAAAAACCCATTTTCTGTGGAGAAATTCTAGCTGGCTGAACAGATTTGCATAAGCAATGAAGAGCCAAATGTTAATCACCAAGATAGTGGGGAAAATGTCTCCGGGACATGTCAGAGACATTCTGCACAGGCCCTCCCATCACAGGACTGGAGGCCTGGGAGAAAAAGATAATTCTGTGGGCTGGGCCCAGTGCCCTACTCTTCTATGCAGCCTCAGGACATGGTGCCCTGCATCCCAGCTGCTTCAACTTCAGCCATGGCTAAAAGGGGTCAATGTACAGCTCAGGCCATTGCTTCAGAGGGTGCAAGCCCCAAGTCTTGGCAGCTTACATGTGGTGTTGGGCCTGTTGGTGCAGAGAAGTTAAGAATGAGGTTTGGGAACCTCCACCTAGATTTCAGAAGATGTATGGAAATGCCTGGATCTCCAGGCAGAAGTTTGCTGCAGGGGTGGGGCCCTCATGGAGAACCTTAGCTAAAGCAGTGTAGAAGAGAAATGTGGTGTTGGAACCCTCACACGGAGTGCCCACTGAGACACTGCCTTGTGGATCTGTGAGAAGAGGGCCACCATCTTCCAGACCGCATAATGGTATCCACCGACAGTTGTAGCATGCACCTGAAAAAGCTGCAGACACTCAACACCTATGAAAGCAGGCAGGAGCGGGGGATGTACCCTGCAAAGCCACAAGGGTGGAGCTGCCCAAGGCTATGGGAGCTCACCTTTTGCATCGGTGTGCCCTGGATGTGAGACATGGACTCAAAGGAGATCATTTTGGAACTTTAAGTTTTAATGACTGCCCTATTGAATTTTGGGCTTGCATGAGGCCTGCAGGCCCTTTGTTTTGGCCATTTCTGCTATTTGGAATGGGTATATTACCCAATGTCTGTACCCCATTGTATCTAGGAAGTAACCAACTTGGCTTTTGATTTTATGGGCTCATAGGCAGAAGGGACTGCCTTGTCTCAGATGAGACTTTGGACTGTGGACTTTTGAGCTAATGCTGGAATGAATTAAGACTTTGGGGGACTGTTGGGAAGGCATAATTGGTTTTGAAATGTGAGGAAATTAGATTTGGAAGGGGCCAGGGTGAAATGATATGGTTTGTGTCCCCACCCAAATCTCATCTTGAATTATAGCTTTCATAATTCTCATGTGTCATGGGAGGGACCCAGTGGGAGGTAATCAAATGATGGGGGCAGATCTTTCTGGTGCTTTTCTCATGATAGTGAATAAATGCCATGAAATCTGATGGTTTTATAAAAGGGCACTCCCCGGCACACACTGTCTTGCCTGTTGCCATGTAAGACAACAGGCAAGACAATGTATGACTTTGCTCCTCCTTCACCTGCAGCCGTGATTATGAGGCCTCCCCAGCCATGTGTAACTGTAAGTCTATTAATCTGCTTTCCTTTATAAATTACCCCATCTCTCAGGTATGTCTTTATTAGCAGCATGAGAACGGACTAATACACAAAGATACGGATTCCAGGTACGCTCAAAAAAACACAAAGAATATAGATTTTTAAAGTTTCTAACCTAGTGATATGCAGTGCTAAGATGTCTCAAAACTGAGTCTGCCAAGAACCAGACACCCAAAATATAATACCAAATTATGGTCCACTAAATATAATATTAAAGAACATGAACCTATTCGGAGTAAATTTAGGCAAACCTCTTTATGGAGCAACATAAACATGGTTTTTGCCTGTATCTAAGAATGACAGGAGAACTATATAATATGCCATGGTCTTTCCCATTCCAATATTTAACTGTATGATCAGAATGTTGTATTCTCAGCAAAACTAAACCAAAATGATATCAGCTTTTCCCCAAAATCAGTTTATTCTCCTGCCTAAAGTGTAATTTTTCATCCTAGAGTGATCCAGTAGTGCAATTTCAGGAAGCAAGTTTTGCGTGAAGGAGCCTGCACTTCACTGTCGGACAGTTACAAGAGATGACAGTTTGTAATCCCATGGACACAGTGAAGGATGTTCACATATCAGAAAATCTAGAGAGAAAGGCATCCAGGGCCCTGCACAGGATGAGAAGTCAGCCACAAATTCATAAACTATAACAAGCATTTTGACCTTGAAGTCACAACATTTTCAAGGTTCCATTATTTTATGTGTAAAAATGGAGGTGAGTAACAAAAGTTTGAGGAAAGCCATTAAATTTTGGAGCATCCTAATATTGCTTAGGGGTACAAAGATAAATAAGGTACAGACTCTTCTCAGGGGCAAAGATGGCGAGCAGGACATCGCATATAAGGCTCTGGACCTAGGGGAAGACATCTAGGTTAGGAAATACACATTTGGAACTTATCATCATATGGGAAAATGTCAAGACTGAATCCTGATGCTATCAGCCAGGAAAGAGTATGGTGATAGCAGAGCTGTGAAAGAAAATCAATCTCTGTAGAGATGCCAATATTTAAGGAGAAGCAAAGGAAAAGATGCCTACCAAAGACTGAGTCGTGAGATGTGCTAGGAGAGTGTAAGGATAAGGCAGCCAGTAGCGATAGTCATGTGGGAAGGAACTAACTGGCAGTGGCAGATGTAGTAAAGAGCACTAAAGGGATAGGAAATTACTCACTAAATGTTTCTAGAATAGGGAAACCAGGAATTGAGAGTGGTCACATCTAAAGGCCTCTAGTTTTTCCACAAATTAAGAGGCACCACAAACCTGTGAAAAATTAAATTGGAAGGTTTTAGTAGGGTTTTAAAGAGAGTGATCAAAGTTTGGAATATTCCCTGAGAAGAATCTGCTTAAGGAAAAATTTTCTAGGCTACTAAAAGGAACAAATACCATACTGCCTTTTAAATGTGTACAGATGGGGCATACATTTAACTAATAATTATTAAAGGAGGCTATGCAAAAGGACAAAAATACGTAAGACAAATCCCTGACTACAAAAATTCAACTGTATATGTAACTTTCAATGCAATGCAAAAAACAAGGCCCCAAAAGAGAGTAGTAAGATGGTGTGCGTGCTTGTGTGTGTGTGTGTGTTTGTGTGTGTGTGTGTGTGTGTGTGTGTGTGTGTGTTTTGGGGGCTGCAGGTTATGCTAATCCATCTAACCTCCCTCTTTCAGCTACTCAGGACACAGGCATGAACTAACAAGACAATTCATGGATTTTAGGGGTACAATCCACAGTGTAGAAGGAGATGCTCTCCCATGTTATGCACTGATCGTACAATTTCAATGTTAAGAACATAATTCATATGTTCTTAGTATGAATTATAAGATATAACTAAATTATAAGAAATAACTAAAAACTGATGGAATGAGACACTCCCTCCTGACTTCCACAAAGTTCAGCTAGCTGAGCATAACCAATAACAGAAGAAGCTGGGTGACTGCACGGCTGTGACTTTCTACCAGCCTCTCAATTCAGTGACCAACATTCTCCCCAGAGGTTGACTCCAAGATAAACATAATCAACAAGCACCTACTGGTCAGGGCTGGAGTTAAAGTGGTATAAACAACAGCCCTGCCATCAAGGAGCTCCCATTTTAATTGGTAAGTATAACACAACCATGAGAAACCTTAAGTGACAATAAGATTTTGTAGGCTGGTCAAAATAACTAAGGAGGAGCTAGCCCCAGGTCACACATAACTATGAAAGTGGCAGGAATTGTTCTGGGTCTTGAAACTACTTAAAGGTCAAAACTTCTTGCTGCAGAGCAATAAATAGCCAGTCCTATTCTAATTAATTAGTATCCCTTTTGCCATCACTGCTGATAAACTCACCCTGTGCAATTCCGAACCATCTGTGTTTCTTCAAAGCTCTAACACTGCCAATGATTTGGACAACTCTATTTTAGGAGGCATTCATTTCAAAGATCAGATGTTTGACTGTTTCTTTGTTTTTAGGACTGGCAAAAATAAGAAGTAATTTGCCTGCTCGTTCCCTGCATGGCTGAAGAGTTACATCATGTACAGATGTTCACGAAGGTTGTGTTAATTGGTATTTTGTCCTCACAATTTTCAGAAGAAAATAGTCATATGCACTTTACCTTACACTTTCTAGGCCAATTATTTAAGATCAGATTGAAAAGCATTTTGGGGTTTAGATTCTACATTTTACCCCAAAAAAATAGCAATTTACCATAATTAGCACTCATAATCACTCAGCAGCAGGAGGATCCCTTCCCTGATTCTTTACTCTGTACTCCTACCTTCCCTTCACCCCTCTAGTTTCAGAATCTGGGCAACATTTCAAGCAAATAAGAATTGGGATTGGCCCAATCCTTCGAAAATTCCAGTCAACAAACCTGTCATTTATCTTACACTCATTATTCCCGTATCAAGCCACTTCCATGGAACATGAAGCTAAATTTGTGTTTAATTCTTTCCATGTATAAGTTAAACTATGACATTTTGAACTCACACAAAACTTTAAATTAGTTTCACCTAGGCTACAAAGCTAAATTCCACAAGGAATTCATTGTCAGGCTGAGGAACAGGCACTGAAGATCACCCCAAATCTTTATAAAAATTCATACTTCTCATGCATTTAATAAGCAGAGTTTTCTGTCCTAGTTTGTTGTCTGGGGCAGAGCAAAAACAAAACCAGGTTTGGTACCAGAGAAGCGGAAAGGAAGCATCAGGTCTGGACAGAGAGTCACAAATAGAATTGAGGGTGAAATCAGGATTGATTACAGGGAATCTGAATGAGAGACACCAGGAGCTTGAGAAGGTGAAACATCACAGTAATAGCCAGGAAACAAGAATCAAGGGTCAGATGAAGGAAGTGAGCAATCAAAACACAAGCAAAACAGAAACACAAGAAAAGATGTAGAGAACAAGAACCAAACAAGTGCCAAACAGAAGCTGATGCATCATCCTCCTAAGCTAACAGTTCTCATCCATCCCTTACTGAGGAAGAACTTAAAATTTTTACCAAACTCCCAGTGGAACCTAATGATACTGATAGTTGCAATTTATCAAGTGCCTGTGTGCTAAGCACTTTACATGTTTTATGTCACTTAAACTTCAGAACAACTCTGTAGTGTATTTATTAATTCCCTATTTTATGCATGAGAATTCCAAGGTTCAGCAAGGTTAAGTAACATCCTTAATGTGACCCAGCTAATAAGAACCAGGGTGGGGATTCAAAGTGCTCATTTATCTATAACATGCTATTTATGCTGAAGTTTACACATAGAAAAATGCATGCAGTTCTCATTCTATATTTGTGCTGTTCAATGTGGTTACTATTAGCTATATGTGGATATTGACACTTGAGTTGTGACTAGAGACACATGTTGAAATTATAATATTGGAGATATATCGAGTGAAATAAAATACATTGTGAAAATTAGTTTCATCTATTTTATTTTTAAAACATGCCTATTAGAAAATACAAATATATGTGGCTCATCTTATATTTTTCATCAGTCAGCACTATTCTAGAATAGAAGTTAAGTCATAACGAATCATTTTTTAAAAAATTTAGAACCTCCAAAGTTTTAGTAGTAGAAAAACAATATTCATGAGAGAGAAGAAAGCCAACCAAATGCCCAGACATTGTTGCTCGTTTCTCTTTTCTCAGTGGAATCACTTTGCTTACCACTGCCACCATCGTGTCAGCATCCAAAAGTGGAAACACACTCCTGTTCACTTCCCCCTGGTAAAGCTAAAAAACTGTTTGCCTCTTCAAAAAGATTTTGTGAACAACTGTGATAAAACACAGGTGAATCAAAGAAAATTCACAGAACATTAAAATAGGCCTCATTACAAGCCAGGGGTTTCAATTCTGATCTTAGTTAGCTTGTGTAAGAGCTTGTAAGTTTCATCTTTTCTCAGAAAAGCAGCAGCCCTCTAGGTCTGGGTCATAGAGTTAAAAATGTATAGAATCCACACTGGGTATATAAATGAGAGAAGAAGGTCTGGTGAAAACCATAAGGAGTAGTAATGAGTATGGTAAATAGATGATTTACCTATTTATCTATCTAAAGACATCACACTTGAAATTTTTTTAAACACTCTACAATAATTGCCAATGGGGTAACCAAGAAAAATCTTCCCTCTCAGTTTTGAGGCTATAGGTTTTCAATTCACTAAAATGAGAGTTAAGTTAAGAAACAACAGAAAATAAATACATAGGGAAAGAAGGTGTTAAGAAAAAAGAATACAGAGGGAAAGAAGGTGTTAGAAAGAAAATTGACCATAAAATGGCCCTGATTACTATACACAGTGCCCTTCCTATAAGACTCAAGGAATCTGCATCTTCACCTGACATGTATAACATAAAGCCTCTAACATTTGTCAAAATATTTTATGGATATGTGTTATGATACCCAATAATCCCTGAAGGTAACTTAAATTCAACAGCTTTTAATAACACAGAAGGAAAGTGGAATTGATATTGGAGAAGAAACTTACTCCAAGTTGTGTTATTTACAATAGCACTTTGACAGTCTGACTATGATTCTGGCCTCAGTCTATGGGTCATGTTCCTCTCTATTTTATAGGCTAGAAGCCAGGAGGGTGTGAATCACAGGAAACAAGTAGATAGGGATCATGATTCCTGACTTCCGAGTATCTCTAACATTCCTAATTAATATTTGTTGTGCAACTTTGCTTTCTTGGTAATTTAATTACTGAGAAAATGAATGGGGTCAGCAATAATGAGAGCTAATGTCCTTCATGAAGGAAACCCACAACCTGGTCCAAGAAGAACATATGCTTCAAAGGCAATATTCCCAGCCTGAAGAAGATTCCAGGACAGTCAGACGACAGGAGACACTGGGTGTGATATATTCACAATCCTTCAACAGATCACAACACTTGAGTTTCAAGGGTTACAGTTTAGCTATATTCAGAATAAAGGTGACAAAAGAAACAATCAGTTGAATATGAATTTTTGGAAACGGTTTTGTGATAAAGTAACAGAAACAGGGCTTAAAGGGGAAAACCCCAGCTATATTGCCATACCGACACCACCCCAATTGACCTAACCCAGGGTGCTTAACTTTGCTGGAGTTAAACTAGATTTGAGGACACCAGGAAATCCACCCTAATCACTATATTATCTCCCCACACTTGTAGGTGATGCCCTAAGGATGAAGATCCATGGGTAGAATTTCAGTCAGGATAAGGAGAGGACAGTGCTAAAAGTTCAACCAGGAAGGCATCACAGTCAAACTTCACTTACATCATAATTTTTTCATGAAACATCCTTCTCTCAGGATCTAATCATGAATTTCTACTTAGGGTCTAAAGTTAGCCTCACACCAGAAAAAGGAAGAGACCCAAAATATGGGTTGCACCTTCACCACACTGCTCCCACTGTGGCTTGCTTAGAAGTCGAATGGTATGGAAGTTCAGGCAATCACCTTGAATGCCTATAAGGTTGGAAATGCATTCTGTAGAAAGCCTGGTTTTTTGAAACTAAGAGTTACTGTAAACCTAATTAAAATGACTGGTGTTATTCCAGTTAAAGTCTCTCTTGGCCCATCAATGAATAAAAACTACCTAACAGCAAATGTTAGACATGGAGACTTTCCTTCAGAAGAGAGTTCCAAAAATTACTCTCATTGCTAGATAGTAGTACCTGACATTACGTCCTCAAAATTGTATCCTAAAATTATTACATATTATTTATTCATTCATTTCACACTCATTTCAGCTGTGTTTTGTGCCAGGCAAGACATCTGGAGTTGACAAAAAATTAGACAGATAAGATTTTTATTCTCTAAATAGCTTCCTTTCTAATTGGAAAGATAGGCTTAAAAAAAACCTAAAGACTTATTTTATATATGTAGTAGAAGAGAATGATGTGTTGGCCGGGCACAGTGGCTCCTGCCTGTAATCCCAGCACTTTGGGAAGCTAAGGCAGGCAGATAACCTGAGGTCAGGAGTTCAAGACCAGGCTGGCCAACATGGTGAAACTCTGTCTACTAAAAATACAAAAATTAGTTGGGCTTGGTGGTGGACACCTGTAATCCTAGCTACCCAGGAGGCTGAGGCAGGAGAATTGCTTGAACCCAGGAGGTGGAGGTTGTGGTGAGCCAAGATCGTGCCACTGCTCTCCAGCCCGGGCAACAGAGCGAGACTCCATCTCAAAATAAAAATTAAATAAAAGGAAAGAAAGTGATGTGGCGTAGTCTAGACATGACTTGTAACTTTCTTTACAATTCTCTTTCGATTAATAGAGTTTAAGGTTTGGAAGGATCCACAAAAATACGTAATCCATATATTCATCCAATCATCTCTACAAGCTCCCCACCAAGGGGCCATCCCATATATTCCAGAAATCCTTTGATGACAAGGAACACTCTTTCTCCAATTTATTGGTACAAACTCTTTTTCCCAGTAGATCCTGGTTCTGAGCCATGTGTATTAGCCAAAGTTCTCAAGAGAAACTGAACCAATAAGCTATATAGAGAGATATTTAAAAACGGGGATTTATTATGAGTATTGGCTTACTCAGTCATAGCGGCCAAGAGGTCTCACAATATGTCATCTGAAAGCTGAAGAACTAGGAACTAGTGTTGTAATTCAGTCTGAGTCCAAAGGCCTGAGAAGCAGGGAAGCCAATTGTGTAACTCTCAGTCCAAGGCCAAAGGTCTGAGAACTGTGAGAGGGGAAGTTTAAGTCCCAGACTCCGAAAGCCTGATAGTCTGCAGCTCTGATGTCTGAGGAGATGGATGTCCCAGCTCAAGAAGAGAGAGCACATCTGCCCTTCCTTCACCTTTTTGTTCTATCCAGGTCCTCAATGGATTGGATGATGCCCATCCACATTGGTGAGCATGAGTCTGCTTTACTCAGTCTACCAATCCCAATTCTAATCTCTTCCAGAAACAGCCTCACAGACATACCCAGAAACAATGTTTTACCAACTAGCTCAGTGTGACACATAAAATCAACCATCACACCATGTAAATCAAGTCAGAGTTTCCATCCATAAAAGGTATTTTCAAATACTAGAGGACATGGGTTACTTTGTCCCTGATTGATCTAAGCCAAGCCTAGGATCTTCAGCCTTTCGTCATAAGAAATGTCATGAAGCCCTTTGTCACTGAGGTCATTATTTTCTTCAATAGGTTCCAGTTGTCTGTGTACCTCTTGAAATTTGAGATCCAAGACTAAACAAAATTAAGAAGAGAATATATGTAATAAGAGCTAAGAAATAATTCTTGGGGTCTGATAGATCTGTGTTACTACCTAAGCTCTAAAACTGCAGCTGACTTTCTGCAAGTTAATTAACCTCTCTGAGTCTATGTTTCCTCAACTAAACTTCCACATAATAGAGATCAGAATGTTTCATTACACTCCTCGACGGTTGATTGTGAGGATCAAATGTGACAGAGCATGTATAGTACTTGGTACAGTAACCGACATACAGAAAAGGGTTGATAAATGGTCATCATTGTTCTATTGTTAATGTTTTTACTCTCCATCGTTAATCTGACTGCCCCAAACTAACACATCACTGTTAAGTAATCTTTGAAGTTGTTTAAAGTTTATTTGCAGACCCTCTATTGCCTGTTACGATTTTTCACCTTTTGGTTACAATTCCATGCTTTTGCTTTTTCATGTTTGATTTCTTGGCTTAGTAACTCACCTACCTTTGGCTTTTGCTTTCATCCCACTTTTATTTAGAGAAAAAATTCTGAGTAGAAATACCTGAGCCACGAGTCAGAGTTAATCTGGAGTGTAGATTCAAGATAAATATCTTATTCCCATCTGATAGAATCACAGTGAAAATATCAAATTAATCTAACATGCTCTCCATTTTTTTCTTGAAAAATAATTAAGGAAGGATATATTTCAGGTTTTATGCTTCCTTATCCAAATTATGTACAGATACTTCATGGAAATGTATTCTTAATAGCTACATTAACTATGATAAGTTCACTCACATCATTGTCATTCATGTCTAATTAACCTAAATGCCCAGCTGGGAGTAGTAAGAACTCATACACGGTAAGGAGAGTGAGTCATGTGAGATCTCCCAGCCCCCAATCCTGCCATTTGAATATACAAGGATAGGAGAGGGAAATGAAGATGACTGTTCAAGATCAAGAGGGATAACTGTCAGGAGAGCCTGGCAGGACTGCCTTGACAGCACAGATCTGAAGTTGTTGAGCAGGGAAACTTTTTTTGTTTTTTAAAGGAAAGCATTTGTGAAATAATAAAATACTAAGAAAAAGTACAAAACTGTCCCTATGAATCCAAGTCTACATAGCATTTTGAAAGACATATATAAAATAATTTTTCATAATTTTTACCTGTCAGAAATTAAATATTTAGTTCCCTTTAATAATAAGTTCACAGTTATATCCAGCTCTTTGTGTAGTATTCCTAACAACTATGCATCTAGGCTCTGCTTGATTATGATCACTGATGAGAGGCTTACCACCTCACAAGGCAACACATTCCATTGATTAGTTACACATTTCTTTCGTTTATTTGATTGAACTCTGCACCCTTCATAACTTCCCCTCCCGTGCCCACCCAATAATTAGCCTGTGCTCTCTCAACTGACATATCAGGAAGCTTGGCAGGCGGATATTGAAGGGAAGGAGTTGGTGGCTATTTGAGGGCAGTGCATTTTTTCATGTTACCTGTTAAAGAAGCGTGGTCACTTATTCCTACTAGAAGGAAAGCAGAAAGAATGAGAATGTATGTTACCTGGGTAAAGGTCTACCAAAGTCACACAACTCCTACATCAGCCACAGATCTTATGGCCCAAGAAGCCACATAGTAAAAAAAGTACTTTGGCCAACAGGCTGGCAGAGCCTAACCCCATGAAACAGAATCAGTAATTAGGTTCTGGAAACAAAGAATGAGACTTTATTCAGGAGCGCTGTGAATCTTATGAATGTATAAAGTTCTAGAGAGGCAGTAGTGGATAGCTAGGGATTCTCAAGTTACATGTTCATGTGTTGGGTATAAGAACCATGCTTATTTATTTTTTTTTTCATTTGTCTGGGTACATAGTGGATGTATATATCCATGGGTTACATGACATATTTTGATACAGGCATGCAATATGTAATAATCACATGAGGGTAAACAGGACATCCATCACCTCAAGCATTTATTCTTTGTGTTTCAAACAATCAAATCATACTCTTTTAGTTATCTTAAAATGAACAATTAAATTATCATTTACTCTAGTCCTCCCTAACAAATACTAGGTCTTATTTATTGTTTTTAACTACTTTTTGTTCTCATTAACCATCCCCCCTTTTCCCCACCCGCACACCCCAACTACCCTTCCCAGCCTCAGGTAACCATTCTTCTATTTCCATGAGTTCAATTGTTTTAATTTTTAGATACCACAAATAAGTGAGAAAATGTGAAGTTTGTCTTTCTATGCCTAGCTTATTTCTCTTGACATAATGACCTCCAGTTCCATCTACATTGTTGCAAATGACAGGATCTCATTATTTCTTATGACTGAATGGTACTCCATTGTGTATGTGTACATTTTCTTTATCTACTCATCTGTTGATGGACACTTAGGTTGTTTCCAAATTGTGGCTATTGTGAATAGTGCTGCCATAAACATGGCAGTACAGATGTCTCTTTGATATATTGACTACCTTTATTTTGGGTATATACCTAGGAATGGGATTGCTGGATCATATGGTAGTTCTATTTTTAGTTTTTTTGAGGAACCTCCAAAATGAAGAACCATGCTTATTTAAAATGCAGGCTGTTGGCTTCCATCCTTGGAGATTCTAATTCAGTGCCTCTGGTGCAGGGCCCAGGAGTCTTTACATTTAGCAAGGGCAACAGGTAATTCTGAGGTTCTTTGGGAAATACTGGTGCCATATTTAAAAGCTCTGGTGTCAGAAAGACCTGAATTAATACCTGGCCTTTGCCTGTGCTAGCCGTATTTCCTCTTTAGTAAAATGGAGATGAGAACCATAGTTCCAATCTCTTTGGGTTGTTGCAAGGATTAAATAAGAAAGTGTGTGTAAGTAAAGCATATAGCATACTGCCAACAGTGGCCTGTTAAGTAATTGTAGCAATTATTTTTGTTTTTCATTTTTACAATGTACTGATTTCAACTTTCCCCCAAGGAATTATTTACATTAATGACAACCTTTCCTTCTTGGCCTTCCCCTATTTCTGATTTTGTTTAAAATTCATCATATATATTTTGGAAATAGAGCATAGAGGAATCAACCAAAAGACTTGCTAATTTAGTATTCATTATGTCTTTCACATCCAACCCTTTCCAGTTCCAACTTCCCGCCCCTGGCCACTACCCCCTGCATTCTCACTGCCATTTCTCTTGCTTAGTCCCTCTCATATGTTACTCTTTTTGCCTAGAAAACCCTTCCAATTCTCTTTCTGAATATCTGTTTCACAGATGGAAGCTTCAGTGATTTTGTGGAAGTTTATAGTACAAGGATTGGGAAATTAGTCAATTTAGGTAAAATACACACACCCAAGTTCATGGCTCCTAAGTTCCATGTCTATATCCAGAGCCCTGTAAGCCACTATCTATCTAGCTGATCCAAGGTAACTTAGTGTGAAACACTCAGATCAACCATCAATACAATCTTCCTGATCATTGTATTTTATTGTACTGTATATCTATTTTATATTTTATTATATATTATATACGTTTATTTTATACTTATGTTTTATTTCATTATCTGTTATTATATTGTATCACTGTATTTTTAGTTTAATTGTATAATTGTCAATTTCTACATTTATCTCATTTAATCACTGAAGCTAAATTTCTAATAAGAGTAAGAAGGAAGTAGAAAATGGTGCAATGAATCATAGTTAATCACTCAACCAAAAACAGTAAGTTCTGATTCAATTGCCTAATTCAGGCAAATGCATTTTTGCCTCGTCAGTATAATATCTTAAATTTTTCACTTCACTTTCTTGATGTGAAGCTAAAATTTCTCAGTCTCATTACCAATATGCAATTATTATATGCAAATTTTAAAAATAAAGTAATGACTCTAATGGCAATTTTTGAAGTACTTGAAACATCAAACACTGCAAATAAAATATTTATAGTGTCAATATAAATATAACTGATGTAACAAATCAGCACTAACTTAGATGGTAAATGAGACAGTGACTGTGAAAGAATATTCACTTCTTCAATTGACAGTTAAATAAATCATAAATAAGTATACTATTGTAAGAGATCAGCTTATGCCACCCCAAAATATTCCACTTTGGCATAAAGAGGCAAATGAGAATTAATAGATGCAGAAAGAAGCCATCTTGGAGCATCCTTTATCTCACTAAAAGCAGAAACTTGAAACTTCTGGGAAATGAGGACTGCCACAAATCTCCTCTCCCAGGGAAGTTTTAAGGCCATGAAAAAGATGGAAAGTTGGCACCAAATGGATCAGCAAACAAACCTTACTAAAATAAACCTTATCTTCCATTAGTTTGCCCCATATATTTACCTTCCCACAGTTTGCTGCTTCTAAAAGCCTAAAACCCTTTTCCTTTGTCATGTCACTTTTCTACAAATGTATTGTTCCTTGTTACGATGATATATAGACACAAGTTCTAGCCAGTTCTCTGAGTAAGTCTTCACTGTTTCTTGCACACGTATGTGTGCTGTGCATGTTCATAAACTCTGTTTTTTGCTTGTTAACCTTCCTTCTGTCAGTTTAATTTCAAGATCCCTAGCCAAACAACCTAGGAGGGTAATGGAAAAAAAAATTCCTCCCCTATGCTACATACAATGTACAATTTTCTAATAATATAATAAATAAACTATATAGAATATCATATGGTAATGCTAAGATGCTCTGGGGAGAAAAAAAAAAGGAACAAGTAGGGAGTTGTCAAAGAAGCCCTTATGGAAGAGATTCAGACTTAAAGAAGATGAGTGAGTACCCAAGCGAATATTTGGGAAAAAATTCTCCCTGGATGAACCACTGAAAACGCCAAGAGGTTAGAGTGCGATTGGTGGGTTCAGAGGCCAGTGTGGCTGGAGTAGAACAGAAGAGAAAAGCAGTGGGAACCAACATCAGAAAGAAAATGGTAGGCCAAGACATAATGGGAATGATTGGCCATTATGAGGAATTGGCTTTGACTCTGAATGGCAAAGAGAACCACAGAAGTGTTAAAGCAGAAGTATGACAAGATAAGACTTAGGTTTTAATTAATCATCCTGCCAGGTACATTGAGATATTCTGTGGGGTAGGAAGAGTGCAAGTGAGCCACTTAGGAGACGATGAACTAACCCAGGTAAGAGATATTGCTGGCTTAGGCCAGAGTGGTAGCAGTGGAAGTGATGAGAAGTGTCCACTTACAGGATGTAAGGTGAGGTAGAGCAAGAAGACTCCCTGATAGATTGAATTCTGTTTTTAAGAAATAGAAGATTCAAGGAGGACCTTAAAATTTTGGCGTTTGTGCAATGGAAGAATAGAATTGCCCCTGTGTGAAATGGAAAAGGCTATGGCTGAAACAGGAGACTTTTTGTTGTTTGGTGTGGTGTGGTGGGGTATGGTGTGGTGTGGTGGGGTATGATTTGGTATGGGTTTTTTTGTGTGCAGTGGGATCAAGATTTCCATTTTGTACACATCAGATTTGAGCTGTCTATTAATTCTGCAATTAGAATTGTTCAATAAAGTAACTGGATACATAAATGAGGAATTGAAAATAATCTGAATACAAACACTAGTTTGCATACTGATGTTATTTAAAGGCATATAACTACACAGTATGACTATGCATCAATGTATACAGAAAAGACAACAGGAATAAATAATGAACTCAGGGTCTCACTAACATTAAGATGTGAGGGAAAAGAGGAGGAACCAGTAAATGACAATGAGACAAAAACGAGGTGGTACAAAAATTGAGAATGTGGTGTCCTTCAAGTCAAATAAAGAAAGTTTATCAAAAAGAAGTATGTGATTAACTATTTCAAATGCTGTTAATAGATCAAGTAAAATGAGGACTAAGAACTGAATGTTCGATTTAGCAATGCAGAAGTTTCAGTCGTCTTGACAAGAGCAAGTTTAGAGAAGAAGTACCACAAAGACCAGATTCGATTTTGTGTAGAAGAGGAGAGCAAGTGCTGCAAAATAATGGAGCAGTTGGAAGGAGCAGTCAAAAGAACTTTAAAAAAATTGAAGAAACAATGCATGTTTGTATACTACTGAAAATGATCCAATAAAAAGTAAATAACTGAAGATGAAAGGAAAAGGCAGAGTCACTGAAGTTATCTCCTCGGGGTGAAAGGAAATAGGATCCAATGCTGGGCAAGATGGCTGAATAGGAACAGCTCCGGTCTGCAGCTCCCAGCGAGACCAACACAGAAGGTGGGTGATTTCTGCATTTCCAACTGAGGTACCCAGTTCATCTCATTAGGACTGGTTAAAAAGTGGGTGCAGCCTATGGAGGGCGAGCAGGAGCAGGGTAGGGTCACCTCACCCAAGAAGTGCAAGGGGTCGGGGAACCCCCTCCCCTAGCCAAGGGAAACAGTGAAGGACTGTGCTGTGAGGGACGGTGCTATCCGGACCAGAAACTACTTTTCCCATGGTCTTTGCAACCCGCAGACCAGGAGATTCCCTTGGGTGCCAACACCACCAGGGCCCTGGGTTTCAAGCACAAAACAGGGCGACCATTTGGGCAGACACCTAGCTAGCTGCAGGAGTTTCTTTTCTTACCCCAGTGGCACCTGGAACACCAGAGAGACAGAACCATTCACTCCCATGGAAAGGGAGATGAAGCCAGGGAGCTGAGTGGTCTAGCTCAGCAGATCCACCCCCATGGAGCCCAGCAAGCTAAGATCCACTGGCTTGAAATTCTCGCTGCCAACACAGCAATCTGAAGTCAACCTGGGACGCTCGAGCTTGGTGGGGAGAGGGGCATCTACTATTCCCGAGGCTTCAGTAGGGGATCTTCCCCGACAGCGTAAACAAAGCCACCAGGAAGTTCAAACAGGGTGCAAAACCCACCATGCAGCAAAGCCACTGTAGCCACACTGCTTCTTTAGATTCCTCCTCTCTGGGCAGGGCATCTCTGAAAGAAAGGCAGCAGCCCCAGTCAGGGGCATATAGATAAAACTCTCACCTCCCTGGGATACAGCACCTGGGGGAAGAGGCGGCTGTAGGTGCAGCTTCAGCAGATGTTCCTGCCTGTCGGCTCTAAAGAGAGCAGTAGATCTCCCAGCACAAAGCTGAAGATCTGTTAAGCAACAGACTGCCTCCTCAAGTGAGTCCCTGATCCCCATACTTCCTGACTGGGAGACACCTCCCAGCAGGGGTCAACAAATACCTCATGCAGGAGAGCTCTGGCTGGCATATGGCAGGTCCCCCTCTGGGATGAAAGTTCGAGAGGAAGGAACAGGTAGCAATCTTTGCTGTTCTGCAGCCTCTGCTGGTGATATCCAGGAAAACAGTCTCTGGAGTGGACCTCCAGCAAACTCCAGCAGACCTGCAGCAGAGGTGCCTGACTGCTAGAAGGAAAACTAACAAACAAAAATAGTATCAGCATCAACAAAAAGGATGCCCACACAAAAATGCCATCTGAAGGTCACCAACATCAAAGACCAAAGGTAGATAAATCTACAAAGATGAAGAAAAGTCAGCACAAAAAGGCTGAGAATTCCAAAACCCAGAATGCCTATTCTCCTCCAAAGGATCATAACTCTTCACCAGAAAGGGAACAAAACTGGATGGAGAATGAGTTTGACGAACTGACAGAAGTAGGCTTCAGAAGGTGGGTAATAACAAACTCCTCCGAGCTAAAGGAGCATGTTCTAACCCAATGCAAGGAAGCTAAGAACCTTGATAAAAGGTTACAGGAACTGCTAACTAGAATAAGCAATTTAGAGAACATAGATGACCTGATGGAGCTCAAAAACACAGCACAAGAACTTCATGAAACATACACAAGTATCAATAGCCAAACTGATCAAGCAGAAGAAAGGATATCAGAGATTGAAGATCAACATAATGAAATAAAACATGAAGACAAGATTAGAGAGAAAAAAAAAAGAAAAGGAACGAACAAAGCCTCCAAGAAATATGGGGCTATGTGAAAAGACCAACCCTACGTTTCATTGGTGTACCTGAAAGTGACAGGGAGAAAGGAACCAAGTTGGAAAACGCACTTCAAGATATTATCCAGGAGAACTTCCCCAACCTAGCAAGACAGGCCAACATTCAAATTCAGGAAATACAGAGAACACCACAAAGATACTCCTCAAGGAGAGCAACCCCAAGACACGTAATCGTCAGATTCTCCAAGGTTGAAATGAAGAAAAAAATGTTAAGGGCAGCCAGAGAGAAAGGTCGGGTTACCCACAAAGGGAAGCCCATCAGACTAACAGCAGATCTCTCTGCAGAAATCCTACAAGCCAGAAGAGAGTGGGGGCCAATATTCAACATTCTTAAAGAAAAGAATTTTCAACACATAATTTCATATCCAGTCAAACTAAGCTTCATAAGCAAAAGAGAAATAAAATCCTTCACAGGCAAGCAAATGCTGAGAGATTTTGTCACCACCAGGCCTGCCTCACAAGAGTTCTTGAAGGAAGTACTAAATATGTAAAGGAAAAACCAGTACCAGCCACTGTAAAAACATACCAAAATGTAAAGACCATCGACACTATGAAGAAAGTGTATGAACGAATGGGTAAAATAACCAGCTACCATCATAATGACAGGATCAAATTCACACATAACAATATTAATCTCAAAAGTAAATGGGCTAAATGCCCTAGTTAAAAGACACAGACTGGCAAATTCAATAGAGTCAAGATCCGTCAGTGTGCTGTATTCAGGAGACCCATCTCACATGCAAAGACACACATAGGCTCAAAATAATGGGATGGAGGAGTATTTACCAAACAAATGGAAAGCAAAAAACCCACGGGGTGCAATCCTAGTCTCTGATGAAACAGATTTTAAACCAAGAAAGGTCAAAAAAGACAAAGAAGGGAATTATCTAATGGTAAAGGAACCAATGCAACAAGAAGACGTAACTATACTAAATATATATGCACCCAATACAGGAGCACCCATATTCAAAAAGCAACCTTTAGACACCTACAAAGACACTTAGAATCCCACACAATAATAGTGGGAGACATTAACACCCCACTGTCAATATTAGACAGATCAACAAGATGTAAAATTAACAAGAATATTCAGGACTTGAACTCAGCTCTGGACCAAGCAGACCTAATAGACATCTACAGAACTCTCCACCCCAAATCAACAGAATATACATTCTTCTCAGCACCATATAGCACTTATTATAAAATTGACCACATGATTGGAAGTAAAACACTCCTCTGCAAATGTAAAAGAATGGAAATCATAACAAACAGTCTCCCAAACCACAGTGCAATCAAATTAGAACTCAGGATTTAAAAACTCATTCAAAACTGCACAACTACTTGGAAACTGAACAACCTACTCCTGAATGACTACTGGGTAAATAATGAAATTAAGGCAGAAATAAATAAGTTCTTTGAAACCATTGAGAACAAAGACACAATGTACCAGAATCTCTGAAACCAGAATCTCTTAAATCTGTACCAGATAAAGCAGTGTTTAGAGGGAAATTTATAGCACTAAGTGCCCACAGGAGAAAGCAGGGAAGATCTGAAATTGACACCAGAATCTCTGTGACACAGCTAAAGTAGTGTGTAGAGGGAAATTTATAACACTAAATGCCCACAAAAGAAAGCAGGAAAGATCTAAAATCGACACCCTAACATCACAATTAAAAGAACTAGAGAAGAAGAGCAAACGAATTCAAAAGCTAGCAGAAGACAAGAAATAACTAAGATCAGAGCAGAACTGAAGGAGATACAGACACGAAAAGCCCTTCAAAAAATCAGTGAATCCAGGAGCTGGTTTTTTGAAAAGATTAACAAAATATATAGACCACTAGCCAGACTAATAAAGAAGAAAAAAGAGAAGAATCAAATAGACACAATAAAAAATGATAAAGTGGATACCACCACTGATCCCACAGAAATACAAACTACCATCAGAGAATACTATAAACAACTCTACACAAATAAACTAGAAAATCTAGAAGAAATGGATAAATTCCTGGTCACATATACCCTTCCAAGACTAAACAAGTCAAATCCCTGAATAGACCAAAAACAAGTTCTGAAATTGAGGCAGTAATTAATAGCCTACCAACCAACAAAAGCCCAGGACCAGATGGATTCACAGCCAAATTCTACCAGAGGTACAAAGAGGAGCTGGTACCATTCCTTCTGAAACTATTCCAAACAATAGAAAAAGAGGGACTCCTCCGTAACTCATTTTATGAGGCCAGTATCATCCTGATACCAAAACCTGGCAGAGACACAACAAAATAAAGAAAATTTCAGGCCAATATCCCTGATGAACATCAATGTGAAAAATCCTCAATAAAATACGGGCAAACCAAATCCAGTAGCACATCAAAAAGCTTATCCACCATGATCAACTCAGCTTCATCCCTGGAATGCAAGGCTGGTCCAACATATGCAAATCAATAAATGGAATCCATTACATAAATTGAACCAATTACAAAAACCACAGGATTATATCAATAGATGCAGAAAAGGCCTTCGATAAAATCCAACACTCCTTCATGCTAAAAACTCTCAATAAATTAGGTATTGATGGAATGTATCTGAAAATAATAAGAGCTATTTATAACAAAACCACAGCCAATATCATACTGAATGGGCAAAAGCTGGAAGCATTCCCTTTGAAAATGGGCACAAGAGGGCAGGTGCAGTGGTTCACGCCTGTAATCCCAGCACTTTAGGAGGCTGAGGCGGGTGGATCACAAGGTCAAGAGATCAAGACCATCCTGGCAAACATGGTGAAATCCTGTCTCTACTTTAAAAAAGTACCAAAATTAGCTGGGCATGGTGGCACATGCCTGTAGTCCCAGCTACTCGGGAGGCTGAGGCAGGAGAATTGGTTGAACCCAGGGGGCGGAGGTTGCAGTAAGCCGAGATCGCACCACTATACTCCAACCTGGTGACAGAGTGAGACTCTGAAAAAAAAAAAAAAAAAAAAAAAAATACAGGCACAAGACAAGGATGCCCTCTTTCACCACTCCTATTCTACACAGTATTGGAAATTCTGGGCAGGGCAATCAGGCAACAGAAAGAAATAAAGCGTATTCAAATAGGAAGAGAGGAAGTCAAATAGTCTCTGTTTGCAGATGACATGATTGTATATTTAGAAAAACCCATCGTCTCAGCCCAAAATCGCCTTAAGCTGATAAGCAACTTCAGCAAAGTCTCAGGATACAAAATGAATGTGTAAAAATCACAGCATTCCTATACAGCAATAACAGATAAACAGAGAGCCAAATCATGAGTAAACTGCCATTCACAATAGCTACAAAGAGAATAAAATACCTAGGAATACAACTTACAAGGGATATGAAGGACCCCATCAAGGAGAACTACAAAACTGCTCAAGGAAATAAGAGAAGACACAAACAAATGGGAAAACATTCCATGCTCATGGATAGGAAGAATCAATATCTTGAAAATGGCCCTACTACCCAAAGTAATTTACAGATTCAATGCTATCCCCATCAAGCTACCATTGACTTTCTTCACAGAATTAGAAGAACTACTTTAAATTTCATATGGAATCAAAAAAGAGTCCGTATAGCCAAGACAATCCTAACCAAAAAGAACAAAGCTGGAGGCATCATGCCACTTGACTTCAAACTATTCTACAAGGCTACAGTAACCAAAACAGCATAGTACTGGTACCAAAACAGATATACAGACCAATGAAACAGAACAGAGGCCTCAGAAATAACACCACACATCTACAACCATCTGACCTTTGACAAACCTGACAAAAACAAGCAATGGGGAAAGCATTCCCTATTTAATAAATGGCGTTGGGAAAACTGGCTAGCCATATGCAGAAAACTAAAACTGGACCCCTTCCTTATACCTTATACAAAAATTAACTCAAGATGAATTCAAGACTTAAACATAAAACCTAAAACCATAAAAATCCTAGAAGAAAACCTAGGCAATACCATTCACGACATAGGCATGGCCAAAGACTTCATGACTAAAACATCAAAATCAATGGCAACGAAGCCAAAATTGACGAATGGGATCTAATTAAACTAAAGAGCTTCTGCACAGCAAAAGAAAATATCATCAGAGTGTATAGGCAACCTACAGAATGGGAGAAAATTTTTGCAATCTATCCATCTGACAAGGGGCTGATAGCCAGAATGTACAAGGAACTTAAACAAATTTACAAACAAACAAACAAATAAACAACCCTATCAAAAAGTGGGCAAAAGATATGAGCAGACACTTCTCAAAAGAAGACGTTTATGTGGCCAAAAAATGTATGATAAAGAGCTCATCATCAGTGGTCATTAGAGAAATCCAAATCAAAAACACAATGAGATACCATCTCATGCCAGTTAGAATGGCGATCATTAAAAAGTCAGGAAACAACAGCTGCTGGGGAGGATATGGAGAAATAAGAATGCTTTTACACTGTTGTGGGAACGTAAATTAGTTCAACCATTGTGGAAGATAGTGTGGCAATTTCTCAAGTATCTAGAACCAGAAATACCACTTGACCCAGCAATCCCATTACTGGGTACATACCCAAAGGATTATAAATCATTCTACTAAAAAGACACATGCACATGTATGTTTATTACAGCACTATTTACAATAGCAAAGACTTGAAACCAACCCAAATGGCCATCAATGATAGACTGGATAATGAAAATGTGACACATATACACCATAGAATGCTATGCAGCCAAAAAAAACATGAGTCTGTTGCAGGGACATGGAAGAAGCTGGAAATCATCATTCTCAGCAAACTAACACAGGAACAGAAAACCAAACATCACATGTTCTCACTCAAAAGTGGGAGTTGAACAATGAGAACACATGGACACAGGGAGGGGAACATCACACACTGAGGCCTGTTGGGGGGTGAGGAACAAGGGAAGGAATAGCATTAGGAGAAATATCTAATGTAAATAATGGGTTGATGGGTGCCGCAAACCACTACAGCACATGTATACCTATGTAACAAACCTGCACGTTCTGCACATGTATCCCCAAACTTAAAGTATAATTTAAAAAAAAAAAAAAAGGAGAAAGGATCCAATGCACAAGTGGAGGGATTGGTGTTAGATAGGAAGGGACACATATTCTACAGCAATGATTGTCAGTGTTGGCCAGCAGAAATGTTCCCTGGGGAGTCTTTTTAAAAACACAATACCCAAGAAAAAAACAAACAACCCCATCAACAAGTGGGCGAAGGATATGAACAGACACTTCTCAAAAGAAGACATTTATGCAGCCAAAAGACACATGAAAAAATGCTCATCATCACTGGCCATCAGAAAAATGCAAATCAAAACCACAATGAGATACCATCTCACACCAGTTAGAATGGCAATCATTAAAAAGTCAGGAAACAACAGGTGCTGGAGAGGATGGGGAGAAATAGGAACGTTTTTACACTGTTGGTGGGACTGTAAACTAGTTCAACCATTGTGGAAGTCGATGTGGCGATTCCTCAGGGATCTAGAACTAGAAATACCATTTGACCCAGCCATCCCATTACCGGGTATATACCCAAAGGATTATAAATCATGCTGCTATAAAGACACATGCACATGTATGTTTATTGCGGCACTATTCACAATAGCAAAGACTTGGAACCAACCCAAATGTCCAACAATGATAGCCTGGATTAAGAAAATGTGGCACATATACACCATGGAATACTATGCAGCCATAAAAAAGGATGAGTTCATGTCCTTTGTAGGGACATGGATGAAGCTGGAAACCATCATTCTCAGCAAACTATCACAAGGACAAAAAGCCAAACACTGCATGTTCTCACTCATAGGTGGGAATTGAACAATGACAACACATGGACACAGGAAGGGGAACATCACACTCTGGGGACTGTTGTGGGGTGGGGGTAGGGGGGAGGGATAGCATTAGGAGGTCTACCTAATGCTAAATGACGAGTTGATGGGCGCAGCACACCAACATGGCACATGTATACATATGTAACAAGCCTACACGTTGTGCACATGTACCCTAGAACTTTAATAATAATAAAAAAATAAATAAATAAAAAGAAAACGGGAAGAGAAGGGCAATTGAGAAACCTTGAATCTGTTTACACAAAATAGACTTAAGTTTCAAACCAAAAGGGACTGCATAACCATAAATTGGCAAGATTAAGCCTTGTTTCCCAGAGCACAAATGAAGTTTTAAGAGCTAAACTAAGTTGAGATAAAAAATTATAAGGAAGTTTACATCTTTGTACTCCTGAATGCTAAGAAACCACTTCAATAATAGTAGAAGACATGCATTCAACACTTCGTAGTTGGCTCTGTGCTTAAAAACTTTACATGGATTGTCACATTCCTCTTCACAACAACCTTAAAAGTAAACACTATTTTTCACTTTGCTTTGCAGACAAGAAAGCTGAAACCTCACACCTACACAAGGGCAAAAGCCAAGATTCAAGCTGCTAGATTCAAAGCTGCTGACCCTAATCACTCTAATCATCACGCTCTATACTGCTCCATTTAATAGAGCAACCATTTATATATTACTTTAGGACATTAGACTCGGTGAATATCCCAACAGACTTACTTCCACGCCAGATTCATGTTCCTCAAGGCCTTGGAACATATTTTCAGAATTTTTTGTCTTCCTCTTACATCACTCTGCATGAGGAAGAGAATAAATAATTCCCATGAATAGCAATGTCTGTAATCCAATTTGTCAGGTGCCATGAGGCACAATGGTACACACGGGATTAGCACTTCCTTTGATAGCCTTGATGTTAAATCCTAAGAGGATCCATGGCAGAAGTAATTTGGTGCCAACATCTCTATAAATACAGTCAGAAGTTGTCTTCCATTCAAGCCTGGTGATAGTTGGTTTCATAAAATAAATGACTAGACAGACAGATGAGAGATCATTTATTTCCTTATATGACATGCCATATAGCTAAAGAAATTGCGCTGTTCAAGTTCTTGCTTCTCATGCCACCATCAGTTGAACCGTAATCATAAATAATTTTAGTTTTTCATAAGGTATTCTGTGATTAAAGTGTATTACCTGCTTTTTTCAATTTTAGGATTATTGGAAACTCTAATCCATTTCATGTGTTATCTTTCAGCACTCATAATTAATCTCTGCTATGAGCACCCAAAAATTAAACCTCATGCTGTATGCTTATATTAGATTGGAAATCTCAGGTACCTTGGTTCATATGACACATGAAAATAATTTTAGATGAAAATATTGTAATATTCCAATTCAAATAGATATAATAAAAAAGGCACAGTGTCTGATCTTATGCTGTGTGAGCACTTGGCACTGGCCAGCTGCTGTGAAATTGGATACCTTTTAATGTCTTTCTGTAATAAGCATATTCTACGGAAACAGTGAATGAGAAAACCACACACCTATCGTGGAATTTTTATTGCAGCTTACCTGTGGTCTTTTGTGAAACTCTATATAATACAAAAAATCCTGTATCTGTTCTGCTTCTCCCAGTAGTTTCAAAAACTGAAGGGCAATAAGCTACTTTAATCTCTAGTTTGGAAGGTACAGTTTAACTCTAGTTCCATGCATCCCTGGTGGTCATTGCCATTTTGTAATGTTACAAAGGCTTCTGTTTTAAAATGTGCTGTGGGCTTATATAGCAACTTTATCAGATTAATTATCTTCTTTGGGAAATCTTCTGGAACACAAAAAGTAATATACAGCAGACCAATTTTTGTATCAGCTATGTGCCAGGATAGTTCTAAAGATAATCAAAATTCTATATACAGGGCTCTTACCTGCCTACAAAAATGTATTTGAAGATAATTCTACGTCATCAATGTTTTTATCCCTTACAAATTTTATACCTAAGTATAAATTTCCCCCTTTGCCTCATACCTTTTTCACCTGAGCCACATCAAATAACATTATAAATCATTGAATCATTTAAAATTAAATTTTATATCAGAAAATTAATTTCCTCCTCCAAATTACTAAAATAATGTATATTACTAGTATTCATAAATGAAAAGCAGCCAAATGGTATTTTAAAGGGAGAAAACCAGATTTTAGATTTTCCTATTTGAAGAATAGTCTCCAAAACGTCACCACAAATGCAGCCCATTGATTCCAGCTGACTGGTGCCATTTATGGCAAAAAGATAAGGTGAGATGATGCACATTCCTTTTTGAATGTGTTCAGATTTTGAAAAGAAACTTTAAGGTAGTAACCCTTCAGTGACAGTGATAAATAGATGCCTCCCAAGACTGAGAAAAGAAATCACTCGAGAAGTGAAAAGTGAAAAGTGGAAGGTGAAACAGCAAGGAGAGGCATAATATCATCCACACCCATAACTCTCTGCAGAGTTTTGCTGTTTCATCCAGGCTGGAGTGCAGTGGTGCTATCTCAGCTCACTGCAAGCTCTGCCTTCCTGTTTCAAGTGATTCTCCTGCCTCAGCCTCCCAAGTAGCTGGGATTACAGGCACCCCCCTCCACCACGCCCAGCTAATTTTTGTATTTTTAGTAAAGATGGGGTTTCACCATGTTGCCAGGCTGGTCTTGAACTCTTGACCTCGTGATCTGTCCTCCTCGACCTCCCAAAGTGCTGGGATTACAGGTGTGAGCCACCGCGCCCAGCCCCATAACTCTTGTAATGGCCCAGGACAGGCCCGCAAAGTACTTCTTTGCTATTCCACAAGTTTCCGGCTTTCTGCACCTAACCAGCTCCCTTAACCTTTCCAGAGCTGCCTTCTTCCTGGCAGAGAGTTGATTCCTTAATATGTTAGGAAGATCCATTGGAAATTATTCTGCATGGTAGACTCTCTGCTGTTAGATCCTAGCAGGCTTATCCAGCTGCTGTCTCCTGGAAGTACGGAACTAAGAAAGCCAAGCTAGGTTAAAGGCAACATGAAAGCCAGCAGAAAATTGAATTGACCCAGCTGAGGTTATTATCCAGTTTTCCCCCAAACTACATCTACATAGTGAAAAAAGACCAAAGGAGTTCAGGGTAAAGGAGGTTCTTGTACTGAATCAGGAAGGAAACTTTGTATGAAAACCTGAATGTGTCTCATTTCTAGATTTATTTCTGAACCTCCATAGTATCAAGGAAGGAACACAGAATTTGCCATCAATCAGACTGAGCTCAAATCCTAGTTCAATCTGTTAAAGATTCTTTAAAAACATCTTTAACAGCTATGAGATATAGTTTCCACCTTTATGTAATGGATAGGAAACACCTACCTCATTTGCTTGTCATGAGGATTAAATAAGATAACATAATAAAGTTACTGGTGCAGAACTCGAAACCAGGGCTAAAAGATATGTTTCCTGGATGGGTACAGTCTCTCACACCTGTATTCCCAGCACTTTGGGAGGCAAAGGCAAGAAAACTGCTTGAGACCACAAATTTGAAACCAGCCTGGGCAATTATAGCAAGACCCCATCTCTACAAAAAAATTAAAAAATTAGCCAGGAGTGGTGGTGCACACCTGTAGTCCCAGCTAATGGGAAGCTGAGGCCGACAGGAGACTAAGGATCTTTTGAGCCCAGGAGTTTGAGGCTACAGTGAGCCATTATCACACCACTGCACTCCAGCCTGGGTGACAGAGACAGACCCTGTCTCTTTATATATCTAAGGAGCAGCTGTTGTAATGGTAATTGATATAGTAAGAACAATAATGACCTTTTGTTGAAGGCTTTATAAGCTAGGCATTGTGCTAAGCACATAGACATAATGTTTCTAAATCTCATTTTAAAACTCCACAACATAGATGGTATTTAACAGAAAAGTATCCCTGTTAAGTGGTAAAAGCAGCAAGGAGAAAACTGGACAGGTAGATTAAATTCCATCACTTGCTTTGAGTTGCAGTTCTGACAAATAAATTAGCATCGAATTTTATTTCAGAAAGGTTAAGTGACTTCCCCAAAGTCACACAGCCAGAAACTGCCTAATGCCTCATTTTCGTTGTATATCTTAGGTGTAATTGTTTTCCTAGTTTATACAACATATCGCAAAACCTAAAAATAAAAGAGATATTTGAGACCCAAGTAAATCCATACAAACTCACTATCCTGAATCCTGTTGCTGCACAGCACAAGACTGTCAGATAAATACTGTTCTCCAAAACTTCCCTAACCAGAAACCAGGGGAGTGGCCTAAGGTAATACTTATCAGAGAGAAGAGAATACTAGCACCCCTAGTCTGCCCACAAAGTCCCCAGGAGCTGGGCTAACAGTGACCCAGGATCACAAAATTCCAGAAGAACTCAGAAATTCAAAATTGGGAAATAAAGCCTAATCTTCACCACCAGTAATGACACAAATTAAAGTTAAGTACTGGGAGAAAGCCGACAACTAACTCACCAGGAATTAATGTTGAGTCCAAACATCAACTGAAATCAAGATAAGATCCTTCCTGTAATTCTTTATTATGCTAAACTGAACTCTGATATTTAAAAACTCTGGGACCATCAAACACATACCAAGATTATTGTTTGCCTGGGAAAACCCTGCTTAAACGCAGAAGATAAAATGACTTCAACTTCTCCAGATGTTTCTCCATGCTGTCTATGACACTTGAAAGAGATGCTCTTCTGCATCTCAGAAGCTGTGTTTCAAACACTGAGCAGAGTGAGTTTCTCTAGAGAGGACCTTTCACACTGTCTCTCTCTATGTTTATCACATAGTGAATCCAATGGCTAACTCAGGAAAAGAATAAGTAAATAGACCAAAGTCTAAATATATAAAATTGATTGATTTTGCAATATTCTCTACTTCTTGAAAGTATATATGACTCCACAGTTAGTACTTTTTGAGAAATATTTTTAATGTATAAAGTGAAGAACACATATATCTCAGATCGGATATGATTTATTAAAAAGTAGGTTCACTTGACTGAGTTTATAAGCATTGACCAAGCCTGGCACGAGTACATGAAATTACTAATTATTGACTGTACAGCACCATCAACTGAATCAGGATGAGAAAAAGAACTGTGAAGTGCTATATGCAAAGTGCTAGGCTTTACTAATATATCCTTACACTAAGAATGTTAATTCTATGATGGTATATTTTATTTTTAGAATGTCTGGTTCTGACTACATTTTCCAAAAATAAGTATTCAATAGTAAATGGCAAGAAACCCAAGCACCAAAATGATAATAAATATTTCAAGCTACCTTTCCCAGAAACACAATCTGTTTCTCAACTGATAGAAATTCATCATAAGCCACTGTCTATATCTTTGGAAAATTTTACTGTGCAATAATTCATCAAAAGCCACTAGACCAAATTGCCATTTAATCCTTGAACCAAGGAAACAATTCATATAGCTATAAGTTTATAAACATCTTACCAAGAGTTGATGTGCTACACCACAGCAATTTCAAAGTCCATCCAATATACCATCAACTCTAATTCTTGGTACAGTATATACTTACCTTCATTATGGAATTTATACAAGCTTAACAAGAATCACAGTTTTAAGAAAAAATAATATGAAATTCTTCAGTATGTTTATCACATAGAATAGAAAAATAGTGAATATTTCTCATTTTTTGAAAGATCAACTTTTGAACAAAACACAAAGAGAAACAGAGATTTTAAACATCTGAATTCTAACCTCTACACAAACAAATTAGAAAATCTAAAGGAAATAGATAAATTTCTGGAAACACACAAGCCCCCAAGATTGAACTAGGAAGAAAGTGAAAACCTGAACAGGCCAATAGTAAGTTCTGAAATTGAATCAGTAATTAAAAAAAAAACTTACCAAACAAAAAGATCTCTGGACCAGAGCAATTCACAGCTGAATTCTTCCAGACATACAAAAAAGAACTGATATCAATCCTACTGAAACTATCCTAAAAGATTAATAAAGAGAGAATCCTCCCTAAATCATTCTATGAAGCCAGCATCACCCTGATACCAAAACCAGGAAAGGACATAATGAAAAAAGAAAATCACAGTCCAATATCCTCATCAAAATACTAGCTAGCCTAAACCAATAACACATAAAAAAGATAATATACTATGATCTAATGGGTTTCATCTCAGGAATACAGGAATGGCTTAACATATGCAAGTCAATAAATGCAATACATCACATAAACAGAATTAAAAACAAAAATCATATGATCATCTCAATAGATGCAGAAAAAGCATTCAACAAAATCCAGCATCCCTTGGCCGGGCACAGTTGCTAATGCCTGTAATCCCAGCACTTTGGGAGGCTGAGGTGGGTGGATCACCTGAGGTCAGGAGTTTGAGACCAGCCTCACCAACATGGTGAAACCCTGTCTCTAACTAAAAATACAAAACTTAGCCAGGTGTGGTGGTGGGCACCTGTAGTCCCAGCTACACAGGAGGCTGAGGCAGGAGAATCACTTGAACCCAGGAGATGAAGGTTGCAGTGAGCTGAGATCATGCCACTGCACTCCAGCCTGGGTGACAGAATGAGACTCCGTCTCAAAAAAACATAAAAATACAAATAAATAAATAAATAAATAAATAAATCCAGCATCCCTTTATAATAAAAACCCTCAACAAACTAGGCAGAGATGGAAAATACCTGAAAATTATAAAAGCCCTATATGAAAATCCACAGCCAATACACTGAATAAAGAAAAGTTGAAACTATTTCCCCTGAGAATTGGTACAAGACAAGGATGCCCACTTTCACCACTTCTATTCAACATAGTACTAGAAGTCCTAGCCAGAGCAACCATGCAAGAGAAAGAAATGAAGGGCATCCAAATTGGAAAATAGGAAATCAAACTATCACTGTTCACCAATGATATAACCATATACCTAGGACACCCTAAAGACTCCTCCAAATGACTACTAGATTTAATAAACAATGTCTCAGGTTACAAAAATCAAAGTACACAAATCAGTAGCACTGCTATCACCAACAATAACCAAGCTGAGAAGCAAGTCAATAACTCAATCCTTTTTACCATAGCTGCAAATAAAATAAAATATCTTGGAATATACTTTAAAAAGAAGGTGAAAGATCTCTACAAGGAACTAAAAAACACTGCTGAAAGAAATCATATGACACGAACAAATGGAAATGCATCCCAGGTTCATGAATTGGAAGAATAAATATCATGAAAATGACCATACTGTTCAAAGCAACCTACAGATTCTAAGTGCAATTCCTATCAAAATATCAACATCATTTTTCACAAAATTAGAAAAAAACATTAAAATTCATATGGAACCAAAAAAGAGCCCAAATAGTCAAAGCAATCCTAACCTAAAAGAACAAATCTGGAGGCATCACATTACCTGACTTCAAATTATACTACAAGGCTACAGTTACCAAAACAGTATAACACTGGTATAAAAGTGGACACATAGACTAGTGCAACAGAATAGAGAACCCAGAAAAAAAGCCAAATACCTACAGACAACTGATCTTTGACCAAGCATACAAAAACATAAATTGGCAAAAGGACACACCCTATTTAATAAATGATGCTGGGAAAATGGATAGCCACATGTAGAAGAATGAACCTGGATCCCTATCTTTCACCTTATACAAAAATCAACTGAAGATGGAGCAAAGACTTAAATCTCAGACCCGAAACCATAAACATTCTAAAAGAAAACTTAGAAAAAATTCTTCTGGACGTTGGCCTAAGCAAATAATTTATGACTAAGACCACAAAAGCAAATGTAACAAAAACAAAACTAAATAAATGGGACCTAATTAAACAAAAAGCTTTTGTACAGCAAAAGAAACAATCATCAGAGTAAACAACCCACAAAATGGGAAAGAATATTAACAAACTATGCCTCTGACAAAGAATTGATATCCAGAATCTACAAGGAACTCAAACAAATCAGCAAGAAAAAAAACAAATAATCCCATCAAAAAGTGGGCAAATGGCATGAATAGAATTTCTCAAAAGAAAATATGCAAGTGGCCAATAAATATATGAATAAATGCTCACCATCACTAATCATCAGGGAAATACAAATTAAAACCACAGTGAGATACCACCTTACCCTGTATGAATGGCCATTATTGCAAAGATAAAATACAATAGATGTTGGCAAAAAGATTTCACCACTATACAATTCATCCATGTAATCAACAACAACTTGTACCACAATAGATATGGTAAAAAAAAAAAAAAAAAAAAAGGGAAAACTTATATATTGCTGGTGGGAACATAAATTAGTAAAACCTCCTTAGAAAACAGTATGGAGACTTCTTTTTTTAAAACCTTTATTTTAGATTCTAGGGTACATTTGCAGATTTGTTATGCAGGTAAACTGCACATCACAGGGGTTTGGTTTACAGATTATTTTGTCACCCAGGTACACAGAGAGGGAAACAACAGACACTGGAGCCTACTTGAGGGTGGAGAATAAGAGGAGGGAGAGGATCAGAGATTTCTAAAGAACTAAAAGTAAATCTACTATTTGATCCAGCAATCCCACTCCTGGGTATCTACCCAAAGAAAAGTCATTGTATCAAAAAGACACCTGCATGCATATGTTTATTGCATCAAAATTCACAATTGCAAAGATATGGAACCAACCTAAGTGCCCATTGACCAATGAGTGAATAAAGAAAATGTGGTATGTATATACATCGTGGAATACTACTCAGCAATGAAAAAGAATGAAATAATGTCTTTTGCAGCAACTTGGATAGAGCTAGAGGCCATTATTCTAGGTGAAGTAACTCAGGAAGGCAAAACCAAATACCTTATGCTTACACTTATAAGTGGGAGCTCAGCTTTTGGTATGCAAAGGCATACAGAGTGACATAATGGACTTTGGAGACTCAGAAGGAGGAGGGTGGGAGGTGGGTGAGGGATTAAAAAAAAAACTACAAATAGGGTACAATGTACACTACTCAGGTGGCGGGTGCACCAAAATCTTAGACTTCACCACTATATAATTCATCCATGTAATCAAAAACAACTTGTACCCCAAAAGCTACTGAATTCTTTTTAAAAAAGTATACCTATCGTTACTGAGCATTGTGAGTCCAGGCACACCCTACTAGAAGTTAAACTGCCAAAGAATAGTAGATGCATTTAAGTTTTTCAATGGTATCTGGAAAGTAATTTGAATTTACCATTTAATCCATAAATTAATTTAAAAAGACATTAATGAGATTTGTGTGTGGCTAGATGTTACTTGTTGATTACAATATTACTCTTAATTTATATTGTCATTTTAGTTGCCTAGAAAATATGACTGGTTAGATTTCTACTCTTTTGAAATTAATGACATTATTAAGGCTAAAATCTTGCTATTTAATTTTTTCCTCTGGTATTTGAATACAATGTGTATCTTTGGTTTATTGGCAAAAAATACTATCCATTTTTCTCTATGTGGAATTAGTCAAACTTTCTAATAAAGTTATTCAACATTAAAAATAAAAATAAAAAAACCTTGAGTTCTGGCAGTTCTACCCTTAACTACTTGCATGATCTTACCTGATTTGGATTTCAAATTCCGCATCTATAAAGTAGGAAAAAGTACAGTCTCTGTCTACTTCATATGCTTGTTTTGTGGAGCAAATGTGATAATTTATGATACACATAAAATATGTAATGTTATTATCAAGAGCATTTTCAAATGAAAGAAAACAGGACAATACATTTGATGGCTGCCTCTCTTCACGTGACTTTTCTTTTCACCCACTCAAAGCACAAGTGCCAAAAATAAGTTATTGCCTAAAGTAAGATCCAGAGAAAAAGAGCAATATCCTGGCAATGAAATCTCTAATCTTGGAGCAGTTACTCAATTACACTGAGCCTTAGTTTTGCCTTCTTTAAAATAGAACAGCTTACCTGCTTCCACCTACAGAGAAACATGACAATAGATTTAACAGTGTTGTCTTACTCAGCTTCCTCATATGTAAAATTGGCTTTCTGGATAATGTATTTAAAGCCAATAGCCTGGTACTTAGCATATTCATTCATTCAACAAATAATCTGTTCTGGCTGCTACAAATATAACAGAGAACAGAACAGAAAAGCCCCAGGCCCCACTGTGGTTACCTTATAGTATGGGAAGATAGATAATAAACAGACTAAGTCAAATAGATAGTGGCAGTGCCAGCTTCATAGACATGTAATGTGTGCAATTGCATAAGGTCCCAAGCCCAGACACCCAGTGCTTGGTTTAATGCCCTGCTATTGCCATCTTGAAATTCTTAATAGTTTGTGAACAAGGGGACCCACATTTTCAGCTCCTGGATGGTGGTAGATGGTGGTATGGAGAAAATAAAGTGCAAAGGGATTAGGAAACGTGTGTTGGCAGGTAGGAGGAGTGGCCATCAGGGCTTCAACATGACATTACACATTTCGGCACTACACAAAGGTGCCCAGGTGGGGAAGACAGTGAGGGCTGAAAACTGCCTAGAGGGAGAGGCCTTACTCTGCACAAATCTGATTCCAGGTAACTCTCCAAGCACCTGGCTTTAGAGGTAACAATCACATAGATTACAATGGGCCTCAGATATCTTTAGATGCAGTCAACCCAAAGCCTGCCTGCTTGTCCAGCTGTGAACCGCAGAGTGATACCCCCAGAATGGGCATCCTTTTCTCATCTACGCAGAGGTGCAGGTGAAGCTAGCAATGGGCATGCTGGTCAGTAAATGCCACTTGAGGAAAGGTCTGAAGAGGTGAGCAAGTAAGTTGTGTAGAATGGAGGAAGAAGGAGTTAGGCAAAAGGAACAGTGAATGCCGCTGAATGCCACTAGAATACTATGGTTATGAGCTTTTCATTTGGCTGCATTGAGGGAAACGGTAGTAATTTATTTAAGGGGAAAATAATTTAATACTAGATTATCCAAGATAGGAGCCACTAGCTATATGTGGCTACTGAATACTTGAAATATAGCATGTGTGAATGAGAAAGTTAATTTTTAATTTTAATTTTAAAACATATCTGATTCAGTTATTTCAAAACTTTCATATATGTTTTAAACAATATGGGCATGTAAATCTATTTTCTAACTGTAATTTTATAAAATTTAAATACAGATCATATATTTGTGATGAAAATCCAGACTCTGAACTAGATATATTGTTACCATAAACAGCACACCAAATTTTGAAAACAGTACCAAAACAAAAACTTATATTACTAATAACTTTTATATAGACTACATGGTAAAAAAGTATTTTCGATATGTTAGATACATAAAATATATCATTAGAATTAATCTGCACTCTTTTTAATTTTCTAATGTGGCTACTAGAAAATTTAAAATTACACATTAGCTCACATAACTTTATTCGAAAGTACTGGTCTAGTGAATTAATAGGGTAGGCAAAACAAGATCTTGCCAAAATTAAGAATTTTGTTGGGGAGGAGCCAAGATGGCCGAATAGGAACAGCTCCAGTCTACAGCTCCCAGCTTGAGCGAAGCAGAAGACGGGTGATTTCTGCATTTCCATCTGAGGTACCGGGTTCATCTCACTAGGGAGTGCCAGACAGTGGGCGCAGGCCAGTGGGTGCGTGCACCGTGCGTGAGCCGAAGCAGGGCGAGGCATTGCCTCACCTGGGAAGCGCAAGGGGTCAGGGAGTTCCCTTTCCGAGTCAAAGAAAGGGGTGACAGATGCACCTGGAAAATGGGGTCACTCCCACCCGAATATTGCGCTTTTCAGACCGGCTTAAAAAACGGCACACCACGAGACTATATCCCACACCTGGCTCGGAGGGTCCTATGCCCACGGAATCTCGCTGATTGCTAGCACAGCAGTCTGAGATCAAACTGCAAGGCGGCAGCGAGGCTGGGGGAGGGGCGCCCGCCATTGCCCAGGCTTGATTAGGTAAACAAAGCAGCCTGGAAGCTCAAACTGGGTGGAGCCCACCACAGCTCAAGGAGGCCTGCCTGCCTCTGTAGGCTCCACCTCTGGGGGCAGGGCACAGACAAACAAAAAGACAGCAGTAACCTCTGAAGACTTAAATGTCCCTGTCTGAAAGCCTTGAAGAGAGCAGTGGTTCTCCCAGCACGCAGCTGGAGATCTGAGAACGGGCAGACTGCCTCCTCAAGTGGGTCCCTGACCCCTGACCCCCGAGCAGCCTAACTGGGAGGCACCCCCCAGCAGGGGCACACTGACACCTCACACGGCAGGGTATTCCAACAGACCTGCAGCTGAGGGTCCTGTCTGTTAGAAGGAAAACTAACAAACAGAAAGGACATCCACACCGAAAACCCATCTGTACATCACCATCATCAAAGACCAAAAGTAGATAAAACCACAAAGATGGGGAAAAAACAGAACAGAAAAACTGGAAACTCTAAAACGCAGAGAGCCTCTCCTCCTCCAAAGGAACGCAGTTCCTCACCAGCAATGGAACAAAGCTGGATGGAGAATGATTTTGACGAGCTGAGAGAAGAAGGCTTCAGACGATCAAATTACTCTGAGCTATGGGAGGACATTCAAACCAAAGGCAAAGAAGTTGAAAACTTTGAAAAAAATTTAGAAGAATGTATAACTAGAATAACCAATACAGAGAAGTGCTTAAAGGAGCTGATGGAGCTGAAAACCAAGGCTCGAGAACTACGTGAAGAATGCAGAAGCCTCAGGAGCCAATGCGATCAACTGGAAGAAAGGGTATCAGCAATGGAAGATGAAATGAATGAAATGAAGCAAGAAGGGAAGTTTAGAGAAAAAAGAATAAAAAGAAATGAGCAAAGCCTCCAAGAAATATGGGACTATGTGAAAAGACCAAATCTACGTCTGATTGGTGTACCTGAAAGTGATGTGGAGAATGGAACCAAGTTGGAAAACACTCTGCAGGATATTATCCAGGAGAACTTCCCCAATCTAGCAAGGCAGGCCAACGTTCAGATTCAGGAAATACAGAGAACGCCACAAAGATACTCCTCGAGAAGAGCAACTCCAAGACACATAATTGTCAGATTCACCAAAGTTGAAATGAAGGAAAAAATGTTAAGGGCAGCCAGAGAGAAAGGTCGGGTTACCCTCAAAGGGAAGCCCATCAGACTAACAGCGGATCTCTCGGCAGAAACCCTACAAGCCAGAAGAGAGTGGGGGCCAATATTCAACATTCTTAAAGAAAAGAATTTTCAACCCAGAATTTCATATCCAGCCAAACTAAGCTTCATAAGTGAAGGAGAAATAAAATCCTTTACAGACAAGCAAATGCTGAGAGATTTTGTCACCACCAGGCCTGCCCTAAAAGAGCTCCTGAAGGAAGCACTAAACATGGAAAGGAACAACCGGTACCAGCCGCTGCAAAATCATGCCAAAATGTAAAGATCATCGAGACTAGGAAGAAACTGCATCAACTAACGAGCAAAATCACCAGCTAACATCATAATGACAGGATCAAATTCACACATAACAATATTAACTTTAAATGTAAATGGACTAAATGCTCCAATTAAAAGACACAGACTGGCAAGTTGGATAAAGAGTCAAGACCCATCAGTGTGCTGTATTCAGGAAACCCATCTCACGTGCAGAGACACACATAGGCTCAAAATAAAAGGATGGAGGAAGATCTACCAAGCCAATGGAAAACAAAAAAAGGCAGGGATTGCAATCCGAGTCTCTGATAAAACAGACTTTAAATCAACAAAGATCAGAAGAGACAAAGAAGGCCATTACATAATGGTAAAGGGATCAATTCAACAAGAGGAGCTAACTATCCTAAATATATATGCACCCAATACAGGAGCACCCAGATTCATAAAGCAAGTCCTGAGTGACCTACAAAGAGACTTAGACTCCCACACATTAATAATGGGAGACTTTAACACCCCACTGTCAACATTAGACAGATCAACGAGACAGAAAGTCAACAAGGATACCCAGGAATTAAACTCAGCTCTGCACCAAGCGGACCTAATAGACATCTACAGAACTCTCCACCCCAAATCAACAGAATATACATTTTTTTCAGCACCACACCACACCTATTCCAAAATTGACCACATACTTGGAAGTAAAGCTCTCCTCAGCAAATGTAAAAGAACAGAAATTATAACAAACTATCTCTCAGACCACAGTGCAATCAAACTAGAACTCAGGATTAAGAATCTCACTCAAAGCCGCTCAACTACCTGGAAACTGAACAACCTGCTCCTGAATGACTACTGGGTACATAACGAAATGAAGGCAGAAATAAAGATGTTCTTTGAAACCAACGAGAACAAAGACACAACATACCAGACTCTCTGGGACACATTCAAAGCAGTGTGTAGAGGGAAATTTATAGCACTAAATGCTCACAAGAGAAAGCAGGAAAGATCCAAAATTGACACCCTAACATCACAATTAAAAGAACTAGAAAAGCAAGAGCAAACACATTCAAAAGCTAGCAGAAGGCAAGAAATAACTAAAATCAGAGCAGAACTGAAGGAAATAGAGACACAAAAAACCCTTCAAAAAATCAATGAATCCAGGAGCTGGTTTTTTGAAAGGATCAACAAAATTGATAGACCGCTAGCAAGACTAATAAAGAAAAAAAGAGAGAAGAATCAAATAGACACAATAAAAAATGATAAAGGGGATATCACCACCGATCCCACAGAAATACAAACTACCATCAGAGAATACTACAAACACCTCTATGCAAATAAACTAGAAAATCTAGAAGAAATGGATAAATTCCTGGACACATACACTCTCCCAAGACTAAACCAGGAAGAAGTTGAATCTCTGAATAGACCAATAACAGGAGCTGAAATTGTGGCAATAATCAATAGTTTACCAACCAAAAAGAGTCCAGGACCAGATGGATTCACAGCCGAATTCTACCAGAGGTACAAGGAGGAACTGGTACCATTCCTTCTGAAACTATTCCAATCAATAGAAAAAGAGGGAATCCTCCCTAACTCATTTTATGAGGCCAGCATCATTCTGATACCAAAGACTGGCAGAGACACAACCAAAAAAGAGAATTTTAGACCAATATCCTTGATGAACACTGATGCAAAAATCCTCAATAAAATACTGGCAAACCGAATCCAGCAGCACATCAAAAAGCTTATCCACCATGATCAAGTGGGCTTCATCCCTGGGATGCAAGGCTGGTTCAATATATGCAAATCAATAAATGTAATCCAGCATATAAACAGAGCCAAAGACAAAAACCACATGATCATCTCAATAGATGCAGAAAAAGCCTTTGACAAAATTCAACAACCCTTCATGCTAAAAACTCTCAATAAATTAGGTATTGATGGGACGTATTTCAAAATAATAAGAGCTATCTATGACAAACCCACAGCCAATATCATACTGAATGTGCAAAAACTGGAAGCATTCCCTTTGAAAACTGGCACAAGACAGGGATGCCCTCTCTCACCGCTCCTATTCAACATAGTGTTGGAAGTTCTGGCCAGGGCAATCAGGCAGGAGAAGGAAATAAAGGGTATTCAATTAGGAAAAGAGGAAGTCAAATTGTCCCTGTTTGCAGACGACATGATTGTTTATCTAGAAAACCCCATCATCTCAGCCCAAAATCTCCTTAAGCTGATAAGCAACTTCAGCAAAGTCTCAGGATACAAAATCAATGTACAAAAATCACAAGCATTCCTATACACCAACAACAGACAAACAGAGAGCCAAATCATGAGTGAACTCCCATTCACAATTGCTTCAAACAGAATAAAATACCTAGGAATCCAACTTACAAGGGATGTGAAGGACCTCTTCAAGGAGAACTACAAACCACTGCTCAAGGAAATAAAAGAGGATACAAACAAATGGAAGAACATTTCATGCTCATGGGTAGGAAGAATCAATATCGTGAAAATGGCCATACTGCCCAAGGTAATTTACAGATTCAATGCCATCCCCATCAAACTACCAATGACTTTCTTCACAGAATTGGAAAAAACTACTTTAAAGTTCATATGGAACCAAAAAAGAGCCCGCATCGCCAAGTCAATCCTAAGCCAAAAGAACAAAGCTGGAGGCATCACACTACCTGACTTCAAACTATACTACAAGGCTACAGTAACCAAAACAGCATGGTACTGGTACCAAAACAGAGATATAGATCAATGGAACAGAACAGAGCCCTCAGAAATAATGCCGCTTACCTACAACTATCTGATCTTTGACAAACCTGAGAAAAACAAGCAATGGGGAAAGGATTCCCTATTTAATAAATGGTGCTGGGAAAACTGGCTAGCCATATGTAGAAAGCTGAAACTGGATCCCTTCCTTACATCTTATATAAAAATCAATTCAAGATGGATTAAAGATTTAAACGTTAGACCTAAAACCATAAAAACCCTAGAAGAAAACCTAGGCATTACCATTCAGGACATAGGCGTGGGCAAGGACTTCATGTCCAAAACACCAAAAGCAATGGCAACGAAAGCCAAAATTGACAAATGGGATCTAATTAAACTAAAGAGCTTCTGCACAGCAAAAGAAACTACCATCAGAGTGAACAGGCAACCTACAACATGGGAGAAAATTTTCGCAACCTACTCATCTGACAAAGGGCTAATATCCAGAATCTACAATGAACTCAAACAAATTTACAAGAAAAAAACAAACAACCCCATCAAAAAGTGGGCGAAGGACATGAACAGACACTTCTCAAAAGAAGACATTTATGCAGCCAAAAAACACATGAAAAAATGCTCATCATCACTGGCCATCAGAGAAATGCAAATCAAAACCACTATGAGATATCATCTCACACCAGTTAGAATGGCAATCATTAAAAAGTCAGGAAACAACAGGTGCTGGAGAGGATGTGGAGAAATAGGAACACTTTTACACTGTTGTGGGACTGTAAACTAGTTCAACCATTGTGGAAGTCAGTGTGGTGATTCCTCAGGGATCTAGAACTAGAAATACCATTTGACCCAGCCATCCCATTACTGGGTATATACCCAAATGACTATAAATCATGCTGCTATAAAGACACATGCACATGTATGTTTATTGCGGCATTATTCACAATAGCAAAGACTTGGAACCAACCCAAATGTCCAACAATGATAGACTGGATTAAGAAAATGTGGCACATATACACCATGGAATACTATGCAGCCATAAAAAATGATGAGTTCATGTCCTTTGTAGGGACATGGATGAAATTAGAAACCATCATTCTCAGTAAACTATCGCAAGGACAAAAAACCAAACACCGCATATTCTCACTCATAGGTGGGAATTGAACAATGAGATCACATGGACACAGGAAGGGGAATATCACACTCTGGGGACTGTGGTGGGGAGGTGGGAGGGGGGAGGGATAGCATTGGGAGATATACCTAATGCTAGATGACGAGTTAGTGGGTGCAGCGCACCAGCATGGCACATGTATACATATGTAACTAACCTGCACAATGTGCACATGTACCCTAAAACTTAAAGTATAATTTAAAAAATAAATAAATAAATAAATAAATAAAAAAGAATTTTGTCATTCGTTTTATCTCAAGCTTCTCACAAAACCTGAAAACTAATGATGTGTTCTGATGTTTCTGCTTTGGAAATTAGCATATACACTCTTCATTCGGTCAGTTTGTTGAAAAGCCCACTCTAATTCACTGGGCCATTTTCTACCCATCCTTTCAAAGTTCTACTCCAACAATACATGCTCTAAGAAGGTCAATTCTCTGGCCCCTGAAAGTTAAGTTGCTCTCATCTCCTCGATATGTAAGTGATAGCTGTAATACATCAATGCTTCATATGTCTGTGTACCCTAAAAGACTTTCCTACACTGAAGCAAGGGTGTGCAATTTGGTTTTGGATCTGAAGAGCTTAGCACAAATCCTGAAACAGTAAGCCTCAAAACAACTTGTAGAATAAAGAGGTGAGATGGGAGTACAGATATATAAGGATATATACAAGCATACTTTATGGAAACTCCCATTTATCAAGCTATCAGACTTATAGAAACCACAAACATCTGGAAAGAAGCCACAGAATCTGGAAGTAAGGGGAAAATAAATAAATAATACTAAGAATGACCTACTATGTGCCTGACAGGCACTTTGAAAAGTTTCTTTCATTTAATCTACACAAGAAACTTTTGCTGTTACAAAAACTTAATAATTATTGAGCACTGTTATTTGGCAGGCACTGTGGTAAGCACTTTAAAGATTTTTTAAATTTCTTTCATCATCACAAACTCCAAGCATGGGTTCTACTATTATTGCCATTCCTCAGAGCAAAGAGGTTAAGTAACTTTCACAAGATTACACAGCTAACAAATGTCAAAGCCAAGATGAAAATTCAGGTAGTCCCTAACATTTGAGATCTGAAGTAAGCATGACCTTAATGCAAAGGGATTCTAATACAAACATTTACAAATCTGTAAGCCAAGAGAAATCAACTAGAGGTAAATGTTGTTCATAGAAGTATATGAGAGCAATAATGAGACACTCCAAGAGATGTTGGAAATAAGGCAAATAAGACAATTAGAGATATAGAAGGCCACTTTAAAGATTGACTAATATATTCAGAATGATTCCATGCATATAGCACACAAAACTGGCAGAACAAAGTATATTTAGCAATATATACATAGATTATAAAAAAGCAAGCAAATGACACAAATGTCAGGATACTGGTTTTCCTTAAAGAAAAGAGAATGTATTGTAGTCATGGGAGCTTCGGGGTATTGTAAATGATTTATTGACTTAGGTGGTTGATATTTGGGTGTTTGCATTGTAATCCTTAAATGATATACATGTTTTATGTGATAACAACAACAGTGACACCTCAGCGTCTTAGCTCTAGAGCCCATGCTCCATTACACCCATAGTGTGAGCTAAGCAGAAGTCAGGTGATTGCCTGTCCCCATGGCTGAGTACTACTCATCACTCCTGACCTACCTTAAATATCATCTCTAACTCTCCCATTTTAGTAGGTCCTCCCAATCTTTTTACCATCATTTATTGCTTAGCACTTGTGATGGTTAATTTTACATGTCAACTTGACAGGGCCATGGGGTGGCCAGATATTTGGTAAGGCATTACTCTGTGTGTAGTCTGTGAGAGTGTTTTTGAATGAAATTAACATCTGAATCCATAGACTCCGTAAAGCAGATTGTCCTCCCTACTGTGGATGGGTCTCATCCAATCAGTTGAAGACCTGAATAGAACAAAAAGGCTGACCCTCCCATGAGTAAGAGGGAACATGTTCTGCTTGACTGTGTGAGCTGGAACATCAATCTTTTCCTGCTTTCAGACTCCAACGGAAACATCAGCTCTTCTTGGGTTTCAAGTTTGCTGGCTTTCAGAATGGAACTTATACCACTGGCTCTCCTGATTCCCAGGCCTTTGGACTCAGACAGGAGTCACACCATCAACTCTCCCAGGTCTCCAGCCTGTCAACTGCAGAAGGAAGGCTACTCTAGACCCAGTACCTATTATAATGACCAGTAGATAACAGACAGCCAGTCAATGGGGATTAAAAAAGCAAGAAATAAATAAATGTCATACAGCCGGTCAAGTAGACAGACACAGGCTTTGATCCAGCTAGCTCTCTACCATCAAGCCTCCTTACAAGTCACACATTCTTTATATACCTTGGGATGTCTCAGCCTCCATAATCATTTCTTATAATAAATCATATATATCTCCCACTGGTTCTGTTTTTCTAAAACCCTGACTAATACAACACTAAAGACCTTAAGACTCCTGGATAATTTTTTTAATATGTTTTTGGTTTTATTTCATGTACTTTTATTCTAGGAAAACATAAAATTTACTATCTTAGTCATTTTAAGTGTACAATTCAGTTGTGTTAAGTACATTCACATTGTTGTGACATAGATCTTCAAAACTTTTTCATCTTGCAAAATCGAAACTCCATACCTAGTAATCAACAACACCATTTTCCCCTCTTTCTCTAGTCCCTGGTAATCACTCTCTACTTTCTGTCCCATTAATTTAACAACTTTGGATACTTCATATAAGTGGAATCATACAGCATTTGTCTTATTCTGACTGGCTTATTTCACTTAGCATAATGTCCTCAAGTTTCATCCATGTTGTCACATGTGACAGGAAGTACTTCCTTTTTAAGGCTGAATGATATTTCATTGCATATATATATCACATTTTTGTCATTTCATCCATGAATGGACATTTGAGTTGTTTTCATGTCTTGGCTGTTTTATGTAGTATTGCTATGAAAAAGGGTGTGCAAATATCTCTTTAAATCTCTGCTTTCAATCATTTTAGGTCTATACCCAAAAACAAAATTGCTGGATAATATGTTAGTTTTATTTTTAATTTTTGGAGGAACCTCCATACTATTTTCCGTAGCTGCTGCACCATTTTATAGCACTACTAACAGTGCACAAGGGTTTGGAATTCTCCACATTCTTGCCAACATTTATTTTCTGTTTGTTTTGATAGTGGCCATCCTAATGTATATGAGGTAATATCTCATAGTTTTGATTTTCATTCCTATGACGATTAGTGATGTTAAGCATTTTTTTCATATGCTCATTGGCCATTTGTATATCATCTTTAGAAAAATGCCTATTCAGGTTCTTTGCCCATTTTTAATTGAGTTATTTGATCTTTTGTTGTTGTTGAGTTGTAAGAATTCTCCATGTATTTTGGATATTAAACCCTTATCAGATATATAATTTGTTCTGGTTTTTAAAATAATAACTTTATTGTTTCTGGATGTCTTTCTCATACTAGTTTGGTAGCTCCACGAAGTCTAAGTCTGTTTCTTCTCTGCTCTACACCCAGCACCTATTATAATAACCAGTAGATAGTAGATGGCCAGTCAATGGGGATCTAAAAGCAAAAAATAAATAAATGGCATGCAGCTATTAAACAGATGCAGGCTTTGAGCCAGCTCTCTACCATCAACCTTCTTTATGACACACATATGCTTTATAGGAAAGGTAGAGTCTTCTTTGGACTGGAGCCTATTGACTTCTTATTGGCTATACAATTTAGCAAACATTCACCTGGCTTTCCCTAGCCTTGACTTTTGCCCTAAATGACCAATGCTGCAAATTAGATGCTGGTAGTTCCAGAGACGAAAAAAGATCTCAGAAAAAGACTCACTGAGAAGTGAGACCTAATAAAAAGAAAGTCAGAAGCATCGCCAACTTCAATAGCAACGGAGGATATGTGACGCAGGAAAAAGCAGTCTCACACGTGGATTTTTCCCCAACAGCTTCATATAACGCTGTAAGAGTGATGCTTACGCAAATGGTCTTCCCAAGAAGAGTTAAATTCTGTGATTTTACAGGCAAATATGTTTTGAAAGATTTTGTAAAACAAAATGGTTACAATAAAAGAAGCCTGATGTTTTAAGAAGAAGAAATTTCACCAACATGAACTGTTTTCTTACCCAAAAATCTTCAAGTCCTGAAAATAACAAAGAGTAATGTACATGCCTGCAATAAATGCGCACCTATATGTGTAAATGTCCTGGCTCAAATTAGGCAACAGTAATTGGATGTAAGATGAAAATTAATGTCATGGTAAAGATGGGGAAAAGTCAGAACCACACAGGAAAGCCTTGGCAACTCTATGTCTGGAAAACAAAAGCTATAGAAGGAAAGGACATGAAGGGCATAGAAGAAAAAGGAAAAGTAAAGATGGCGTTTGAAGGAAACATAGTGTATCATTTTTTCTTTCTCCGGATGACACTAAGGCATACACTACAAATTTCAAAATAAATTAGGAAACCAGTACACAAAGCTAACAATGTGCCATAATTTCTTTGGTACCTCTACCAAATTAATCACTGTGCACACCTATTTTGTAAACTGATTGATCTTAATGTTTATGGCTTTAGTCTGAGCTGTCTGTAAGGAGCAATATTCACTTAATTAAAAAAAAAAGCTAAATAAATCTTAACTAATATACACTTGAGAAGAAAACACGAAGCATTTTAAACAATGTAATTACCAAAGATCGCCAAGCCCAGAGTAGCAACTTGACTTCTTCCTAGTGTTACTGATGGCTAAGTGGTGAGGAAAACTAATTACCAAAGAAAATAATTCTCATCTATACTGCTACATTTCCCCAGCCTTCTTTATTTATGTGTGTGCACACATATATAGTCCCAGGTCTCTGCAAATTCTATCATCTGTTTAGGTGATGACTGAAAGGAAGGTAGACAGATGTAGCCAAGACAGATATCTGCACAGCCCATTTTACACCACAGACTCTCTGATGTAAAAATGTCCCACCTATTAATATTTCAGTGTTTTCTTTAATTATTTTTCTCTATTAGGTAATGATAAAGAAGCTATGAGACTTTCAATGACAAAAGGATTAATAAAATGTAAAATATTAAATACTGAAGGTTTATATCAAACTTTTTCATCTTCAATTCACTTTGCATGCCCCTTTCAGAGTTTTTATATTTTTATTCCCTGTTCTTGTGGTCAAGTTTTGATAGTAAGTCAAGTTAACTTATTCTTTCCTCAATTTCCAGTAATTAAATATTTTTTCTTGCTCAGATCAACGCGATAAACTTCAAGAACTAACACAGATAAGCCCATTGGAAACAAAAAGACCTTCAGAACACAGTACTTGCACTCTACTATTAACAGAAAAGAAAAAAGCAACTGACGTCTTTATCTCTTTATATATAAACTTCATGTATCTATACCGTAGTTTTCCAATTGGTTAATCTTTAGGATTCTATCACCTTCAAAATTGCATAACTAAAGCTATAGAAAATTGTATTATATAAATAAGAATTTAAGAGGTATCATTTACATGTCTCAGAATCAGGCATTCTCCCTAATTAAATACGTGATTATATGTATGATTATATATATGGTCACATAAAGAACCGAGTACGTGTTTTTGCACCCAAGATCAAGTTTTTTAGATCATTTCTCCTCTTTTATATTTTATAAAAATAAAAATACATGTTATATTAAAATAGCCCAGAGAACCAAGACCAAAGTCTGGCTAGATTTCTACTTAATTTAGTAGTCAGTAAAAAGCCAGAAAACATTATCCAAGGCAAGACTATAAAAGTATCTCTTCATTGCATCCCCTCCTTATGTTTATCGTTTCCTCCATGAATCAATACGTTCTTCTTGAGGTGAAGAGAAGCAATAATAGTCATTGAGCCAGTTCAGTGTCCTGAGAACCTATTGCCATGGGAGAGCACTATGCACTTTCCAAAGAAAAAAACTGACACTCCCCTTAAAAAAAACCCAAAAACATAACTTTGTAGTATTATCATCCACCTAGTCTGTGTTTTTAAGGTGGTTATTTTGTTTGGATTACAGGTCTCTGTAATAAAAAAGTTAAATACAAAAGATACTAATCCACTGCAAAATAGGTGCAAGTAAATACCAACTTCCAAGTCAAGAAGATAATTGAGGAACTCAAAAAATGGGGTAATTGCAGTGAAGTTATATTGTAGGATAAAGGAAAATAAAACACACTATAATTCAGCTTTTCTTTGAGACATAATTACTGTCAATCACTCACTGGGAAGTTCACATTTCTTAAAGTTTGCATTATCATTTATTTGCTACATTTTTGTGGGATTTTAACCTATACAAAAAAAAAATGTGTATCCTTATTAACCAGTGGCCTCGGTAAAGAAGATACTTTATAGTAACACACAGGACATGACAAAGAGTTTTATGATTGCTGTACAATTGGAGGAGTCTGCCTCAGCATCTTCCCCAACCTTGAAGCTCCTCATCCACCAAAACACCAGGGCATGGTTGGAGAAACCCAGCACCACATGTCACATGTCACACTAACACAGAGAACTGAGCAAAGTGTGACAAGATCAGACACAGACATAGGACATTTCGCTAATAGTGCGGTGTAGTCACCGCACTACACAGGCATTTTTGAAAAGCGTATTAAGAAAGAACATACTTTGAAATTCTATCATTACCTAGAATTTTTTTCATGTTTGCATTTGTTTTTTATTTTTCTTATTTGTAGAAATTAAAGACGTACAAGTGCAGTTTTGTTACATGGATATATTGCATAGTGGTGAAGTCTGGACTTTTAGTGTAGCCATCACCCAAATAGCGTACACTGAATCCATTAAGTAATTTCTCATCCCTCACCTTCCTCCCCACCTCCCACCCTTCCAAGTCTCTAGTGTTTATCATTTCACACTCTACATCTGTGTGTACACATCATTTAGCTCCCACTTACAAGTAAGAACATGTAGTATTTGACTTGGATTTATATAGAAATAAAGTTCTAGAAACAGATGCTGAAGTTAAAGCATGAACTTAAGGCAACTACAGAGCTAGTAATAGGAAATAATAAAAGCACGGTGTTTTTTAATCCACTCAAGATTTTTAGGGAAAACACTAATTTATTTTCAGGGGAGGGTAGAACGCTATTATGTAGCATTTGGAATTTGTAATATAAAAATATAATTTAAAGTTAATTGCTTGAAAAACAAGAGTCATCTCATTCATAGTATGGATTTGGTTATTCTCAATATTTTTCTTACCTGTGTAGTTACTAATTAAAACACAAAACACACACACACACACACAAAATTTGGTATTATTGCTTACAGATATATTGTTGGGGTGGACTTGAGCTGACAAGACAATATACTTCCATGGGTAAGGTGGGCACAGCAGGTAATCAGAATCCTTCATGTAACTTTGTCCAAATGATGCTTAATTTTATTTTTGTGAGCTGCTTATTACAATGTTAAATTCAATCTCAATTTGGTGCAAAATGAGAAACTCATGTATGTGAGTGATACTAAGCAACCTCAGTATTTGAAACTAGAACAGACAAAAAAGTCTCTAGCTATTACATTAACACAGATACTTCGACTTCGGGAACTTTTTCTCATAGGAAGTCCTATTTCAGGGTTCATTGACTTACACAAAATCATTAAACAACAGAAAAGATTTATTAACCTGAAGTTTCATTTATTTTATAACTGTTAGAAGCTTACCAGGTACTAAGATAATATAACCCTTCCTGAATACTCTTATATATCACCATCTCAAGAAAGAATATATTGAAGTCTTGATATGGTAGACTACATCATCTGGAAATAATATTAGTTTTACTAAAAATGTTGAGTCTTAAATTTCACATATTGTTAGAGTAATAAAATAGTATCTGGATTGTAAACTTACTAGCTGCTATTTATTGCTTAATTTAGAGATGGTGTTAACATAACTTTGGGGCACACATAATGTTAACTATACAATTTAGAAGAAAAACTAAAGCACCATATTATCCTGTTTACCTTCACAGAATAGGTGCTAGAAAAATTATTTAATTAAAACATTGTAGGCCGAGCATGGTGGCTCACGCCTGTAATCCCAGCACTTTGGGAGGCTGAGGAGGGCAGATTAAGAGGTCAAGAGATCGAGACCATCCTAGCCAACATGGTGAAACCCCGTCTCTATTAAAAATACAAAAATTAGCTGGGCATGATGGCGTGCACCTGTAGACCCAGCTACTCAGGAGGCTAAGACAGGAAAATCGCTTGAACCTGGGAGGTGGAGGTTGCAGTGAGCTAAGATCACGCCACTGCACTCCAGCCTGGCGACACAGCAAGACTCCATCTCAAAAAAAAAAAAAAAAAAAAAAAAAAAAAAAAATATATATATATATATATATATATATATATATATATATTTAATTTTAAAAATTAAATCTGTGCAAGAACCCAACAGTCACAAGGAGGGGTATGTTTTTTTAAAAAAATTGCAAAACTAGAACTCCATGAATCTCACAAATGTCTTAATTTAATGTACATGGTTTTCACAATGAACATAACAGTGAAAGATATGACTCAACCACAAGTTAAGTACATAGGGTGATTTTATTTGTAACAATTTTTGGGGGGCCAGGAAGCTCTCATAATGTCTCAAGTGTTATAATCTTAGCGATTTTAAAACAAATATCTCAATGGTATGTACAAATTTTAAAATTTAGGCTCAATTATAATTCCTCTGTAAGATAAGAGCATGAGATTTAAGTGGCAGACAATAACACACGAATAACAGTGATCAGAAAGCTAGATTCTAGTTTCCCACAAATGTATGCATACTAGCTAGATTTTTTTCAAACACTTTCGTTCTATATTTGCTAAACATTTTCAAGTATCCTATAGCAGAGTCAAAAAACTCCATTTTATTGCATTCTATTTTAGTGGATTCTTTGTAAAGAATTATTTAGCAATGCATTCCTTTATTGGCTTTATACATGCTGATTTTCATATACTAATACATCTTAAGTTGAGAAAAATACATAATCCTTATCTTTTGTTGGTGGATAAAGAATTTCACTGATAAAGTAAAATAAAACATCTCATTTACTTCCATGTTTCTCCCCTTCCTCCATCTTCTCAAAATCAAAAAATAGGAGAGAAAATGAATAATATTGATTTGATAATTCTTTGCTTAGAGACCCTAATTTTTCTGACAATTAAGAGAGTTATAAAATGACTACATTTTCAGTACACATAATAATATCTGAAAATGTAGTTGGGTTTGTTTTTCTTTTAAAAATCTGAAGTTTTGTTTTCACAGAAAAACAGATGGTGTTTTTTTGGTTTGAGGGTGAAAGTGGTAGTAGAATTTTGTTTTGTTTTGTTAAAAAAAAAAAAAAAACAGGTGTGACAATCATTTTCTCCTGCTACTGTATTAGCACATTTAATTGCTAAGTTCACAGGCAGCCTTCTCAATTCTTTTACCAGCAGATGGTGAAAGTGATTTTAAAAGAGGAATAAGAATTTTTCAAGAACCATTTCAGAACAGCATGAGATCTGCTCTTTCTTCAATGGGTGTGTCAACGTCTGATGAACACTAAGAAAAGTCACATCACTGCATCTACAGTGTATTTGCCTTTAATTACTTGACAGTTATCCAAGTTTTGTAAAATTACTCACACATTATCTACCAAAGTACTATCTGCTTGCAGTGACTATCTTCAAATGACTTTATAACTATTGGCTAATTAAAACTTCACAATACTCCTACAAAATATGTAGGTAGAAAGTTTTACAAGCTTTGTTTCACTGAGTTCCCAGGTGTATCGCTGACAGAGATGGCAGTTAAATGTAAGTTCTGAGCTCACAAGGATTTATGCCCTGTGCCAGCATTTGCTTCTCAAATGGCAATGACTAGCTTTTAGAATAAGGAGATCTTTGGTGTCACAGACACAGTTACTTCTCCATTACCCATCCCTTTTTTCCTTCTCAGCTAATAGAACCCTAATTCTGTCCAGAATAGCCATAGACAAAGAAAAAGTTCTGACACTTGTTAAAACAGTAGGGAAGACTTTATTCATGACTATTGCAATATAGGACAGAGATTGGGCTCAACTCTGAATACAGCAAAGACAGCTGGGGATTGTAGCCCAGTTTCAGAGTGAGGGGTCAGTGGATGGAAAGTTACTAAGAGGAGTCATCAATGGTAAAGGGATTCTTCTGAAGTCAGGCCAAGGACATAAATTAAAGGTGGGGGATGAGGAACTTGGTTAGATATCAAAGTTGATCAAGTATCGAAAGTGGGGGAATTCTCACTAAACTGACTTAGCAGGATTCTTTGCTGAGATTGGACTGAGCAGGCCAAAGACAGGACTGGGGACAAGGTCAAGGCCCATTAGAGAAGACGTTCAGAGGAGCCTGATGAAAGTTGGTCAAGGAGAGAGTTTGCCACTCTATACTCAGCTAAAAGTCCGTATCTCCTCTGCAGGTGAGTGCAGCATGTTGCATGGTTTTGAAAAACAACATGTAAGAGAAAGTCTGCTGGAAAGTTTGGAGAAAGTTTTCACCTTTCTGATGCAGGCCTGCCTCTTTCCCTTATTTCTTTCCTGGACACAATGCATCCCTATAGTGATCATTGGGACTAAAACCATGCTAAAGATGATGGACAAATAGAAAGAGCTTAGGACATTGATGAAAATGTGGAGCCATTGACACAACCTTTACTCTTTGCTTGTCTCCTCCAACCTCCATCTACAATAGCATCTCACCCCAGCTCCTCAGTTAACCTACATTAGCAACCTGGTGTGTTTCCTCTCATATTTTCTCATATACTCATACAAAGACCTAAATGTGAACAGAAATATTGTGTACAGATATGTATACAGAATTTACTTTTCATTGTTTTATTAAAATTGAGCCAAATTATTAATCTTCCATTTCTCTCACACAATAATACCTCATAACAATCCCTCCAAGATATCCAGTATAGCTCTAACATTTGCTTTTTAACAGCTGCCTAGTATTCCAAAGTATGGATATACCCTAGTGCCTTCTTTTCTGATTTTTGACAGAACAAAAATGCCATAATAAATGTTTTCTTATACGTATATGCTTTTTTTATTCTACGGTATAAATTTACAACATTGCATTTCTAAATTTTTCTAGAGACTTTTTGAAAGCGTCCATTTATATCAACAATAGATAAGTACCTTTTTCCCTGTATTCCTACCAATAATTTGTGCTACCAGTTTTTTTAATTTCTGCTATTCTAGTATTTATAAAGTTATATCTCATTTTTACTTTTATTTGCATTTCCTACATATATATTTAAGTATCTCTTTATTTGTCTGTTGGCCATTTGTACTTCCTCTTCTGTGAATCATATATTCATAACATTTGTCTATTTTTCTCTTTGTCTGTGTCTTGCCAACTTTCTTGTTTATATAGATATTAACCATCACTATTACATGTGTTTTCCAGATCTTCTGTGTGTTTACCAACTCTGTTTTCGGTATGGGTTTTCATACATAGGTTTTCAATTCTTAACTGACTAAGTAAAACCCATTATTTTTTCTATATAGGTAACGGACTATTAGTCTAAGGAGATTTCCTAACCACCATATTTTTGAGACATTTACAGATTTTTATTTTTCTTCATATATTTCAGTCTGCCTGAAATTTATTTTTGAACATGGTATAAGATGGGGTCCATTTTTATTCTTTTCCAGAATAAATTGCAGCCGCTATATTTGCCAATATGAATTCATTATATTTATCATATTCTTTATTTCATATTCTCTTCTACTAATCGTCTTTTCTTGTATTGACTTGATTAGAGGGGCTTTATTGTATGCCCTGATATTTTTTAAAAGCCTCCTTTTAATTCATCCTTCTTGCATTTTTATTGGCTGTTCTCATACATTTATTTTTCCATGTAAACTATAATTTCACCCAATTAAAAAATTTGTTGGATTTCTAAATAAAATGGCATTAAATATATATGTTAATTTGGGGAAAGTTGATATTTTCATAATATTGCCTCCCTCATCCAAGAGCATGCTATGCCTAATCCTTTATTCAAATTTTGTTTGAGTATTTTAATTAAATGTCACATGGTCTTTGTATAGGTCTGCTACTCTTCTTTTTAAATTTAGTTCTAAGAATTTTAGTTTTGTCAATATTTTAAAGGTAGTGTTTGTAGGCATTTCTTGCTAGAGTAAAGAAAATCTATTGATTCCTTTTGTTATGTAGTCCATATCTGGCCAACTCACCAAATTTTCTTATTAATTCTATCAGCTGTTTTTATTCAATTATAAATGTCTTAGATATATGCTTTGTTGAGTAGGAGCAAAGAAGTAGAGCAACAACATGGTCACTGGAATTGACCATAAAGTATGTCCAGCATATTAACATTAACCATTATGCTTTTGTGTGGAGGTGGAAAGAGAGAACATCTACTCTGAGATATCAAATATGTGGATTAATTTAGCTGATTTTACATATTATTTCTGTTTCCACATTTTTTTCAGACTGAACTAGACATATCTTTATCTTTTATTTAAACATTTGCAATGATTGCATATATTAGCAGTTTATCAAAAGTCCTACTGCATCACTATTTTTTTTTATTTTTTTAGAGAGGGGTGTCACTGTGTTGCCCAGGCTGGAGCACAGTGGCTATTCACAGATGTGATCGTAGCATACTACAGTCTTGAACACCTGGGCTCAAAGCAGTCCTTCCACCTCTGTGTCCTGAGTAGCTTGGACTATAGGTGTATACCACCGGAACTAGCTTGCAGCACATTTTTATCAAAGAATAGCATGGCTGGTGTGTGTGCTGAAGTTTGATTTAATTTTTAAGATTTTTATTTGTGATTTCACATTTTAAACTTTATATTTAAATATCTTGATAATTTCCTTGTCATTCACCATTTTATGGGTGTAAATCTTAATAACTAAAATCTATATGCTGTTTTATATTATGATTTTTATCTTAAAGTCTTTCTCTAGAAAATATCGCTGGGTTCAGTGGTCCTTCTGTGCTCCAAGTTCACTCTTCCCACATCTATATTAAATGGCATCAATATATCACAATAACCCATTACATTGTATGTTATTTAAAAACACAAACTGTGTCTAATTATCATTGAATGCCCAATATCTAACACTGCTGGACATATTTTGGTGCTAAATATGTTTGCCACACAGAGTTTAACTATTTACTAAGTTTATAGTGACTCATTTTGTCTTCAAAATTATCCTGTGAGAAATGCTTTACCATTGTTCTAATTTCTCAGTGAAGAAACAGACTATGAGAAACTCAGAGAGTGATTATTCAACTACAATTTAGTCCTTCGGTTTCCCATCCCATATAAGCATTGCTGTTACCCACATCATCATACATTGCATCCTCCAATTATAAGTCCCTGTTTGGCTATTTAATCAATTGTATGATTCAATAAATCATACTACCATTTTTATCATCCTTGTGTCTGTTTTTTAAAGTTTAGCCACTTTGTCCTATTTCACCAAAAAAAAAAAAAATCTTCTTTTCTCAAATTTGCTTTGCTTCAGCCATAAACTAAACATTTATAACATCTCATAAGCTTATACAACCTGATGAAAATAGAAAAAAATAGAACTTTTATTTTCTTGCTGTATTTGCTATTGTATGAGTCTGTTCTTGCATTGCTATAAAGAAATACCTGAGCCTAGGTAATTTATAAAGAAAAGAGGCTTAATTGACTCAGTTCTGCAAGCTGTACAGGAATATGTGCCTACTTCCCCATTACCTTCCGCCATGATTGTAAGTTTCCTGGTGAGGCCTCAGGAAATGTACAATCATGGCAGAAGGTGAAGGGAAAGTAGGCACATCTTACATGGCCAGAGAAGGAGGAAAGAGAGAGAAGGTGGGAGGTGCCACACACTTGTAAACCATCAGATCTCTGAGAACTCACTCACTAGCAGAAGAACACAAGGGGGGAAATCCACCCCCATGATCCAATCATCCCCTACCCAACCGCTACTCCAACAATGGGGATCACAATTTGGACATGAGATTTGGGAAGGGACACAAACCCAAACTATATCAACTATCAACTTAAGTCTATAATTTTTACATGGATAGGTACTATATGCCCAAGTCTTAAAGTTCCATAGCTGTGGTCATTTTTGCAGGTTAAATTATCTGATTTCTAATCAAAAATGTATTCTAGAGTTAAACCTTCATTTTTGTTAACTGGGAGTTTCTTTCTTGAAATAATGCCTCACATTCTATAGTATTTTTATATAAATTTAATGTCTATAAGGCAGCATCTTTCTCCCCTTATTTTAAGATTAAGAAGCTATAGCTTAAAGAGGATAAGTACCTCATCCAAGGTCACAGAAAAACTAAATAGCCGAACAGGAATTCACAACAGATCCTACAACTCCAGACCTGAAGCTATTCCTTTTACTCCTTCTCTATGTAGTAAGGTAATAATATTTCAAGTTCTCCATGTGATTGGTTCTTGTGTTTGTTTGTTTGTCCGGAGGGTAACATCCTTTCCACATTTCTTTCAATCTCTTCTGTATCATCAAATGGTTTGTTTAGCAAGATTTCCGAAATTCATTTGGTCCTTTCCTGTTGCCTACTTAAAATAGGCAGATCTAATACTTTCTCCACAAATAGGATATAGCATTTAACTTCATTTTGATTTCAGAACATGTACTTATTTCCTCTAATCAGCAGAAAGCTTGGTTTTTCCCTTCACTAGAATTGAATAATTTGAACTTCGCTTATAGTAAACACTTGATTTACAACAATACTTTCACTACGTATATTGATTTACATTAAGGCCAACAAAATGCCATATTTATTCTTCATTCATTCATTGTTCATTGTCAAAGATTATGTGCTTTGTAGTTAATGTAGAACTTCCAGGAATTCCTGTTTATTCTCATATTTTAACCTAAATCCCTGAAAAGTAATTTATTTAAGTATCAGCTTCTCAGCTTCAATTCAAAGCAGAACTCAAGTAAAACAAGTTGTCTTCCTTAAATACTTCTTATTTTATACATTAAAGGCTGGTTCCCATCATCTTTTCCTTACAGATATACTCTATCTACTCTCCATGGTGCTCAAATGCATGTAACTAAATAACCAACCTTATAATTCTGAAAAATAAAATCATGGTGGATGAGGACTGGAATCATGGATTTTTCTTGTTGCTTATTTGGTTTTTGCTTAAGCTTTTGTCATTAATACCTGCAGTCTATATTCAGGTTTCATTGTTTTTAGATTACATCCTCATGGGAATTCTTTTTTTAAAACATATACACATTTTATTGGAGTTTTCTTTTCAAATTCAAAAAGGAGAACATTATTTTTTCAAAGCCAAGAAAGAGAAGAGTATATGAAAAAAGTCAATTTTGTGCATATCTTTTTACATTTCTTTCTATGCTCATGTAAAACATGCATTACTTATGTAATTATACACATATGTTCCCGGTCTCATCTGTATTAAATTTTTTTTATTATTGTACTTTAAGTTCTGGGGTACATGTGCAGAACATGCAGGTTTGTTACATAGACATACACATGCCATGGTGGTTTGCTGCACCCATCAACCCATCATCTACATTAGGTATTTCTCCCAATGCTGTCCCTCCCCTAGCCCCCCACCAGCCAACAGGCTGTGTCCATGTGTTCTCACTGTCCAACTCTCACTTATGAATGAGAACATACAGTGTTTGCTTTTCTGTTCCCGTCTTAGTTTGCTGAGAATGATGGTTTCCAGCTTTATCCATGTCTCTGCAAAGGACATGAACTCATCCTTTTTTATGGCTGCATAGTATTCCATGGTGTATATGTGCCATATTTTCTTTATCCAGTCTATCATTGATGGTCATTTGGGTTGGTTCCATGTCTTTGCTATTGTGAACAGTGCTGCAATAAACATACATGTACGTGTCTTTATAGTAGAATGATTTATAATCCTTTGGGTATATACCCAGTAATAGGATTGCTGGGTCAACCAGTATTTCTGGTTCTGGATTCTTGAGGAATTGCCACACTATCTTCCACAATGGTTGAAAAGCATTCCTGTTTCGCCACATCCTCTCCATCATCTGTCGTTTCCTGACTTTTGAATGATCGCCATTCAAAATGGCATTAGATGGTATCTCATTGTGGTTTTGATTTGCATTTCTCTAATGGCCAGTGATGATGAGTTCTTTTTCATATGTTTGTTGGCTGCATAAATGTCTTCTTTTGAGAAGTGTCTGTTCATATCCTTCACCCACTTTTTGATGGGGTTGTTTAGGGTTTTTTTGTAAATTTGTTTAAGTTCTTTGTAGATTCTGGATATTAGCCCTTTGTCAGATGGATTGCAAAAATTTTCTCCCATTCTGTAGATTGCCATACTGCCCAAAGTAATTTATAGATTCGATGCTATCCCCATCAAGCTACCATTGACTTTCTGCACATAATTAGAAAAAACTACTTTATATTTCATATGAAACCAAAAGAGAGCCCCTGTAGCCAAGACAATCCTAACCAAAAAGAACAAAGCTGGAGGCATCATGCTACCTGACTTCAAACTATACTACAAGGATACAATAACCAAAACAGCATGGTACTGGTACCAAAACAGATATATAGACCAATGGAACAGAACAGAGGCTTCAGAAATAATGCCACACATGTACAATCATCTGATCTTTGACAAACCTGGCAAAAAACAAGCAATGAGGATTCCCTATTTAATAAATGGTGTTGGGAAAACTGGCTAGCCATATGCAGAAAACTAAAACTCAACCCCTTCCTTACACCTTATACAAAAATTAACTCAAGATGGATTAAAGACTTAAACGTAAGACCTAAAACCATAAAACCCCTAGAAGAAAACCTAGGCAATACCATTCAGGACATAGGCATGGGCAAAGACTTCATGACTAAAACAACAAAAGCAGTTGCAGCAAAAGCCAGAATTGACAAATGAGATCTAATTGAACTAAAGAGTTTCTGCACAGCAAAAGAAACTATCATCAGAGTGAACAGGAAATTCTTTATTAGAAAATTACATCACTCCTTCCTCACTATATATTCCTAATATCCTAATTTAGACTATTGTTTTAACCTAGATTTTTATAAAAGTCTCCTGAATTATCTTCCTTCTACTGTCTTTCCTCTGTGAGAAATCTCCCCTCCATGACCTGCTCTCTGAGTAAGGCTGTCAGAATGTTCTGACCTATACTTAATGTTCCAAGCACTTCAAATCCACCTTATACCAAATGACCCTCCCTTCCCCTACCCTGCTCAAGTCTGCCCCTGCCCCAGGCTCCCTCGATATGACATCACCACATACTCAGCCAAGCAGGCAACATTAAATCATCTTTGATTCCTCCCTTTTCCTCACTCCATACTCTTCTTCATTCATCCATCCATTCATTAAATCAATATTTAAAGAGCTCTGACTATAGGGCACAGTGTGAGGTACTATTAATTTTGTACTTTCTGCCATATGTTCCTTCCTCTACCACCTCTTTTCTCCACATGTCAAAATTCTATTCATCCTTCAGGACCCAGTCCAAAAGACATGTGAACTTCCTATGTGAAGCCTTTTCTAATTTATTCCTACTATCCCCCAATAACTTTTTTTAATGTAACTAAATAATTATTTATTTACACACTACTATCATGATATTCATTGCAATTTGATTTGTATTGGAAAGTAATCTATGCCTCCTCTACCAGGTTACACACATGATGTACATATTTTTTAGGATCTCATCAAGAAGGTAGAATAGACGTTCAAAGGTCAATTATCAATGTATCCCCCAAATCCAAAAGGTTAGCTTCTATGAAATGTATGTTTGTGACTCCTTAGAAATTTAAATCCTAATCCCCAAGGTAATGATATTAGAAGGTGGGGGCCTTTGAGAGGTGATTAGATCACAAGGGTAGAGTCCTCATGGATGGGATTAGTGACCTTATAAAAGAGGCCCAGAGGAACTTGTTTGCCCTTTTCACTATGTGAGGACACAGCTAAAAGCATCATCTATGAACCAGAATGTGAGTGCTCACCAGACAACCAAACCTGCCAGTGTCTCAATCTTGGACTGCTCAGCCTCCAGAACTGTGAAACATAAACTTCTATTGTTTATAAGCTACCCAGCCACGATATTTTGTTATAGCAACCTGATAGGCTAAGAGATTAGCAGAGCACGGAATATTTGGGGAAATATCATACTTAAGAATCTGTGCGAGTATGCAGTCACTTGGGAGAAGGTAACTGGCAAGATTGAGTCCTTGTCTTAAAAGAAAAGTGATGTGCTAGGTGAATAACCAATCAAGGACTCAATCAAGAAGCAAGGCAGCAAGTTCATTTTAAACACTAGACTCTGGGAGGGGACTGAATTTCAGCAGCAACAAGTAAGAAGTCTAATTAGCAGGGATGGACTAGTTCCAACAGTACTTTGACAATATCACATAATTACTGCTACTTGACTAGTCATAAATGACACTTGTAAAGCAGGAACAAGACTGAGGTTGCAAACAAGTCAGTGGCTCCAACTCTAAGAAGCTGAGAATGGCATGGCATTGTGCAGCCGCTGAATCTCCTAATCAGAAAATACACTCAATTGCATTCAGTAAACATTTGTCTCTGAGTTAAAGGCTAAATAAAATCTATAATGGACCTAGAAATTTCTGAAAAAAAAATTTGAACCCTGCCATCCATTGATGGACATTTGAGTTGTTTCCACCTTTGGGGTATTTTAAATAACATCGCTGTGAACGTGGGGGTATAATTATCTCTTCAAGACCCTGCTTCCAGTTTTTTGAGGAACTGCCATACTATTTTCCACAGTGTCTGTACCGTTTTACTTTCCCATCTACAGAGTACAAGTGTTCCAACTTCTCCTCATCTTCACTGTCCTCATCATTCTGTGCTGCTATAAAAAAATGTAGCTGAGACTGGATAGTTTATAAAGAACAGACATTTATTTCTCACAGTTCTGGAGGCTAAAAAGTCTAAGATCAAGGCATTGGCAGGTTTGGTTGTCTGGTGAGGGCTGCTATCTACTTGCAAGATGGCACCCTGCTGCTGCATGTTCCAGAGGAAGGAACACTGGTGGAAGAGAAAGAGGGCTGAGGCTTCAGGGGACCTCTTTTATAAGGGCTGTAATCCCATCCATGAGGGAGGGGCCTTTATGGCCTAATCATCTCTTAAAGACCCACCTCTTAATACTACCACATTGAGCATTAAGTTTAAATATCTGTATTTTGAAGAGGACATATTCAAACCATACCATTCACCAACACTCATTATTTTCTGTTATTGTTGTTGTTTTTATTCTTATGGGTATGAGGTGCCATTAATCATCTTTTAAAACATCCATGTCATCAAGTCTGTGGCTGAGCAAATAGTAATATTCAATAAATACTTATGCAATTAAATTGAAAAAGGGCTGAGCTCAGCAGCATCTGAAAAAAGCAGATGTGCATTACATGATGTAATTCCATCTCAAGGAGATTGAGTGTTTTGCTCTCACTTGCAGCTATGCTAATACAAATTCTCTCTTCCTTCTTTCTAATTTTGAGGTGTTTCAAACTATGGACACATTTACAACATTGTGGGAGATTTCATGAATGATTGTGAAATTCCTTGTGTTTTGCCAGTCAATGAAACGGTCACTTTTCTATATGCATCTTTTCCTATGTGTATATGCTATTATGTTAAGTAAGTTTATATAAGAGCAGTAGATGTGTAGAATAATATCCATGTTGACCTGGAGCAAAATACATTTATATTACAAATTTTTAATTGCTCTAAATTAAAGGTAAGAAGTGATGAGAGACTATATTACAGGGGGTCCTGATCTTTGCTTGTGGGTCAGGCTTCAGCGAAGATGTGACATTTGAGTGCATCTTTTTCTATGTGCATATTCTTTGCCTTGTACTTTTCTGTAACCAGGCAAAAATTAATTCAACCAAGAGATACTGATTCATCACCTGCTAAATGTAAGCACTGTGCTAGGCTCAGTGGGGTTGCAGAGAGGAACCTAAGGACTTGGCTTGCTCCCAAGTAATGACAGAGGCTGGGAATCATCCTGGTTCCAAAGAGATTCTATAGCAGAGCAAGGTCAAAGTCCTTACATGCAAGATATAAATGTAATGGGTAAGTTAAAGAGAATCTCATAGCCATTCATCATGCACCTAGTGAAATGATTTGATTCTAAAGAACATGCTACACTCCCATTGTTTGTCCTATCCATTTGTCCATTTGAATAAAACACGTCCACACAACACGTGCATTATATCAAAATGCACTGGCAGGCTGGCACTGTTCATTCAATCTATAATAATGCAAGGTGCTGGAAATTGAAGTGAAAGTTGAACCGACTCCTTGAACCATTCAAAATAACATTCAAAGAAGCATCCATTTTTAGAATACCAAATATTTCCATTCTGAATTTGAAAATCAACCTAGTGGCAGGAGGACTGAAAAAGGAAATCAGAATAAAACAGACTGATAAGTCGAAATTTGTGAAATTCCTGTTTTTGCATAAAATGAATGGGGAAAAAATATAAAGTTGATCTATTCACCATTGTCATCCATGCTCCAATAAAGAAGATTAGAGTTAGTCCAGATAGGACAGACACACAAGCAAGGAAGCACATAAGCAGGTCTGCAGTCCCATATTTCTGTAATCTGGGTCCAGGCCTGGTAATGTTATGGTGTTCAACCTTTGCTAATGAGGTCTTCTTTTTGGTTCAATGGGTATTCATTATTTAGCAGACATCACCACATTTTACTATCATTTACAAACTGGTTGAAAACATATTCCCTGACCCCTTCTGATATTAGATGCTCTTCTAGATAGCAGTAGAAAAGAAATGGTGAGATATATAGACAATGAAATTTCAAAAACTTCATTTCTGCTGGTCTGACCTTATTTTCTTTTTCTATATACAACCTGCTTATTCCTATTTCTGGGCCTTTTGTCATGCTATTTTACCTACATAGCGTATCTTCCATACCGCTCTACAAGCACTTCCATTAAAACCCTGTCAGTATTCTCAATCATTCTCCAAGCTGAGAAAAACTGAACAGCATTTTCTTGGAGCTCCATTAGTACTCTACATATGAATTGTAGTATAATAAGCCCAGGCTTCAGGTCCCTACATTGTACTTAAGAATGTGCATTAAATATGCTTGATCATTTTAAAGCATTATACAAAAACATGAGACATACACACAAGCTTCAATCTCAGCATCATTGCCTCAAGCCCCACATTCAGCATTTTGGGCTTGTTGTGTTTGTTTGAACACATTCAGGTCTGCTTTGCTTGTCTATATTTTCAGGGGTATTATGATTAAGTAATAAAAATAACAATAGCTTCCATTTTTTGACAGCTTACTCTGTTCTAGTCACTGTGCTAATCATTTTTCACACATTATCTTAGTCAATCATTGAAACAATGCTATTCAATTGAGTTGATATGAGGATTATTATTCCAATCAATCACATTAGGAAACTGATAGAGAAGATAAGTAGAAACTTGCCCCAGAGTTCATGACTCTATGAACTCTTACTTTGCCATAGATGATATCATCTCTAATAAAGGTGGAATCAGATTGTTGGCTTTACAAACATGTAAAACTGACTGATTTCATATTCTTTCTCTGCCCTTCATAAGCTAGGTTATGCTGAAGGAGTTTGCTGATCACTTTAAGCCACAATTTCTTCATCAATAAAATAATGTGATTGTGATTATTAAATGGAATAATGTATATGAAATGCAAAATAAATGATTATCACACAGGAAACACTGAGCAAGTGTTCTGTTTTTCCCTTTCGAATACGTTGTAAGTTCTTCAAGTCAGAAATATCATTATGACATTGGAGCACTCTAGTGTTTCTAGCACAATAATGCCACCATAAGTAATCAATAAATGCTTTATGACTGAACAACAAACATTTATTATGATTAAGAAACAAATGTATCCATATTCTAGCAAATTTTAAGGTTAAAAAACGATTGTTTTAATAATCTAAACTTTTCTCTTCCTATCCTTGAAGACTATTATTCATTAGTGAGACTCTGTAAAGAATATGAAAAAGCAACAGTTGAACACAGGCTAAGTCTGGAGACATATTAAATAACTAAAAAGAATCCTGACTCGGTTTCTGACCATTAAACTATTTTAAAATATTAGACTATTTTTAAAATATACAGCCTGAAAAAATAAAAATACAGGACTTCGTCTGAGTGCCTAAATCTTATATTCCTCATTGTGTAAGAGGGCAATGCATAAGAGGTACACATCCATTAAATATCTGTAATGAAAGACCTAATAGTACTAAGTAAAAAAATAAATGACAACATATATCTGATCTCCAGTGAACTCATAGTCTAATAGAGAAAACATGTGTGACATATGTGGTAAATACATTTTTTTAAAGTACAAAAATAATGATATAATAATACAAAAGAAGGAGATATTCACTAAGATTGAAGGATCATAGAACTCAATACACGTTTGAACTTGGTCTTGAAGAGTTCAAATTCACAAGGCAAAGATGATGACAAAAGAATATTCCACACAGAGGAAACTGTAAGAACAAAGGCAGAGATATACAAAAAAGAAAGTTGCAACATTTTTGGAGAATGTCAAGAGATCCAATATGGCTAAAGCAAACGGCAAGTGAAGCTACATAGTCAGAGAAAGGATGAGAAAGGAAATACGGTTGGACTATTAAGGAGCTTGACAGTCATAATAAGAGGCCTAGACTCAAAGCAGAAGTTTGGACCCTGCCATTTCAACTCTGAGGATATTTTTACCCTGCCATTTTGACCCAGTTGTATACCAAATTCATGTCTTCATTCTTTAAAATATATAAATTGAATAAAATATTCTTGTTATTTATTCCTGACACTAAGAGCAAAAAAGAATAACTAAGAAATCAAAAAATTAATTAGCTAATTGATAATGGAGATTACTGGTAGATATCATCAAATCAGGATAGAACAGATAATGGCTAAAATTGCACAGGGTAAAATTTGTTAACAAGGATCTAATTTTCTTAGTAAAATTCATATCTGATTTTTTTGGTTCCCCAAATATTGGACTTGTTAGAAATAATGGCCACAAAAGAAAAAATACAATGTCGGAAGCTATAATTGTTAAATATGATAAGAATAAAACTGGCTGTAAAGGATAAGCAAGACTTAAATAAACAAAGCAGGGATAACACATCTGGGACACAAGAAATGAATCATTTTGGCCAAAAGAATTTTCAGAAGTTATAATCTTAAAAATTAAATTGCACATCAAACCCCAATTTGGAAGGCTTTTGCAACAGTCAAAGGAGTTTGGTAATAACAAAAACTATGTTCTTCTCGAGAAAATGATATAACAGAAGAACTGTTTTTAGATAATTGACTAGTTAACAAACATGCATTAAAGACCAAGAAATAATCACCGAGAAGTAGTTATAGAAACAAGAGTCACCAGTTTAAAAGCTAGTGCAAGAATCATCAATGGACACCTAGACTAGAATGGTCACATTGAGAGTGGTAAAGAAAAATTCGAAAAGCATTTTAAGAAATGAAAAAAAAAAAATACCTGGTCCTCAAAGACTAATTCTATACAGAAAAAGAATCTAGAAGGCTAAAGTATTTCTTCTGGAATATCTGTATTTCACGAATTTAAAACAGGAGAGGATAATGCATAACGTCTTATGATTCATTAGTTCTAAACAATGAAGATTGAGAAAAAAGTTATAAGATATAGCAAAATAGATCATTATTGAACTAAGAAGAAGTGGAAAGAAGCTGGGAGGGTATGGAAAGCAGGGAAGAATAAGGATTGAGTGGAAATCAAAGACACAAAGACAATGAATATAGAATGCTCATTTGAAAATCACACAGGAAAGGGTGATGAAGGAAGACTTCCTGGAAAGAAAATGGAAATGTTATCTGGGTCTTGAAGGATAAATAGAAATAAGACAGGCAGAGAGACAGTGGTAAATTATACAATACTCTTGAATCCACACAAAGTCTTGTTATTGCTCTTATGGTAAGAGAACTTAATAGAGAAACAGAAGTTATATTTAATAATGATCCATAGCATTAGGAGATATACCTAATGTTAAATGACGAGTTAATGGGTACAGCACACCAACATGGCACATGTATACATATGTAACAAATCTGCACGTTGTGCACACGTACCCTAAAACTTAAAGTATAATAAAAAAAAGAAAAAAAGAAAATGTGGCACATATACAACATGGAATACTATGCAGCCATAAAAAAGGATGAGTTCATGTCCTTTGCAGGGACATGGATGAAGCTGGAGACCATCATTCTCAGCAAAATTTCACAAGGACAGAAAACTAAACACCACATGTTCTCACTCATAAGTGGGAGTTGAACAATGAGAACACATGGACACTGGGAGGGAAACATACACACCATGGCATGTTGTGGGGTAGGGGGCTGGGGGAGGGATAGTGTTAGGAGAAATACCTAATGTAAATGACGAGTTAATGGGTGCAGCAAACCAACATGGCACATGTATACATATGCAACAAACTTGCACGTTGTGCACATGTACCCTAGAACTTAAAGTATAAAAGAAATCTACAGTAATCAAAATGCATTGATACTGGCTTAACAATAAACTTACAGACCAATGGAACAGAATTGAGAGTCCAGAAATAAATCTAAACAGCCATTGTAAATTGATTTCAACAAGGATGCCACGACCATTCAATGTGGGAAGGAATTGTCTCTTGAATAAATGATTTTTGATTTTGTGGGGTTTTTGTTTGTTTGTTTGTTTTTAACTTTTGTTTTAAGTTTTAAGTTCAGGGCTACATGCACAGGATGTGCAGGTTTGTTATACAGGTAAGCCTGTCATGGAGGTTTGTTGTACTGAATATACACATGTAAAAGAATGAAGCTGGACCCTCACTTTATACCATACACTTAACTCAAAATGTATCACTGGCCTAAATGTAAGAGACAAAACTGCCAAATACTTAAAATAAATATAAAGTTGAACCTTAAAAAAAAAAAAAAAGATCCAGGTAGCTGGGCCAGACATCAGTACTACCTATAGAAATGGAAAAGTTGAGAAGGGAAGATCCCAAATTAGTTTCTTTAGGAGATACAACCAAGTGGTGATAACTTCACTCTCTTGACCTTTCCAAAGTTTTATGAGCCCTAAGGCCTTGCATTAAAATCTTCACATCTGGAATTCACAAAGTGAGTTGTGTTTTCTTGGCCAAACCCTGACTGATGATATGCATGGTATAGAGGAATTAGGACTGGGTAACTTAAGGAGGCTAGAAATGGGGAAAGGACTAAGCAGTAAATAACTGGGCAGAATGAAGAATCTGTACTGGAAAGAGAACAACAAGTACCATGACTTTTTTAAAAGATCAAATAACTTGTACCTATGAACAAACTTGTCATTGGAAATAATCATTACTGGAAACACTAAGTCATCTGGGGGAAAGAGACGGGGCAATGGGATGATCTGCTAAGGGAAAAGAAGCATACAAAAGATATCTCAGGAAAAGTGAGAGGTAACATCAAACTGGGGTCAAGCGGATTACAGATAGTTCAAATCCATGATTAGAAAGCAGGTCACTCATTTTGCACCACAAAAACTGGTGATCTAAGTTGAGTAACTGATACTTTAGAAACGATTTTCCCACCTACCTACATACCCTATTCAAATGCTAGTACCAGAAAAATAGAACACTTACTATATTAGCATCCCAGAAAAAGATATTCCTGTGAATTATACAAAAGAACAGTATGTTTTTCCTTTTCAGACACATAACTCCCATTAAAGTAAATGCATGTTTTTATACACCTGTCAAAAATAGATTACAGGCACTGGCAGTAAAGGTCACTTGGGTCTATTTCTTCTACCCAGGAGCATACCTGTGAATGCAAATTAAAAGTGCACATACAAATGTTGTAAGATAAGAGCTCCAAGTGCCCTAATCCCCTCACTTATACAATGTGAACAGTCCTGCTGAAAAAATCATTTCATATCATATTTTAATCAAGTACATATCCCCCAAGGATGACTACATGTTGCAAACATATGTAAGTTCTGATTTCCTTGGAAAATATTATTTAGATTTTTTTTTTTTTTTTTTTAGTTTTCATTACAACTTAGTTTATTTAGTTCTTATAATAATTCTTTAGCTCATATTTATTTACTTAATTATAGATTAACACAGTAGTTTCCAAATTTGTCTTCACATTATTAGCAGAATCAAGTGAGATCTTTTAAAAATTTCAAATCCCAAGCTATCACCCAGAACAATTATATCTCAATCCCCTAGGGTGAGGCAAAGACCTTGTTATTTTTTTGAAGCTCCCCAGGTGAGTCCAATGTCCATACAAGTTGGAAACTACTGTGTTAACATAGAACTCCTTAAAGGAAACCTGATTAGCCTTTGAGAGCAGCAGTTCTCAGACTTAGCTATATATCAGAACCACCTGGGAAATTCTGAAAATCCCCCGACCCTGGCTACACCCAAGACTGGTTAAATTGTAATCCTTGGGGAAGTGAGCAGGGAGCCAACCATTGTTGTTCTTTAAAGTTCCAAAATGCAGCCAAGTTTGAGAACCAGTGCTTTAAGCCAGAGAATGGTTTGTAATACTTATTAAAACCATTAGATGTCTGGAAAAATAACTTCATTGATGCAATAAAAATTCTTATTAAAACTCTCCAAAAAAAGAAGGAACAGGAATGTGTATTATGTTATGTAAAGGTAATGACACTCTAGTAAGTAGACCAGCTATTGTGTTAACTACAATATTGAAAATTAGGACAGAGACAGAAAAAGCCTAAGCAAGACAAAAAGAAGAAATATAACCTGTTGTCATTTAGAGAGGTATAATTGAATCTTTCAATCTCTATATAATAAAATATATTCCTGTTCTATTCATCACTCTTGCCAAATGTATAAGTTTAAGAAAATTTAAAAAGAAAGAATATTACTGATAGAAAAAGTTTTCCAAATACTCAAAATATGTAGATTAAATGATTGAATAATTTTGAAGCAAGAAAAGGTCATCTCTTATCTCTAATTCCAATTCTAAGCAGTAGTTTCTGGCCACTTTTTGGTCCTGTTGAAAATTAGTTCAGCATGAATAAAATGTATATTATGTTTCAAATACAACAGAAGGGGTGGTTGAATTAAGATGATTTGATGCTATAATTTTTAAGTGTTTATTAAATGTTCACTTTCATGTAAATATATTTCAATGGAAGTTTTAAGTATCATTTAAAACAGATTTTATAAAGTATAATTAGATGTGCTGTCAGATGGGAAGACAAATTAAAAGTGCAATTTACACTGTTGCAGCAGCAGTGCCACCAGGAGCAGCTGAGCTTCTGTACAATGCTCAAGGCAGAATGTAATCCAGTCTCCACAGCACATGTGATTATAGACTCTCAGGGACACTACTATTTAAATTATTAATCAATCAGTTTCCTTTGGTAGAAAAATCTGTGTGCTACAAAAAGGAGGGGGAAGAGTAAGGTCTTTTTTAACTTTTGTAAATTGACTGCCTGGTAAAAAGCCTCTTACGTCTCAATCTCCTAGGGTGAGTTCATCGAAGTATCAGCTAGGCATGCCCTGCCAATTGACAGTATATGACAAAGTTAGTGGGAAACATCCATTTATCCAATTACTTTGGGATGATTTAGTAGTTGTTACAACTGGAAATCTCTGGGTAGAAGCCAGATGAACCAATAGATTTTTTTTTAACTGTATATATCTAAGGTGCACAAAGTGATGTTTTCATACACATATGCATAGTGAAATGATTGCTACAGTCCAGCTAATTAATATATAATCATCTTACATAGTTACGTTTTGTGTTAATAGCACATTAAGTCTACTCTTGGCAAATTTCAAGTATACAATATTATTAATATGTAGTCTTCATGCTATACATCTGATATCTAGACATATTCATCTGATATAAGATATAACTGCAACTTTGTACCCTTTGACCTACATCTCCCCATTCCTTCTTCCCTCACTTCCACCCAACCTCTGGTAACCACCATTCTACTCTCTGTATGTATTCTACTTTCTTTTAGATTCCACATATACGTGAAATCATGCAGTATTTTACTTTCTGTGTTCTGTGTCTGGCTTATTTCACTTAGCATAGTGTCTTTCAGGGTCATCCATTTTGTCACAAATAACTGGATCTCCTTTTTAAGGCTCAATAATATTCGTGTGTGTGTGTGTGTGTGTGTGTGTGTGTATCCCAATTTCTTTATTTACTCATCTGTTGACAGACACTTAGGTTGTTTCCATAGCCTGGCTATTGTGAATAATGCTGCAATTAACACTTCTAAATTATCCCCACAGCTTTTAATGCAGAGGTAGGTGCAATTCTACTTATTGTAATCTTACCCAAAACATCAACAGGGACCCATCTGATGATTATCCCCTTTGAGGTTGTTGGTTAAGGGTACAAACTTGTAGTTAAAAGACTAATAAGTTCTGGAAACCTAATGTACGGCAAGGTGACTAAAGTTAATAACAATGTATTATACACTGGAAATTTACCAACAGAGTAGATCTCAAGTGTTCTTACAACCACATAAAAAGCAGAGGGGAGGAGGGACCCTAGGTGAGGTGATTGATACATTAATTAGCTTGATTGTGGTAATCATTTCACAATGTGTACATATATCAATACATCACATGGTACACCTTAAATACATACAGTTTTTATTTGTCCATCATACCTCAATAAAGCTGGAATGAAAAAATAAAGGGAATCACTTTACCAAACGATATAATTACATAACTAACCTAATCTTAGGCAAACCTTTAAAAAAAATCACTTTTCTTTCTTCACCAGCTAGAAAGAATCATTAATAGATGAAAAATCAAACATGATATGTTTTGCCTTTTCATTTTCTTCACTGAGCCTCTGTTGGACTCATTAATTACCCAATCAAAAGGCAATATACTTAGTTGTTATAAGACACTCCTACCAACATGATAGAACCTGTCACCAATGCAGCCTAAGGTTTTGTTCTCCTTTCATTAAACATATCCATTATTAGTTGTTAAACAACGTATTTTGATATTTCTGGATTTCACAATACATGATTGGAAAAATAAAAATCATAAAAAACAATTTTATAATGAACTCTCCTAACAAATAAAAACAAACACACACAAATCATCTAAACAGGCATTTATTTTGAATCCAATCAGCAATGTTTATTATAATCCAAAATTTTTTTTCATTTCTTTATTATACTTTAAGTTCTAGGGTACATGTGCACAACCAGCAGGTTTGTTACATATGTATATATGTGCCATGTTGGTGTGCTGCACCCATTAACTCATTTACATTAGGTATAGCTCCTAATGCTATCCCTCTCCCTACCCCACGACAGACCCTGGTGTGTGATGTTCCCTACCCTCTGTCCAAGTGTTCTCATTGTCCAATTCCCACCTATGAGTAAGAACATGTTTAGTTTTCTGTCCTTGCGATAGTTTGCTCAGAATGATGGTTTCCAGCTTCATCCATGTCCCTGCAAAGGACATGAACTCATCCTTTTTTATGGCTGCATAGTATTCCATGTTGTATATGTGCCACATTTTCTTAATCCAGTCTATCATTGATGGACATTTGGGTTGGTTCCAAGTCTTTGCTATTGTGAATAGTGCCGTAATAAACATACATGTGCATGTGTCTTTGTAGTAGCATGATTTATAATCCTTTGGGTATATACCCAGTAATGGGATGGCTGGGTCAAAAGTTATTTCTAGTTCTAGATCCTTGAGGAGAAAATGGGGTCATTTAAAAACTTTTCAATGCACAAAACATATTGCAGCATTTCATATGAATTTGCATTATAAACTACATATACTTTACTCCCAAATGAAAGACTCAAGTATGCTTTTTGACCTAAGTCTCATTAAACGGTAGATGTGATCAGCATTTCAATTTTCCATTTAGCAGGATCTTTGGATAAAATACATCATCTCCAAATTTTAAAATGGTTCCAAATTGCTAGTATTAAATAAGCACTTTTAAAATTAATTATCTCCTTTCCTGATAGTCTATGCTTTTCACATCCATACTAGAAATATTATAAAGTGCTCCAGCAAAATATGAAACAAAGATACCTTATTGTTTGACTTTCCTATTTGACCTTGTTTGCCAAGTGTGCACTGAATGTCATGGCTTCCATTGCTAAGCCCAGACAATGAATGTGCTACTGTCAGAAAGCCCATTTGACTGAAACCTCTTCTTTTGTGAAATTCATTCTGTAACCCTATACCTGGCCTCTATAAAGAATAAAATTGTATTTGTATGTCTTATAGTTGGTAGACCAGCGAAGTAAAATTGCCACTCTTTTTAAAGCCTAGCTTTCTCTTGTTTGCTTTCATTTAATTCTACAGGTCTTTGTAGCTTCCTACAGTATGAAACCATTCTCACACTTTGTCTTTCTCAACCATAAGATAAATCAATGCAAAACAGCCACTTTTGTGAACATCAGTCTTTCTTTCAGCCAGGCTCTCACAATGCAAGCACAGTGGTGCCCTCATCTTCTAATCAGTTTTCAGATATCCTTTGATTGTGAAGGGGAGAGGATAGGAAATAAAGAGAAAAAAAAAGGAAATCGTTCCACTGATTTCAGTAGATTAGGGTTTTGCCTTCTTTTAGATTAAGAATTCCTTTTATAAAAATAATGAAAACATTGCTACAATAGTGACCATGATGAAGATGCTCAGAAGTAGCATTGTCCAGGTTTCACTTAGCAATGAATATTTAATGAGCTACATGACTCTGTGCAAGTTACTCAGCTTCTCTGTGCCACATTTTTCCATGTAAAATAATATTACCCCTCTCAGTAGGAGACTATGTGGATTAAAAAGAGATAATGTATACAAAATACTAAGTCTACCTGAGTAATTTGCTCAATAAAATTAATTCTTACTTTAAATGCAGAATTTAATGAAATTTCCAAAAGGCCTAACATCCTATATAAATATCTTCTAAAATAAATTTGGTGAATTTGATATTCTTATCAGACTTCATATATCTCACCCCCTATATTTCAAAACATATGACAAATTAATGTCACAATATTTTATAGCAAATACTCTAATAACAATTTTCAAAATGAAAATGTATTTTAAAGTTTAAAAGAGAGGAACAGTTCCTACATGAGAAAGAAAGGAGGATTGACATACACCTACATCAGACAGAAGTACCACGGGGGATGCAGAAGAACAGCCCCGAAGTCTCTACACATGCCCGCACACATTAGAACTGGATTTCCTCTTGGTTCTCAGTGGTGCTCAGCATTGAAGATAACTTGGATTCACCTGAAAGCATTTGAATCCATCTGGATAAAATGTAGATTTCAGGGCCTCAACCAAGACCTACTGAATTAGAACGCCTGGAGAAGCAGGAGGCAAGAAATTGACATTTGACAAGAAGCCCCTCCCAGGCTCAAAGTCCCACCAGTGATGCCAGTAGCTCATGTATCATACTTCAAGAAACTGCAAGGATTGAAGTCCCAAGTGAGCAGTAGCTATCATGGCCGATTCTTGCCAATGTTGCCTACATTTGCATTGTTTTTCAAAGTAGGCATACATGGAGTGATCAATATGTCTTTAATGAACACTTCTGACCGTCTCCCAATCAGAAAACCCAAGAGCCTAGTTCTCCAGTAACCAGGAAACTGTGTGAAATTCATTTTCACGGAATAATACGCATTGCTTCTTCAGTGCTAAACTATAATAGGTTATAATGTGAAACTAAATGACATTTGCCATTTTTCTGCAGATAACGTCATGTTACTCTCTTTTGCTATCCAATAATAACCACTAAAATAAAGTCTGGTCAAACAAACTCCCCCAAATACTACAGTTACTTTGTAATTGTGCAGTACATTGTCTAATTACCCTGCCACTGCATAGCACTTTCCACATAATTAGATAAATAGTAATTATCCTTTGAGGAGCCAATAACTCAGTGGAATTGCTGAATGGCAAAGTGAATCACTGCCTTCCTGGGTAAATATGGGAAAAAGATCTTCAATGAAGGTTTTAAAATCAGGCCACAGAAGCACATCTCAAAGGCTATGGGTTCTATATTATATCATATGAATAAAAAATGGAACAAATAGAAAAAGTTTAGTGAAATGGCAGTTCATCTACTGCACCATCATTTCAGAAATTAAAGCTGGTAGCATAAGTTCATCCTTTCCCAGGGTATAGGAAGAGTGAGAAAGGAGTGAGGTAAAGTATATTCTAGCAACCCACTGAAGTACTGCCCAGAAAATGTCCTAAATTGGATAAAGTATCATCAGAATTGAAAAAGGAAGGTGAGTAAGGAGGAAATTAAGAAAAGAAATGAAAAGAGAAAATAAGAGGAAATAAAGAAGAAAAGAAAAACCAATCTTAAAGAGAAACAACACTGCTGCCAAAAAGTAGAAGCACGGCACCACCCCCTCCCCAGTGGCAGATCCATCACTACAGTAAAGATGCCTAGAAGGAGAACAGTTAATGAAAGATGCAGATATGGCAAACGAGACTGGAAGGGAAGCCTCTGCAAAAGAAGTTTCATGGAAATAAATAAGAAAAATTAACCACCCTCTTTGTCCCTCTCCCACCCCATATCTCATAGGCAAGATTTACCAGTGCTGTGTCCCATAAAACTATACCTTAAAATATACTTATTCTGATATAAGCTAATGCTTATTCAGAAAATTCTTTTCTTTTACATAAATTACCTTTAAAATATATTTTATGTTTATGAACTGTTTAGAATAACTCCAGATACTTCGCCCCCATAGAAATGTATCCCTGGCCATGCAAGGCTGGTTTAACATATGCAAATCAATAAACATAATCCATCACATAAACAGAACCAACGACAAAAACCACATGATTATCTCAATAGATGCAGAAAAGTCCCTCGACAAAATTCAACAGCGCTTCATGCTAAAAACTCTCAATAAACTAGGTATTGATAGAATGAATGTATCTCAAAATAATAAGAGCTATTTATGACAAACCCACAGCCAATATCATACTGAATGGACAAAAACTGGAAGTATACCCTTTGAAAACCAGCACAAGACAAGGATGCCCTCTCTCACCGCTCCTATTCAACAAAGTATTGGAAGTTCTGGCTAGGGAAATCAGGCAAGAGAAAGAAATAAAGGTATTCAATTAGGAAATGAGGAAGTCAAATTGTCCCTGTTTGCAGATGACATGATTGTATATTTAGAAAAACCCATCGTCTCAGCCTAAAATCTCCTTAAGCTGATAAGCAACTTCAGCAAAGTCTCAGGATACAAAATCAATGTGCAAAAATCACAAGCATTCCTATACACCATTAACAGACAAACGGAGAGCCAAATCATGAGTGAACTCCCATTCACAATTGCTACAAAGAGAATAAAATACCTAAGAATCCGACTTACAAGGGATGTGAAGGACCTCTTCAAGGAGAACTACAAACCACTGCTCAACGAAACAAAACAGGACAGAAACAAATGGAAGAATATCCTATGCTCATGGACAGGAAGGATCAATATCGTGAAAATGGCCATACTGCCCAAAGTAATTTATAGATTCAATGCCATCTGCATCAAGCTACCAATGACTTTCTTCGCAGAATTGGAAAAAACTACTTTAAATTTCATATGGAACCAAAAAAGAGCCTGCATTGCCAAGACAAACCTAAGCAAAAAGAACAAAGCTGGAGGCATCATGCTACCTGACTTCAAACTACACTACAAGGCTACAGTAACCAAAACAGCATGGTACTTGTACCAAAATAGATATATAGATGAATGGAACAGAACAGAGGCCTCAGAAATAACACCGCACATCTACAACCATCTGATCTTTGACAAACCTGACAAAAAAACAAGAAATGGGGAAAGGATTCCCTATTTAATAAATGGTGCTGGGAAACTGGCTAGCTATATGTAGAAAGCTGAAACTGCATCCCTTCCTTACGCCTTATACAAAAATTAATTCAAGATGGATTAAAGACTTCAGTGTTAGACCTAAAACCATAAAAACCCTAAAAGAAAACCTAGGCAACACCTTTCAGGACATAGGCATGGGCAAGGACTTCATGTCTAAAACAACAAAAGCAATGGCAGTGAAAACCAAAATAGACAAATGGGATCTAATTAAACTAAAGAGCTTCTGCATGGCAAAAGAAACTACCATCACAGTGAACAGGGAACCAACAGAATGGGAGGAAATTCTTGCAATCTACCCATCTGATAAAGGGCTAATATCCAGAATCTACAAAGAACTCAAACAAATTTACAAGAAAAAACAAACAGTCCCATCAAACAGTGGGCAAAGGATGTGAACAGACACTTCTCAAAAGAAGACAATTATGTAGCCAACAGACACATGAAAAAATGCTTATCATCACTGGTCATCAGAGAAATGCAAATCAAAACCACAATGAGATACCATCTCATGCCAGTTAGAATGGCAATCATTGAAAAGTCATGAAACAACAGATGCTGGAGAGGATGTCCCACTGTTGGTGGGAGTGTAAATTAGTTCAACCATTGTGGAAGAGAGTGTGGCTATTCCTCAAGGATCTAGAACCAGAATTACCATTTGACCCAGCAATCCCATTACTGGGTATATACCCAAATAATTATAAATCATGCTAGTATAAAGACACATGCACATGTATGTTCACTGCGGCACTATTCACAATAGCAAAGACTTGGAACCAACCCAAATGTCCATCAATGATAGACTGGATTAAGAAAATGTGGCACATATATACCATGGAATACTCTGCAGCCATAAAAAAGGATGAGTTCATGTCCTTTGCAGGGTTGTGGATGAAGCTGGAAACCATCATTCTCAGCAAACTATCACAGGACAGAAAACCAAACACCTCATGTTCTCACTCATAGGTGGGAAATGAACAATCAGATCACTTGGACACAGGGCAGGGAACATCACACACCAGGGCCTGTCGTGGGGTGGGGGTCTGGGGGAGAGATAGCATTAGGAGAAATACCTAATGTAAATGATGACTTGATGGGTGCAGCACACCAGCATGGCACATGTATACCTATGTATCAAACCTGCACGTTGTGCACATGTACCCTAGAACTTAAAGTATAATTAAAAAAAAGAAAAGAAAAGAAATGTATCCCTGGCCAGGCACAGTGGCTCACTGTTTCTTTTTAATTTTTTTAACTCATACCATGTTCCTAATACCTATCCAGGTTCTTAACATGTATCCATGTTGCTCTGTTTATATCCAGTTTTTTGCTTTTAAGTGTCCCATGTTAAACATGGATCTTTCACATTTTAATTCCTCAGTCCCCTCAGTATGGAGATATATCCTTTAGTTCTCAAGTACCTCTCCCAGCAACACCAAAATATATGGATAAGAGAGAAAGATCATCCTCAAACATATTCATTTACCTTTGTGAGAATTTTCTGTAGGGTATACCTAGGCCTGAGATGAGTAGTCATGAAACATATGTTAACTTCATTTCACTAAGTGCTACCAGATTGCCTTCCAGAATGACTATATTCCCACCAGCAAGTGGAAGGCAAAAAAAAAAAAAAAAAAGTTACTTTTTTAAAAACTTCTGACCCAAATGCTTTTCATATATTTAAGAGTTCTTTAATTCCCTTCTTCATCCCATGGACCCACACTGTATTAAAATTTAGTTTTTTGTTTTATTTTTAAAGGGTTTATTTCAGAAAGCACAAGGTCAACAGCTGCTATGTAATTTGGGCATAGTAGGAAATAAAACATGCTATGGTTTAAAAAGATTCAGCAATGGAATAGACTATTTGGAAGCTAAAAAGCTATACAGTGCTGGAATATGACATATTTTCTATGGAACATCCTATTTTCCTTTACAATATCCTACATCTCCATAAATCCACTCTCTCATTTTATACCCATAGGATTCAAAATCATATCCTTGGGCAAAAACAGCAGTACCATTTACAGTATCAGTGACTCACAGAATGAAACACTTTCTACTATTATCACCAAACAATATAAACCAGGAAGGGGTGGAATTCTAGGTGCTAGGTCCCTGGGATTCTGTTTGTTTTGTTTTGTTTTGTTTTGTTTTGTTTTGTTTTGTTTTGGGACAGAGTCTCAATCTGTAGCCAGGCTGGAGTGCAGTGGTGCAATCTCGGCTCACTGCAACCTCTGCCTCCCTGGTTCTAGTGATTCTCCTGCCTCAGCCTCCCAAGCAGCTGGGACTACAGGCACGTGCCACCACGCCCAGATAGTTTTTGTATTTTTAGTACAGACGGGGTTTCACTGTGTTGGCCAGGATGGTCTCGATCTCTTGACCTCGTGATCCACCTGCCTTGCCCTCCCAAAGTCCCTGGCATTATTAATCAGTACTCTATAAATCATTCCAGAACCCCAGCACTTTAAGAATCAGAGAAGTTGGTGCAATTTCCTTCTCAGAGCTGAAAATGAGCTTAATAGCCACTCTTAGATAAAGCTAATGGTCTCAAGTCCTAATACTAACACCACTATGACTTCAGGTTTACTCATTGTCCTTTTTATTTATTATAATTACTGTTCTGTGACTACACCAAGCATCCCAGAGTCTCCTGCTAATCAGTCTTCCCTGAACTATCACCATAGATCACATCGCTCATTCTCTCACCTCATCCCTGGCCTTGTTCAAGTATCAATGTAAAGAGAGCTCTCTCCTACCACCCTATGTAAAGCTGTACCTGACACACTCATATAAACACGCACTCATTTTACCAACAATCTGTATCCTCTAACACTGCTATATTATCCTTCATAACACCACGTATATCTTCCCACTAAAGTGTAGACACACTAAAAGCAAGGATTTTGTTATTGTATTCACTGAGCTATCCCCAGTATGTAGAACAGTGCCTAGCACAAAGAAGGTATTCAAATATTTGTAGAACAAATCAATTTAGATTGTGATAGATGCTGAAGATCCAATAACAAGAGAGCCCAGTCCATGCCCTCATGGGGCTTACATTCATGCAAGGATACAGATGAGTAAGCTGTAGAATGTGCAGGAGAACCCCGGTCTTGTCATTCACGTAGCTCTTTCCACCCTGCCATGCTGAACACTGTACAAAAGATGGGGCTTGATTATTTAGCAACAGCTGAGGGAAAACATTAGTGAACAGAGGACTGCAAAGGCTGAGTTAGTTGCCTTTTTCCATCACATATCTTGAAATCCTTTGTGGTTTTTTTTCCAGAGACCCATTCAGATTAGAAGCTGCAAAAGAGGAGGTAGCCATGAGGACTCTTTGAAGACTTGTATTATTCTAAAGAACATTTTCCATTATGTTTTTTGTACATGGGATATTATTCAGATTTTTAATTAAATAATCACAGTAGTAATGTAATCAATGTGCATAAATTTCCACATGAACATACCCTCATGTACAGTTTAACAGTGGGTACAAGAATGGACAGCTGGAAATGTTTCAGTGGTTATATAACTTGTCCTTAATAAGTCATGATGCTTATTTCCTAACAATGCAAGTAATATCTACCAAGTCATGTTAGAATTGTGATAGTGTTCTATTTGCAAACAAGTTAGAAAATAAAGCTTCTGTTCCTGTGCTTTGGAATAGAAATAAACATCCTATTTTTATTGTATACCAGACTCTCTTTGACTACACCTGAAGAAAGTGAAAGGAACTGAAGTTTTAAATACTGTCCTAGAATTTAATTGAGAGAGGGGGAGAGGGTAAAAGTTGCTTTGAATGTGAAGTTGAGCTGATAAAACAATTTACTTTGTAGAAGCCACATTCCATTTCTGTTGACAGACTATGATATCTGACATAAGAGAAGTCCAAAGAAATAATCCCTGCACTGAGAGCTTAGGGACTCATACACCAAGATTAAAGGAAACGCTGGACATGCTGGACTTATTTTGAGTTACTTAATATGGCCTAAAGATTTTTGAAAAAAGAACATAAAAATATGCTGCGAATAATTTTCACTGGAAGTATATTTTGTCCTGTTTATACTTTCGCTCATGGGAGCCATAAAGGACAAACGATTAAACAGCAGAGTCTTCTCTTAACCATTTGAGGGGAGGAAGACAATAAAGACTGGTTTATCACATACAGTCTCTTATTATGTAATAACACTGAATCATTATAGGAATGCTGTATAGTTATTAGGGAGTAATTTTTCAAGTCTCAGTGGAAATTATCTCCAGTGAGAAGTCAAATTCTCAAGTTTCTGATATTTACTTGTGAGTCACACTCTCCCCTGTTCGATATTAACATATTAGAATGAAAGCACAAAAATTCATTTAAAAATAAAAGAAATAAGTCACCAGCTCCCTGTACTTCAGAAGTTCTCCCAATTTCTCTAACTTGCTGATAACATCTTTCTCTTTCTGTTTGTTGCTCCTGTTTTGGAATGAGGGCAAAGGATCAAATTGCATTTATTTCCACGGAATTATGATTTTCAGCACAACCAAATGAGATTGCTTTTTCTTTTGAAGGTTAAGAAGTTGTGTTATGATATGTAAAATGATTTTCTGATTGCTATATTTAGATGTGAAATACAGATCCACATGTCACCTGGTTATGCTTCATTTTTTAATGGGGCAGGCATTGGTAATCATAGCTCTGGACTACTCAGATTTTCACCAGGCTCCACAGCTACCTCAGCCCACAACCATTGCCCTTGGATACCATGGTGCTCATGGTATACAATAGCTTCCTCTGGTGACCTCGAAATAAACAGCACATGCTAAGTAGCTCTGTGCCCCACTATTGTTTGTATTATGTTCAGTGTATTTGCTAAGTAGAAAGAGTGACAGAATCTAGACATAGACAATCTAAGCTCTTCTTTTTTTTTTTTTTTTTTTTTTTTTTTTGTCTCACTCACTCACTCGCCCAGGCTGGAGTTCAATGGCATGATCTTGGCTCATTGCAGCCTCTGCCTCCCAGGTTCAAGTGATTCTCCTGCTTCAGCCTCCGAGTAGCTGGGATTACAGGCATGCACCACCACACCCAGCTAATTTTTGTATTTTTAGTAGAGACGGGGTTTTGCCATGCTGGCCAGGCTGGTCTAGAACTCCTGACCTCAAGTGATCTGCCTGCCTCAGCCTCCCAAAGTGCTGGTATTATAGGCATGCACCACCACACCCAGCTAATTTTTATATTTTTAGTAGAAATGGGATTTCGCTATGTTGGCCAGGCTGGTCTCAAACTCCTGGCCTCAAGTAATCCACTCATCTCGGCCTCCCAAAGTGCTGGGATTACAGGCATGAGCCACCACACCCGGTCCAAACGATCTAAGTTCTAAGAAAAAGTCTATCATTTACTGGCCATGAGACTTAGTTAAAAAAAAAAAAAAATCACTTAAACTGTTCAATAATCAAACTCACCCTACCCTTCTAACAGGATTAATTGCGTCAAGTTGCAACAAAAGGTATTATATGGAATTTCAAAAGAGTGTGTGTGTACATATGCTGTTTTATATGCTTGAAAACTAAAATAATTCAAATTTGAAATAATTACATAAGAACATAACATTATATAAATAGGACTTGACAGAAGCAAAATTGGGGAGAAGACAAGTAGACCGTCTATGTCCGAGGCTCACATTCTTCAGTGCTAATGCTGCCATCTGCTAGTTATTCTCTTGGTCAAGAAAATGGACTTCGGCTGGCTCACATCTTGAGGAATTATTTTAAATAGACCATATAAATTATTTCTTTTCATCTTATGTAGTTGATTCGCTCCTCCAAATATAAAAAGGTCACTAAAATAAAAAATGTTCTGTAGTTTTAAGCATCCAGTGTTGTGAGGAGAGAAAATACTGATTTTTCTTTTCTAAATTTAAAGAAAACAAGCTTGCAGTACAATCTTAAGATTCTTGTTAGTGCAGCAGGCTCCACAACTCATAAATCATAATGTGCTTCCTTGCAGCATCCTCTTTACATGTAGCTGAATTAAAAAAGCAATAAAGGGTGAACAAAAGTATCTCTGGTTTCTGTTAGAATGAGTGCTATGTCCACACATCTCTGCCTGCTTTTCAAACCAGTAATCCATCAAGTCTCAAGACAAAGAAATAAACAGTTCTGGTCAACTCATCACTGAACGAATGTGCTAATGTCCTTCTCTCTGGGTCTGGGTACCATTATTCCACAGCCGGAGTAACATGTACAATTTGTGTTTTCCCTTATTTAAACTAATGATTGCCTTTGTTAGAAACTACCATGGAAATATTATTCCCTGCAAGATGCCAAACTACCACAAGTCCAGAAAAGTCTGCACCCTTCCTAAACAATGGTTGACAGGTTAAAAATTGTACTTCCGAGAACACAAATAATATCTAAGCCAAAAATAACCTAATCTAAAAGCACTTAAATTATTCAGGCTGCTCTTTCACCTAAAGCAAATTGGCAGAATTGGTAAATTAAATAAGGTAACATCTTACAAAAGGTCTCTTTTGTGGAAGGAAGTGAACGGATGTTACGGGATGTTGCCCCATAACAGAGTGTCCTCAAAAAGATCAAGGGGAAAATCTACTGTTCTTGTAAATTGCCCAACTTAAATTCAAGCTCTCAGCAAATGTTTGTTGAAGCAAATTAAAATCAATAAATTTCTTGGAGGCTTAAATCACATAAAATAAATTGAAGATTATAAATTATCACCACAATGAATTATTCTTCAATTAATACTCTTCCACAGAAGACAAATATGTGCTGCTGATGGATACAGTGGATAACAGCCAGGAGGAAGGTTTTCCTGGCAATACCCACATTTTGAGAGTTATCACAGGAATGCTATCATGGCCCAATCTGAGCTCCAGACAGAACTTAGCACCCTACTTCACGGGTGTCAATGGGAGGATGCCTTTCTCATGAGGGAGATGTTTAGGGGAAATTATTGCCTTGTCGGTTTCCTTTTCCCATGTAATATATTCCCTTTTCACTTCCCAATAGAATTTAAAGCATTTCAAGCAGTAGATAGTAAAACAGATTAAATGTATTATAAAATGCCCCAAGATTTGGAATCTAGAGAATTCCAAATTTTATAATATTAAAATACATAAAATAGTTAATAATTAAAATGGATCAGAAGCCATTTAGGAAGTAATGAAATCAAAACCAGTATGTGAATTCATATAGAAAGACAAACTCTGCTGGTAATAAAATGTTGGAGGAGTTTTTCAAATGATACTTCCTTTGGAAGACCTTAAGAAGCAGAGCACATAATGTCTTCAATCACTCATTTATTCAGCCACTGTTTATTGAAAGCACCTACTATGTGCACTACAATTTTGCTTAAGAAATATTCTGCTTCTCAGCTTGACTTCTGATCAAAGGGACATATAATTAAATTATCATTCCACAAATACATTCTACCAGAAAACTAAGGTTTAGTGATGCAACTTGGCCCAACAACGGAGATGTGTCTCTTGTACTCTCCAGTACCCCTGCAAACATACTTCAGCAGGAGGCTGTCTGTGCAAGCTTGGGCTCTGTGATGAGTGCTACAGGATGTGGGAGCCTAAGTTTTTAATTGATGTCAAACAAGCAGAATAAAGATTATCTTTTGACACTTAGGGATACAATTTTCATCTTTGTTTCATGGAAACAATCCAACCTCCATATATGGGCAGACTACAGGGTTCTTGTGAGCAAGAGCAATTTTGTTTTACCAAAAATGAAAATATATTTTCAGCTGTTCTTACATTGTATATGATGTAAGTGCCTTTCCTCAGAAAAATATTTTAAGGCAGATATGCATTAATAGTGTGCTGTATTGATCATACCTCTTTAACATGATAAATTTAAAGGAACACTGCAGCTTGATGCTCCTGACCAAGATGGGTTAGCTGTAAATGGGTCCTGAAGGTTGTGATCCCAATTTTGTGCAGCAGCATGGAATTCTAAAATAGAGTTGCATGTGTCCTCTCACCAAGATGTAGAAAAATGCCTAGTGATCCATAGAAGAGAAGGACAATAATAACATCTGCCCTATACAAACATGAACTGTTATCCCTCCTTACCCAAAAAAGGTTTATGCCTAAGACATATTGAAAAGCTGGTCCCCCCCACTTACTCCCCCAACCCTAAAAGAGCAAAACATTGACAAATGTCCATCGCATTCTAAGTGACTTGGCTATGTGAAATCATTCCTGGCTGACAAGGAATATAAAAATATGTGCTCCCCATTCTCTAACTCCTTACCAAACCTCTCAGCACCACCCTTGCCACTGCCTTCCCCATTCAGAAAGAATGGTTACTGCCCTCTTTACAGGGGAGAAGCCAGGGCCCGCTCACGGCTTGTTTTAGAAGGTGCACATGAGAAGCTGCCACTTCTTCCCCCACTCCCAGAATAGATGTGGTTCAAAGGTGTATCTGGCAAGCTTCCAATCATTTGAAGCAAATGTGTAGAAGTGCTCCAAAATAGGATGTCAGAAAGCATATTGCCCTCATAGCCTGCTAAAATAAATAGAGAGAGGGATATGTGGAGGAAACGATACCAATTACCCATGCTGGAGCCTGCCCAAGTCAGAACAACTAACACACCTTAAATGTGTAAATAATCACCCTCAGTATTTTAATGAGTTCAGTAATGGAGAGTCATCTTTTCTTCATCCATTTCACCTCCAAAACAGCACTCCTTACAACTCAGTCTCTATTAACAATCTGCTGAGACATTAATTGAATATTGACCCAAAGAAATGTCTGCTACCTGTGGCATCACTACAACTCCCCAATTGAAAACCAGCTCTAAATCTGAGATACAGCAAGGAAAGAATTCCATCTCACCACTTTGATTATACTTTAACTGCTAGTACTTGGAAGCCAATGAACTTAAAAAATAAGGAAAAAAAATTCAAGACAGCTGCAGTATAATGAAAAAAGCCATGGATTAGCAGTCAGGAGTCTCAGCTTTCTATTACTGTTCTGTTCTTCCAAACTGTGACTATAACTATGGACCATTTGTTAGTTTATTCTTTTATTAGACTATTTATTAAGTGTCTACTCTGAGCTAAACACTGTGCCAATTTTTTTTTTTTTTTTTTTTGAGGCAGAGTCTCGCTCTTTTGCCCAGGCTGGAGTGCAGTGGCGCTATCTCGGCTCACTGCAAGCTCTGCCTCCCGGGTTCACACCATTCTCCTGCCTCAGCCTCCCGAGTAGCTGGGACTACAGGTGCCCGCCACCACGTCCGGCTAATTTTTTGCATTTTTAATAGAGACGGGGTTTCACCATGTTAGCCAGGATGGTCTCGATCTCCTGACCTCGTGATCCACCCGCCTCGGCCTCCCAAAGTGCTGGGATTACAGGCATGAGCGCCCGGCCCACTGTGCCAATTTTTGTTAAAAGGCAATATTTATATCTATTCTGACCAACACACAGGGTTGTCGTAAGAATTAAACAAAATTACTTATGTGGTAGTGCTTAGCAAACAATAAAGCACTGTGCAATTATGAAGCAACTATTATCAAAAACATTCTAACTGCTTGAATCCGCATCTGATCACCACGTGGAGGAGTGTATATGTATATAAATGGAATTTGTGGGTACATGATATGTAAATTATGCACAATGAGAAAAGTATTATAAGATATGTGAGCTATAACAAGTGAAATATAATTTGGAGAATGAATGGAAATGGAGAAGCAGAATATTTAGGTGAGGAAAATAGTGACCTTTTGTAAATCCCCATAAATTAACTGTGCATGGGGCTAAAAGTAAGTTACAATTTAGAAGACAATAAACTGAGAGAAGCAATAGAAAAAGGTACTTTATGCTCTTTTCTGGAACCAGGTTGTCTGGGTTTAATTACTTGCTCTAGCATTTATAGCTGTTGCCTAGGAAAAGTTGCTTAATATCTGTGCCTCAGTTTCCTTACCGTCAAAATGTGCTCAATTATAGTATTCAGCCTCTGGAATTGTTGGGAGGATTAAATAAGCTAACACATATAAAGTAAGTGTTATACGGTGCATTGTAAGTCTACCTAAAGATGAGCTATTTAACATGCAGATACTTTTCTTTTACATTTAAGGGGGTTATTAGAAATAATGATGCTTAAAAATTATTAAATCATAAATCAATTCAGTGAATGTTACTATAAGCACATATGTAGGTTTTTATGTCATTCCTTATTCAGAAATCTACAAAGGCTTCATTTTATCTACCATAAACAGTCTAAAGTCATTTATTGGCTTTTAAATCGCTATATTTTCATACACTATCCAAACATTTCTCACAACTTCTAATATGAATGCTACATTTCAGTTAAGTCAATTTATCCCTCTGTTGGTTCTTTTCCATTAGCGTAAATACACACTAAATCTCCCATCTTTTTTAAAAAAACTTTTTTGATCTTATTTTCTATTTTGTTCACTTTTACAGCAAAACTCCTTAAAAGATTTTTCTGTGCTTACTGTCTGAACTTCCTGTTTTATTCTCTCTTGAACTTTCTCTAATTGGGTTTCACTCCCTGCTAGTCTCGCTAAAACAGCTCCTGTCAAGGTCACCAATGATTTTAACATTGCCAAGCCCAACTGTCATTTCTCAAGGCTCCTTATACTCATCTATTCAGCAGAATTTGACATTACTGATGACTTCCTGCTTTTGAAACAGTTCCTTCATGTTGGCCTGCAAAACAGTTTTCAGTTCTTCTCCCGTATCACTTTCAGTCTTCTTTGCTGGCTCTTTCTCATCTTCCTGCCCTCTAAACGTTCATATAACTCAGGTCTTGATCCTCACACCTCTGGTGTCTCTCTACTAAACCCCCTAGCTCATCTCCTCTATTATGCAGTCTTAAAAAATTATCTAAGGGCAGACTTCTCTCAAATTTGTATTTGCAGATCATTCCTACCTTCTGAAATCCAGACACATAACCTACTACTAGTATTTGGTTCCATTTAGAAGTCCATAAAAACCTCAAAGCTAATGTGTCCTATAGAATGTTTGATAATTTCTCCCATACCTGCTACTACCACCATATCCCTAATTTCAGCAAATGGAAACTCCATTCAGAAGAATCTTTACTGATTCCCCTCTTTCTCTCACACTCCACAGGCTTCAATCCATAGGCTTATAGTAAAGCCTATAAGCTCTTTGTTGAAAATACATCTAACCAATTTTCACAGCTTCCACCACTCCCTAAACCCTCTTTGCCTCTCACTTGGACTTCTTGCAAGAACATCCCTGCTTCTGCCCTGCTTTCCCTACTGTTTGTTCCTACATAGCAGCTAGAGTGAGCCTTTGATATAAGTCAAACTGTGTCACTGCTCCCCTCAAAATGTCTAAATGGTTTCCCACTTCACTGAGACTCAAACCCAACATCTTCACCATATACCTAAGGCACTACTGAACTGGCTGCTACTTCCTCTTTAACCTCATTCATCACTACTCACCACCTCCTCCAATCCCCTTTTTCTGCTCCAACTATACCACTCTTCCTTTTCTTGTAAAACATCCCTATGCAAGAAGACAAGCTCCATGAGAGTAGAAATTTTGGTGTTTCATAAACTGCTATATCCCCTAAATCAAGAAAAATGCCTTGTGATTTCCTATGTTTGTTGAAAGAATAGACTGAATGATTAATCTCTTTGTATTGTACACAAATAATAGCTCCTACACATTGAGTGCCATGCCTGATGCCTGCATCATGTCAAACCTTCATGAAAACTCTGAAGACAAGCATTATTCTTATTATGTAGATGAGAAAATGAAGCCCAGGAAGATTACATTTCATGTCCAAAATCACACAGCTAGAAACTGGCCACGCTGAAGTTTTAACCAGAGGCTGTCCTCTTTTCATTAAGCCTCTCTGCTCACTAAACATTCTGCGCTCATTACTGTTCCCTAAACTGGGCTGATGTCCTTACCATGTCCAGAATGCCCTCCTTCTAACTCTAAATCTCAGATGTCAACTACAAATCAATGCTTCTCATTAATTTCCTTTATTGACTTCCCACTCATCCATATAAGTCATTCCAATTTTTATCAATGTCTCCATTCTCAGAACTAAAGCTCTTAAAGTTTATAAAGAATGAAAATAATCTCAAGTGTACATGCTTTTCTGTAATTTTCTAATGTATATGTGTATGTTGGTCTACCCAAACACAATTGGGGGCTTTACTATAGAACCTATTTCATTAAAATGTCTGTCTCATCTAGTGGCGATTGAGAATGTTCATAGCAAGGGTTAAATGATGTATTACCTTGAAGACACACAAATATGTAAAAGAACACAAGGTTCTTTTGACCTAGGTGTCAAAAGCTACAAACTTTAGTGTTGCCATTCAGAAATTTCTGTCATTGGCCATAAGAGCACAAAGAGTAGATGCCCATTTGCTCAGACTAAAGTCTCATAGATCAGGATTTTCCTTTCTGTCCATGCTAATCCCTAATTTTCCTCATGGTGTAAATTGGGGACTCTTCACAAACGGTCACTGTTAAATACAGACAATGAAAATAATCTTTAATTTTCTAACACAGAGACTAAAGTGTTCATGTTCGTGGGATGTTTATTTGCCTTGAGTGCTGCTTCTCTGTCCCCCTCCAAAAGGCAGATGAAAGATTCATGTTCCTTAAACAGTACTTCCCTCATAGTGCTCCCTCTCTCATAACACCCTGCACAGCTCTCTACTACCACCTATAGATGAAAGCTAGACTTCTCAATCTGACACTGAAAACCTCTCACAACCAGATCCTGCTCTCTACATACTAATGGTCCACAACTTTGTAACTAACACTCTTGCTTGCTTTTAAGTAATACAATTAGATATTCTATGCACATGACACATTTACTCTATCCTTTGTCCCCTTTCACAGATATGTTCACTTGACCCATTCAACCTTTTCCACCCCCCACTTTAACATTAACATTGTCACCATCCTTCAGAGTCCATATCTCCACTGAGAAAAGGGAAGCCACCAAAGTGGAGCTCTGTCACCATCATAACTTCATGCAGACAAACCCATCTATCTGTTCAAGCCTGCTTTTCCTTCTTCTCTCTTGATACACTGAGAAAATATCACTATCTTATTAACACTCAATGTCTCCAGCCATGCTCTGGATACCTCCTTCCTCCTGTTGCCTTTTCAAGACTTCTCTCAAGACCTCTCTCCTGAAACTCTAGTCTCTCACCCTCTCCTGAGTAATTCTCATTAACATTCAAATATGCTCCAAAATATCCCACCTTAAGGTAGGAGGAAGACCTCATTTAATTCTGTTCCTCATAGCTAAATTCTCAAGAGTTTCTAAATAAAATACCTCCATTTTTTTCATGCCATTCTTCAGTCCATTCTAATCATATTTCTAATCATTTTTCCCTCAAAATTGTTCTGGTCAAAGTCACCAATGATCTCCATCTTTTCAAGTTTAATGGACTCTCCCTTCCTCATTTTTTTATATTCTAGTAGCTTTTGACACAGTTGTCCACTCAATCTCCCTTCGTTTCCGTATCTGTGTATTCACAGCTTTCTTCTTACTTGCCTGGAGACTTTTTCTTAGCCTCTTTTCTGGTTCTTTCTCTGCTATCTCAACTCTGAATTTTTATTTAGGGTTTGAGCCTGGGCCAGCTCTTCTCTCTAAACTCTAAAATACATCCTGAACATGCTCACTTCTCTGCATTTGCACTGACACCATCCCATTCTAGACCATCCTTTTTACTAGCCTAGTCCACTGCAACTGCCCCCTAACTGTCTGCCTGTCTCATATTTCTCCAATTAGCCACTCAACAAGAGTGTTCCTATTAACATAAATTAGTCCACTTCTGTCTACTGTGTCATACTCTCAGAGGCTTCCCATATCCACAGAATAAAACCCAACTTCCTTATAATGTTCTCCAAGGCTACACATAATCTCCCCTTTTCTCCTATGAGACTTCAGTCATCTTATGCCACTGTCACTCCTAGCTCATTATTCTTCAGACACAATAGTCTTTCCTTAGTTTCCCAAATAACCTAAGTTATTTCCCATATCAGAGCCTTTACGCTTCCTATACCCTGTTCAAGAATGTACTTCTCCCATCTCCACATGACTAGTTCCTTCAAAGTCATCAATGTCACCTCCTTAGAGATTTTTACCATGATCTCACAATTCGTTTCAAATGTCTTCTTCACTACATTTTCTCTAATTGTATACTATGTTTTATCACAGCACTTCTCAGTAATTATTTTTGTTTGTTTTGGGTTTTTATTTTTTATTTGTTTCGTCTGTCTTCTCTATTAGAATACAGCCTGGGACCAGGTCGACCTTTTTCAATGTTGTGTCTTTCCATGGCTAACATTGTGCCTGGTTCATAGGGTACTCAGCAAACACATGTTGAATGAATTGATAATTATGTGCAAGATTTAAGGGTACATTTGATTACATAGTATGTGATTCCATTTATATGAAGTATTCAGAATAGGCACATCAAAAGGGACAAAAAGTAGATGAGCAGTTGTTACGGCTTAGGGTAGATGAGAGAAATGGAGAGTGACTGCTAAAGAGTATAAAGTTTCCTTGGAGGTTGATAAAACATGTTCTAAAACTGATTGTGGTGATCAATAAATAAGCATTTATTTATTCTGTAACAAATAAATAAGCATTTGTATATTCTGTAAATATACAAAAATCATTCAATTGTACATTTGGGGTGAATTGTATGGTATGTAAATCATGTCCCAATAATTCTGTCCCCCTCCTCCCCCACAAAAAGACAATTGGCTAATCCATTAGTTGATTTTTTTTTCTTTTGACATTGTATTGATAAGAAATATTTAGTAGCACACATTTTATTTGTTTTTATAGTCCTTAAGGGTACTATAAAAATAAATGACTATAGGATAATGCTAATAAGGCAGTCAAATAATAAAGAAGTATTTATTCAACACTTGCTATATACAGTGCAAAGTACTGGAGATAATCAAAAAGAAAAATGCCTCCACACTGCCATTAAAGAGTTTAAGGAACCAATTTAATTCAGATTAAGATGACTAAAAGGAAACAGTGAAGATCACTGTATCAGAAACCTCCTGTGACCCATTTCCCATCCTCCCACAACCCTTTTTACTCCAACCGATGTTTCAGTAACAAGCTGTGAGCAGGTGCAGTCCTTCACCTCAGCTTTCTACCAGGGGCTTCCACTCAGCCAAGTGGGACACTGCAGAATCGCTCAGTCATTTCAATGTGTGTGCAAAGTTGGAGGAGGTGGGAGTGAACAACTGTTGCAACTCTTGCCTACATGGGAGCTGATGCATAAATACTCCAGTCTTCTGTGTCTCAGGTGTACAATTCTCCAATGTACTATACACCAATTCTCAAAGTTTGATCAGTGGGACTGAGTCACAGCTGCCCACAGTTGTAAGCAGATCAAAAATGCACCTCAAATAGGCTTTCACTCTTCTCCTCTTTCTCTCTTCCAAGCACTCCACTTATGTACCCTGGCATCACTTCCCCAAATAAGCTACCTGTATGAAAGCCCTTGTCTCAGGTTCCGCTTTGGGGTGGGAGGGATCTAAGTCTCAAGCAATTTCCAAAGTCTATTTCTCTATTTTTATAACCTTACCAAGAAAAAACAAAATTTCTGAATCCAAAGCATAGCATACTGTCAATCAGATCAGATGACCATAAATCCTGCTTAGTCTGCACATTTGCCAAGCTATTTCATTCAACAGTTCATGCATTCCTTTATTAAATATTGATCATCCACTATTATCTAGGCTCTCTTCTGGATTCTAGAAATATATCAGTGGACATAAAATCCACCCTTTCTGGAGGTTGTATTCCAGCAGGAAGAAACAAAAAATAATAAACAAATAAACACATAAAAAAGTGTATATATGTATATGTGTGTGTGTATATAGATACATACTAGACTATATGTATATATGTGTGTGTGTGTGTGTGTGTGTGTATATATATATATATAACCCATTAAGTGGTCGTAAGTGCAATTTAAAAAAGTAAAATAATGAGTGATGGCAACAGACTATGATCAGAGAAGGGTTCTATAGAAAAGCGATATTTGAGCAAGGATCTGAATAAAGTGATTCATGAGAATATCTGGGGGAAATAATCCGAGGCAAAGGGAACTGCAAGGGTAAAGACCTGCTATTAGTAATGAGCTTGGTACAGTCAAGGAAGAGCAAGAAAGCAGTACAGCTAGTGTCAAATGAGCAGGGGCAACAGTGGAAAGAGAGGCCCAGTGGCTCTTACAGCCCAAGGTACAAAAAAGTTAGATTTCATTCCAAAAGTAAAAGGAAGTATTTGGGGAGTTAAGAAAAGGGGAGGTGGTGACAAAATTGGATTTACATTTCTGTAAGATGATTCTAGCTATTATATGACAAATTCACTGTGGGAGGGCAAGAGAGGAACCAAGGAGATCAGTGAGAAACACTAAACAGCAATCCAGGAGACAGATGACAGCAGAGAAAGATGAAGGGAAGAAGAAACCATTCCAATGACTTTACATGTTTAAAAAAAAGTGGAGGGACCTGTTAGTTCCACTTAAGCATTGTTTTTTGGATTTTTTTTTTCAAATAAACATTTTCACAAAAAGCTGTTCATATTTGAACAAAGTTAATTTTAAATGTTTTTTAAAATAACAAAGTATAAAACTGCCCTGAGATATGACATAGTATTCCTACAATTTACAAAGAAAAATGGAGACTAATTTCTATGCACCTATTTTTAAGAAAATAACTTAGATCGATCCCCCTCAGTTCCAATCTGCAGGAAATCATGGGTCAGATGTAAATTACACAGTCAGGAGGGAAAAGAAAATCCTAGATACACTGCTCTAAAGATTAAAAAATCACAAGGAATTTGATGAGAACAAATATAAGGAAAGAATTTAAGGAATAAGTCAGAGCAAGTAAAAGGAGAGTGGAAATTTTCCTTAAAAATGCAGTTGCCCATTCCTGTCATTCAGGACATCAATATGAGGGGAAATAACAGGTTTCAAGTGAAGCTACAAAATTACATCTTCACAGATTTCTTAAATAAGTGCAATATAGCATTATATTTTTAAAATATTTCCAGAAAACTTTATTTTTAAACACCTTTTGCATGTTCATTTATATTAACTCCTCCCCTTACCCTCATCTTAAAAAGATAGCGCTCTCATGAAGATTGAGCCTAGACGTAAAAATGCAAACAATACTTTTTTATACCACAGGTAAGTATCTTTCCCCTCTTTAACCAAAATTTCAGATATTAAAGGCCAACATTTCTAACTGATATGCATATATAAAAGCATTTAATAGTCACAGTTATATTAAGTGTATACTATTATTTTTCCCATTTTACAGATGGGGAAACTGAAGCTCCAAGGAGTTAAATGTCTTGACCAAGGTCTCACAGCTGGAAGCCAGAATTTAAAGCCATGAAGTCTGGCTCCATACTCTCAACCACTGTAAATATCACCTTGTAATGTACTATACAGATGGTAGCTTGGTTCAGAAGAAAAAACAAAAATAGAAGAAACACGTGGAGGATGTAATTGAAGAAAAACAAGGGAGGGGCTGGGAATACACATCTCTCCTCAACAGCTAATTCTACCAACTGCAGGGAAGGCACAAGTAACATCTGATCCTGCCAAACAGCTCACCTAGAAGTATTAGAGATTCACCTCCCGTATTGCAGGCAGCAGCTCATATCCTGAGGATTTTCTTCTGGTAGCAGCAGTTGAGTGCTAACCTGCTCTGTAACAATATAGGGCATCTTGCCAAGGAAGCTGGGTTTTTATTCAGCTGCATGAACGAGATCTAGTTTCAAATACAAGACTTCCTTACTACTTATTCTAGAGATTTCATTTAAGACTGAAAAATATACTGGCCATAAGAAGATCTTAATATGAGAGGAAACAGTTCTATTTAATTCTAGGGGGTAGTTCCCAACCTAACTGAATGACAAATTCAAAATATCATTCAGCTAAAGCATGCCCCTTCTTCAGAAATGGTCTCATGTCCCATACGCTTCATGCAATAGCCTCAGCACAATACAATTAGCTGACTTTGTTATAAACAATGGCTTTCATTCAATAGTATCCTAACTTAACCTCATACAAATCCAACTAAGAAGATTTGTCAGGTATTAATATCTACATCTGCTAGATAAGAAAGCAAAAGGACAGGGAGTTTTAAAGTCTTGCATAAGATTACATAACTAGGGGAAGTATGGAGAAAATATGTGGATACGGCTTCCTAAAATTCAAGATTAGGCCATTCGTTCATTCATTGTTGGTGAATTGACAAATCAACTGGTGACTGAAATCCTGTCATGTGCCCAGCTCCATGCTAATCAACAGAGTTCTGTAGAGAACAATTTGAAACTCCCAAGCAAGTATTTAATCCACCTGTGCCTGTTTCTGTATCCGTATGCTGAAGCGAATACTAGTACTATATCCCAGAATTGTTGAGAAAATTAAAGGAGGCATTGCATATCAGCATTTAGCACAGTGTCTGGCACAAATTATTATGATATTTTTAAAATCCTGCAATTAGAGCTGTCTAATAATGATTGAACTCCTCTTACCAGAAAAGTAGAGAGATAGGCTGAATAACATTTATCATTAACTAATGGATAAAGCCTGTTCCAAACCTATGAGACTGTGGGAAAGAGGTAGCATCTTGGCTCATATAGGTTCTTTTCCTCCCTACTTGTTGATATAGGAGAGCTTTCTCAGAAATTTTCATACATTTCCAAAGATGATACAAACAAATGAAAAATTAATATGATTTTCAGAGACACACCAAAATAAATCAGATGCTTAGATTAACTACTCATTTATTTTTCCATTAAGATCAATGTCATTTTCCATTACTTATACTTTTTTAAAAGAAAACCAAATATAGCAACTAAAACTAAATCACAGGAAAAAGTTAATAAATGTGGCTGTTATTAGTTTAACCCTGTACATTAGCATTCTAATGCATACTGCCTGTGTAGTCCTTTACTTTCTTCAGAGGTTTTCATTATCCTAACTATATTAAGAGGAGCTCAAAGAAAGAAACCACATCATATGTTTTTCTTAATTCCCTGCCATACTTTCCAGCACATAGTAGTTGGCAAATACCTTGATACGGCCATGGTAGCTGTGAACTAGATTCCATACCAAATGTTGGCAAGGATGTGGAGTACATGGACCTCTCATGCATTACAGGAGGGAGTCAAAGTTGTTACACCAGTATTGGAAAAGTGTCTGACAGTATTTTCAAAAACTGTACATATACACACCCTATGACCTAACAATTTCACTACTGGTATGTGTTTATATGGCAACTCTACAGCAATACTACAGTGATATATCTATGTATTTAAACATGCATAAATATGTGCACACACAAAAAAATGTACAAAGGTGTTTAAAGCAGTATTATGTGGAATATCCCCAAGCTGGAACAATAGAAATATTCTTCCAAGGTATAATAAATACATTGTGGTATATTCATATGATAGAATACTATGCAGCAATGCAAATAACGTATTGTCTTTCATATCATTCTCACCAACATGTTAAGCAAAAGAAATAAGGTTCAAATAAGTTTATACTCTAAGATTCCATTTATATAAAGGTCCAAAGCAGGTAGGATGGATCTATAGTGATAGGATGCAGAATAGTAATTACCTGTGGGAGAGGGACATGAGAATAACTTCTAGAGTACTAGCAATAAAAATATTTATAGAAGTAAAAAGCCACAGGACCAATATCATTGTGCTCCACTGCTCTCTTCCCCCTGCCTATTGAATCAATGTAATTTATTAACATTCTACAGAAATAACAAAAGGCAGGGGAAAGAACATTGTAGCAAAAACCCTGAACTTCCTTGAGGTTCCACTGCTGCTTGGAACTAGCTACAAGGTTATTTAAGTTGCTAAAATTTTTTGTTCCTTCTCATCTCTAAAATAAATGTATTGAACTGATCTCTTTTATCCATTCAGCAACACAATATATAGCAGCAGTCCCCAACCTTTTTGGCATGAGGGACTGGTTTTGTGGAAGACGATTTTTCCATGGACTGAGGCAGCAGGGAGTGGTTTTGGATGATTCAAGCACATTACATTTATTGTGCATTTTATTTCTATTATTATTACATTGTAATTAATATATAATAAAATAATTATACAATTCACCATAATGTAGAATCAGTGGAAGCCCTGAGCTTGTTTTCCTGCAATTAGATGGTCCCATCTTGGGGTGATGGGAGACAGTGACAAATCATCAGGTATTAGATTCTCATAAGGAGTGCACAACTTAGATCCCTCACATGCGCAGATCACAGTAGGGTTTGTGCTCCTATGAGAATCTAATGCTGCCACTGATCTGGCAGGCGGTGGAGCTCAGGCGGTAATGCAAGCAATGGGGAGCGGCTGAAAATACAGACGAAGCTTCACTTGCCCTCCTGCTGCTCACCCCCTGCTGTGTCGCCCAGTTCCTAACAGGCCACAGACAGATGCCCATCTGTGGCCCAGGGGTTGGGGACCCCTAATATATAATGATTCACATTATATATCAAAAGTAAATCAAAAAATTATAACTACAGCTAATTAAAAACTATGTAAACATACAGATGAAAATAAGATATTATGCAGCACTATAATTAGCTGCTGTTAAGTGATGATGTTGTAGAGAGGTTTTAATACAAATAAAACTTGGAATCAAAGATCCCATGATAATATGAACAAAACAATGTTACCAAAAAACAAAAGCCAGATGGTTTGATCACCAACCTGGAGGACCTTAACCATCCTATGCCTCTCTCTTCTGTGGAACCACATCGCTTGTCCCCTTTGTCCAACCAATGAGAAAACTCTTCAGAGACTGGTGATAATATGGTGGGGAAGGTCACTGCAATTAGGTCCTGTAGTGGCTTATGTTTCACTGCGTTTTCATATAGCCTAGGACATAGTACTCTGTATATTGCATGTATTCCATAAATATTTCTAGATTTATTTATTTGGAATAATAAAAAGGGAAAATTTCTGTGAGACACATATTTGAATCATAAAAGACCTTTTTTAGTTTCTCCTTTCCTTACAAATAGCCCCCATGTAACCTCAGTGTTCTTTCTCTAACTGAAATCCTGGCTCCCCGCTGAGCACCCTGCCTCCCTTGTGTCTCAAGTATTGGCTTTCTCTCATTTTTGCGTAATGGGCCTAGCTACAAGTGAGGTGCACTCTTTGCTTCTCAAGATAGCTTCCCGATTATTTTCCCCATCTCTTCCATAAAATTTCCTAGCTTAGACTCTCATGTCATCAGATTACATCACTCGCAAACCCTCATTGTTGACATAGTCTACTGATACCTGTGTCATTTCCACTTATTGCTTGACAATTTTAGCTCCTGGTTTACTATGACTTTCTAAAACACAACCCCTATCTTAATTTTTGGCTATTTCAATTCACATAGAGATAGTCCTTCCAACACTCTGGCCCCTTCCTGAATTTCTCTCTTCCAATAATCATATCATACTCCCTATTCTAGCTTCACATTCCCAAGTCATATTCTTCATTTTGTTGTTACCTATAAATCGTCTAAAATTTAAATTTTATGCATCCACCTCCTGGGTTGCATCTTTCTATCTTTCTACCTTATTCCTTCCAGTACATCAATTCACTCTAAAAATGCTTAAACCCCACAAGTTCTTGCAAAGCATTAATTCTACCAATTTTTTATGTCCTTCACCCATCTGACATCCTCTCTACCCTTCTTACTCAGATTAAATTCTATTGCCAGTCATTGGAATTACTCCCTTGCATACATCCTTTACTCCTTTCCCCTCTCACCACCATCATCTCTCACCACCATCATCTCTCACCTGGATTACTGCATTAGTCTCCTAACAGGTTCCCCAGCTTCTATCTTTCTCCATCTACAGTCTATTGTCAACATGGTAGCCAAAAGGATCCTTTTAAATGTAAATATGGACCTGTCATTCACCTATTCAATACTCTCAAGTGGCTTCCATCTCACTCAGAGAAAAACCAAAGTCCAAGCAATGCCTTACAAAGCCAGCCATGAACCGCACCCCCTTATGTCTGATTTCCCCTCCTATTCTCATCTGCTAACTCAATCCAGGAAGTTAAACTGGGCCCCTCACTGTTCCTCTATCCCATTAGACAAGCTCCCACCTCAGAGCCTTTGCACTGACTATTTCCTCTGCCTAGAATGTTCTTACCCTAGATATACTCTCTTGACTTCCTCCTTTGCCTTCAAATTTTGCTTAAATCTCAGCTTCTGAATGTGGCTTACTCTGAAATCCAATTTAAAACTGCAACCCATCCACCTCAGCCTGGTACTCCCAATCCTTCATATCCTGCTCTATTTTTCTTTTTACCACTGCACTTTTAAATGTCTACTCTACTATACAATTTGTTTATTTATTGTGTTCATTGCTTCTCTCCTGTCTACCACCACTAGGATTTAGACTCCATGAGGCACAAAGATCTTAATCTGTCTTGTTCTCTTATATATTCCAAGTACCATGAGCAATGGCTAGTATATAGATGTACAATAAATATGTTTACATAATTTAAACATAAATACATTTCTATGTGTGACTTGCTGGATTTCAAAAGAAGCAGAACCAGACTTGAGTAGACTTTCACATTTTTCATTTCCCATTTTTCACAAGAAGTGCATGCAAAAAAAGGAGAACGTTTCTAATTGACTCATATGTTACCGTCTAAAAGTTAATCTCTACATTTGCTTCCCATACAGAAAAAACATTCTTAATTGTAGATCCACAAGTCCATCTATAAAATCACTTTTGGTTTATAGTTATCTGAAATATTATATATTATAAATGAATAGCAGTGACTAAAATCATTACAATATTAAGCAAAAATACAAAATAAATAAATTATAAAGGTATTATTTTATCTTAAATACCAACACTTAAGAGCAGCCATACATAATTAAAGAAAGTGAGAAGAAAGATGAAAACTTTTATGCTAATTCTGCAGGAAACTTCAAGCCTCTTTTAAAGTTTTAAGAAATGAGGTATTTGTTATGTCTATTTTCACTTCAAAGCATGGCTTTCTTTGTCCCTGTTACAAGTGGATCACCAGCACTGCTCTGATATGGTTATATTCTTTTCAACTCATTTAAATGAAATAAAGAGAGAGCTGGAAAGGTGTTTCTGATATTACTAGGCAATGGCTAGAAGAGAGATGAAGCAAAAAAGGTGTTAAAAAGAAGAAAAGTTACTTGAGCTGAAAATAGCTGCACTGTAAAGTAGGAACAAGCATCTAGTCTCTGCTCAGATATGAGTAAAGAGAGGGAAAAAAATGAATGTCTCCAAGTTTGATGGGGAATGTGATAGGGTATAAATTGTCTTTAAGATAAGCGGGATGGGCAAGATATAGAACTACTATATGACCCAGAATTTCCTCTGTTGGATATGTACCCAAAGGAAATGAAATGAGTATCATATAGATATCAGTGCTCCCATATTCATTGCAGCATTATTCATAATAGTCGAGATATGAAAACAAAATAAGTGTCTATCGACGGGTGAATGGATAAAGAAAATGTGGTACAGATACATAGTAGATATTAATAAGCCTTAAAAATGAAGGAATTACATCATTTGCAACAACATGGATGAACCTAGAGAACATCACGCTACATTAAATAAGCCAGAAACACAAAGAAAAATAATGTATGATCTCACTTATTTGTGGAATGTTTTTAAAGTCAAATACATAAAAACAGAATAGAACAGTGGTTACCAGGGATGGGGTGAGGGGGGTAAACTACATGGAGAGATGTAGGTCAAAGAGTTCAAAATTGCAGTTATGTAGGATGATTAAATATAGAAAGCTAATGTGTAAGATAAAGACTATAGTCAATAATATTGTATCATATACTAGAAATTTGCTAGAAGAGTAGAGTTTAGGTGTTACCACCAAAGAAAGATAACTATGTGAGGTGACGGCAGTGTTTATTTGCTTGACTGTAGTAATCATTTCTTTACTATGTATGTGTATATCAAAACATTATGCAATATACCATATATATACACAATATAAATGAATAAATGAATGAATGGAAGAAAAGTTCTAATTTTATTGCTATCGTCTCCACTTTAGCCTTGCTTCTTCCTTCCTTCCATTTCCAATGAGATCTTAAATATAGATTATTTGTGACTTCAGAATACAGATATGTTTCTGGAAATTCATATAGAAAATAATTTAATGTAAAATAGAGGAAATGCATGTTTAATTCAGTTACATGCATATAGCATTTTCTAGCTTACTAGAAACTTTAATATGAAATTTTAGCATGAAAGTGCTTTCATTGACTATACACCACACATATTATAGATAATCTAGTTCAAACTATTCATTCTGAGAGCAGGAAAATTAGCACCAGAGAGGATCAATGTTTTCTCTAAGGTTATAGGGATAAACTAGAAAGCAGGTTCCCTCTCTGTCATCCTGCTTTCTTTCCATTAATCCACAAAAATACTATATGGATTTTACAGATAAGCAAAGTGAGGTGTAGACAGTTCATTTGCCCTAAGTTGCACAAATAGTAAGTGATGCAACTCAAGTTCGATGTCCTTCTGATTCGTATATCTGCCAATGAAAAAACATGTCTGAGAAAGAAATAACTGCAAAATCCAAAAATAAGTCTTAATCTACCCTCAAATCATCTACTTATTAAAATTTACAATTCATCATTTTCCTATCAAGCTCTATTAAGCAAAATAAACTTCAACATTTTCATTTTTATAATACTATGAAGACTCATAGCACAGCTTTATTGTATTTCTTTCTTCTCTCAATTTATTAAAACTACTTCAATCTCTCTTAGATGATTTGAACAGTATAAAATCTACCCTGGTGATGGTAGTACTGACTAGATCCTAAATTTCTTTCCATTTTGATGATACTTTTGTTTTGTAAACCAAGCACATGAGATTTGAAAGTTTATCAGTGGTTTGTTTTGTTTTGTTTTTGTTTTTGTCTTTAAACCTTCCTATTTCATCACTGCTTTTTGTTGACAAAGGCAAACAGGGTTGTGAAGCGTGCCCTCTGCTGGTAAGAAGAGGAAAATGGTCATACTTCAAACCAAAGCGCTCCTATAAATTTCACGTGGATAGCAGATGTATCTAAAGATCCGAAATAGAGTAGCCTACAAATGATTGATTTAGAAATAACTATCATGTTATAATAACATAATTATATATAATATCATATACACTTAAAATGGGAGATAAAATAGATTTACAAGGCACTGAATAGTAATATTTATATTTGTTCCAGCATTTTATGTTTGCTTTACTACTAACTAAAGTCTAAGAGAGGCTACAACTAGGAAGAGAAAAGGGAAATCATACTCAGATGGATGGAGCCACCCAATGTTTTTCCATATTTTACCGAGGAAACTGTCAATAGTTTATCAGCTTCAAATATCAATTGCAAGCACTGACATTGTCATTTAAATGGAAGTCACCAAATTCAGTGACCAATATATCTTCTCCCCAACCCATTTTCTATCACAATTCATTAGTAAGCCCCCATCAACCATTTTAATATCTCCTTGCAAGGAAAAAAGGGAGACAGATCCCTAACTCATCACAAATGTTCATTACAAGTGTGTGCTTCAGACATCTGCAAGTTACTTAAACTAACAACTATAAACTTATTATAATATTTCTTATCTCATAAGACTAAATGGACTATATATTTCTTTTTATGAGGTGTTAAGAAATGAATCTTGCCTGTGAAGCATGATTGAAGGAAACTCTGGGAAGGGTGATGAAGATGCGTCCTGTGTGATCTGTCACCTGGCCACCTCTCTACCATTCTTCCTGGCCCCCATGCTCCTTCTGCTCCAGCCACACTGACCGCTTCCTATTCCTGGAGCATGCTGAGCATGTCATCTCCCAGGGGCTTTTGCATTTTCTGACCCCTATGATTGTAATGTTCTTTACACACATAGACACACAGCCTCGTCTTACAGCTCATTTAGGGCATAAATGTTCCAACATCAAAAAGACCTTCCTTTATTACCCTATACGAAATCACCACATCCTCTTACCCTGATCTTCATAATATATATTACTTGTTACTATCAAAGTGATTTTGTTTTATTTATAATCTGTATCTTCCCACGAGGAAGCAAGCTTTGTGAAGCAGAGACTTAACTTATGTGGTTCACTGTTCTGTTCACAGTGACTGGAAGAGAACCTAGTTCATAGTAGGTCATAAATATTTGATGAATGGATAAGTAAATGAACTTATCAGGAACACTACAGAGATAATTTCTGCTTTGAATGGGAGAGTGATCTAATGACTTCCAGGGCCCCATTCTGTAATTTTATAAAGATAGCTCATCTTGAAAAAACAGACCCCATCTTCTTTCTTTTGATTGCTAGTACTACACTTTCAGAAGTGTACTTTTTTTAAAGTTTTACTTTCTTTTAAATTGATACATAACAATACGGGGTACAGTGTGATATTTACATACATGTATACACTGTATAATGATCAAATCAATGTAATTAGCAAATCCATCACCTCAAACATTTATCATTTCTTTGTGGCGAGAGCATTCAAAATTCTCTCTTCTAGTTATTTTAAAATATACAATACTTTATCATTAAATATAGTCAAGCCTACTGTCCAAAAGAACATAAGAACCTATTCCTCCTAATTGGAATTTTGTACCCAATTGCCAACATTTCCCCATTCCTCTATCCTTCCCAGCCTCTGATAACCACTATCCTCTCTACTTCTATGAGATCAGCCTTTTAAAATTCCACATATGAGTGAGATCATATGGTATGTGTCCTTCTGTGTCTAGCTTATTTCACTTAACATAAGGTCCTCATAACTCTTTACAAAGAAATAAAGTATAAGCAAATCAACTAAATGAATTTGGGAACACCATGAAAAAAGTTTGATTGGATGTTTAAATAATTCATTGCACTACCATGTAAGATATTTTTTCTTCTTTGTTACTGTCATTTCCTTTTGATCATGTATTTTAAGACAAATAAAATACAGCAACTATAAATAATCTATAAAAATATCACATTACTGGAGTTGATTAAGTGGTTAAATATCAAATATTTCACATAGTTTCTATACTTTTTAAAATTAACATTATAATAGAATAATGTTTTTCAAGAACTGAAAAGGTAAAGCAGTAACAGGAAGAAAACAAAATTTAAATGTGTAAGTATATGCTAGTACCTACCATTTTTTTGTTATGATACTGCCAAACTCTATTAAAAGTATCATCGCACAACATAACATCTTCTAAGTCTAATTCTAAGTCTAATACCTATGATATTCTATTTAAAATATTACTACTATAACACCCATCTTTGAGATGAACACATTTTAGGTATGCTTGTAATCCCTAAGGAATAAGCAAAATAATGAAATTGGTAACATGTCCAAATATTCCTAGCTGACTTTCTGGCATTGCTGTCTGTCTGGATGCATCAGGATTACACACAAGAAAGATGATTGCAGTTATTTGGTGTTTTGACAAATGCCTGACACTATCCATTTTATTGCCAACATTTTAGGCCCCTTATTGCACATGATGAGAGAACTGACCTTTGAAAGAAAATTGTTGGGTCGAATAGAGAAAAATCAAATGACAGAAATTGATAGAAAGAGGACTGTTGTGCAATCATACTTGGATCATCTCAGATGACGAACTTTTCTAACTAGTAAATTTTTGTAACTTAATCATGTTTACCAGTGAAAATTTCCTATTGTAAATGTACACACATTACAGGAGGGAGAATCTTTTAGCCCATGTAAGTCATTTTTTCAGAACAAAAGCAGAGCAATGAGAACTTCAGTATCTGGTCACACATAGAATCATCATATTAAACACATAATTTCAGGTGTTTATAGCATTTTGCAAAACACACTGCTTAAACAAATTATTTGAAAGTCAGTTAAGTGAATTTGGGGGGCATCATAAGGCCAAAAGATGATGCAGGTCCCCTTATTTATAAAATCATCATGTTCTCTTTTACTAATCCTTCTTATATTGGTTCCAGTAACAGCAGAGAAAGCTCAACTTTCTTAGATGTATTCATTTATTCATTTAAAAAGCATTTCTTAAGTGTCTACTATGTAGCAGGAACCAATAGCTGCTGGGAATTTGAAGATTATACATAATCCCAACCTCTTTAGAGCGGACAGAAGATATAACATGGCACAGATGATTTCCGATTTGTGTTTAACATTACCACTATGAAACGCTCTCAAAGAAAAGTCAAAAGGACACTAGGCATTTAGACACGAGCAATTCAGAAACACTAATTTGGCTTTATCAGATATAAAAAATATATAATTATGTGAAAGTCTAATATTATTTCAAGTGACTAAGACATCCAAAGTGACACATTACGTCATTCCATCCATTTATTACTCACAGAAAGTAATCAGAGAATTCTATTCCTTGTTTTGCAGATGAGGAAACCAATATTCTGAAAACTTGTGACACATACAAAGTCAAAAAATGAGCAGTTCTTAGATATGAACTCCTAGTCCATGTTTTCTTCCATGATAATAATTATCCAACCATATGGAATAAACTCATCTTCCTTCCCTTTCCGTCTTCAGACACTGATAGGAATGCCTTGGTGACAAAGTACTGTGTGTTTAAATAATTCAACATTCTTTGAAAACTGCCCCCAAATAGCTACTCCCCTGCCAGAAAAGAATAAAGGAGACTGGTCAATTGAGGTAGTCTCATAACATATTTAAATGTGCCTAAGAAACACACCATTCTCCATTAGCTTTTACATTTTTGTACTATAGGTTTACTTTTCCAACATTCAAAATATCTACACAAAAACACTAATTTGAAACTGTAGTCCCTCTCCCTCTCCCTCTCCCCCTCCCCCTCCCCCTCCCTCTCCCCCATTTCTTTATTTGGTCTCCCTCTGTTACCGAGGCTGGATTGTACTGCCGTGGTCTCGGCTCGCTGCAGCCTCCCTGCCCCGGGCTCCCGTGGTTCTCCTGCCTTGGCCTGGGTTTGCCAGCGCGCCGCCATGCCTGACTGGTTTTTGTATTTTTGGAGGAGACAGGGTTTTGCCCTGTTGACCGGGCTGGTCTCCGGCTCCTGACCTCGAGTGGTCTGCCCACCTCAGCCTCCCAGGGTGCTGGGATTGCAGACGGAGTCTCGCTCACTCAATGCTCAGTGTTGCCCAGGCTGGAGTGCAGTGGCGTGATCTCAGCTCGCTGCAACCTGCACCTTCCAGCCGCCTGCCTTGGCCTCCCAAAGTGCTAAGATTACAGTCTCTGCCCAGCCGCCACCCCGTCTGGGAAGTGGAGAGCGTCTCTGCCTGGCTGCCCTGTCTGGGAGGTGAGGAGCGCCTCTGCCCGGCCGCCCTTACTCTGGGAGGTGGGGAGCGCCTCTGCCCAGCTGCCCCGTCTGGGAAGTGGGCGCCTCTGCCCGGCCGCCCCGTCTGGGAGGTGAGGGGCGTCTCTGCCCGGCCCCCCCGTCTGGGAGGTGAGGGGCGCCTCTGCCCGGCCACCCTTCATCTGGGAGGTGGGGAGCGCCTCTGCCCAGCAGCCCTTCGTCTGGGAGGTGGGGAGCGCCTCTGCCCGGCCGCCCTTCGTCTGGGAGGTGGGGAGCGCCTCTGCCCGGCCGCCCTTCGTCTGGGAGGTGGGGAGCGCCTCTGCCCGGCCGCCCTTCGTCTGGGAGGTGGGGGGCGCCTCTGCCCGGCCACCCCGTCTGGGAAGTGGGGGGCGCCTCTGCCCGGCCACCCCATCTGGGAGGTGGGGGGCGTCTCTGCCCAGCCGCCCCGTCTGGGAGGTGGGGAGCGCCTCTGCCCGGCCACCCATCGTCTGGGATGTGAGGAGCGCCTCTGCCCGGCCGCCCCGTCTGGGAAATGAGGAGTGCCTCTGCCCGGCTGCCCCGTCTGGGAAGTGAGGAGCACCTCTGCCAGGCCGCCCTGTCTGGGAAGTGTACCCAGCAGCTCAGAAGAGACAGTGACCATCGAGAGCGGGCCATGATGACGATGGCGGTTTTGTTGAAAGGAAAAGGGGGAAATGTGGGGAAAAGAAAGAGAGATCAGATTGTTACTGTGTCTGTGTAGAAAGAAGTAGACATAGGAGACACAATTTTGTTCTGTACTAAGAAAAATTCTTCTGCCTTGGGATGCTGTTAATCTATAACCTTACCCCCAACCCCATGCTCTCTGAAACATGTGCTGTGTCAACTCAGGGTTAAATGGATTAAGGGCGGTGCAAGATGTGCTTTGTTAAACAGATGCTTGAAGGCAGCATGCTAGTTAAGAGTCATCACCACTCCCTAATCTCAAGTACCCAGGGACACAAACACTGTGGAAGGCCGCAGGGACCTCTGCCTAGGAAAACCAGAGACCTATGTTCATGTGTTTATCTGCTGACCTTCTCTCCACTATTATCCTATGACCCTGCCACATCCCCCTCTCTGAGAAACACCCAAGAATGATCAATAAATACTAAAAAAAAAAAAAAAAAAGAAAAGAAACTGTAGTATAAGGTAGCCAGTGGGCTTGTATAAGACAGACCAGAGTTAAATCCCCTGCAACTGCACTAAGCTCTTCTGTAAACCTCAGTTTGCCTCATCTGTAAAATAGAGCTAAAGCTGACTTCACATTTGTAAAATATTTGGTTGACCTCTCAGCACACACATGCTAAGTAAATCATAAGCACTAATAGGGATTCTATGAGAATAGATCCCTAATAGTGTTTATACGCTACTGACAATTGTTTGTACTTGATTTTCAAGTGTTCTTAAATCATTTCATAGTACATGCTGAACATTACTGCTAGAATCTGTAGAAATCTGTAATTTCTAAGGCTTAATATTTTTAGTCACATTCAGTGGAGATTAAATAAAAGTGATTTAGTGGTGATAAGAAGAACTCCAAACCACCTCATATACACTGGTGCATTGAGAAACATCAATAAATGTTAATTATCTGACTGTCACATTATTAAAACTTTAATAAATCTGTTTTTTCATAAAGGAAATATAGAAAACAAAACATTTTGCCTGTAATAAAACTCTAATTTTTATCACTTCTATTTTCCTTTAGGTGATGTGCCCTATTGAAGACAATAGGAGACACGTATATCATCTTTCTCATATTTCAGCATTTAAAAAAAAAAAAAAAAGACTGTTGATTTGTTTTAACCTCCGCAGATGCTTTGTGAAGGTACAAAGGTGCATATGGTCAAGATGAGACATTTCCTATTTTTATAAGCACCTTCAAACTTCCATTGCTTACATTTGTATTGAATTTCCTCAAAGCACAATAGTAAAAAAGTCTCTACAGGAGTAAAACTGTATCCAAACTATTCCATCTCAGACTTTGTCTTATTCCTAAAAGTACTCTATGGAAGAAAATATTTGAAAATGTAATGGGAAATAATCCAATCTAAAACACAGCACCCAAAATTTAACCTTATCAATAAAAAAGCAAATCAGTATTTTGGTACTATGATACTACTAAATATTCCACAAATAACACACTCAGAAGAAAAAAAATAAAATTCTATATTCCTGATTATTGCAAGGTTTAAAAAATCACTTAAATCTAAATACTGGAGGGAAATGTAGTTTGCAGAAAATCATGGAAGCACACTCATGCTACAGACAAAATTGCCCTGAAATTTGCCCAGTTCAGAGCCTCAATGCATACTTACATATTCTCCTTATTAAAATGCTGGAAATTAATTTCTCGCCCAAGAGGAATTCATAGTCCCATGTTTAAAGCACAAAGATTACAAGGGGAGCATTTAGATTATCTAGAGATGCCATCATGTGAATTTAGCCTATTATTATTGAACATTCGTAGTTTATGGACAAAAAATAGTAAATCAGTTCAGCAGGATAGGCTGCTTAAGAAGGATTAGACTATCACACTATAAATGAGATAGAATTTTACTACATGGAATTCAGTGAGATAAATTTAAGCTTTGTAGCTTACAAATTTGTGGTATTTACCATAAGGGCAGCACAATAGAAATCAATGCCTGCCAGTACCCACTCATAAATCTCTAATCACAGCACATAACAGGTTTGAACTAATGCAGGATCAAGTAGAACACAATTTTCCTGGTTAACATATTATAAAAGTAGGTGTGTTCATAAACACACAAGAAAAAGGAAAGAAGACTTCCCACTGCTAATGGGTGCCATTTGAGACTTAAGTTAATAGTAAGTCTAAAATTCCAGTATCTAATCCTTCAGGCAAATACTGCACCCAGATATTAAACACTACACACATCATCATCACACAGCATGGTGGCTCTGTTGGAGTTACTCTATTAGAAAAATCACCCTTATTACTAGTCTAATACCACAGTGTGAGTAATGAACTGCACTGTAAGTTGTACAGAATCATTTAATGAACTGAAATAATATGAAATTTCTTTTTGCTCTATTTAATAACAACTTATTCACTCAACTACTGAGGCTTCAAATCTTGACCATCTAATATTAGACACTGGGAGATTCAAAGTGTAAATATAACAAACTAGTTGTAAGTTAGTCGATAATTTAAGGTCACCTTCAAATATAGCACAATCAAAAGCCAAAATACTATTGCACTTTTACAACAATTGGTATAATGGCAACAGGTTCTATCTTACAAAGTCTACCTAATAGGCCTCATCAATATATGCAGAAGAGAAATTAACTATCTTGGACCCACTTTCCATGAATAGTGCCAGGGACATGCTAGATACTTCTTAAATACTTGATATCTGACTGTTGACTGATATCTTAGTGAACTACTGTGGAATGCATTTAACAAAATCTTTAAAATATGTATTATTCCACTGGGCTATATAAACACACATCAAAACATTCTACTGACATCGAAAACCTTAATTTTATACTTCAGGCAATAAAATACAAAGAATTATAAAGCTACATCCTCAAGAATACAGGGTAAATTTAACACATTAGTGGACCAACTTTGGCAGCAAGATACCAAAATTTACTACCCAATAAGATAGTATTTTAACCAGTGTTGCTGCATAATTTATTTTGAGTTTGTGAGCTGAAAATACTTCAAAATGATGTTCTGGCTGTGCGCAGTGACTCATGCCTGTAATCCCGGTACTTTGGGAGGCCAAGGCGGGCGAATCGCTTGTGCCCAGAAAATCAAGACCAGCCTGGGCAACATGGTTAAGCCCCATCTCTACAAAAAAAAATACAAAAATTAGCCGGGCATATTGGTGCATACCTGCAGTTCCAGCTAGTCAGAGGGCTGAGGCAGAAGGATTGCTTAACCCCGGAAGGCAGAGGCTGCAGTGAGCAGAGATGGCGCCACTGCACTCCAGCCTAGGTGACAGGGCCAGACTCTGTCTCAAAAAAATAAAAAATAAAAATAAAATCATGTTCAGTTGTCAGTAATTTTCTTCTTGGCTGCCATAGTTAAACAGGCCATAAAGAAACTTGAAGTCAGACTCAACTAGCATTTATTAAACAGAACTATTAAATATCAAGTATTGTGCTAGACTTTTCCACATAAATTGATAATTCTTATGACCAACCAGATTTGGAAACCACCCTGCAATGCTGGGCCACATAACTCCACAATGCTATGCCCAGTACCTTCAATGATAGGACAGGCAACCTCCAAAAAAAAAGCCATCCATTTCATCGTGGCAAATTCTTCTATTAGCAAATTCTAATATTCTCTATTAGCAAATTCTTCTATAATTAAACCAAAACTGTTTTCCAAAAAAGTCTATCCTAGCAACTCTTCTAGTATTACAAATGAGCCTTCTTCTCCCCTATATGAGAAAACAGCTATTCACAAATATGAAAAGTTACTATGTCTCCAACTTCCTGCAATTTAAACTTGTCTGCCCCATCCTTGATCTTTCTGGTAGCATTCCATCTTTTTCCTTCTTATAATTTACAACTAATATATCATTTGTTTGTTCACTTTTTATAGCTTGGGTTCTTCACTAAACTAGGGCTCTGTAAGTCCAAGGATCATGTCTATTTTGTGCACCATTGCACAGCCAGCATCTAAAACATAACAGGTACAATAAATATTTGATGAATAAATTAAAGAATAAATGATTTAGGTGCATATGCTTATAATCTTTGATTTATATCACCACACTCATTTTTAGAGATAGTGTCACAGGAGAAGAATAAGAGTTCCTCAATTAGCTGATCTCCTACATAGTAGGAAATCTCAGTAAATGGTTTTTAAGTGGATTTTTTAATGATAAAGATCAGCAGCATTTGTTTATTCTATAAATACATATATTGATTTTCTACAAAGTGCAAACAATGTACCAGACACTGATGATATAGTGGTGAGCAGAGTAGATACAGTCTTGCCCTCATGATGTGATAATGAAATTTAAGAGGTTACTATATAGAGAAGCAAAGTACACTATTTATTGCAAGACAATTGCATTAAGTTCACATCCTCACATAGATCCAGCAGTGAGACATCCATCCCAGTCATCAGATAACAACTACAGCAAGGAAAAAGAAGATGGTAGGCCTCAATTTAAACAAGTAAATCATGGAGTTATAAAGCTGAGACATGAGTGGTCCAATTCATAAATGCAGAAAGTAGAATGGTGGTTGCCAGGGGCTAGAGGGATAGGAGAATGGGGATTTGTATTTAATGGGTATAGAATTCTACTTTGGGAAGACAAAAAGTTTTGGAGATGGATGATGGTAATGGTTGCACAACGTTAATAGATGTAATGCCACCAAATTGTACACTGAAAAATAGTTACAATGATAAATTTTATATTGTGTATATTTTAACACCATAAAGAAAACTACAAAAAGAACTGTGTCACACATGGCAGTTATATTTCAAACAATGTAGTAGTCATTTACCATGCACATGTACAGAACTCTGGGTCCTCGGTTTGTTTTTGAGTTCCACGTGCACAAATATGGAGAAAAACTGCCAACAGCAGGAACTTCAAGTGAAGGAAGACAACCACATTTGACAAATGATGTATTATTATGTGACCAGTGAGAAACCTCAAGGATGCCGACAGCTCATTTTTTACTTAAATTTCTTTTCAGGAAAGCTCTCTAGGACTGTGAGACTCAGTAATTATTTTTTAATTCTCTCACCTCCAAAACACAAAGAAATTTTTACCCCTCAAGTTAAAAAGCTTAACTTTGAAAATATCCTAAGGACACAACTGCCAGAAATGACTTAAGGATTAAGTCAGAAAATACTGGAAAAGCTAATCGGAAAATGTTAACTCTGTCTGAACACTCCAACTGCCCTCAGACCCTTCTTCCCACAGGCACCAGGGAAAGAAAATTTAGAATCAAGATGCAGGTGGCATACAACTGAGGAGAAAACCTCCTTTCCTAATATAAAATGTAAGGCATACTGCAACAACATTCCTCCGAGCCCTTCTCAGAATCAACCATCCTACCAATCATTCATACCGATAGCAAAACCAGAATAGTGTCACCGCCAAGCCAGTCAAACTGTCAACAACATTTATTATTGTGTGTACAGGGTACCAGTAAGTACCTGGTACCCTGATGAGACAAAAGGATGAGACAAAAGAAAAAGTCTCATCCTTTGCCCTTCGAGAGCTCATAATAGGAAGACTAATTATTTCTGCCATACATGTAGAGCAGGGGAGTTGGAAGGCAATGAAGAAAAGAGCGTGAGCTCTGCAGTGAGACAGATCAGTGATCTAATACCAACTCTATAACTTTTTAGCTGTATGATCTTAATGATAATACATAGCTAAATTACTGAGGGCTTACCATGCACCAGGAAGTTTGGTCCATAATCCACCCCAGCTAATCTTCACAAGCCCTATAAAGTAAATACTATTAATGTTTCATACATAAACTCAAGTTATTTAATCTCCCTGAGCCTCAGTTTCCTTGAGGGGATGGAGGATTAATACCAACTTTATATCATTGTTTTGAAAGTTACATGAGTTAATGCGTAAAAAAAAAATAGCTTAAGATACTGTAGACTCTCAGTGAATGAATACTGATACCACTATTTAATTAAATGTCTATAAAATGGCACATATTTAGAAAAATTATTCCAAGAAAGCATTTTAGATATTCGTATTTTGTTATAAATAGTCTGAACTATTTGTAAATGCAATTTAATTCAGCAAGTATATGTATTCTTGCTATATACAAGATGCTGTGGCAGCTACTGCAATACGCACACCAATATATGACACAATTTTGGTCATTAAGGAGTTAGTAATCCAGGGAATTAATAACAGAATATATTCTATCTTAAAATTAACTCAACTAACCAAGACCTAAGAGTTGGCCACGTGGTGAAATATTTTTATTCTGGAGTGTATTTTGTTATATTCTCCACCACTGTTTTGAACTGCAAGATGACTTTTTCCCTGAAAAATATAACTTTCTACAAGTTAAATACCAGGTTATCTCACTAAAGTATGGTTCCTCTTGTTTTTCACATCAATATAGCATATATTTTTATAAACAGCTGTACCAAGTGAACACTTGCTGATTTTCAATCATCAGTATGCAATTCACTCAATAAAAGAAAACAAGCAGCCAATATTCAGGCATTCTGTTTATAATGACAACCTAAACTGCCATTCAAGCTCAATACTGTCTGTTATAATTATCAGAATGAGTGGAAACAAATGATCAATAATGGGAAAGCTTCTTATTCATCTCCCATGGCAATGTGCTTTCAATTCCTAGTGAGATTTCCCAAGATATTTATGGAGAAATCTTCCCAGAACATTGATCTCAGCTGAAAATCTTATAGTTTGGGAGAATGCAGGGAATTTCCCCATGGAAATGGGGAGAGATATGATATAAGGTACTGGGCATTCCTGCAGTAAATGAGTACTGAGCATTTATAAAATGTTTGAGAGAATTGATAACATGGACACTGTAATTAATGTGCATTATAAAATATTTCCCATCCCTCCAGGTAAACTCCATCAAACTATAGTTTTAAAAGCAGTTAACATACTGGAATAACAATCATTAGTCAAAACCCATTACATTTCATTGTGAAATCCCCAGTATTATTATTCTCCTTCATCTTTCCAGGAAAGAATAGCAATCCATGTATATGATTAAGTGATATCACCATTTATTCACACAAAATCAAGCAAAGGCTTAAAGACAGTATTTTTTTAATATATCTAGAAATGTCAGTTCAACTAAACTTAAAATTAATATAGACCAATGGAGCAGAACAGAGGCCTCAGAAATATCTACAACTATCTGCCACGTATCTACAACTATCTGATCTTTGACAAACCTCACAAAAATAAGAAATGGACAAAAGATTCCCTATTTAATAAATGGTGCTGGGAAAACTGGCTAGCCATATGGAGAAAGCTGAAACTGGATCCCTTCCTTACACCTTATACAAAAATTAATTCAAGATGGATTAAAGACTTAAATGTTAGACCTAAAACCACAAAAACCCTAGAAGAAAACCTAGGCAATACCATTCAGGACATGGGCATGGGCAAGGACTTCATGTCTAAAACAACAAAAGCAATGGCAACAAAAGCCAAAATTGACAAATGGGATCTCATTAAACTAAAGAGCTTCTGCACAGCAAAAGAAACTACCATCAGAATGAACAGGCAACCTACAAAATGGGAGAAAATTTTTGCTCTCTACTCATCTGACAAAGGGCTAATATCCAGAATCTACAATGAACTCAAACAAATTTATAAGAAAAAAACAAACAACCCCATCAACAAGTGGGCAAAGGATATGAACAGACACTTCTCAAAAGAAGACATTTATGCAGCCAAAAGACACATGAAAAATTGCTCATCATCACTGGCCATCAGAGAAACGCAAATCAAAACCACAATGAGATACCATCTCACACCAGTTAGAATGGCAATCATTAAAAAGTCAGGAAACAACAGGTGATGGAGAGGATGTGGAGAAATAGGAACACTTTTACACTGTTGGTGGGACTGTAAACTAGTTCAGCCATTGTGGAAGTCAGTGTGGCGATTCCTCAGGGATCTAGAACTAGAAATACCATTTGACCTAGCCATCCCATTACTGGGTATATACCCAAAGGATTATAAATCACGCTGCTATAAAGACACATGCACATGTATGTTTATTGTGGCACTATTCACAATAGCAAAGACTTGGACCCAAATGTCCAACAATGATAGACTGGATTAAGAAAATGTGGCACATATACACCATGGAATACTATGCAGCCATAAAAAATGATGAGTTTATGTCCTTTGTAGGGACATAGATGAAGCTGGAAACCATCATTCTCAGCAAACTATCACAAGGACAAAAAACCAAACACCGCGTGTTCTCACTCACAGGTGGGAATTCAACAATGGGAACACATGGACACAGGAAGGGGAACATCACACACCGGGGACTGTTGTGGGGTGGGGGGAGGGAGGGGGATAGCATTAGGAGATATACCTAATGTTAAATGACGAGTTAATGGGTGCAGCACACCAACATGGCACATGTATACATATGTAACAAACCTGCACGTTGTGCACATGTACCCTAAAACTTAAAGTATAATAAAAAAATTTAAAAAAATAGAATAAAATAAAATAAAATTTATGTTTTAAACCACAAATGATGCTTCTGATTCTTAAGTTTCCAATTTAATTATTTTCAATTTCTTAATATATTTTTATTCAATTTTAGTTTTATGCATTTCAATGCTCAACATTCAGACTACCTCACTATAAATATTGAAAGACAGTCTCATCATTCAGACTACCTCACTATAAATATTGAAAGACAGTCTCATCATTATAGATTAAACTGATTCCAAATCGTCTCAACAGGATATTGAGAACTTACCTTTAACTGAAAATGTTTCATTTTATTAAGTTGATACTAAATGACTACAAATGCCAAGTTCTATACTGGTACTAGGCACATAAAAATGACTTCAGAACATAGTAAGAAGGAGAAACACAAGAAAGACAAGAATTAAAATACAACGTGAAAACTGCCACACTAGTATTATCATACCAATGCCCCACAGAAACACAGAGGGAATATGCCCTCATTACAGCCCCCATCCTTTCATTTCTACTGGGAAAAAATGGCGACCCTACACTTCCAAAGGAGGTAGTTTTGAGCTGAATATCAGGGGACAAATAATAGCTCACTAAGAAAACTTAAAAAGAATGAAAGAACATTCCAAGTAAAGAAAAATGTAAGACACAAAGCCCAAAGGTAGAAATGGGCATGGTGTTTTCAGAGAATGTCAATTAGTTGTGTCAATGAGTTGCAGCACAGATAACACTGGGATATGGACAGGGAGTCAGATAATAAGGATGAAGGTGAAAATTATCTACCTACAAACCAAACTGTAAAGACTATTCTATTTCATGCTAAGGAGTTTATACTACAGGCAACAGCTACTCATTTAAGTTTTCTCTTTGTGTTTGAAAATGATTTCAGTGAAAACACCCCTTTACTCACTTCTCATTTACTGAAATGTACTGATTGAGCACCATTTCTCTGCCAGGATTGGCAGATATCACAATGGCCAAAATTTTTCTGTAGCCTGGTTTTATATGGCCCACAAACTGAAAATAGTTTTTACATTTTTAAATGAATGAAAACAATCAAAGTAAGAATAATATTTCACGACACGTTTATATAAAATTTAAATTTTAGTGCCCCTAAATAAAGTTTTATTTGAACTCAGTTATATTCACTCCTTTGCCTATTGTCCATGGCTGCTTTTGTGATATGGTAGCAGAGATAAGTAGTTGCAATAGAGACAGTATGGTCTGCAAATCCTAGAACACTTACTAAAACAGAAAAAGGTTGCTAATTTCTATACTAAATACTGGGAAAACAAGAGGTCTAATTATGGAGACGAACAGAGAAACAGATCTATACAATTCAGTATGATAAGTACTATGGTACAAGTAATCTCATAATATTTGATTAGCAGATGCTTGGGACACATAGCCCAAATTGTGGGAAAGGACTCTAAATAAGGAAAGGCTTCTTTTTTTAATTTTTTTTATTTTCAAAGGTTTTTGAGGAACAGATCGTGTTTGGTTACATGAATAAGTTCTTTAGTGGCAATTTGTGAGATTTTGGTGTACCCATCACCTGAGCAGTATATACTATACCCAATTTGTAGTCTTTTATCCCTCACCCCCTCCCACCCTTTCCCCCAAGACCCCAAAGTCCACTGCATCATTCTTTTTTTTTTTTCTGTCTTTGTACAATATTTTATTAAAGATCTTTACAGAACAACATCCAGACTCCAGAATACAGCTGCCAAGGAGACCCTGTTACGCTGTGGGGACTGGCTGGGTGACGGCAGGCGGTTCTGGCTTCCCACCCTTCTGTTCTGAGATGGGGTGGTGTGCAGTATCTCATCTTTGGGTTCCACGATGCTCACGTGGTCAGGCAGGGGCTTCTTAGGGCCAGTCTTACCAGTTGGGTCCCAAGGCAGCATGATCTTCACCTTGATGCCCAGCACACCCTGTCTGAGCAACACATGGCACATGGCAGTGACAATGTAATAGTTAACACGGTCTCCGCTGTGGATCATCAGGCCATCCACAAAACTTCATGGATTTAGTCCTCCGTCCTCGGAGTTTCCCAGACACCATGACCTCACAGCCTTTGGCCCCACTCTCCATGATGAATTGCAACACACCATGGCAGGCCCTCCTCACAGCAAGCCCTCCTAGGAGCTTGTAACGCAGAGACTCTGCCTGGGCAATGGCACAGACCCCTAGCGGCCACCTTATCAGCATAAAGCTCTACACTGCCCTCTGGAAAACCAAACCTCTTCTCAACTGCAGCAGTCAGTTCCCCAACCCACTGGCCCTTCTCACCAAGAACATTCTGTGTTCTGGTGGCTAAGATAATGATTTCTGTCCTGGTTGGTGTAAAGGAAAGGCTTCTAAAACTGGATTAGATAAAATTTAGAGACCAAGCGATGAAGAGCCTTACATGTCCTGCTAAAGACTTCCAATTTCATACTGAAGGCAACGGCAAGCCTTTGATGGGTTTTAAGAAGGTCTATGACATGATCAGTTTTATATTTTAAAATGGTGATCCTAGAAGAAATGTATATAATTATATGTAATGCCATTTTCTTCCATAGCAAACACAACACTGGGATGTAAGGATTATTTCCTCTAAGAAGAATTAATTATCATTCCTGTCAGGCAATCATTCACTTTTTCTCTCTTAATAAAATAATAATAATAACAATAATAGCTAGTACTTTTTGAGTGTTACCATGTGCCAGGAACTTGCTAAGTGCTTCAGTGTATTAATTCATTCAATCCTCACTCATATAATCTGAGCAAGCAATTCTTGTCGAACTGGGTACTTAAAATAATGTAATTAGATTTAACCCTTTTCTGGATGAAAACCTTTCTAGTGCTCAAATCACATATTCTTGTCTGCTCTTAGGCAAATGTACTGAACAGCTGTAGCATAAACTTTAACTCCCTTCGTCAAGCAAGACAGATAGTTACATAATCACTCGTTTATCCACTCCGATTATTGACTGAGTGTCTATCATGTGCCAGTAACTGTGCTGGGAAGATATGAGTGTATACCAGCAAGTAGTTCTCATTCCCAGGGGTTCCCATGGCTGAATGAGGGGAGCAACCATACCAGCAATCACAAACCTGAACCACAGTCACTGTTTCCCCCTCTGCCTAGGATTATACTGTTGGATACATCTAATATTTGAAATTCTTATTAAAATATTTACCTACTAAGCAGTTTTGTGAGTTGATGTTCTGGTAAGAGAGAGAAAAAGACAGTGAGAGACAAAGAGAATCAATGAGCATTAGTGATGAAAATGAAGCCAAGAAAGACAGAAATCACGGGTTCATAGAGAGCCAAGGATTGGTATTTCGGCCTGTTTTCCAATAGCAAAATGAATGAAATAACAATGGATTGTTACCTGGAGTAACTAGGTTGGAAGTGGAGGGAAAGGGGCTTAGTGAGGGGAGGGTGAACAGCTACTGTGTGGACAAGAGGTGGACCTCCCTCTGTGATATGTGGCATTTGCCTTGATTTATGCTATAAAAGGTGCAGGAAATTTTTTATACATCTAAATATTTTTTCTGTTAGATAAACTTTCTTTTGAGTTCAGATCTAAATTTAATAATCATATATACATCTAGGATATAGGATATACTATGCTTTACAGGCTGAATAACTTTATTGGAAAATTAGATAAAATCAGATAAAACAAAGAATTTGCCGTTTTACTGGAGCACTGCACAAACTACAAGGTTCACAAACCAAGACTTATGAACCATGAGCTTAAAATCATGATTTTGTAACTAAAAAGATACTGAAGTGTATCTGGAATTTCCTCTAAATTTCCAACAGCAGCAACATACCTCTGAGCTTCACCAGAAATCAACACAGAGAGGGAATGATGGCATTTTGTAGTTCTTTACTTTTTCAATTCACCTGAGATGGACAGCTTCACTACTGCATCTACTCCTTACAGTCTGAACTTGACATGCTGTCGAATGGAAGGAGAAAAATTAGGTACAGAAAAAAAACACAAATCTCCCCCAAAAACTTCCCATATATAATTTTCTCTCATTCAATGTTTTTCTTCTGCACGTCATCTTTATCCTCAGTTATGTTATTAGAAGACTTATAGGAGAGTTAAATAGGCATTTGTTAAGATTGTGAAAAGTCGAAAGTTTAGATAACTTTGAAAGATTCTTTTTGTATCTGATTTAATTGCAAGTTTTTCAATATTGGAATCGGTTGCCTTACCTCTACTGCTTGAAAACACTCTTTGTTCCTATTTCTCTTGCATGCTTCCCATTTGGAGATATTTTCTGCATCAGGCAGATTTCTTTCCCCTCTCATCCCAACAAAATCTGGTATTCAGGAAAGTCAGTAAACAGCTCCATGATCTCAGCATTCATTCTCTTTCATTTTCTGTGTATTCTTGATATATGCTATTGGAAATAGAGTGCCCCAAAATCCACCGTATAAGTAACCTGACTGTAGTATATTAATAGAAAATGAACTCTCATGGAAAGTTAGATGAATAGTTGCCTGGATAGAGATATAGGTCCTATTGTTCATACCTTCTTCTAAAATGATTTAGTGATAATGTCCAAAATGCCTATTGTTTGGTTAGAGCCCAATCCCTGCAGATTGGTTTTGCTTTGCAGCTAGACAAAGTTAATGTCCCATATGAGAAACCATTTTGGATCTCAAACTATTAAGAATCCTAGAATAAAACTTAGAAAACACCAATTTGGACATTGGCCTTGGGAAAGAATTTGTGACTAAGTCTTCAAAAACAATTGCAACAAAAATAAAAATTGACAAGTCAATGCTAATTAAGCTAAAGAGCTTCTGCACAGTATAAGAAACCATCAACAGAGTAAACAACCTTCATAATGGGAGAAAATATGTGCAAACTATACATCCAACAAAGATCTAATATCCAGAATCTGTAAGAAACTCAAACAATTGAACAAGCAGAAACCAAATAACCCCATTAAAAAAATGAGCAAAAGACATGAACAGACACTTCTCAAAAGAAGACATTCAAGCAAACTACAAACATATGAAAAATGCTCAACACCACTAATCATCAGAGAAATGTAAATCAAAACCGCAATGAGATACCATCTCACACCAGTCAGAATGACTATTAGAAAGTCAAGAAAAAGAATGCTGGCAAGGCTGCAGAGAAAAGGGAACACACATACACTACTGGTGGGTATGTAAATTAATTCAGCCATTGTGGAAAGTAGTTTGATTTCTCAAAGAACTTAAAACACAACTACTATTCAACCCAGCAATCCTAATTCTCTGTATATTTCTCTGTATCCAAAAGAAAATAAATCATTCCACCAAAAAGACACATATACTCATATGTTCATGCATGTTTTCACTTATAAGTGGGAGCTAAACATTGGGTATTCATGGACATAAAGATGGCAACAATAGAAACTGGGTACTACTAGAGGAGGGAAGGAGAGAGGGAAACAAGGGCTGAAAAACTAACTATTGGGTACTATGCTCAGTACCTGGGTGATGGGATCAACCATACCCTAAACCTTAGCATCATACAATCTACCCAGGTAACAAAACTGCACATGTACCCCCAAATCAAAAATAAATGTTGAAATTTTAAAAATTAAAAAATAAGCAAATAAATGAAACTTTTTGAACGAGAAAAAATTCTGATTTCTAATGAAAAGCTAATCTTTGACAGCCCTTCTCTCAGTAGGAAATAGATTTTTTAAATATTATGGACTGTTTGTACTTAAATGAAACAGTTTCTGCATGAAATCTATCATTCATATTTAAGCAGAGTGGGTAAAATTTAGTCAGAACATTGGATGGCTATTGTTTTACAATTGCTATTGTAAAAATAATAAACTCTGTTTTAACTTGCTTTGTGTAACACTTAGTAGAGGATAAGCCTTGCATTTTAAAGGCATCTAATAATGAAAAAGATGTCTTATAAGAAAAATTAGGACAATTCAAATTTTGTATTCTAGCTCTGATTTTTGCAAATTGCTTGCCCCATCTTAATTACAATGCATACTAGAGTTTTTACCTAAGGAAAAAATATATTTAATAAAAATATTGAGCACCTACCATATGTACTGCAGAGGAACCCAAAATAAAGAAGTAGTCAAGACGAAATTAACTGGTAATACACACTAACATGGCAAACAACCAACCCTGTTCATTTTTTATACCATATATATTTTAGTACATGCAGGAACCCAATCAATGAGGATCGTTAATAATTTAAATTCCAAGGGTAAAAAGAAGCCTACTTAAAATATAATTGGAAGAGCTTTCACATCATCCTGTTTAGATGAGCATAAACATTAACCATGAAAAGGATTAATTAAAATGAGTTTATTGTCTTTCTCTAACCCTCTGATACACTAATGTTGAAATGGAAAGGTTGCTAAGGTGTTCCACTGGTGTGGTTTCCATTCCTCACTTGTTTCAGAGATTTACCTGAATAGATATCCAGTCAGAGTCACGTAAAGAAGACAGAAAGAAAAACATAAGTTCCTTTGAGGTTTGCCCTTAAAGCGCCCCTGCTTGGATTCCCCACAAGACACAACAGGGCAAACCCATGATGGATTTGCTTTTTTCTTGCTGATACAAACTTCTAAACTTCCAGGTTCTTGGCAAAACCTGGAAACATCTCTTGTCACTAGAACAAGAAGATCTGCTTCTTGGTCTGATTCTCTTTCCGACTCCAGCTCAACTTGACCTTTCATGATGTACACTTCCTTGTTTTTCTCACAAACAGCTCTGATTCCTCTATCAGCTGGCAGACAGTGCTCATTCTGTCCAGCTTTGTTTTGGTTTGCAGAGCCTGGGAGACAGTCTATGTTTTGAATTTGCTGAATAATGCTATTATTTGGTTTATTCTTTGTATCTTCTATTTTTAGCAAAGGTTTCCATTTCTAAAAATACTCAAAATTATGATAAATATTTTGGGGATTTAGAGTTTAAACAAAATGGCTTCAACAAAAGAAAGCATTTGGAATTGTAAATTTGCATTTAAACGCTTGACCATGCTGGTATCACTTATGCGGCAATATTAAACAGCATGAGATAAATCAGAACACAGCTTGAAATTATAGGCCTAACTTATTTGATTTCATAATAATTTTAGGGTCTTTCCTTTAAAAATCAACAGCTCGAAGACGTATTTTTTCCCAGCGAATTCTCTTCTCTTTTTGAATAATGACTCTCCCATGGGTCACAGAATGGCATATATAAAAGCACTATTTCTACAATAATTATTCCTAATTTTTAAATTTAGCTAAATAACATCTGCCAGATATTTATAAGTATAAAATTAGACAAAGTCATTTAACTGAAAGCAAACTAATTTAAAATATGTAAATGAAAATGTTCTATGCTGGACCAAGGATTTGCATATAAGTTACTATTTTGAAATGCACTTGTGTGATTGCAAGATAAAGAATTAACATGCAGCATACAGCCCTTTAGCATAGCCCTAGAAAAAGGAAAGGAACTAAGAACATAATATTCACAGTCAAACAAATTAATAAACTGGAGTATTGATCATGGGAAAGTGGAGTTGTGGAAAGAAAAGCTACTAGAGAAGATTCAATTATTCTCAAAAGAAATCATAAAATTTAAAAATTTCTAAGAAGGTGAAATTTGTTGCAACAAACAAAGCAAAAAACATTCCTAGTTTTTTTGTGTGCTAATGTTGTGATTGATAATATTAAAATTTGTGTAGCACCTTTCACATTGGAATCCCAAAAGTCTAATGATTTTTTTCTTGCACAGAACATCAAAGTTGTCCTACGATACACAGAGTAAGTTGTACCCCCTTCCTTCAGCAGAACCTCCTTTGTGGCACTTTGCCATATGTCAGCCTCTCTTCAAAGTGTATTTTTTTATTCTAAATCTTCAGTGCAGCAGATTATATTTCCCTTTTAGAGATGAGAAACTAAAGTACACAAGGATTCATTAATTTGCCCAATTTTTCATAGGTAGAAAATAGTAAAGCAGAGACTTTATCCAGGTATCTGCCTGTAAAATTCACTAGTTTAATTGCCATGTTTTGCTGCTTCTGCTCTACCAAATCCTTCGGGGAACCACAAGATTAGCTCCAGATTTCTAAGATGCAGTTGGCTAATACCCTGGTTCCCTGTTATCCAACTAGCCTTCGTTTTCTATGTTGAAGGACTTTGAATCTCCAGTCTAGGTCTTGGTTTCCTAACTCATCTGCTATAGAGGTAAGCTCCAGGGTCAGACTGGTTGAGTTCAATTTTCATGGGGCCACATTATGGTTAGAAGAAGACAATGTCTCTTGTGTTTTTGTTGTAAGAGAAAATTCTCAAAATACCTCTCTAATAGCCTAGTACTATAACAAGTTCTCAAGGAATGTATCCAAAGGCAAGTGTGAAAACTTGTTTTCTATGGATTTAGCCTGGCCCTCTCCTGTGGTAAGCTGAGTTAGGATCAATAACCTCGTCTATCTAGACTAGTACCTAGACTCAAGAACCAGCTAGACCCGTGACAGAAAGACAGTTCTTGGCTCCTTCACAGTGAGTTCCCACTTCCTCCTCTCATCTTTATCCTTTGCACTTCTCTCTGTCTACAGGAGAGGAAGCCAGTAAGCCTTGGAGAAAGAACTCTTTTCTCTAAGGCTCAAAGCAGAGAAATGTATGAAACAATTCTCAACTCTCAGCTATTGAATGCTTACTACATGGCTAATTCTAGAGTTGTGCATGGTCAAACATAACAACACAGCACAAAAGAAAAGCATTGTGAGAGTCACCAGAATCCATCTTAGCTTACAAGTAAGTTCACACAAATTGTACAAACTCAAATAACTATCCTAAGTTTCCTCTAAACTATTGCTTTAATCACAGCAGAAGGCTCTCAAAGCTACTGACAGCCAGCAGTTGCAGAGTCGAATGCAGTCTGACTGGCCACCTGTTGTGAGGTAGAAGCCAGGAATAAATGTGAGTAAAATCAACTTTATTAGTCAGAAAAAGAGACATCTGCCATAACAGTCAGTACAACCACCCAAAAGGACAAACTATAGTCCAAACTACTTCCCAGTTCCTGTTTGCTTCTCTTCAACCCTCCTTCACATCTAATATAGGAATATCTGCCATTTACTATCTGTATGCTACCACAGCATAATTATTTTTACTTTTTCAAGTATAGGCTAAAATACATGTATTTAATATGTAACTAATAGATATGCATTAGAAAATTTATAAAGAGATTTTTTAACTGAATAATATGTTAAATACTAAAAACGGAAAATGTCCTCACCATATTTAATTTTTTAATTAAAAATTAGGTGACATTTTAACTTTCACTAACTGGTTTTAAAAATCCTTTTGTTTTGATTCTAAATGAAATCAGGCAAGCTATCTCAAAGCATTCAGTTACGATTTATAATCTGTAAGGGAAGCTCCCAGTGGAAGCAGGGTTTCACTTGACGGAAAGAAGAAAACCATTAATTGTGAAACACCTAGCATGTGTCTGATGTGCTGGACAGATTTAACTACATGTTATCTTTTTAACATTAATATTATGCTTGTTAGGGAGGTGTTATCAGAACCATTTTATTGATAAGAAAATTATGTTTCTGAAAAGTTAACAAACTCATCTAAGGTCACATAGCTAATAATTAGCAGGTTGTCTGCTTGCAGAGCTGCCAACCCTAGTAAACAGCACAGTATACAGTTTCCATGTCCCATGCCTGAGGAACTTAAACTGATGTGATAAGATGGCTAAGTATCAGAAAATATGGCAGAACATGCCATAATGACATTATAAACAATTACTTTTTTAAAAAAGCCAAAACATGGATTACTTGGATTATAAAGGCAAAGGAAAGTGCAATCACCCTGTACTTCTATATCACCATCACCTCATTAGTTAAGTACAGGTCAAGGTCTCCCTAGAATAACAATGAACCCAGGTGAGGAGAGTTGACTCCAGCCCTCATGATCATGCCCACACGGAAGAACCACATTAAATGTCTTCCTATCTCTCTCTCTCTCTCTCTCTCTCTCTCTCTGTCATGCAGACACACACACACCCCATGCAGGACTCTAGAGAAGTTTCTAGAGAGTCAAGATAAGGATAGCAACATTACCACAGCAATGTCTGAAAGAAAAACGATCTTAGAATTAACACAGGGCACTGCTTTCAGAGCTTCATTTACCTCCCATTGAGGTCTCATCTGGCTCCTCATGTAAATAAGGAATAATCACAACTACCTCTTCCATGAAGTCACCCAAGTGTATTTTAGGAACGTAAAGGCACAAAATCTAACTTATTATCAGCCACTGCTGAGGAGGAAAAGCTCAGAAAGGATCAAAGACACACTGGCATCCTTGGGGACCCAAAGATAGTGGTCAGAGTAGAATGCCTGAAACTGAGATGAAGACGGGGTTGCCATTACTGATAAGGTCTGGGTATGAGTGAGGAAGCAATTCACTGAGGTTGGAAGATAAGGTCATGGAGAAGTGGAATCCTAGGAACTGGGAGTGTGTAAGAAGGATCATCTATATACATATTTAAATGGCCCCGAATTGAGATAATGTTAATATGGGAGAAATAGAATAAGCCACAAGAGAAGATTGCTAGGTAAAGAGGAGAGAGGACCCAAGGGTAGGGTAGGCAAAAGAAACAAAAGTAGTGTAAGGGAGTTTAAGAGAAAGGCAAGAGCATGATCTGAAAACCACAATGACAAACAAGGAAGACATCTATTCTACTCCCAAGCCTAGTGGTATGAAGTATGGTTGTAAGTGGGAAAAACAGCCACCTCTTGTCAGGCTTGCAGTGAAAGCAGCAACCTTAGGGAGAGCCAGTTGTCAGAGCAAGAAGGTGAAAGGAATATTTCAAGAAAAATCTGAAACTATAGAAGACTTTGCTGAAAATGGTCCATGGACTCTAGAAAGTATAGAGAGAATGGAACATGATGGGGTGGGACCTGGGAAACAGAGGTTTGTTGTTGTTGTTGTTACTGACTTGAGGTTAAGGACACAATGAAATTTGTCTCAATAAATTCAAAGCAAATGGTAAAGGTAAGGCTTTGGGTTTCAGAAGTAGGAGTAACGGGTTTCTGGAGCTTCCTCTTCACCCTTAATGATGCACGCAGAAGTTATAGAGGAGGTGTGGCCTTAATCTCAGGGCACATCAGCTCCTCACTACAACCCTTATATGGTAGGTACTATTATTATTTCCACTTTTACTTATTAAAGAGAGAATGACCATGATAACTCTAGACTGTACCTAAAGCTCCATGGTAAAGGAGTCGTGGACTGTGTGATGTTTAATACTGAGTGTCAATTTGATTGGATTGAAGGATGCAAAGTATTGATCCTGGGTGTGTCTGTGAGGGTGTTCCCAAAGGAGATTAACATCTGAGTCAATGGGCTGGGAAAGGCAGACCCATCCTTAATCTGGGTGGTCACCATCTAAGAAACTACTAGTGCAGAAAGAATATAAAGCAGGCAGAAAAATGTGAAAAGAGAGACTGGCCTAGCCTCCCAGCCTACATCTTTCTCCCATGCTGGATGCTTCCTGCCCTGGAACATAAGACTCCAAGTTCTTCAGTTTTTGGGAATCAGACTGGCTCTCTTTGCTCCTCAGCCTGCAGACGGCCTATTGTGGGACCCCGTGATCATGTGAGTTAATACTTAATAAACTCCCCTTTATATATATATATGCATAGAGACACACAAACACACACACACACATCCTATTAGTTCTGTCCCTCTAAAGAGCCCTGACTAATACAGTAAGAGCTGAGTTGTCTGTTTTAGGGTGTAGGGCCAAGGAGGCTCTTGAAGGCAGACAAAGTCAAAGAAAAGTATAAAGAATGACATTTACCTGTATATATATACACTTTGAGAACTTGGGGATCACAATTATAGTAGTCAACTACACTACGAATTTCTCCCTTTCAACAAAAACCCTACGACCTCCATGTTCCAGAACAGTGCCACCTCTGTTGATATATATGTTGTAACATCTGAAGCATAATTTGAATATTTATGGTGGCCTACTTTATTGTTAGTCTTAATTATGTTTTAGAGTAGTCTAATATTTTCAGGATGACTTTTCCAGACCAATTTAGTTTATCCGATAAGAAAATTTAGCTAGTATATTATGAGAAATATTGTAAAACGTTATTTCTTCTTAACATTAGCAAAGATTTTAACAAGGCCCTGCTTGCCTCCTATTATCAGACTGGGGAAACATGGTTTATAACTTAAATAACATTGAAAATTTGGCTGAAAAGTGCACTTAAAAAGCAGTTATTGATGGCACAATACCAACCTGGAAAAGTATAGCATGTGTAAGTCCAAGAGATCACGGTGAATGATGAATTGCAAACATCTCTCTTGGCAATTTTAACAATAACATAATGTTTAAAATATGGAGCAGGAGGATATAGCTATGAGGAGGAAAATCAGCTGAGAAAGGGTACAGGAAAGGACTTCATTTAAGTAATATGACCTTTCTCAATTTCATTCAACCCAGAATTTCTCTGCTAAAATCCAGTAATACATCTTGTAATTGATTGGCATGCACATTAGGATGTAAACAAACTTTGCCAATATCTCTGACAAGAGTTCTGAGGACTGTTTTGCAAATCAAATATATGTGAAATGTTATAAGGAATAAAAAACATTATGTTTGTACTAATAATTGTAACTATAATAATAATGTTGGTATTATTCCTACTCAGACTAGTATGAAGTGTTCACAGCTTCAAGACCCCCGGCATGAAAAGCATTGGTAATCATGTCATTATCTGTCTGATTTATTTGTTTAAGTTCCATAGGAATACATTTTTTTCCAGAAACAACCCTCATATAAGACTTCTTGATGCATTAATTAAAAAAAATCTGTGGCTCCTTTTTAAACAAGGCAAAAACAGCAGACCTGCTTGGAGCTACTCATATTTATGGGCATCGAGAGTGTTGTTAGCTTCTCTTACCATATATGAATCAGACAAAAAGAAACAGAAGAGTATGTGAAGCTTCCCATATTTTTCTACTTATCTAAAAAAACTAAAATCAGAAAAGGAAACAGCATTCTCACCTAAGAATATCCTCCCACTCAGCAATGCTTCACATTTTTTCATGGATTTTATTACTATTATTATTCTACCCTCAGGGAATTCCAAGAGTAAATAAAAATTTTTGATCCAAACCGCAACCTCTTCTTCTCCCCCAGCTAAGGATCTGCCCTGCATGGAAACACGTACATGAACTGCCAGCCTACCCACACAGCCATGTCAGACTAGCACCTGGGAAGTTATTCCACCCTGTCCAGGGAGCAGAATGACACTCAAGCTGTTACCCTTGCTTTTCAAAGGCTGGAATTATTGTGGGTTACATCACCCTTTAGCAGAAATATTACCCTTCCTGTGTCACCTTATGAAACACTACCATGTGCCCACTCACATTATGGGGCTTTTTCATGAACATACATATATTCCTGAGGGTCAAATGTCCATGAACTAAGGAATTCCCAAAACCCTAATATTAGGAAATAGATAATGACTAAAAATGACCTTCATTCAATGCAGACCACTGACACAGACTACATCGGCCCTTAGGAAGGAGGTTTGCTTTTTGTAATTGCACATTTTTCCTACATTTGATCAGATCCCAAAGACTCTGCTCCCTAGACAAAGATTTTCTTTCACCAGTGAGAGTTAATGCCTCAAGAAGAGGGCAGAGTTTCCAACAACACTGACATTATCACCTAATTCTCTATCCATCCCTAATTGCTAGTCCAAGATCAAATGACTAGAAAATCAATTTCTATTAATTATTCTATCACAATATGAAGAAAATTCTTCAAGGTGTCATGATGTATGTCACCAACCCATAAACATGTTATATATATATATACACGTTATATACCAAATATGTTATATACTCATATATGAGTGTTCAGCCTGAGATGCCTTTCCCTACAGAATCGCTGGTTTAAATTATAGCTATGTTCTCTGGTTAGCCTATAAAAATCTATTTGAACCATTATGTACCTACTCCAAGTACACATAGAACTCTTTCAACTTTGTTTCACTATTAGATTACTTTTATGAAAAAATGAATACAAAGTTTGTATTTATTTTAAGCTGAACCATATGAAAATGCAATTTTTGTAGTTCAAAAATGGCTGAATCTTGGCAATTTCATGTGGTTCAATCTAATCCCTTTATTCAAAAAGCATTAACTGAATAATATGCACAAGAGAGAAAGAGGTTGGGGGAAAAAGAGTGGAAGACATAATTCATGTATTTAGAGATCATCACATCCAGTTAACACGTAAATGGATATAATGGGTACATGACATGATAAGCGGTGATTTGATGCCTTTTAACTCCAGGAAAACTAAACACAGACCACGTGTGTTTTATATTACCAAGCAATGTCAGCAGATATGTTCACCTTGAGCCCAGCCCCCTTTGCCAAACCCACACTGTAAGGGACAGGATGAAGGTCAGGTACCGCCTGGCAGATAAACCATAAGAATAGGAGTCAAATGTTTATTAGATTTTACCTACCTCGGAAAGGGCCAATGATTCAGCCATTCTCTATAAAAGTACTCAAACAGAATGACCTGTAATTTAAATTTTCTTATTACTCTCTTTAGCTGTAATGTTTATTCTAATTTGTTTTGGATAATAAATAGATTAATCGTTTTAATAAGGATATTCAGTCTGTTTTCTATTTGAAAAATCCAGAGGACAAACACCTCTGCTTTGTGTTGGCTCCCTAATTATGCTAACTATATTTGACTGAGTATATATTAGACAGAGAGCCAAGCAGGATGTTTGGATCATAAAATGATCCCTTATTCTCAACTCCAAATTACACCATTAATCTTCAATTTAATTTCTCACAGATTTCTCCATAGTCAATAATATGTATGTATTATATTAATACTATTAAACTCCTGTAAAATTATAGTTTGGGAAATTCAATGATACAATCTTAGAATCCAGTTCAGCATCAATATAATTTTAAATTTTTAGTCATCTTTCTTAATATAGAAGCAATGCTCATTAAATTTTTAAAAATCAAACAATGTAAAAATACAGTAGAAATTGAAAGTTATATGTAATTGAGGTGAAAGGGGTGAGAGAGCAAGAGATGGTGATTTGAAAACAGAGTGACATTATATTGTTGTATCAAAATAACCACATCCAAAAAGCCATGACATATACTGTTTTGCCTATAACTACTGCATAGAACTATATATGATTAATACCAAATATTGGTTTACAAATAAATGCCTTATCAATTTAAAGGAGGGAGGTCACCCCTCTATGTGTCAAAAATAGTTGATGGGTCTAATTCTTTGTAAATCACTGTAAGATACATTATCTTACTTGATGACTGATTCATTGAAGAGAGATTTATTGAGTGACTACCAAGCACAAAGCACTATGCTGGCCACTGAGGGAACCACAGTGAATAGGACCTGCCCTCCTGAAAATTGTATTCTAATGGGAAAGATAAGATACAAACAACCAGTTACACAATGAATTATTTAATTAGAATTGTTAATAATGTCCAAGGACAGGAATACATAGCGCTCTAAGGGGAAAGCAATCTAACCCAGTGGGAGAAGTATGGGAGGCTGCTTTGAGGAGTGCTATTCACTGAGCTCTGAAGTTCCTACTCAGCAAATGAAAGAAGTGGGAAGAGGGTTGATATAGGGAGAGCCACAAATACAAAAGCCATAAAATAAAAAAAATTAAAAAAAAAAACCACACAGGCTATTCAAAGAACTGAAAGGAAGCTAGTGTGCCTGGAGTGGAGAGTGCAATGGGAAAACAGCCAAAGATAAGGCTGGTGAAGCAGGCAGGGGCCAGACCCTCTAGGGCAAGGTTTCCGAACTTCAGTGCTATTGACGCTAGGGGTCAATGATTCTTTCTTTTTTTTTTTTTTTTTTTTTTTTTTGAGGCGGAGTTTCGCTCTGTCGCCCAGGCTGGAGTGCAGTGGCGCGATCTCGACTCACTGCAAGCTCCGCCTCCCGGGTTCACGCCATTCTCCTGCCTCAGCCTCCGGTGTAGCTGGGACTACAGGCGCGCGCCACCATGCCCGGCTAATTTTTGTATTTTTAGTAGAGACGGGGTTTCACCGTGTTAGCCAGGATGGTCTCGATCTCCTGACCTCGTGATCCGCCCGTCTCGGCCTCCCAAAGTGCTGGGATTACAGGCGTGAGCCACCGCGCCCGGCCAATGATTCTTTCTTTTGGTGACCTGTCCTGAATACTGTAGCAGGCTAAGCAGCATCCTTGACCTCCACCCACTAGGTGCCAATAGAACCCGTTTCCCATACCCAGTTGTGAGAACCAAACATGACTCCAGGTTTTGCCAAAAGTCCCCTTAAGGACAAAATCTTACCTGATTAAGAACCACTACTATACAGCCTTATAGGTGATATTAATAAATTTGACCTTTATTCTGCCAGCAATAAGAAAACATTGAATATTTTAAGAAAGTGATTGATTTTTAAAACTATCTGGGTAGGACAAGAGGAGGTTAATTAAAAGAGCAAAATGCTGCAGCTGCCAGATAAATAAATGCTCTCTAAGCCTACAGAAGAGAAAGCAGGTTGGTAGGTCAGCCGTTCCCAAAATGTTCTGAATTACCTCGACAGAAGTGGGAACAGGGCCACTAGTTATGTACTTCCCCATTGTCCATTCATTTATCTGAAGTTAGACTTTAGGGCTTCTTGTGTATCTGTGTTCACCATTCAGCCTGGTAGTAGTACTCTACATAGCAATTGCTAAATAAAACCTTTGCTGATGAATTGTCAGAATTCTAATATGCTTATTAGGGAGAAGGTGAGAATAAATTGTAAATGGAAATTATTACAATGTAAAATATGTAGCAATGATTATATACATATATTATGCTCCTTTGAGGACATAACACAAAACTAGGAAATCAAATAGCACAACTAAAGCAGATACCAAATACTGAAAGAGAAGTTGCACCACCAGAAGCAGTAATTCTGTTTTTAGTAGAAGTCTCCTGGCTGTACTAACTTGAGATCTTTACTGGCTAAAACAAAAAATCAGTCAACTGCTTCCATCCTTGTTAACTCAGTTCCTTCTGCTTTTTAGGAAAAACATGTAATTTCTCACTGAGGTCTCTTGCTATTCCAATTCTGCTGCATTGTTATTTTTATTTTAATGAGTGCTTGGAAGGTATTTATTATGTAATTTAATAGCAATAAATAAAGTAAACCTGGATGAGCTCCTAAAACATTTGCTATGTACCTGCTTATTTAAAGTAAGAAAAAATAGAACATTTTCCATAATGACCAGGTAAATGTTTATTTTGCTTAGTGCCTCTACCTCCAGCCTTCATCTTTTTCTCTTACTTGTTCCTAAGTGTGGGCTCTGCCCATGAACTTACTGTTCCTTCTCCATCTGTGCTCGAAAACTATTGCCCATCTGTGCAGGGTGAGTTTCATTCAAACCAATAACCAAGAAGCAAGATCCAATGTCCTTAAGCACACTAGAAGGAAAGAATAATACCAAAAGAATCCTTCTGATCCATGAACAGGATTAAGTCTTCAACAGCTAACACTGTGATTAAATTGCTCTCTCTTGAGTTCTGGCTCAAAATTCCAGGCAAATTCCTGATTTTTAAAAAATCATACAATTCTTAATCCACTCATGCCACAAGTAAATAGAATGCCTGCTTCTAATCACATGCAGCAGAGGTCCCTGAACTTTGGTAGGCATCAAAATTATCTGCATTACCCTTTACAAATACATATGCCCACGACCCACTACAGACTTATGGAATAAAACTCATCGGAGATAGGGGCAGACCATCTGTACTTTTAATGAAATCTCCAAGAAAACTTACATACCAAATTCCAATGCACACCAAAACTTAAGAATAACTACTTTATAGACCAGAGCAATAATTAGTAATGGTCATACAATAATTATTAATTGGACAGGGATAAATATAAGTCACAACATAAATTATTTTACCGCCTGACAGATGATTTAACAGTCTCCCCTAATAAATCAAAATCTCTTTGGAGGAAACAACAAATCTTAGTCACCTTTATGCCCAAACCAGTTGTATAGCAGACACTCAATAAATTTTAGAAAAATAAGTAAAAACATCCATATCCACATGAACATCTAATCAGTTTTATCATTTCATTTGTATGTAAGAAGACTTCTGTACTGTATGATCTCACATGTGAAATCTAAAAATAAAAATCAAATACACAGAGAGAAATTAAAACAGTGGTTACCAGCGGCAGGGTGGAGAGGAAATGGGGAGATGTAGGTCAAAACAGACAAAGTAGCAGATGTATAGGATTAACAAGTCTTGAGATTTGATGTACAACAGAGAATTATAGTTAATAATATTGTATTCAAGATTTTTGCTAAAATAATAGATTTTAGATCCTCTTAACACAAAAAAGGTAACTGTGGAATATGTCAATTTTCTTGACTATAATAACTATTTCACTATATGTATATTAAAATACCATGTAAACCTTAAATACACTATCTTCCTTCTTTGTCTGCAGGCTCTGCATCCACAAACTCGACCAACTGCAGACTGAAAATATTCAGAAAAGAAAAGCATTACAATAAAAAATACAAACTATAAAAACTATGTACATAGCATTTACATTGTATTAGATATTATAAGTAATCTAGTGATCATTTAAATTTTACAGGAGGATATGCATAGGTTACATGCAAATTATACACAGTTTTACATAAGGAACTTGAGCATCCACATACTTTGGTAAGCAAGGGGAGTCCTGGAGTCAGTGCCCCACAGATACCAAGAGACGACTGTATGCAATAAAATTTTTTAAAGAAAAACCCCTAGACATACAAAAAGAAAGGGAAAAAACAAAATACCAAGACTTTCACTTCATTTGATCACTTAAAAATACTATGCAAAAAGGTACAACAATACAACGTTCCCAGGAAAGAAATGCATGTTCCTCTCACCCACTTTTTCCGCCAAGAGTACACTGTACATCTTGATTTTTAAAAGAAATGAAAATAAGCCATGTTATACATGATAGTCATAAAATTCTCAGGAAAAAATATTAGATGACTCCCAAACCCTTCACATAGCCTTCTCCCTCATACTCCCATTTGCTGACCTGATAGCTCATTACTGCATTGCTCCTTTGCAACATCTGCCCCAGATGATGTCTGCATATTTTCAAGAACAGGGTAAAAGTTTCTGTCCTTGCAACAAGGGACCCACTAAAAAATTCTAGACCCTCTCACTGGATTTGAGACGTCAGTGCAGGGAAAATGCAAAATAAGAAATGTAGACCCAGAATTACCAATGTGCAAGTACAAAAGCATTCATCCATTGGTTTGTAATGATATCCAAATTCCATAAATATAAAATTTGGTATGGTAAACTCTATGCACCTTACACTAATTCACTATTTTATTTATTCTGAACCTGTCCAAAAATAACAAATGTTTTCCTATTCTTGGAGCACTCCATGAAAACCGCTGAGTAAGGGCAGTAAAATAGGTTCTTCATTCCTAATAAATCATTATAATTTATGTTGTACTTGTCCCATTGGAGAGGATAATAAGAGGCTGCTATGCATAACATATTTCCTCAAAAAAATTTTTCACTGGGTTCTTACTCACTCTGGACAAGCAATTGTAAAGCAGAAACTTGATGGTTGAGAGCAGGGCATTAAGCAATGTTGAGAGAGATCAGTTGCCAAATGGAGCTTAGAATAGGACTTTTAAAGGTAACTTGGATGAAATTAATGTTACATCACCTCAATATCAATGCTGCCTTTGTCATAAGTATGTTTGAGAATACTACTAAGAACTCAAGGTAAAGAAGAGAGATGGCTCTTCTAACTGTTGCATGAACAATCCTGAGATGCATATACACTTGCACAATCAACTTACAAGCTCCACCATTGTCACCAAAGCAGATACCCGATCAAATTCAGTACTTCTCAACCTGCAGCATGCATACGATTCACCTGGAGAACAGACACATGAGCACTACTCCCAGAGATTCTGATTCAGTAGCTTGAGGTGAGGCCCAAGCATTTGCATATCCAAAAATCTCCTAGGTGATGCAGATGCTGAAAATCTGTGGACCACACTTTGAGTGGCATTCCTCCGGTTGATTTTTCTGATTCCTTTTACTCAGGGTTGCTTCTAGATGTTCATTTTAATTAAGAATGCTGTGGGAGAACACACTGGGGGATTTGACGTGTATTATACCACTCTGAGACCTGCATAAATAAACATCTGTGATGTCTACATTGCTAAACTCACCAAAAAGTGAAATAGCCAGGGTCCAATGTAAGACAGTCTGACTCCAAACACCATGTTCTTTTCATTACACTACAGTTGTTATTAAAGTCAACAACTAGATAAGATTACTTGGGGAGAAAGACAAGACCCAAAAGGGGCTGAGGTCAGAACCTTTGGGAATACCAATTGTTATAGGTGGAATTGTGTCCCATCCCCCAAAAAAGAATATATTGAACTCCTAAACCCCAATACCTCAGAATCTGACCTTATTTGGAAACAGAATCTGGACAGAGGTGATCAAGGTAAAATGAGATTATTAGTATGAGCCCTAATCCAATATGACTTATTTCCTCATAGAAAGAGGAAATTTGGACATAAAGACAGACACATGCAAACAGAAGACACACAGGAAGAAGACAGTCACGCAACTAGAAGCCAAGGAACCTCAAGTATTGCTAGAGCTAGAAGAGCCAAGGAAGCACTCTCCTCTAGAGGCTTCGGGGAGAACATGGCTGTGCAACACCTTGATTTTGAACTTCTGGCCTCCAGAACTGTGTAACAACACATTTCTGTTATTTCAGCCACCCCACTTCTGGTACTTCATGACAGCAGCCCTAGAAAGCTAACACGAATATTTACAGGAACAAAACGAAGTACCCACGAATGACACTAAGAGGCCATGTTTAAAGGGAGAGGAGTGCTATACCATAGGACTGAAGAGGTCAAACTGAATATAAAGAGAGACATGTAAAAATTTCACAGAAACTTCCTAAACAATTATTGTTTTTCTAAAATGACCTTTCTGGTCAAAAGAACAACTTCAACAGGCCATGTGATTAGGAAATCTCAAAATATTTTTGAGCACTTGAGCCGTGAACAAGAAAGACTAATAATAAACAAACACTTATATGTCTAACAAGACCCTATTATTCAGACCGTTTTTATCATTTGTTCTCAAAACAATCTGATGAGGTAGGCAGTATCTATATTGTTCATATCAGAAACTAAAGCTGAGAAAAAACTAATCTTTATGTGAAATTATAAGCCTGCAGGCATTATGTTATTGATTTAACTGTTTTCTTATGTAATATCTACAATCTTCTGAGGGAGGTGTCTTATCCACCTTTCATCGGTCAGAAAACACAGAAATGTTAGGTCAATTGCCCAAGATCAGAGAGCTTTGAAAAAAAGAAAAATTTTCAAAGTCACATCTATTGCCCCCAAAACTCATATTCTTTGCATGGCACTATAACTGGCCTCCTGTGGACTGGTGAACTCCATGAAAAAAGTTATTAAAGTGAGGAAGGTACTGAAAGTGGATTTCGGAAACTAAAGCTTTGTAACTTTACAGAAATAGTTAAAAGATATTTCTCTTATCTAGGACATTGTGCATAAGGTGGCTGAAGAAACCATTCACATAAAGGTAATCAGAGTTTACTGCTGACAAAATAAAATATTTTCCCACAAATGTGTTAGTAAAATGGCTTTTCTGGTCAGGTGAACAACTTTAACTGGTCATCTAGCTAAAGGCAGAATTTGGAAGTAACTATCTGAATTGCATGTATACTTAGTTATTCCTCTCCTCAATAAAGAGTAAAAAATCATCAAGACATAAACCATAGGTACATTACAATATAGAATCTAAGTGCTTTTATTAACATCATGTTTTTGTGCTATGCTTAAGATTACATAAAGGTTTATGCTTTAATAAAGATTTCTCACAACCCTAGAAGATTTTTTTCAAAGATTATCCTACTTCATTTTAAGGCAAACTTTCATTCAGATGTAAATTCTGAAAGAAGATTTCAATATTGCTTAAAATACAAAAATACAAAAGAGCAAATGATATAGCATTCTTTTTATTATGAAATGCTTATTTTCAGAATCCCAGAGCTATAAAGGATCTCTGAGAGGCATTTAATTTATCCATGTGGTCTTAATACTGTATATTAATGTATTTCAAATAATGATCAGGATGGAAAGTCTCAAAGAAGGCCGCCTCCATTGTGGCAACTCCTTCATATCTGAAGGGAATCCTCAAGGCAGAAGACACCCCTTCATGGGGAGTCGTACCCATTCCCAAGCTCTCTTATCCCTACAAGCAAAAGCACGTAAATACTCAACTCTGCTCAGTGTCTAGGTCAATCCTGATCTCATGGAGGAACACTGTTAACAGTTCTAGGCCACAATTAGGTTCAAACAGAAACAGCATAAGTCTCCTTGGCTGCTAATCCAGTTCAGGTGCTTGCATCCCAATTCTGACCACCAGATTTAGTCCTAAATTCTGCATTGAAGTCTGTGTGTGTGTGTGTGTGTGTGTGTGTGCGCGTGTGTGTGTGTGTGTGTGACATGCATAATGCAAGTATGTCTCAAAAACTGAGACTTTGCCTTCATCTGGCCAGTGTCCCTGCTGGAATAGAGCCTTGCCCTGAATTCTGTTCTAGTACCTGAAACCTTACTATTAGTTGAATGGTTTCTCTTGTTTTACCAGCCTACATATCTACCTAGAATCCTAAGTACTTGCATGATATTACTTTACCTTGCCTATCAAAACACTTATAACTCCATGATGAGCCTATATTTTTTCTGTTACTATACATCTTTATAATGTGCCCTCCATATCATCAACTGTATTGAACCACACATATCATCTCAATGCCTGCCTCATTCCAGCGGGGTCGCCTGTAAGCATAATCTATCCTGGCAAGGTTAATTGTGCTACATCCAGCCCAGTCTTAAACACAACCTGTGTGGTGACCATTCCTTGGATCTGCCCCAATGCAAGACCGTCAGCACCCTGCCTTTCCTCCCCTTCTGTAGGGTCCTCATCATCAGAACTTAATAATTTCTAAAGATCACTATAGTTTTATAAAATAAAAATTATATCTTCAATAAAAGGGGGATAGAGATGTCAGCCACAGATAACAAGGACAAAAGTAACATTTATAAGTAGTTATTTTTCATTCCTAAAACAGAAATGTAAAATATGTCATTTTAATTCACAATATTTTAATGTATGTATTAAATCCTGCTGTATTTAAGAAGAATATTTTCATTTAATTAGTTTATTGCGGCACTATTCACACTAGCAAAGACTTGGAACCAACCCAAATGTCCAACAACGATAGACTAGATTAAGAAAATGTGGCACATATACACCATGGAATACTATGCAGCCATAAAAAATGATGAGTTCATGTCCTTTGTAGGGACATGGATGAAACTGGAAACCATCATTCTCAGCAAACTATCGCAAGGACAAAAAACCAAACACCACATGTTCTCACTTACAGGTGGGAATTGAACAATGAGAACACATGGACACAGGAAGGGGAACATCACACTCCGGGGACTGTTGTGAGGTGGGGGTAGGGGGGAGGGATAGCATTAGGAGATACACCTAATGTTAAATGGCGAGTTAATGGGTGCAGCACACCAACATGGCACATGTATACATATGTAACAAACCTGCACATTGTGCACATGTACCCTAAAACTTAAAGTGTAATAATAATAAAATTTAAAAAAAAGAATTATTATGGTAACTGAATCTCAAGTATTAATTAAATATATCTTTAAATTTTACTTGGTGTTTTTATATTAAGCATCTTGCAAGGAATCTAAGATCTTCAAAGGTAAGAATTATATCTTGCATATAATACATGATAGTTTCATCCTATGTCAAATCCATAAATCCCTACACATTGATTGAAACCACATGCTGGGGCATTTTATGGAGATTTGTAAAAGCTTTGCTGGCATTAGATTGAAGGCTGTATTAACAATTATGATAACTACTTTGGAAAAATAAAACAAACGAGGGAAAGCACAGAAAAGTTACAAGTGGCACTTGTTCTAACACTCTAAAGCAAATATAATCCCCTTCAATTCACAAAACTATTAATTACTCTCGAGGCTTGCAAGTGTTCTACACAATCTGCAAACCTTTTTCCATCTTTGCAATGCATACTTTCAGACATAGAGGTATTTGAGAACCCACTAACAGTATGCTCCTAAGGTATTATTGGGCAGTGGGTGTTAAAAAAAAAAAGTATTTTTTTAAGATACCAGGAAAACTCAGATTCCAAAATCTCCTCTACTCCTCATGTATTTCCTATTGTTTGAATTGCCGAAAGCTTTTTAGTTCAAGTTCTTAATACTAGTAAAATTGGCAATAATCTGAGTGTTTTAACATTTGAAACTTCTACCATATTTATACTACTTAGAGTAACAAAAAGTCTATAATTACAAAAAGTGGTGAGAGGAAATGGATCACAAGGATGCTAAGAATCTAAGTCTGGGAAAGGGGCTATCAAAAGGGAGCAAAGGGCAAGATTCTGGGGATAAAACAAGACCAAGTGTGGACATTTCCCACAAGTAAAGAAAGCCCGCATAACCTGAATTCTGGCTTACACCAGGCAGGTGTCAGCGTGGCACAGACCAAGAGAACCAGGACTAATAAACATGAAGATGGCAAGTGATTTTCAACTCAGGCTCCTGCTCTTTTTGTCCAGCTCCACTGTTTGCTTCCTACCTGCTGTTAAATCAACAGTCCTAGGCAGACTTCAGTCACGTGCCAAACAACATGGGGGCCAACTGGTTTTGGAAAAGTTCATGAGAACTAGGCTCCATCTTTATCTTTCTGCCTTTTTAGGTACTGCTATCCAAATGCTGGTTGAACAGCTGAGCTTAAAATCTCTCCCAGATATAATGGAAAAATGAAGGCAAACGATCAATCTCCTGCAAGCTTCTAAACCATGTGAGAACAGAATAAGACCCAGGATGATCAGGCTGAATTCTGCTTCCCCTAAAATTTGGCAGAGAAGCACCTCCATCTGTGTTCCTTGGGCCCTTGGAAAATCACTGTGCCTGACATTTTAAGGCCCTGGATACCAAAGACAACATTCTTTTTGCAGGGAAGAACAGACTGAATCATCCGTTAGATATAGCAATAGCTTTCTTTATGGAGAAACCTAACTAGCTTATCTGGCAGACATCTGAGGCACAGATACTCTTTACTTAATGTAGACACAGCCTAGGTCGTACAGAAAAATAAATAAGAATGTACTTCCAAAGAAATATAAATCCATACAATTAAATTGATTTCATTCATGCTCCAGTTGCCCTGTTCATTTCCAACTTTTTTTATGCTGATACCTTCCCTCCCAACTTCTCTGTTCATGCTTGGGCTCACACATTCTCTTAATCTGTTAATTATCTGTATTAGTTATTCATTAAATACTATATGCTTTTGGCTGGAACCTGACCAAGAAATTTTTTTTAAGTTTCATGCTCTCCTGGGAATAACTTATAAGACAAAAATCCAGATTTCATCACACGATGCACGTAGTGACCTCCCTGGGGGAGATGTTACCAGTAAAACAAAGCTGCTTTCTGTCAAAGCAAAGTGCTGTGGATTCTGAAATTTGAAGCCAAAAATAAAATATTCACAAACAACCAAAATATTTATGATTAAAGATGTTATGCTTTCAAAATTATGCTCTACAAACTTTTGCTATGTCTTCTATTAAAAAGCAGTAGCCTAATGCTAAAGTGTCAGATTCTAACCTGAAGCTATTTTAGATGTTCCTGTTTTTAAAAATTGAGAAACACTATATGTAGAGAATCTAATGTTTTTTTCTTTTTCCTCTCTCCTTACCAAAATCAATCAAATTACAATGGCTACCCAGAACAGTATGAGGGAAACTTTATCATTCACAACACATACATAACCAACAGCAAGGAGGCTACCCTAACCAGTATTGTATACAGAGTGTCAACAAAAGACAGGAAAGAATACAAACTGCCTGCTGTAAGGAAGACCAGAGCAAGAGATCTGAGAGCTAACGGAGAACTTAAGAATGAGAACTGTGATCCAAAAGAAATTCTGAGGGAAAATAAGATGAATGGTGAAATCGGAAAGGAGGAAAACTAGCTAGAGAAATAAGAGGCCCCAGATAGATAGGGATACAAAGGTCAAAGTAGCCCATGGCCATAATGATGGATTCAGAAAGCAATATGCTATAATTTGCTCTTTAAAAATTAGGACTGGATCCAAAAGATTAAAGTGTGTTTCTGATATTATTTGACCCCAAAATTCAACCTGCTCCCGTGTTTGGTGTGTATCAGAGCTAGAAAAATGAGTCAAGATAAGTCAGTTCTTGCACTGATTTATTGCCATCCAATTAGGAAGCTCTTGGCTCACTGATCAGAAACAAAGATTAAAGGAAAAAAAGATACCATAAAAGCTAAAACTTCTGCAATCTTCTATCTCAACCGACTATACAAAAAGATATGCAGTACCTAATTTAGTAAGAGTTATAAATCACTGCAAGTGCTAAAGAAAAAAAAAACGATGTTAACATTTAAACATATTTCTTCTGGATTTTGGTGTATTATTATGTCACTGATAAAAATATTTTTAAATGAAGCTTTAAATGCCCTGATTTTGGCTGTCTACACAGAATAAATCTAATATAAAACCATACTTAAGTAAAAAATATTTATACCAATATAAAATACTCTACAGATTTCAGTAAATATTGTTGCTATAATAGTTATTTGGCCTACTTCTTTCTAACTCCCTATGCCTTACTAAATCAGCAAACACATTGTTCAGCGTCCATAGATGAATAACTAACACTATGTGATGGAAGGATTTGTCTTAGTCTAATGGTTATTTGACAGATTACTTCTCTGTTCATTAGGGGATGTTATTATTTCAACATATTATTTGTAAAACCTTTTAAAACATTATTTGCAAAATTTTAAAGTATACCTTTATTTTTTATTATTATTTTTTATCTTTTATTTTAGGTTGGAGGGTACATGTGCAGGTTGTTACATAGGTAAACTTATGTCATGGGGGTTGGTGAACAGATTAAAGTATAAGTTTATTTTTTATTCATTAGGTTAACACCCATAGAAAATGTGCATCAGAAAATGAATATCATCTTAAAACAAGGAAAGTAAAATAGTAATAATAATAATTAGGTCAGGAACTGAAGCATCAACAAGTGTACTGATTTAATAATAAGTAATAAACATTCTCTTATCAAGAGATTTTGATGTCTATTCAGCACCTAACTGGTAGCAAGATCTATGAGACAGAAATAAGGTAGAAAGAGAAGAAAGAAGAGCAAACAAAGGAAGGCTAGGTCGCAGAAAGCCTGGAGTTTAGGCCCTCACTGATAAACTGTATGATATTTGGCAAGTGACAACCTCTATAAACCTCAATTTTCTCTTAATATAAGAGCACAACTTATGTCCCAGGATCATCATAATGATTCAATTAGATGGTGTAGGTAATATTGTTTTACAAATGATAAAGCTCTATATAATATAAATTTATTACTTCTGCTAATATTTAGCTGAACAGAGGAAACAACTTCAGAAATAATGAAGACTAAATTTGGTTAGATGCCAGGTTTATTTGATCACAGAGTACTGTTAAGGTTTACTAATTTAATTTCCAATGTAGCTTTTCAAACTTATTTATCCAAAGTGTTAGTTTGCATTTTTTTAAATACCTATTAAACCAAAACCTAACCATGTAATTAATAAATCATTTTCTTTCCTTGAGGTATACATAGCCAAAGATATAAAAGAATTGTCATTTTACTACCTAAGAAAGTTTTTTTAAATATTAAGAATAACCTTTTGTGCCTACCTCAGTCTACCTGCCTTCAAGATTATAGTTCCAGATTCCAAATGCCAGAATGCATCTAAATGGAGGTTAAAAAGGAGAATATGCATGCTGAAAGTTCCTAAATAGAACCTCTTCACAAGTTCTAGATGTGTAGGTCTTCAAAATATCACAAGAAAAACAAAAAAACATAACCACATAAATTCCTGCTTTAAAGGAAAAAATGTGTTACGATAAAGTGATCTTTGAAGCAAATCTTTTCAAATAATTTTTTGTGATCACCCTAAGATGATTAGAGATTGCTTCTAATTCGGAATTAATCTTTCAAATATCTGAGTTGAATAGTTTTGATAACAGCAACACAAGACAATATTTGTATTAGTCTGTTTTCACACTGCTATAAAGAACTGCCCGAGACTGAGTGATTTATAAAGGAAAGAGGTTTAATTGACTTACAGTTCAGCATGGCTGGGGAGGTCTCAGGAAACTTACAATCATGGCAGAAGGTGAAGAGGAAGTAAGGCACCTTCTTGCCAAGGAAGCAGGGAGGAGACGTACCAAGCAAAGTGGGAAGAGCCTCTTATAAAACTATCAGATCTCGTGAGAACTCACTATCACTAGAACAGCATGGAGAAAACTGCCCCCATGATTCAATTACCTCCACCTGGTCTCTCCTTTGACATGTGGGGATTATCAGGATTCTGGGGATTTTAATTCAAGATGAGATTTGGGTGGGCACACAAAGCCTAACCATATCAATACTCATGGAATACTGGAAATTAAAATCCTCACTTAGCAGCTCATTTTTTTCCTGATTATATTTCCCCAATTTTCAAATCTTCATTTGTCACCATTTACTCTATTTACTGTTCAACCTTTGATCATAATGTTGTTATATCAAATTCATTATTACTTTGCCCCCACTAGTGTCATTTTATTATTACAAATAAGCCTTATGATAAGTAAGCTTAATGTGAAAATTGTTAATAGATTAATAAAATGGAGAAATAAATGATTCTGCATAACCCAAGGCCTACACTTTGCTATCACAATTTAGTTACTGCATAGCAAATGACAGCACGACCAGCAGTGTGTATTTCAGCTGAGTACTGCATATATAGGACATAGATAGACCAAAGGAGAGGAATATGTCATCCAAAGATTAAACAATTTAGACAAAATATCTGTAGACAGAGCCACACTAAGAGGCAGACTACCCATGCAGCTGTTCATGTTGCTAAGCTATCAGTTGAAATATAATAAGATGGAGAAAATTATATTAAACAATGTCCTCTTAAGGAGGAGATATATGAAAGAATACTTTGATAAGTCTCATTAGGTGGAGTACAACCTCCAGTGGATATGTCAAAGTCACAAAGGTAATATGTCTTCTAGGGAGGTGGGTATGGATTTACTGAATGAGCCATACATCCTGGCAAGCTGCCCCAGAACCCCTTCTCCACCCTCCATGGCACTCCTCTAAATGAACATTGAATAAAGAAATAAAGAGAATTTTCTCAAAGAGTCACCAAATCATGATCCTACCAGGACAGCAAGACATCCTATTTTCATGTGAGATGATGCATTCTGGCAGCACTGTGACTTGGAAGGGAGACACCTACACTCACAAAGAAACATTAGCAGACAATTGGAATTACTCAGGCAAGAAGTACCTAGCACCTGCACCCAACCAGTGTTATTGGGAACAGGAAGAAAGCAGCTGAATCCATGAGTTTGGATGAGGTTGTAAAGGGAACAAGCACATAGTGGGGAGAGCAACTAAAACATTTTCAGTTGAATAATGAGCAAAGAAGCCAAACTGCACTGAGTTCAGTATGAAGCAGGAGAATATGAAAAACCCTTTTTTCATAAAGATTGACAATAAAGGGATGTTTTAAATTATCTTAAATGTCATAATCTTGCTAGAAAGTCAACATATACAGGAAAAACAGAAGGCTACAAAAACCGAGTTTTCAGTATGAAGTCACCTTATATATAATGTATTATATTGTGTATGTATATTATTAAGTTCATTAAGAGACATATTAGAAACAAGAGAATATGTAGGAATCTTGCCAAGAAATTGCAGAACAAAGATCAACTCTCTGAACTGAGCACATCAGCAGAATTGACGTGATACCACAGGAAAGTGTTGCTACCAATTGTCTATAAAAGAAAGTGGCTTCGAAAAATTTGCAAATTGCCACATGAATATCCAATATGATAACTCAGCTAAACATGAAAATGTACAGATTCACAAGCGTAAATCCAGACTAATGCTGACTAGAGCAATTGCCCTGTGCTGGCTTATTTGGGTGTAGAGTAACATTCCTGAAGTTATCTATCCCCTGTACCTGCAAGATAGCCTACTCTTTTGAAAAGAGAATTTTGAGATGCTTCTATTGTTACTACTACTGATGGGCAAAGTAAATGCCTGAGACCATGCCCTCCGACCTTCCAGGGGACACAGATTCTAAAAATTATAATTGCCTCTCTCACCAAGATGTCAAACAATAAAAAGGAATTAAAATTTTATCACAGCTGGGCTCGGTGGCTCACGCCTGTAATCCCAGCACTTTGGGAGGCCGAGGTGGGTAGATCACGACATCAGGAGATCAAGACCATCCTGGCTAACACGGTGAAACCCCGTCTCTACTAAAAAATACAAAAAAATTAGCCGGGCGTGGTGGCAGGCACCTATAGTCACAGCTACTTGGGAGGCTGAGGCAGGAGACTGGCGTGAACCCGGGAGGCAGAGCTTGCAGTGAGCCGAGATAGTGCCACTGCACTCCAGCCTGGGCGACAGAGTGAGACTCTGTCTCAAAAAAAAAAAAAATTGTTACAAACTTTACACAGCTCCATATTCCCTTGTATAACAAATGGTCATATCTATACTTATTAGTTAAAAACATGAAACTCCTCCACATTATCCCTACTAACCTGGCAGTAAACTCCTGCAACCAAAAACTGAAGTGATTTTCAATTAGCCATGTGCTAATAAGAGCCAAATCTGAGCATTCTTTTCCAGCTCTGTGTACAGTGATGTCACATCAGTAGCTTGAATCAGCCATGGTAGGAGTATTTACACCATAGGAACTGGCAAACACTATAAATTACAGTTTTATATCCTTCTAGAGTGCTGGTTATCAAACCTTTTACCATCACATTACTACTCTAAGCATCCTTTTCATCAGTGCTTTAAAAAGCAGAATTGAATCCCTTCCCATCGCTCAGTCTCGAAGAGTTCTCCAGGATTTCCAAAATGCCAACATTTCCCACTCTGAAAGTTTACTCTCTCCAAGGTAACAGACCTTAACAGCATCCTTAGTGTTGCTAAATTATACCAGAGGAAAAAAATTCTTTTTTGCTAGATCAGCTTTTGGTGTTGCTGTAATATTTTAGCTCTGTGCTTCCTGACAGCTAGGAGTCTAATTACCACTCTCCCATTCATCCATTCAGCAATCTTTGACTATCTTCAACCCAGTGAGGCATACAGATTGGTCCTTACTCCTCCTCCTCCTGCCTGCTTCATGCAAAAGGACTTCATTCAGATCCAGAAACAAATTCCCATGTTTTTCATAAAGAATGCCAATTTTATAGCTAATAACCTCACTTCACAAGTCTATAGATCATGCTCTATGGTAGGTACTGACAATAGAAAAATGAATCAAACACACTTCCTCCTTATGAGAGGATACAAGGTCAGGTATGGAAAACAGACATTTAAGCAACTGCTTTTCTACCCCATTTTAAGTAAGCTTCCAGTAAGAATAGGAGCAGCAAGAATTGAGATTCCAGGAGAAATTCAAAAATGTACAATTTTTCATTACACAAACACTTCAATTCAATGTAATTCGTTTACTTAGTGCCCACAGTGAGCCAGGCACTAGGCACACCTGTCACCTGTCCATGAGGAGAGAGGCGACAGGAACTATGCATACCTGTCACCTGTCCATGAGGAGAGAGGTGACAGGTGTGCATAGTGCCTGATTCACTGGGGGCACTAAGTAAATGGATTACATTAAATTGAAGTATCCATGTAAGGAAAATTGTACATTGAACTTAAAGAAACTTGCAAATAAGTTTTATAGATAATTTACACCAGGAGTCAGCAAATGTTTTCTAAAATGGGCCAGATAGTAAATATTTTACACTTTGTAGTCCATATGGTCTCTGTTGCAACTACTAAGTCTGCCTTTGTAGTATGAAAGCACTAATAGACAATACATAAACTAATAAACATGTTATATTTCCATAAAACTTTAATTGCAAAAGGCAGGCAGTAGGCCATAAGTGGCCCATAGCCATAGTTTTCCACTCCAACTCCAATTTCAATTATAAAAATTGAGATGACTCAAACATTTTCATGGGTGCCTCTGACATTTACCAATGTCTCTTCTCATTTTACCTTCTCCTTCTTTTGTGTGTGTGCATGTGTGCATGCGTGCGTGTGTGCATGTGTGTGTGAGAGAGAGAGTCTGTTTCCCAGGGACTGGAAGGCAGTGGCATGATCACAACTCACTGCAGTCTCAATCCCAGGCTCAAGTGATCCTCCAGCCTTAGCCTCTCAAGTAGCTGGACTACAGGTGCACGCCACCATGCCCATCTAATTTTTTTGTTGTTGTACAGATGGAGTCTCACTATGTTCCCCAGGCTGGTCTTGAACTCCTGGCCTCAGGTGATCTGCCCGCCTTGGCCTCCCAAAGTGCTGGAAATACAAGTGTGAGCCACTGCATTGCACTCAGCCAACCCTCTTCTCTTTGTGCTCTAAGCAATTAGTAATTAGACACTTTTATATATTAATATTTTATTTTGAAACAATCCTCTGCTTGCTCACCTTCACTCTGTTTTCCTAGCACCTGGCAATCAATAAGAAGCAGGTAAGTCCCCAGTATACGCAATTGACACCATTGATTCCATTAGAATGATGAAAGCTGCTCTACCTAAATTCTAATTATTCTAGAACTTCAGGGTCTGAGCCGCAGCATAAATGCAAAAGTAGAATCTAAGAGATTCTTAGATTTGTGGAGATATTAGCCACAAACGAAGACTGTATCCAAGCACCGATATTTATTGTTTGCTAAATAAAGAGTGCAAGTTTAAAATCAGTAAGATCATTTCTTTAAAAGTTATTTAGTTATTTATTTGAATCTTTACTGAGAAGTCAGTTCATTCTGACCTTTTCATAAATTAAATTAAACTAGCACTGGCTAAAAGGTGATGGGAAGAAAAGGTGAAAAGGTTAGTGGGTCGTTGTCGTTTTTATTGCACAGAAATTTCTGAATGGAGCTTCAGCCAAAATATTGCAAAGATTCAAAATTTAATTTCCTGGGACCAGCAAACCAATTTTTGATGGTACCATAAAGACTTCCAAAATGAGAGTTAATTTAATTCATTGTCATCCAAATCAAAATTGTGAAAGTATATAAAAAAGCAATCAGTACATTTTCTCCAAGTAATAATTTTCCTTTCTCCAAGTTTCATGTATATTGCTACAACCCAGAGTAATATTTTCTCAGTAGTATATTTTTACTTGTTTTGTTAGCATAAGATGCTGCTCTAAATACATATATTTAATATTCTGGTATGTTTTTAAAAATAGTCTTATTTCCTTTCATTGAGACTTTGAAAGAGCACCTTTATGCATATAAAAAAAGAAAAGACCCTAAATACAAAAACTAACATAGAGAGTATGTAAAATTGTTATATGAATATAATAAATGCTGCTTTAACTTTGAAATAACACCAACCATTAACAAATTGAAAATTTTGTAACTTAAGCTATTTAATGTAATTCTGTTTGAAATACGTATTGTTTACTAAAAACTTATTTTAGCCAAAAATAACACAAAGCTTCTAGACTGCCAACAAAATGTGTTTTAATAACCCAATTCATTAGAAAAATGTTGAAGAGGACTCTCTACCCCTTTTCGCTCCTTTACAAGTTGAGGAGCTGCATGACATAGTGGAATGAAATTCCCTAATTTGAAACCTGGTTCTACTGCTTAGCAGCTGAATGACTGGGCAAGTTATTTAACCTGGCTCTGAGTTTCATAAACTGGAAATAGTATTAGAACCTATCTCACAGGCTTGATGTGCCACTTACATGAGATAATATTTATAATCCACTACAAACAGAGCTTAATACATAGAAAATGTTGAATAAATGTCAGCCATTAGTAATATGTTCATTTTTCTTGGTTGAATGTGATTTTATTATTTAGTACAATTTGATCTCATAAATAACAGAGACTACAGGCTATAGCTACATAAAAAGGAGAATTGGGGTCAAGTAGTTCAGACAGGAGAAACACACTAGAGCTCAACTCAGCATACATGATACAGCTGTGTACTTCCAGTGACTAACAGTGGATGCTGTTGCAGGCAGGATACTAAAGCAATGTTTTGTGTCAGCAGCATTAAGCAGATCAGAAATCAAAAAAATTACATACAGTAACAGATTCTATGGTTAGCAACTGTAACTTAAATACAGAAAGCCTGTCTATGTGTGTACAAATTCAAATATGGACGTGATGCTGAAAAGTTTTTAGTTAGTCTTTTCAGCCCTTTTCACCATTAATGTCCTAGATTCAATGTAAAGACTTACCCATTGTATTGCCAACAAAGAAACATTTCAAAATTAAAGTTCCAGGACACTCGAATCTAAGTCTGAGATCATACACAATCTCAGAGTTCACCTCAATATCTTCGGCCTGAAGAAAATGGATAAAAAGTACAAGATACTTTAAGCTTTAGTGAACTGTAACTTATTTTTAAACAGAAAGGGAAGGTATATTTTAATGTGAATTACATTTTAAAGCAAAAGCAATATAATGGTACTTTTAGAACCTCATAAACTTTGAATAAAAATGGATCAGTTCATACTTAATGCTTTGTTCCATAAAGCTCTTCCAGATACTTGAAATGTTAAAGCTGCTACTTTACATAAAACAATATGCTCTTCTATAAAGCTGTGTTCTAAATATATAACGCTTGGGTACATTTCATGGCATTTTAAAATGCATTGTTTTCTGGACTTGCATTTATTGGTGATTTCAGGAATACAGAATTATAAAACAGTGTCACAATTTCAAGTATGCAAACATGATTTCATCACAGAATCTTATTTTTAAAACAGTATTTTTTTATCTTCTAAATAAGATTAAAGAACAGAAATTAGTCTCATACATATAGTAGGTTTTTCTAGATCACTATTGCTATAGACAATGTTTGTATCCCTCCAAAAATTCATGTGTTAAATTCTAATGGTCAATGTGATAGTATTAGGAGGTGAGGCCTTTGAGGCTGATTAAGTCATGAGAGTGGAGTCCTCATAGATGGGATCAATGCCCTTATAAAAGAGGTCCCAGAGAGCTCCCTCCCCACTTCCACCATGTGAGGACTCCAGGAAGCAGTCCCCCACCATATACTGAATCTGCCAGCACCTTGATCTTGGACTTCTCAGCCTTCAGAACTGTGAGAAATAAATTTCTGTCCTTTATAAACAACACGGTCATTTGTATTTTGTTACAAAATCCCAAACAGACTAAGATAACTATAGCAGTCAATATTTAGCCCATATACTTCAGAATACTAAAAAAATAAACCCCTGAAATAGAAAAGAGTCTCTCCATGTGATATTTTCTCATACCATTTAGTCAACTTATTACAATGATAAGTATAAATATTTCTACATTGTCTCCACTGGTATTAATTTTGATCTTCAGCAGCAGAATTAAACTTATCAAAGATGATTATGTGTTATGCAGGTCACAATTACTATTGTGCCACCATTTCAATGACAAACTAGAAAGATTGAAAAAAACAGTAATGATTTTAGATAACTATACCTAAATAATTTCTAATAATAAAAATCAACAGTCATCTAAAAAGATATTAGCTATCTGGTTATATTTTAGATCGCCTTTTTCAAAGTTCAGGTTATAACCTTTTTATAAATCCCCAGAATCAAAGCAGTGGCTCACAACTTGCAATTTTTTAGTAAAATGATAGACTAGAAAAAAATACAAAAGAATAGAGATACTAGAACACATCATATCTATAATAAAAGTATCTTTTCATAAAGTATATTTTTAGTTACATGAGTGTGTGTGTATGTTGGATTACAATTAAAATCCATTTCTTATTATAGGTTACTGTCAAAAACCTTTGAAAGTCAATAGAGAGCTATCATACATAAATGTAAGTATAAAACTAAAATGCAAAATTCTTAACTCTTGCTTCTATGTAGTTCACTTCCCACTCAAAATCAGGATTTCAGTATATGCCCACAATATCTAAAGTTCTAACAAATATAGAAAAATTGTTTTCTGCATTAAAGGCCGAATTCATTCCTGATATTATGACTTAGGTTTTTGAAAAATGGAAATTATACTTTTCTTTTTTTATTTCTCTATCTCCTATAATGCTTTTATTATGAGGGGGGTGGTGAATATTTGAAGTTGAGTAGGACAAGGCAACCCACACAATAGCTTGCTACATCGCCAGATATTTAAAACACTCCCTTCTTCAATTTAGCAAAATGCTATTACAGTAACCAATATTTCCTCTAATTTTTGAAAGTATGAATAGAATACGATTACATAAAAACAACTAACCACAATATTTAGACATTGAAAAGTTCAACTGATGTTTACAACCACCAGTGTGGCATATAATAATAATTAAATTTAAATTAGTAGTAGTGTTTGTACATGGCATAACCAGTCAGTGATAGTGTATTGGTGGAAGAAATTGTTCTAGAACTTGCAGTGACCTGGAGGCCTGAAGTCCATGGGCTCCCCCACCAACCCCACTTCCCACACAACATGCCCACTCTTCTGGTGTCCCATCTCTGCATTTTGCAACTTTCTAAGGCTGAGCTAAGGCAACCACTGGACACTTGGGTCTGCTCTGACTCAATCTTAACACCTAGGAATAAGCAAGTCCTTCCTCAAAGATATCCCAAAAACAGGGACATCACCTATGTTTTGACCATGAAAATGAAAATCAAAAACCATTTTGGACACACCAACTACTGCATTCACTAGGAGGAGAAATGGGTGCTGCCTACATCAAGCGTAACAATAACCACAACAACAAAAAAAGATGGGGGCCCGAAGGCGCTTCTAATCTGTCGTTAGGATAAAGTTAGCTAGCATTTTGTTTAAAGTTTTTCTATCTATGCTCTTGAGAGAGAAAGGCCTGTAGTTTTTAGTCTCTCATGCTGTCCTTTTCTAAGTTTGGTGTCAAGAGTGTACGTACCTCCATTGCTATTCCCTGGAAACCTTTTTGGTGGAATACTGAAATTATTTGTTTTTGAAGGTTGGGATGAACTTACCCATAATACCATCTGAGGCTAGTGTTTAACTTGTGGGAAGATTTTTACTGATTTAATGTCTTCAATGCTCATAAAATGTTTCAAGTTTTCTATTTCTTCTTGAATTTTGGTAGGAGGTGATTTTCAAAATTTTCCCCCTTTTGTTTAAGTTCTCAAACTTATTACCATTAAATTATTCACAGAATGTTTCTGATCTTGTTAATATCTCAGTTTTGTCCCTTCTTTTAATTCTTAGTATTTTTTCTTGATTGCTTTTTTCTCTTCTTCTTCTGATCCATCTCACAAGATGTTATGTTAGTCTTCTCAAGAAACCAAATTTTGATTTTGGTGATCCATCTCCTAAAACTGTGTTTTCTTTCTAATTATGATTATATGAGGGTTTATTCCTACTGTATTATGTTGTGCTTGCTATTTTTCTCTCATTTTCTATACTGTTGGTTTTTCTTATTTTTTGCTTTATTTTAAATTATTAAATTACTTTGTCATTCAATTTGTTTTACTTTACTCAGTTTGGAAATTATGTACTCTTGTCTCTTTTCCTTGAGTTCCTTTTCTGTGAAATTTTACTATGCATACTTAAGAAGGTAAAGTCTAAAATTAATCAGTATCATTACCTTTCTTTCAAAAAAGATAGGAATTTAGGCCACTTTAAATCCTTAATACTTCACACTCAATTATTTGCAATTGCCATATATTTAAGTTCTATCATTTTAACCACACTAATTAGACATTGTTTTTATTGATTCATGTGGTGGGTATCAGTTCAGCTGTAACCACAGGTTTCTGATTTTCTTCGCTCACCATTCCCTCTTGCATTCAGATCTCACTTAAGGAATCACTTCTGAATTCATTATTTATAATTTCCTTTAATGAAGGATCACCCAATGGCAAGCTCTCTCTTTGTCTGAAAATACTTTCATTTTGCTCTCATTCTAAAAATAAATAAAAACAAATAAATAAAACTGATTTGTTGAATATAAAATTGAAGCTAGACATTGTTTTCTTTTAATAATTTAAGATATTATTCCACTGTCTCCTGGTTTCCATTCTTGCTATTGAGAAGTCAACTATGCCTGTCATTCCTTTGTAAGGAATCTGTCTTTACTGTGGAGCTGATTATAAGATCATCTCACTCCCATGATGATGGGCCTTTAGTGAGATTTCCGTTTGTTCACTTGGGATTCCTTGGGTTTTCCTAACCTAAGGAGTAGAATCTTTCATCAATTTTGGAAATTCCCACTCTTCAAAATTTGCTTCTCCCTCATTCTCTCTCTCCTCCCACAATTCTAATTAGATAGATATTAGACTTTTCACGTATTGTTTTATTTAGCCATATTTATAGAGTGCTCACTATGTGCTGGGCACTGATTTACAGACACTGGAGATACAGCAGTGAATAATTCCGTCTGAGTCCTTCCCTCAGAGGTCTCACATTTGAATGAGGCAAGGCAGTCAGTAAATAAGTACAGCTATAGTATGTCTGACAGCGCTGTGTTTCATATCCTGCCCTCCTTTTCATGTTTTCTCACCTCCCCCCTTTTTTTTCTGTGTCCCTTTCATGCATTCTTTCATTCAAGAAGTAATTGTTCAACTGGGCATGGTAACTCACGCTTGTATTCTCGTCATTTTGGGAAGCCAAGGTGACAGGATCACTTGAGTCCAAGAGTTTGAGACCAGCCTAAGCAACACAGTGAGACCCCATCTCTAAAGAAATTTTAAAAAATATATCTGAGTGCGGGTGCAATGGCTCACGCCTGTAATCCCAGCACTTTGGGAGGCCAAGGAGGGCGGATCACGAGGCCAGGCGATCGAGACTATCCTGGCTAACACGGTGAAACCCCGTCTCTACTAAAAATACAAAAAATTAGCCTGGCGTGGTGGCGGGCGCCTGTAGTCTCAGCTACTCCGGAGGCTGAGGCAGGAGAATGGCGGGAACCCGGGAGGCGGAGCTTGCAGTGAGCCGAGATCACGGCACTGCACTCCAGCCTGGGTGACAGACCAAGACTCCGTCTCAAAAAAAATAATAATAATATATATATATGTGTGTATATGTGTGTGTGTGTGTGTGTGTGTGTGTGTGTATCTGAGTGTTCTGGCATGAGCCTGTAGTCCCAGCTATCAGAGGGCTGAAGCGGAAAGATCCCTTGAGCCCAGGAGCTTGAGGCTCCGGTGATCTATGATTGCACCACTGCATTCCATCCTGGGCGACAGAAGGATACCCAGTCTCTAAAAAAATAAAAATAAAAAGATGAAAGTAATTATTGAACTGCTGCTATGGAACGAGCATTATTTTAGGCCCTGGGGCTGCTGCACTAAGCATGAAGAACAGTCTATTGAGTAGGATTGGGGAGACAAGCAACAACTATGTTAATAAATAGAATGTCACCAGGTAACAACTACTGTGAAGAAAAGTAAAGTGTGGTAAGAGATAGCAGAAGTTTAGCAGTGGGGCGGGGCGGGGGGTTGCTGTTTTATAATACATGGTCAGGAAAGGGCTCCAGAATAAGGTATTATTTGAGCAGAAATCTGAAAGAAATGAAGGAGCAAGCCATGTGGCCACCTGAAGAAAAGTATTCCAGGCAGAGTCAACAGCAGGAGTCATGATAAGTTTATCTTGAATAATTTTCAGTGCTTCTTGTAGGCCACAAATTCCACTTTCAGCTATGTCTATTGTTTAGGCTGTTCGTTAAGTTTTTAATACCAATTTTTATTTTTCATTTAGATGTTCTATTCATTTTTCAATTCTGTATACTCAGTTTCAAGGTCACTTGTTCCTCATTTATATTTTAATTTGAACTTTTATTTCTTCCTACTATATTAAAATATTTTTATAATTTTATGTCTGATAATTCCTGTATCTCAAGTTTTTGAGGATCTGTATTAGCTATCAGTTATCATTGTTTCAGAACAATATTACCACAAACTTAGTAACTTAAAATTACACACATTTATTGTTTCACAGTTTCTGGGGGTCAGGAGTCTTGCCTTGCTTTCTTGCACAATGGATTTTTACCATTTTACTCCTTCACTGAGGATACAGGCTTTTAGTCTCTAAAATGACCCACTTTGGGTGGGCTTTAGACTTTGTCTCCTGTCCTCTGCCCTCAGCAGCCAAGAAATACAAGCTTCTACAGGCAGACAGATCTAGGAATGTTGCAAATAATAAATACAATCATGCATCACATAATGACATTTTGGTCAACAATGGGCCACATAAACAATGGAGGTCCTATAAGATCATAATGGAGCTGAAAATTTTTTCACCTTGTGATAACTGTTATAATGTCCTAGATCAATGCATTACTCAGTTTGTAATGATGCTGTTTGTAGTGATGCTGGTGTAAACAAACTTACTGTGTTGCCAGTCTTATAAAAGCGTAGCACATACAATAATGTACAATACATAATACTTAATAATAACAATAAATGACAATGTTATTGGTTTATGTATCTACTATACCATATTTATCATTGTTTTAGTGTGTACTCCTTCTGCTTAAAAAAATTTAACTGTAAAACAGCCTCAGGGAGGTCCTTCAGGAGGTATTCCAGAAGAAGACATTGATATTACAGGAGATGGTAGCTTCATGCGGGTTACTGCCCCTGAAGACCTTCCAGTGGGACAAGATATGGAGGCTGCAGACAGTGATACTGATGATCCTGACCCCGTCTAGGCCTAGGCCTAATGTGTATGTTTGTGTCATAGTTTTTAACAAAAACTTTAAAAGTAAAAAATGTATTTAAAATTTTAAAAATAGAAAAAAGCTTATAGAATAAGAATTAAGAACATCCCATGTACCCCATAAATATCTACTATGTATGCATAAAAATTAAAAATTAAAAAAGTTTAAAGGGAAAGAAAATATTTTTGTACAGCTGTAAAATGCATTTTAAGTAAAGTGTTATTACCAGAGTCAAAAGTTTAAAAGAAAAAAAAAAAGCCTATAAAGTAAAAAAGTTTTAGTAAGCTAGGGTTAATTTATTATTGGAGAAAGAATATTTTTAATAAATTTAGTGTAGCCTAAATGTACAGCATTTATAAAATCTACAGTGCCATATAATAATGTCCTAAATCTTCACCTTCTCTCATTACTCACTAACTGACTCACCCAGAGCAACTTCCAATCCTGCAATCTCCATTCATGGTGAAGTGCTCTGTACAGGTGGGCCATGTTTTGTCTTTTCTACAGTATTTTAACTCTACCTTTTCCATATTTTAATATTTTAAATTCACTTGTACTTACCATTATGTTACAATTGCCCACAGCATTCAGTACAGTAACATGATGTACATGTGTGTAGCCTAGGAGCAACAGACTATACCATATAGCCTCGGTGTGTAGTCGGCTTTACTATCGAAGTTTGTGAAATTACACTCTGTGATGTCACATGACAAAATCGCCTAACAGCGCATTTTTTCAGAACATATCTCCATCGTTAAGAGATATAAGACTGTATATGCTACCATCGGGTAATGAAAGAGGAGTCACAAGATGAGAAAAAGAAAAATATGCTACATTTTTAGTATAATCTCCTAATATAATTTAATGAGATTGTCACTAGGAGGTTACTCATTTTATGAGGTGCAAGAATTAATTTTGGAAAGTAGAGGCACCACATGAATAAGTTAAACTATACTATGCCTAAGGAAAACTAAGAAAACATCATTTATTCATTCATTGAATATTTATTGAACATCTACAATGTATCAGATCAGACTATTTTTTTACTTTTGAAGACATATTAGTGGATAAAGGTGACAAAAATCCTTGCCTACTGGGAACCTACATTCTAGTAAGCATGAGAGTACTGAGCTATTTATTGTAAGAGCGGAGAAGACGCAGCACCAAGAGGCCCAGGGGAGGCTCGGGGAAAAAAAAGAGATGCCAGCCTGGCCAACATGGCAAAACCCCATGTCTACTAAAAATACAAAAATTAGCCAGGTGCAATGGTGCACGCCTGTAGAACCAACTACTCCAGAAGCTGAGGCATGGGAATTGCTTGAGCCTGAGAGACAGAGGTTGCACTGAGCTGAGATGGTACCACTGCACTCCAGCCTGGATGACAGAGCAAGACTCTCTCAACAAAAAAAAAGAGATGCAAAACATAAAACTCCCTTACCTGGCCACTTTACTTACAGTTGAATGTTACCCCTCATTTTCAAGATCAAGTCTACTGTCTTAATATATTTGCTAAATCTGTTAACAATACACTGTATCCTCTTGGGAGAACTCACACTTCTTGCATCTGGAGGGGAACACTGATGGGGCGTAAGACTAATAATACTGGAATAGGAGATGTGGTTTCATTGCGACCTGACAAGAAGTGAAAGCCTTCCTCATGCTGCAGCTGTGATAGGAGGCTACTCATTGAGTCAGTAGTACAGACGCCAAGCCACCTTGGCCTCTTTCCACTCTGAGGTTATATCTAATAAGGTCCAATCCCACTACCTCCTTGTCTTGACTTGCTTGGAACGGTATGGAGACGTTAACACACCTGTATCCATTTTCTGTTGTTGCCATAACAAATTAACACAAACTTAGTGACTTAAAACAACATAAACTTATTATCTTCCATTTCTCAAGTACAATAAAGGTCTCACCAGACTAATATCAAGCTGTCAGCAGGCTGCATTCCTTTCTGGAGGCTCTAGAGGTGAATCCATTTCTTGCTTATTTATGTTGCTGACAAAATTAAGGTCCTTATGGTTGAATAGTGGAGGTAACCATTTTCCTGCTGGCCCTAAGGTAAAGGCCTTTCCCAGCTTTTAAAGGCCACCGCATTCCTTGGCTCATGGCCCCTTTCTTCTGCCTTCAAAGCCAGCAACAGCGGATGGAGTCCATGTCATGCTTCACATTTTTCTTCTTTCTCTTTCTGTCTTATCTCTCTGACCCAACCAGGGAAAGGTTCACTGCTTTGATGGACTCATGATTAGAGGGCATATCTAGATAATCTAGGAAGATCTCCCATCTCAATACCCCTACTCTTGATCACAACCTGTGTCATATAAGGTAATATATTCACAATTTCTGAATATTAGGACATGGACATATTTGGGGGGACCGTTATTCCGCCTGCCACACAGCCCTAGTGACTTGACTCTATGGTGGTCCTTCAGCATGAAAGTTGTCCTGGCTATTTGTAGAAGGTAAAATTGGTTATAATCTCTTACTATTAAATATTTCCTTAAAATCTTAACATGAAATAGTAGTCTAATTCCTGATGCTAATCTAAACTAATAACCATAATAATTGGGCTATATATCTATCTACTCAGAGTTATGAATAAATCCAGGAGCCATTTCCTACCATCAAATTCTTATTCATTTATCTGTTAAAGTTTACCTGAAGAAACAGAAATATGTATTCTATATATAGTTTGGGTTAACCTTTATTCAACACTCCTGGGAACTTTCTATTGCAATGGAATCCATTTAGTATGCAGCCTTAGAAAAGGCACCTTTGATAGAAAGGCAGATACAGAGACACCGAAGTGTTCATCTTAATGATTAACCAAATTATATTTTGCTGTCTTTCCATTTGCACAATGAATGCTATTCACATAGAAAATTCTGTGTTATCCAAATGAACACCAGGTGGTTTGATGTATCAACTGTTATGGTTAATAGAGACATACAACATACAAATTTCCTATAATCAAAAACCTTTAAGAGCAAAGCTTAATCATTGTTCATGATATAGATATTTCTAAAAATGAATCAAAATATAAAGAAAACCAATGGTTTTTGCTATGTAAGGGTGGCTGGACACACACACACACACACACACACACACATGCATACACACACACAAAATAGATTGGATAATCCTAATATTTAAGATTAAGAAAAGGAAAGCAACTTGTAGAAAAACAATGAGAGCTATTATTTGTTGTTCACTTACATTGTTTCTTAGACAATGGTAGGTGCTTAATATATATTAATACATTGCTTACGAGAGCTGTGTAATTTATGTGTCATGATCATTTTAGAGATGAGAAAACTGAGGCTCAGGGGGAAATTTCTAAGCTGATTTAAGGTTAAGTAACTAACAAATGACAGCGCTGGAATTTTACATCTGAATCTGAGTTCATTTTTTAAATGCACTAAAAACTTTACCCAACAATTGTAAACACTATTATTTTTTACATGATGAAGACAAAGATATTTATATTTTGTGGAATTTTGGAACACATAGACAGAGCTATTTTGCCATAGTGTATCACTGTACATATACACAAAAAAGTTTGAGCCTATTTAAAACCTGTAGTTGCCATTCCACAAACCCACTTGGTTTTGAATAATTAAAAAAACAAAAACACAGTTGTGCCAATAAACAACTTACCTGTTTTCTTATTAATGTATTGCCAGTATAACATTAAAAGGGAACCCAGAGGCAACTTGTCAGCCAAGAACAATGAAAAGAGGATAAAAGAAAAAATATACACCACTCAAATCTGTTGGACTTCGGTTTTCAAATTTCCTCCAGAACCATACCACTTGGTGGATTCAACAGAAAGAATGCAAAATCTTAAGCTAGTTATCCACATAAAAATGTTTCTGTTCAATATCATTAAATGTTTCATTTTCTTCATATGTAATTTTTAAGTAACTTATATGACTGAATTGCATTCCCTCATAAGTGCTATTAAGGTACACTTTAGTTCACTATGTATTAATCCATCTGCAAACCTGTCACAAATTGTGGTCAGTAATAGCTTCCAAATGAGCATGGTTTTCATATAATCCTCAGAACTTCCAATACCTATTACTGTAGGAATACCACTAACAATCTTCACAGTAAGTCTTCTATTGAATTTGTACCATTTTATAAACTAGAGGTTCAGTTTCCATTGTCTATGTTTCTCTAAGGCATCAATATTAATTTTACTATTTTAACTGACAATATGAAGTCTTGTGCATATACTATTGAATGCTACATATAATATTACTTTAGATAGCTGTTGTTGCTATATTTTAACACTATGCTCCCTCAAGATTAAAATCACACAGCCTTGTTTTTCCTCCAAGGAATTTAGTTCCAAAAACCAGTCATAGTACAAGCATTTTCTGCAAGCTATTTTCATATTGAGTATAAGCTTTGCATGAAATCAGAAAGTATTACACAACTTATGTGTTTTACTAAGAAAAAGCTCGTTAAGGTGATACACCTCACTTCCAGGAAAAAACCTGAGCACAGAACATCAGTCCAAACGTCAACAATATTAATATGAGTAGTAAACAGGAAAAGGAATTTCCAAATTACAAAAATCAAATATTCAGCAACCTATTGCAGACTAGGATTCTGTGAATAAACAATGACGGATTATAGCAGAGAGCCTCTTGGCTCTCATTTTCCTGCCTTGTCTTACCAATGAAAATACCAAAACAATGTTGAAAAAATGTGCACTTGAAAACTCCAAATCATAATCAGTATTGAAACTAAAATATGTGTGATAGTATCTGGGCACAGGCCCAGAGCCCCATATATTATAAGCTTCTTTATATTTATTCTTAGCATGTGTTCATATCATAAAAAGCATCAAGTGTGGTCAATTTTTAAAATCATATGGTTTCACTAGCCAAGAAGAACTGTGTATGCTGATAAAAATTCTGTGTGTGTGTGTGTGTTGTGTGTGTGTGTTTACTGATTAGTAGGGGTAGAACTAAAACTGAGTTCTGTACATATATTTCACCTCAAAAGTAATATTTACACCTGTACTCAGCCTTATCATCCACAAAATAATAAAAGAAAAGTGGTTTTTACTTGCATGTCAGCTGCAGAACACACCAACAGCCTCCAGAGCCATACCACTTTATAAAAAAGCTGGTTACAATTATTAATATCAATGTAATCTTGAAAGCACCAGTGCATGTAGGAAAAGCTGTAGATAAACCCTGTCATTTCTGTGTGATTAGGAACAGTAATTTTTTCAAAGTGAAAGAATTAGTAACTGAGAATTAGTAACTGAAAAGTAAAAAACAGAATTCCCCATTCAAATAAAAGGCTGGATAACACTGTTTTTTGCTGAAACAGCCGTGTGTGTGTGTGTGTGTGTGTGTGTGTGTGTACATAGTAGGGTATATATATTTATGGGGTATATGAGATATTTGGTATCAGCATGCAATGCATGATAATCACATTCAGATAAATAGAGTATCCATCACCTCAAGCATTTATCCTTTGTATTACAAACAATCCAATTATACTCTTTTAGTTATTCTTAAGTGTCCTTTTAAGTGTCCAATTAAATTATTTTTTACCATCCACCCAGTTGTGCTAACAAACGCTAGGTCTTATTCATTCTTTCTAACAATTTTTTGTACCCATTAACCATCCTCACTTCCCCCACTTCCCCCCACCACCCTCACTACTCTTCCCAGCTACTGGTAACCATCCTTCTACTCTCTATTTCAATGAGTTCAATTATTTTCATTTTTAGTTTCCACAAATAAGTGAGAGAACAAGCAATGTTTGTTTGTTTGTTTCTGTGTCTGGCTTATTTCACTTAACATAATGACTTCCAGTTCCATCCATGTTGTTGCAAATAACAGGATCTCATTCTTTTTATGGCTGAATAGTACTTCATTGTGTATGTGTACCACATTTTCTTTATCCATTCATCTATTGATGAACACAGGTTGCTTTCAAATCATGGCTATGTTGAATAGTGCTGTAATAAACAAGGGAATGCAGATATATTTTCAACCTACTGATTTCCTTTCTTTTGGACATATATTCAGCAGTGGGATTGCTGGCTTATATGTTAGCTCTATTTTCAGTTTCTTAAGGAACCTCCAACCTGCTCTCTATAGTGGTTGTACTAATTTACATTCCTACCAACAGTGTAGAGGGTTCCCTTTTCTCCACATCCTCCTCAGCATTTGTTATTGCTTGTCTTTTGGATAAAAGCCATTTTAACTGGGATGAGATAATATTTCATTGTAGTTTTGATATGCATTTATCTGAAGATCAGTGATGTTGAGCACCTTTTCATATGCCTGTTTGCCATTTGTATGTCTTCCTTTGAAAAATGTCTATTCAAATCCTTTGCTCATTTTTTAATTGGGTTATTTGATTTTTTCCTATAGAGTTGTTTGAGCTATTTATGTATTCTGGTTATTAATCCCTTGTCAGAGGGGTAGTTTGCAAATATTTTCTCCCATTCTTTGGGTTGTATCTTCACTTTGTTGATTGTTTCCTTTGCTGTGCAGAAGCTTTCTAACTTGATGTGATCCCATTTGTTCATTTTTGCTTTGGTTGCCTGTGCCTGTGGGGTATTACTCAAGAAATGTTTGTCCAGTCCCATGTCCTGGAGAGTTTCCCCTATGTTTTCTTTTAGTAGTTTCAATGTTTGAGGTCTTAGATTTAAGTCTTTAATCCACTTTTATTTGGTTTTTGTGTATGAAGAGAGATAGAGGTAAGTTTCATTATTCTGCATATGGATATCCAGTTTTCTCAGCACCACTTATTGAAGAGAAGGTCCTTTCTCCAATGTATATTCTTGGCACCTCTGTCAAAAAATGAGTTCACTGTAGATGTATGGATTTATCTCTGGGTTATCTTTTCTGTTCCACTGATCTATGTCTGTTTTTATGGCAGTACCATGCCATTTTAGTTACTATACTTCTGTAGCATAGTAGCCCAATTTTTCAATGGTAAAGTATCAGACAGAATTTCACTCTCCTTACAATATCAAAATGAACTTTCAAGAAATATTCAGGTGACTTTTAAATATCCAGATATCATTGAAAAAACTAATAAAACATCAGACTTCACAATTAGATTTGCATTTGTATATTATTTGTTTACTGCATTTATTTCAACTTGAGTATGTGTCTATTACTTTCCTTTTCTTTCCTTTTAATAATTTTTGTTTTTACTTTTTTTTTCAGATTCTTCTAAAAAAAGGAAAATTCTTAGTGTCAGATCTTCATGTCCACAAACTGCATTCCACAATTCCACAATAATGCAATTCTGTAGTCACTGGACTACAATTCCTTTTACCAAAAAAAAAATTAAATAAAAATTTTAAAAAAAGCTTATTTACCTTCCTCACTTTGAAAATACAAACTCTAACACAAATCAGAACAGATCTCTATTTTTTAAATACAGGAAATGTTGTGATGAATGTTCTTATAGATATGAAAGGCATGAACTAGCTATACAAAGTTAATCTTCAAGAAAGTTTAAACTACAAATACCTCCACATAAGGTGACTTTCGCTCTCTGTGAACCTCTGTTCAGTTCCTATAGCACACCCTCAGCTACCTAGGCAAATCAACCACATTAGTGTCTTGAGGATGGAGTTCTGAGAGAACAAGATGAGATGGTATTCATTCTCTTTTTATAACTCACCTCTGCTCTCTTTTGAAATGCTAAACATTAGAAAACTTAAGCTATTTTTTCTGCTGGTATCCAAAGAAAAATTAGCAAATCTTCTACCTGTCTCTTTGAAATAGGTCTTACAATAGTTAAGCAAGGGGCTCATCTATCATGCCAGTCAAATCATCAGAGGGGCTCACATTCTATTAGAACATGACAATGGAAAATTTACAAAATATTATTCAAAATTTACAAATATAATTCAAAAAACCAATTTAGAAGATTTCTCCTTTACCAAGCCTAAAATTATTTTTGACTTCATATAAAGGATTCAGATGTCTTGTACTACTTGGCCATTGTCAAGAATCACTGGGAAATAAGAACAAACAGACTACATGATTACATCCATCAGAAATATTTATAATCATAGACAATCATTTAAAAGTAGAAACTATGAATTCATACTAACTGAATGCATCAGTGTTACCAACATCAATGCCAACACAAATAGAAAGATGTGACTCCTAAACTATGAGGTCTGAATGTCACAAATTTTCTCCATGTTCTTAAAGTTTCCTGTGTGGGGACATCATAAAGCATATCCTCTCTAGAAATAAAGAAAGCCAGCTTGAAAACCTCAATCACAAAAGCAGAGCAATTTTTGTGCTGCAATTTCCACAGAGAGGATTTATTTATGTGATCTATGGAAGCCATCATTAAATGGCTTCTGGGCTCCACACTGGTCTGTAGTTCTCCAGGCTGACTCCTTTCTCACTGCTCCATGGCAGCCTATTAACCTTTTTAGTTTATCTGTGACCCTAACAGCAAATCCCTAATGGCATAGGGGCAGGAAAGAATCAAAACAGAGGTTTCTTTAAAGGTGTGTTTTGTTTATTTTCTGGAAATCACTAATCTGATGCTCTTACTATGAGTCCAAGGGGACAGGGATGGCATCTAATCCTCTGCCCTATACACACCACATAATGAATTACCAAAATTAAGAGCATGCTGAACTACAGCTTTCTAGGGCTTAAGGTACTTCCTGGATAGATAGCTACTTTCAGATGCTACGTACACCAGGAGTACAGTCAAACTGTATTTCAATAGCATGAACAACTCCCAATGGTACATGAAAAATGGACAAGAAATGCCTTAAACCTTATAATAACACTAGCTAACAAAGGTTGAGCAGTTCAAAAGAACCAGAAAACATATAAATTCCTTACATACATAGAGTCCAAGTGCTCGTTTTTTATACTTGAAAAAAGAAAACACATAATATATTGTTACATAGGACTCAACTGTCCCCTTTGGTTGTTTGAATTTTAGTTCCTTCACATGACAAGAACAACACAATAGTGACCAAGCACACTGCTTCACTTCAATGTGCATAATCATGGCATGCACCATTAACACTAAAAAGATTTGCTAACCCACTTTAAAATAACACTTTTATTTAGATTAAATACGATGTTTGCTATAGCCAATGTATATATGTCAAGTTCTTCATAAAATTTATAATGTTGCAAGGTGGCCTTACTTCCTGAAGACATTTATACACTTGCATGCAAGTTTTGGGAGTAATATTAATTCATCCATTCATTCATTCCTCCCAGAGCTGCCTGAGACCAGCTCTCAGCAAGAAACTAGAGGAAATTCCAAAGACACAGAAGGCAGTTTCCTCTTTAAGATATTTGTTTCTTGTGCTGCTTTATTTTTAGAACATTATTGGGGAATTTGAGGTTAAAAAATGTCTTGAATGAGGTGCAATAATAGCAATGGACTGCAGAGATATCTTAATCTCTTTCTAATACTGACACAATTGGCAACATTTTTAAGCAAACCCCAAGTAATACTATTTTTTCTATACAGACAAGAAAAGTCTGTGTGTGTGTATGTGAGAGAGAATATGCTACAAAGCTCATGAGACACATAGTGAAAAATGGCATTAAAATATACCAGCTAAGAGCAATAACCACAAAAGCAATTATAGTCAACAACCTGATACTTCACTTTCCTTGGTTTAATTGAAACACAAAGACTTTTGTTAGCAGCTCTTTCCTAGGGAGTTTACATTGAGTGCTCCCTTACTGATGGAAGAAGTGGCATAGCTCTATTCTCTTGCCTCTGCTAGTAGTTAGGGCTACACCTAGAGTAAAAGAAAAATCAATTGTAATTATCCAATGAGTTCAGAGTGATCTGATAACAAATTCAGAAATCATTTGCACTTCAAAAAAAATAGCATCCCAGCTTTCCACAGAAAAGCCTCCTAACTGCCTTGGACTCCGAATACTTTACCTAAAGGCTAAATAATCATGAATATCATATTAGTATATTATAAGCTGTCACTACACTCTTTCTTATTTATTTTTTCTCTTTTCTGTTTTTCACGTTCATCATTGCAGGGGACAGTGTCTGGTTTATTATATTCTTATTGTTCAGCTTTTGGTTATAAAACATGAATGTTTCAGCTGCACCAAATTTCAGATAGAATTATCAAATCTGAACATACGAAATAAATTGGCACAACCCACCATCACTTAATGCCCTTACATTATTAATGTGAAGTTAAGTCCTGTTTAAGATGCAAACTGCAAATAATGCTACTTAAGTAAAAAGCAAAAGAAGTCTTTCAACAAATAACGTATTAAACCTCTTGCAGACACAGTTCTGAGTACTGTGAATACAGTGATGAAGAGAATCTGTGGAGTTCCTCTCATGAAGCTGACAGCCTAGTGATCAGAGGGTATAAGTGCTACAGAAAGACTAAATGCAACAATGTGATGGAAAGCAATAGAAAAGGCCTCTCTAGAAAGGTGGCATTTAGGCTGAAATCGGAATGCTAAGAAGGAACAGCTCTCGGACCCGGGAAGGTCAGCATGTGGCTAGAGCACAGGAAGCGGGGGTGAGAAAAGGATCACAAAATAAGCTCAAAGAGGAGACAGGTGAATGATCATGTAGGACTTTGTAAGCCTGAGTAAGGAGAGTGATTTTTCTTCTAGGTGAGATGGGAAGCTTTGAGGGAGTTCAAGCAGGAGAGCAACATGGTCTCATTCGCACTTTTAAAACATTACTCCAAGCACTTTGGGAGGCCGAGACAGGAGGATTATTTGAGGCCAGGAGCTGGACACTAGCCTGGGCAACATAGGGTGACTCTGTCTTTACAAAATAAAAATTTTTCAAAAATTACTTCAACTTCTCCATGGAGGGATGTACTGTTGGGACATAATAATCCATGGGAGGACTCTAAAGAGAGTTGTAGACCTGAGCCATGATGTTAGAGGAGAGGAGACAATTTGAGATAGCTTTTGAATATTAGTTTAATCATACCTGGCTGACAGGATAAATGTGGAGAATAAGGCTAACTTCTAGATACTTGGCTTGAACAACTGGGTGGATGATAGTGTCATCCTGAGATGAAAAAGACTAGAAAAAGCAAACTTGTGAGGATAGGGGAAATACAGTTGTGTTTTGGCTGTGTTCTTTTTGAGATGCCTAGAACATTAGTTCTTGATGTTTTATTATGCAATACACTTCACTGCACTAATATTTATAAAAAATTAATAGCATATTCATAAGCAAGGCAACTAAACTTCTTACATTACATTTCAGGTACTATTTTTTCACACTCATTTTTCTCCAAGCATCCTGGCTTAGACAAAGTTGCATATCCAGAGAAAGATAGGTAAAGTAAAATGTAAAATGGGCATGAGGACGAACATCCTTGAGCAAAAATCTTGCACCTTTTGTGTTAAAATAATCCATTCCTGGCCGGGCGCGGTGGCTCACGCCTGTAATCCCAGCACTTTGGAAGGCCGAGGCGGGCGGATCACAAGGTCAGGAGATCGAGACCACCCTGGCTAACACGGTGAAACCCCATCTCTACTAAAAATAAAAATAAAAAAATTAGCCGGGCATGGTGGTGGGCACCTGTAGTCCCAGCTACCGAGGAGGCTGAGGCAGGAGAATGGCGTGAACCCAGGAGGCAGAGGTTGCAGTGAGCCAAGATCGCGCCACTGCACTCCAACCTGGGTGACAGAGCGAGACTCCATCTCAAAAAATAATAATAATAATAATCCATTCCAGGCCGGGCATGATGTCTCATGCCTGTAATTCCAGCACTTTGGGAGGCTGAAGTGGGCAGATCACTTGAGCCCAGGAGTTCAAGACCAACCTGGGCAACATGGCAAAATCCCATCTCTACAAAAAATACAAAAAATTAGCAGGGTGAGGTGATGTGCACCTGTAGTCCCAGCCAGCTACTTGGGAGGCTGAGGTAGAAGAATCATCTGAGCCTGGGAAGTTGAGGCTGAAATAAGCCGTGATCACACCACTGCACTTCAGCCTGAGTGACAGAGTGAGACCTTGTCTAAAATAAATAAATAATAATCCATTCCAAAGATCAAAATACCGAATGATCCAAATAAGATGGAGCAAAGTAAAGAAAGAAAACTGATACCCTGATCAACTGAAAAAGTTTACTTTAATCCTAGGATGACTTATTCTTTTGCAATGAGAACTGTTTAGTTAGCTCTTAAATGATAGGGGAAGCCCATCAACCTAAAAAATGTTCTTGTTCCCATCTAAAGCCAGTGAAACCTTTAAAATCTCTTCCAACTGAGCAGCACAGAGGACAGAGCAAGAGCTAAAACAAACTAATCCAAGATACTGCTTCTGATGGCAGGAAGTGCCATATCCAGTTTATAGTATCATGGAAAACAAAAGCAGGCAATACAGATCAGGGGACAGAGTAAGACAAAGAATAGAGACTGGAATCTGAAAAACATCCTACGGATATCCTAAATGTTCACCAGAAGATTTCACTATTACTTTGGTATTGTTCCCTTCTGTGTACCACACATTTTACATATCTTGTATTCCTCCATTTCATCTTTGCATTAAGCCTTTGAGGTAGATGTTATTATACTATAGGTAGGTGTTATTATCTTATCTATATATTATAGATAAGAAAACACCTTTGAGGTAGGTGTTATATTATAGGTAGGTGTTATTATCTTATCTATATATTATAGATAAGAAAACACCTTTGAGGTAGGTGTTATATTATAGGTAGGTGTTATTATCTTATCTATATATTATAGATAAGAAAACACCTTTGAGGTAGGTGTTATAGGTAGGTGTTATTATCTTATCTATATATTATAGATAAGAAAACTCATGTTCAGAAATCTCATGTTCAGAAATACTTGAATAGCATTGCACAGTTGGTAAGTGGCAGAGCCAAAATTTGACTTTAGGTCTGTTTAACTTCAAAATTCATGTTAGTATCCCCTTATTTTTTATTACATTTTTGATTATATGGTAGATACTTAGAATAGTTTTAGTTATCTGCAGTCATAAACTGACAGGCCATGAACCAAGTGGACCCACATGGTACTGAGGTCTTCCTATGCCACGACTATACAGATGAAAATGAATCATTTTGTAGAATGGCAAGAGTAGGGATTGTCTCCAGTGAGATGAAATAGCCCTCACACATGGCATGCTGTTAAGCAAACTAGGTGTCTTTGTATCTTGACTGTGCCATAGTATACAATACAAATGTTTTGAGTCTATGTGTGCTGAATTCGAGGTTGGTGAGTACAAACTTGCTTCCAGTTTGTTGACTTGCCTAGCATAGCATTAAATAGGAACTATTTCTCATTGAATGTACAATAATTAACTTATGCAGCACAGTCATTTAAGTTTAAAGTGTTTTACCCTTCCCCTTCCCAAAGTTAGAACACACACACACACGAGAAAGATAATGTATGGCAAAGTCAAGATTAATTTTAGGTTTCTGTGCTCAGACAGTACCATGGCATTCCAGCCAGCATGACTGCACAGGCACAGAGTTTTTCCAGCAAATATCATTAAGTACTTTATTTTTGCATCACAAAAATTTCAATACTTAATTTTGCTTAATCTTGAAATTAAAGGGTTCATTTAAAGGGAACATTTTTTAAAACCCTTCAAATTCTAATCTCTACTGCAATTTAATTGTTTGGAGAGTGACATGTCTTATGAGCTAATTAATAATTTATTAAAATTAAGTGGTGATAAGTTTATTAATTTTGGAACTTCTGCAGGAAAACATTCTACATTTTCGTTTAGCTAACAAATCCATAGCTATAAAATGCCATAAAATTAAGAAAGTCTTGTTTCCTCTTGCTTCTGAAGCCATGATCTTCAACCATCAAATTTGTTTTCATACAGACAGTAGAATGCGAGCTTATAAATGAAATATTCACATCTAGCACATCCAAATCCTTCTAACTACATGAATTTTTTTTTTTTTTTTTTTTTGAGACAGAGTCTCACTCTGTCACACAGGCTGGAGTGTAGTGGTGTGATCTCGGGACACTGCAACTTCCATTTCCTATGTTCAAGCAATTCTCCTGCCTCAGCCTCCCGAGTAGCTGGGACTACAGGCACACACCACCACACCCAGCTAATTTTTGTATTTTTAGTAGAGATGGGGTTTTGCCACGTTGCCCAGGCTGGTTTCAAACTCCTGGCCTCAAGTGATCTGCCTGCCTCAGCCTCCCAAAGTGCTGGGATTACAGGCGTGAGCCACCACACTTGAAGATCTTGAATTTTAAAGATTTAATGACTACAAGAAACTCATCACAAATGAAATATGGACATAAATGTTATTACATTTTCAGATGACAACCATTGAACCAATAACACAACATTCTTCTTCATTGTTATGAAATGAAATATTTGTATAACAATAACAGCTATCACTTGAGTACTTACTATATGCTAGGCACTATTTATATATTATTTAATATGTAAATAATTTAATGTACTGTGTATTTCATTAAGGGGGAAATAAGGAAAAAGCAGTGTCCATCATGGTGGACATACTAACTATCCACTAAAATCAGTTATTCTTCTGATAGTAATTAATATGTAGGTAGGACACAGATGCTAAGCTAGAGGGCATACATCCCCAGGCTCTTTTGCAGTTAGGCATGGCCATGTGTCCAAGCTCTTGACAATGGAATATGGAAGGAGGCAACATGTGTAAATTCCACCTCTCTTGCTTGAATGGAAATCACTGGACCCAGATTAGACTCTCTCCCCCTTCTCACAGCTAGACTGGTCACATCAGACCTGTTCCTAGACAACTATAAGGAGTGAAGCTGCCAGTCAGATAAAAAGATTAAACTTGGGACAATTATTTAATCATTTCATGTCCATTCATTTCAGCAGCTTAGCCTACCCAAAGTAATAGATCACACAGGCACACATACACGCATATATATATACATACGCACACATATATATTGTTTTATGGTCAATTACCAGTAAGGGTTTTTGTTTTTACTCTTGCAGACTTATTAATCCACTAAGTTATTTAAGAATACTTACTGACCACATGAGCTATACATAAAACCATTGTTTTCTGATTATTATATTGTTAGTGATAACTAACTTCAATTATATGGTTTTGAATTTGAATTTTATTGTTTATAAACCTTTTCCAAAAATATTCTTACTTTGTCTTCCTTACACTCTTTTTATTTTGTAGACCCTAAACTGAACTTCAGAGTGGTTAAGTACCCTGGCAAATATTACTCAGTTATCAATTGGCATAGACTGAACTGAGCCAAAATCCACGCCCTTTAAATTCATACTTCCTCTTTGTGACAATATCTTTAACCTTTGACTTGGTAAATGAAACTGATTTAAATTGTACTTTTCAAAAGGGAAGTGAATTTTGCCTGGTGTTGTTGTATTAAAAGTTAGCTAAGATCAGTCTTCCCTACTTCTTTATATTTGAGCATGTCTGGTATAATCCATAGTATGCTGAAAGATCAAACAGACATGTGGAGAAATATGAAAAAAAAATTTATTTGAAGTTTCTTTGAGAAAAAGCCTCCAGATTATCTTCAGTTTTGTTAGCAGAGTAACTCAGTGAGATTTAAGGCATTAGAAACAGAAGTTAATTTAAAATAAATACATAAATATTTATAGTGCAAAAGCTTTTTTGAAAATCACTTTTCTGCCCTACAATTCAGCAAAGTGTCACTGTGAGATAATTATACTTTTTCTGCTTCCTAAGATTTTCTTTAGGGTTTTCAATTCATCTACTCCAATGAAATCTAATGTTCTCCTCACTACTCTTCCAAATTCCTCTTCTGCTAAGGTTCGACACCACACATAAGTCTGTGTATTGTGGCCAAGAACCTTCCAGGAGCATTCTTCACCCTGTCTCATGGTGTATTTAAACAATACTTCTCCTACCCCCAAACAGAAGGGAATAAAACAATAGCTTCCACTAAATACTTTCTTCCACAGAATTACCCAACAGTTCTATTGCTATGCACACAAAGCACAAGGAAGAAAGATATAATTGATTTCTTATCACGCAAATATCTTCATGGGTTCATATTCAGATGAGACAGCTTCTTTGAAGGCCCTGGAGATGTGCAGAGCTGCTCAGAGCAGCATCAAAGACTTTCAGGAAAAAATAATCTAAAACTGGAACCTCTGAGAAGGAGAAAAGAGCTCATGAGTGGAAGTCTAAAAGAAATGAAGCCTCGATGAGTTTTAGATTCCTCATTATATTAGTCTAGGTTTAGGTGATTAACTTTCTGATATGTTCAATATAAATGAAAATATTGCAAATTCTTCTAATCCTAGATAATTATTTATGGATCCATTAAGCATAAAAGGAATTATTCAACACCAGATAAATTATTAAAGTCATTAATTACCAACATAGAGAATTATTGTTGGCTGACTTGATTAAGTCTCTCCTTAAAACCAACAGTGTAGAGACACTTCTTTCAATTAATTTGACACTAGTGATTTCAGAAGCTGAAAAACATATAAACATGGTTTAATGAGGATGCTTTTATTCTGTGTTCTGTTCCCATTAATTGACAAAGAAATATTCACTGATATTTTGGCTCAAAGTCATTGCAAAAGCTATCTTTCGCATAAGAGTAAATTAAAAATTAAAATTCTTTCTTAAATTAGCAAGTAATGATTGTTCAATTAGAAAAGAGGAAAGCTTGGCTACTCCTTTTTAAATTGCTAAAAGGAAAGTAATATTGTTGGTGACAGAACGAGGATCAGCATCAAGTGTGGCCAATTTCGGAGAAGAAATTTCCTTTAATGACTGGATTGTTAAATCCCTCTAAGGCTATGCAACAGGTATTATAAAGCATGCAATAAATTTTATAAAGACATCAAACCTCTTTTCTCCCTTGGCTGCCAGTATACCACTTTGTCCCAATTCTCTTCTGCACTCTCTAAAGACTAATCAGTATTTTCCAGTATTGCCTGTCTGCCCCCAGAGTTCTTTTCTTATTATGCCATGTACTCTCACAAGAGTACCTCATCCACAGCCATGAATCGCACTGGCACCAATATGTTAATTACCAAAATCCACATCTTCAACACAAACCCCATTCTAAGCTCTCAAGCCTTATTTTTATACTACTTCTATATCACAGGGACCTAAAAACACTGAGCATCTCTACTTCTAAATTATTATAGGGATCTCAAAATCAACATGTCCCTAATTTGCTATATCTACTCCCTATCACACATTCAAATAATCTGTTAGCCCTCCTACATTCTCCCCTAAATGAGTGGTTTCAGTCTTCTCCTTCAGGGCTTTGTCAGTGTTCCTCTTGAGACAGCACAGGTCCCGGTAGACAAGAGACACAGAGCTCAGGATCTCCATGGGCCTCATATGTCCGGGCATATTTCCTCCCCTACCCTCTTACCTCCCTTAACAAGCTGACCCAAGTCACGTAGCAGAAAGCTGCCCCCTCCTAACTTACCCGGCCAAGCTGAATTCCTAACCATAAAAGGCAGAGCCTAACGTTTACCTCCTTGAACAATGTCTCCCAAGGTTGCTAAAGTGGGACTCTGGTATTCCTGATAAGAAACTGACCATCTCCCAAGGTTACAAAAGGAAGAGTCTGGCATTCCCCATAAGAACTATGCACACGTACCCTAAAACTTAAAGTATAATTGGAAAAAAAAAAAAAAGAACTGGATCAGATCCAGCCAGCTAAAGACAAGTTGGACTCAGCACTGGCCTTTCACTGATTTTTTTCCTCTTCATAATCTCATTATAATACTAAAATCACACCCAGGGGTGTAGATTTAACAGGCCAATGAGACATATGACACATAAAGAAGCATGTTATCAGACTGTGCAGATGCTAAAAATTCCCCACCTCTACGTGCCTACACATCACTCCTTTTCTCGCTTCAGCTTCCTTAAAATGACAAGAGCTTAGCCCTTTGGGGAGCTGGCACCAGGATCTCTTTCCCTTATGCTCCTCCCTTGTCTTGCTAGAGCTGCAAGCCTATTAAACCTTGCCTGAGAAAAATTTCTTTTTGGCGTGATGTTAATTTCTATTTATGCAAGAGCCAATATTTATCTGAACTACAGTGACACTCTGGGTACCTCCATCATGAGCTATGGCCTTCATATCACCAGAGCAATGCCATGTGCGACAGGAGGAAGAGGGAAGAACACTAAAATGCTCCACCCTGGTTCACTTTGTCCCCTGGAGATCCATGTAGTTCAGCTTATGGGCATGTTTCACAAATTTTTCTTAAAAACAATTCTTTAGCTTCCAACTACAGCCTTTCTTTCTAAAGGACTCGAGTGTTGCCAGTGAAGTCACACTGAGTTTACGATGCCATGTTATCATCTGCAGCTGCCCCTCTCTCCAGCGTCAGCTCTTCAGGAACCACACACTAACATCTCCCTTGCAGGATGCTTTCCTCTAAACAAGTCTACCCATGAACAAAGAAGCCTAGGGAAATTGTTGGTCCCATACACCCAGCTACAACTGGATCACCCATACATGCCTCTCTATCAAATATATATTTTATCAATTAATTGCAAATTAGTTGATATTCCTGATAGGCCTCTGGGACTGTAGACAACACTGTGGCTTGATAAAAGTTTAACAGTGGCCGGGCGCCGTGGCTCACACCTGTAATCCCAGCACTTTGGGAGGCTGAGGAGGGCTGATTGCCTGAGGTCAGGAGTTTGAGACCAGTCTGGCCAACATGGTGAAACCCCGTCTCTACTAAAAATACAAAAAAAAAAAAAAAATTAGCCAGACATAGTGGCATGTGCCTGTACTCCCAGCTACTCGGGAGACGGAGGCAGGAGAATTGCTTGAACCAGGGAAGTAGAGGTTGCAGTAAGCCGAGATCGTGCCACTACACTCCAGCCTGGGTGACAGAGCAAGACTCTGTCTCAAAAAAAAAAAAAAATTTTTAACAGCATGTTGTTACTAAATCTGTGATCAAAAATCAACATTCCTGTCTCAAAATAATTCTAGGATATTCAGGTTAATCTGACCCAATCTATCCACTTTTATCAGGTGAAGCTTCTCACAAAAAAAGTGCATCAAGCAGCACACTAACAGCAAAGTCAGTATCTTCCCTCTTTATTAATTCTCTACTGCCACATCGCAAATTACGACAAACTTGACAGCTTAAAACAATACCCACTTATTAGCTCACAGTTCTACAGGTCAGAATTTCAGGCACAAAGAGACTGGTTTCTCTGCTCAGATCTTATAGGCTAAAATCAAGGGGTCAGCCAGGCTGCATTCTCATCCGGAGCTCAAGTGCTCTTCCAAGACCATGTAATGGTAGCAGAATTCAGTTCCTTGAAGTTGTAGAACTGTGGTCCCCAATTCATCACTCTCTGTCAGCAGAGGCTGCTCAGCTCTGAGGGGCCAGCTACAATTCTTGCCATAGGGCCCCCTTCATCCTCAAAGCAAGCAACAAAGATTCTCCCTTATGTCAAAGGGATATGTATATCCCACTCACTTAGAATCCCTTTCTCCAGGAAATGCCCAGTCTCTTTTAAAAGCTTACCTGATTCGGTCAGGCTTATCAAGGATGTTTTTCTTGTCTTAAAGTCCCTTTTATTCACAGTTCTGGCCCACTCTTGAAGGCAGAGGATTATACAAGTATGTACAGGGGGTGAAAATCTTGGGGGTTGTCTTAAAATTCTGCCTACCACATTACCCTTCCTACTGATAATAGTTTCTTTCTACCACATAATCATGCACTAAATTGAATTATCCCCTGGGTAGAAAGAAAAGAAAAAAAAAAAGTAAAAGTGAATCATAGACATGGGAATGAATGTGTGCTACTGGTATGGCTTCTCTGATTTGACACATATGTGAACTTTACAAAATTCTAAAATCTATACATAATGTAGTGTGCATCTATTAAATCCCTGAACTTCTTTGGTCTTCAGTTTCATAATTTGTAAAACAATGATTGCCACTTTGTATGAAATAGTCATAAATACAGTCATAAATAAAATATTTATATTCTAAAATTTACAAGGTGACGGAAATGAAAAAAATGGTCTCAACTTATCTTTCTGTTAATGTCCATGAAAAGTAATCTCTACAACAGGTTCATTAAAAAGTAGCCTCCTAAACCTTTGATAAATGATCTATTTGACCTTGCATTAAAACATTCCCCTGGCCAGGCGCGGTGGCTCACGCCTGTAACCCCAGCACTTTGGGAGGCCAAGGCGGGCGGATCACGAGGTCAGGAGATCGAGACCATTCTGCCTGACACGGTGAAACCCTGTCTCTACGAAAAGACACAAAAAATTAGCCGGGCGTAGTGGGGGGCGCCTGTAGTCCCAGCTACTCGGGAGGCTGAGGCAGGAGAACAGCGTGAACCCGGGAGGTGGAGCTTGCAGTGAACCGAGATCGCGCCACTGCACTCCAGCCTGGGCGACAGAGCGAGACTCCATCTCACAAAAAAAATTCCCCTATATATTATTTCTATTTATAGAATTTTAAGAAAATATTTGCAATTATTTAATCACTTTAATTTTTCAAGTTACTTTCATAATTATTGTCACATTCGTTATTTAAAAAACTATATAAAATAGGTAAAACATGAATTACTTTCTTCATTTCACAAGTGGAAAAAACCCTGAGTCTGAGAAAGAATAAATATTTTTCCACAGCAAGTTAGGTAAAGAACCAAGAAGCAGATTCCAATTTTTTTCTTCAACTTGTTTTTTTTGTTTTTTATTTTGTTTGTTTGTTTGTTTGTTTTGATATGGAGTCTCTCTCTGTCACCCAGGCTGGAGTACGGTGGTGCAATCTCGACTCACTACAACCTCCGCCTCCCAGGTTCAAGTGATTCTCCTGCCTCAGCCTCTCAAGTAGCTGGGACAACAGGAGCCCGCCACCACACCTGGCTAATTTTTGTATTTTTAGTAGAGACGGGGTTTCACTTTTTTGGCCAGGCTTGTCTTGAACTGCTGACCTCAAATGATCCGCCCGCCTCAGCCTCCCAAAGTGCTGTGATTACAGGCATGAGCCACCGCGCCCAACCTCTTCAACTTGTATTTTAAGTTCAGGAGTACATGTGCAGGATGTGCAGGTTTGTTAGGTAGGTAAACGTGTGCCATGGTGGTTTGCTGCACAGATCATCCCATCACCTAGGTATTAGGCCCAGCATCCGTTAGCTATTCTTCCTGATGCTCTCCCTCCCCTCCTCCCCACCCCCGACAGGCCCCAGTGTATGTTGTTACCCCCATGTGTCCATGTGTTCTCATTGTTCAGCTCCCACTTATAAGTGAGAATATACAGTGTTTGGTTTTCTGTTTCAGCATTAGTTTGCTGAGGATAATGGCTTCCAACTCCATCCATATCCCTGCAAAGGACATGATCTCATTCCTTTTTATGGCTGCCTAGTATTCTATGATGTATTTGTACCAAATTTTCTTTTATCCAGACTATCATTGATGGACATTTAGGTTGATTCTATGTCTTTGCTATTGTGAGTAGTGCCACAGTGAACATATGTGTGCATGTATCTTTATAATAGAACAAATTATATTCCTTTGGGTATATACCAGTAATGGAATTTCTGGGTCAAATGGTATTTCTGCCTCTAGGTTTTTTCTAATGTGGCCTGAGGCACTTCCTATTCCACTAATGCTCCTTTCATCTTTAGTAGTAAGCAGCTATTTTTTTAAGGTGTACAAATATCACATCTTGTTTATCTTGCATTCCAAGGGGCATAGCACAGTCAATGTTTGTTGATGCAACCAACATTGAGCACTGCTAAGTGCCAGATATGGTTCCAAGCAGTGAGGCGCTGGGGCTATCTGACACACATGACACAGCCCTGCTTTCATGAAGCTTGTCAAGTTTAGATATTTCTTCCAAGGAGCATGATTTCTGACTAAGTCTCCAAGGAGCACTTAAACATCTGAGCACATAGAATCTTTTGATGTAGGATATGAAGTCAAGCAAAGGAAACAGTAATTACATCAAGTATTGAAATAATAACCAGTCACCAACTCATCACAGTGGAACATTTCAATTGAATTCTGAAGAATATTCAATATAAATTTAAAATATAGCCTCTAAGAATAATTTATGTCATTTAGTCATTCACAAAAAAGGAAACTTAACACTTAACACAAGATATACTATTAATCTGCATTGCTCTACAGTGATTTTTTTTCCATTTAATCCTTGCAACATCCCTTTGAGAGTAGGTGCTATTACTAACCTCCTTTTACAGATGAGGAAACCAAGGCAAAAACAGAAACTTGCCCAAGATCACACAGCCAGTAAAAGCCAAGATCTAAATCCCCAGTATCTCATTCTGGAATTCAGGCTTTTAACCAGTAGGCTCTGTTACCCAGTAAATATTTGCTGAGCATCTTCTAAATTCCAGGCACCGGGGATTGAAAAGCTGTTTTCGTTTTATTAATAGGATTATGAACTGAAGGAGAAATCTGATCTGATATAAATCTCGTATGACCTGATTTGCATATGAGCTTATCTGAATCATTTCTTTGGGTGGAAAATGCACTACTACAGTTTCTATAAGTTTCTGAATGGTAATGACAACTTCTTCCTTCTATACCTCCCTGCTATTACAAGAGTGTCTTCTCAGAAGAGAGTAAAGGAGTTTCCAAAAAGAAGAAAAATACTTATTGGACACCCCCTAGCCAAAATTCAGGTAAACATTTTTCTGGGGCATATGCCATATATATCAGGTTTTCTCTTTGGAAATGCCTCTATCCTTCAATAAAACCTCTCTCCTCTCCGCCATGAAAGTAAAACAAAATAAGGGTGGGTTCTTATCAATTTGAGCCTGAACAATACTTTTATAGTTGCAAACCCAAACCACATTTGACTACAAAGACATGAACATCATTTACAAATAAAATTTTATTCTGCCATTAAGAAATTTGGTTCATCTTCCAAAGTTTTAACATAAGACAGAGAAATGTGTCTTACACTTTTTAAATATATTTTTTTTTGTAGCAATGGCTAGCTAAATAGCAGAGAAACCAGTGTAGGAGTATCTTTAGTGTATTGGAGTCTTAATAGATTATCTTCATCATTAACATATCTGCAACATTTACATTGTGTTAGTAACCTTAGCATTTATGTGACTTTTTTATTTTTTATAATCTAATTTGAATTCTTCCCACACTGCTGTTATTTGGAGAATGCTTTATTCTCATTGTATGTGTGCTTGAGTGTGTGTGCTTCAAAAGACACATACAAGAAAAGATACATCAATATTCTCAGGGTGTTTTTAAACTGAACTCCAAATTCAAGAGATTTATGGTTTAAGTATGAGTACACAGTACATTTTCAAAAAAGCCAACCTTTCATCAAAATCTGTAATAGGTAAGCAAAGAGAAACAAAATCATCTGGCAACAGCGCTACATTTTTCCAACATTTCCCCTCACTATTTTACATTCCTTTTCCTCCTACAATTTTAAAATCCAAATTTACAGGAAAGCTTTTTGAGAGCACAAAACCACTTCCCAATTATATGCTTGATACTTAAATACCTAACAACTTATCTAATACTTATTTAAATGAGCCCAATTATGACAATCATTAGCATTTCTCCATTTACTCTTCTCTAATTATAATAGTACAGTACAAAGGTAGAGACGTAACACAAACGATGCTGAGCAGAGCAATGCAAAGTCATTTATTCACAAGAAGGAGGGAAGGGTCTCTTGGCATATTTACTAACGCAGAGTCAAAAATGTTTGCCAAAGCAGTGTTTGGAGGTGAGTCTGCAATCATTTTTAAGAGAAAGGAAATTTTGCTCCCCAAAAGGAGAGAAAAAGAGAATAGTCAAAAGCAAATTTCCTCCAGGGGCTCATTCACGTCTGCTGATTTTTTCCTTTCTAATTAGAAGGCCTTATGCTTGGGCAATCAAAAACACTCAGGCTTAGAGGTAAAAACTGGACAAAGAAGTAGTAGAGTTATCAGACAAATACAGGTCCCAAACTTACAATAGTGAGACTTCCAATTTTTAGACTTTAAAATTTTTTGAGAGTGATATGCATTCAGCAGAACTATACTTCAGATTTTGAATTTTGATCTTTTTTCAGACTAGCGATATCTGGTAGAATACTCTTTCTCCCAATGCTGAATAGCATCAACAAGCTGCAGCACCCAGTCAGCCATGCACGGAGGTAAACAACAGGGTTTTGGGATCATAATGAAAAGAAAAAATACACTGTGCAGCCAAACTTGATACCTTCCTGAAGAACACTACTCCTGCTAAACCATCAACAAGTGTTCATAACTCAGTGTTTTCTATCATCTGTTCTCGAGCCTCCCCAGAAAAGAGAGAAACTGATGATCCTGCTGCAGTAGCATCCCAGACATCCAGCAATTAATTTTACTTTGTTGCTTCATATGTTAATAACAATAAAAAGGACTGGATTTCTTCAGGCTAAATATAGAAACTAGCCAAAGTCACAGGGAAAAGACATCTGACATAAAACCTAAAGAAAATGAAAAGTGCATCTATTCTGAAGCTCATTGTCCTTATTTCTTCTTCAGATGAAAGAACTGTTTTCAATGTTATATTTGTGTTATGTTATGTTTTATCCCAAGCTTAGCAGATTGAGATAAATCTAATTAACAATGCTTCTAGGAGTATAACTTGTAGACCACGTGTTTACAAAAGAAGCAAAAGTAGCAGAAGAAAATTGTCCTGGAGGTAACCAATATTAATTAAATTAATTAATTAATTCTCATGCTGGCACAGGATTCTATGATTCTGAGAAGTAAACATGTATTTGCCTTAAATATCCCATTTAAATGCCTTCTTTTATTCATTCATTCCACATTTTACTATGTGCCAATCCCTGATTTAAGGATTGGAGATGGAATGTAGTGTAAGACAGGCATGATCCATGATCTCATTGAGCAAATATTTCATTGGAATTATAGAATTCAAAAAGTAGAATAGGTACCATATACCTGACATAAAATTTAAATCAAAATGGATAACAGGCCTAAATGTAAGAGCTAAAACTGTAAGATTCTGATATGGTTTGTTTCTGTGTCCCCATCCTAAACTCCTGTTGAATTGTAATTTCCAGTGATGGGGGAGGGACCTGGTGGAGGTGACTAGATCATGGGGGCAGATTTTTCCCATGCTGTTCTTGTGATAGTGAGTTCTCATGAGATCTGATGGTTTAAAAGAGTGTGGCACTTCCCTACTCACTCTTTCTCTTTCTCTCCTGCCACCATGTGAAGAAGTTTCTTGCTTTCCCTTCTCCTTCTGCCATGATTGTAAGTTTCCTGAGGTCTCCCAAGAAGCAGAAGCATATACAGCCTGCAGAACCATGAGCGAATTGAAACTCTTTTCTTTACAAATTACCCAGTCTCAGGTGGTTCTTCATAGCATTATGAGAACGGACTAAGACAGTCTCAAAAAAACAAAACAAAACAAAACAAAAACAAAAAAAAAAACAGGAAAAAGCATCATGACATTGGATTTAGCAAGATTGTTTGGATATGACATCAAAAGCAGAGGCAACAGAAGAAAAAAATAGGTAATTTGGATTTCCTCAAGGTTAAAAACTTTTGTATGTCAGAGGACAGTATCAACAGAGTGAAAAGACAACCCATAAAATGAGACAAAATATTTGCCAATCATATACCTGATAAGGGAATAATATCCAGCATATATAAAGAACTCCTACAACTGAATAACAACAAACCAACCATCCAATTTAAAAACGGACAAAGACTTGAATAGAGATTTCTTCAAAGAATGTATACAAATGGGTAATAAGAATATAAAAAGATGCTTAACATCACTAATCATTAGAGAAATGCAAATCAAAACCACAATAAGATACCACTTCATACATATAAAGGATGGCTATTACCCAAAAAAGGGTAGGGGGTGGGGAATGAATGTTAGTGAGGATGTAGAGAAAATGAAATCTTGCTCATTGCTGGAGGGAAGGCAAAATGGTATTGCTACTATGGAAAACAGTATTAAAAATAGAATTACTATGTGATCCAGCAATTTCACATCTGGTTATATAACCAAGAGAGTTGGGAGCAAGGACTCAAGCAGTTATCTATACACCTATATTCATAGCAACACTATTCACAATAGCCAAAATGTAAAAGCTACCCAAGTGTCCACTAACAGATAAATGGATAAATAAAATGTGGTATATACATAAGATGGAATAATATTCAGACATAAAAAAGGAACCAATTCTGACACATGCTACAATATGGATTAACCTTGAGGATTTTAGGCTAAGTGAAATAAGCCAGTTACAAAATGACAAATACCGTATGATTCCATTTATAAGAGGCACTTAGAGTAGTCAAATTTGTTCATAGAGACAGAAAGTAGAATGGTGGTTGCCAGGAGCTGGGTGAAAGAGAGGAATGGGAAGTTAGTGCTTGGTGGGTGTAGAGTTATGGGACTGGGAAGCTGAAAAAAGTCATGGAGATGGATAGTCATGATGGTTATACAACAATGTGAATATACTTAATACCATTGAACTGTACACTTAAAATGGTTAAAATGGTAAATTTCAGATTATGTACACTTTACCACGGTAAAAACAAAGTATACAAAGATAATTTCAGGCAGTAAGAAGTGCTACAAAGAAACATTGTATCACTGAAAGTGACTGGAAGAAGCCCGAAAACTACATTAGAATGAGAGTACTCAGTGGAAATGACATTTGACTGAGGTCTGATTGACAAGAAAGAATCAGAAAGGTGAGACCTGGGGGACAAGCATTTGAAGCAGAGAGTATAGCAAATGCAAAGTCCTTGAAGCAGGGATGAGCTCTGCATGTTGAAGAAACAGAAAAAAGGCACACTAGAGTGGATCCTGGGAATGTAGATAAGGGATGACCTACAAGGGATAGGTAAGATGTGGTAGGCCAGGGAAGGAGCCTAGATTTTCTTCTAAGGACAATGTAAAACTTGGAGGATTTTTGAGCAGGAGAATTAAGTGATCTAATTTGTTTGTAAAAGATCACTTTGGCCACTGTGTAGGAAATGAATCATAAGAGGGCAAGAGTTGAAGCAGATCCATTAGGAGTTGTTCTAACAGTAGGGACGGTGGTGGCTTGGAATAGATGATAGCAGTCATGACAGAGAAAAATGGAGGCATTCAACATATGTTTTGAAGGTAAAGCCAACAAATCTTGCTGTTTTCATTATAAATAGGGTAATCATACATTCCCTGTTTCCCTGGGACAGAGCTGATTTCTGTCTGTTGTCCCAGTGCCCTGTATGGTTAGTATCTCTTTTATTCTCAACAGTATCCCAGTTTGAAGAATAAATCATATGGTTGCCCTAGCTATGAAGAACAAAGGAAAAATAAGAATCAAGGGTAACTCCTCAGCTTAAGGCAAATTTGTAGTATTGATGTTTCAAAGATGCACTATTAACAGTATTGTTAATGAAGGAAAAACAACAGAACTCCACATTTGTTTTATTCATGAGTCCTTTTTGTCCATAGTCACTTAACAATCTCACATTCCTCTTTCCATCCCAATTCAGTAGCTATGTAAATGTACTAAAACTTCAGAAGAAAAAAAAAAACAAGGCAAATTGAATTAGCCAACTAAAAGACAGTTCAAGTAATTGATCAAGAAATACAAGAGAAAAGGAGCAATTCCCAGGAGACAGCAGCACGTACAGGAGTAGCTCTTAGGCTGTCCCCGGTCCTTCTGCTCAGACAGAGACAAAGAACATGGAACCGGGTCTTTGGTCTGCTAACACTGTGGTAGAAGGAGCTTTATCCTGGATCCTGGACCAGGGAAGATTTTATGCTACGAAGAGATAGAAAAGAAGACTCTCGGGGAAACAGCCCTGTAGAGGGCCTGGACCACATTAAAAAAAAAAAAAAAAAAAGACACTGGAAATTAGTTAGAAAAAAGCATCAAAAATGAAGAAGGCTATATGAGAATTCTTCCTTTGAAGGAGGATTGTGGCACAGGAATATCTAGCATCTAAAACCAAGAAACATATTTTTCTATCTGGAAGCTGTTATTTCCTGAGATAACCCTCAAGGAGTGCCAAACACATTATTATTTTGCATTCTGAAAAAAACCACAGGCTGATGTGGCCTGAGAAAATACCTGCTACATATGTTTTTCTTTCTCTCTCTCTCTCTCTCTCTCTCTATCTCTGTGTGTGTGTGTGTGTGCACGCGCGCGCACGCATCTGTCTCACATACACACAAACACACACACAGTTCTTATGATACATTATTGCTTTCTTCCTTTATCCAAAGAAGTAGCAGCAATGAAAAAAATCCTCTGAAGTTTGCTTTCATAATTCTGAAGTTCAACAAATATCCACAAGGCCAAAATAGAACTTCAGGCCACCCTGAAATAACTGTTAAACGAAATTAACACCAAAGCTTAGTACTAGAACTATCCACGTTTATTAACATTTGAAAGCAAATTCGTCAAAATTTACACCTCTTGTTACACAATGAACCGATATACTTTTTTAAAGTGATGGGTAATTGACTGGGGACTGTCAGTGAATGTTATCTGGGTAAAGAAGAAAATAGATTAGTTGTGTTTCAAAGGGAATTACTGTATGTCACCTGCTACCCATAATTTTCAGGCTATTTTAAGCCTTGGTTTTGTGACCATCTACATACTATGATTTCGAATATTACCCTAAATAGAAGAACTCTAGTAGTGCCCAGGGACTCAAAGCTGATTTTTTTTAAATTTCAGTAATTGTTTTTTGTCAGTTGATAGCCCTAGGATATGAAGAGCACCAGGACTTAACTAAAGTCTAAATTCAGCTCTAACATAAAGAAAGAGTGAGAGAAAGGGAGCGAGCGAGGGAGAGAAAGGATGGGGGAGACAGAGAGAGATACAGAAAGAATCCTTTTAGGCCAGCCAAATCTATATTTATGGCAACCTGCCCCAATATTTTAAATACATATGATTCATGGAAGCATCTGAATGATCTTTTTAAAACCACAGAGCTGAAACAAGTAATTGCTAAAGAGTCATTGGATTAGAAGGCTAGGTGAAGCCCACTATTTCTTCAGGTTTTCATGATCAACAGCTGCCCCAAACATACTTGATTCCACTTTTGCTTATGCAAATATCATTCATCTTGCCACCAGCATTTGCTTTAGTCCCTTAACAGAGTTCTTTAATCGTAGTTGTTTCCACAGATCCATCAAATCGCATTCATTATTGTATCCTGGACTCTAAATTAAGCTGAATAACACTGAGATGTTATCTTTCACGTGTTATGTGCTACCCAAATATTATCAATTCTCATAAGACTGCCTGAATATTGTGAGCCACACATAGCTACCTCCAGGCCAATGCAGTGATTGCTCATTTTACCTAACATTAGTCTCCCTTGGTTTTAATTCACGTTCAGATCTTGGCTTTTCCAGTGGATAAAATTTCAACATGATTTTAAAGTAGTCTCCAGCCTCTAGTCCAGCAGAGTTAAACTCTTGGGGACTTTCTTCAAGAATTTCAATTAATGGACTGAATTGAAAAAGCTTTTCCTATAAACAAGTGATGAGCTATATAGGAAATTTGACTCTGAACAAAATGCCTTGGCAGTCATTTACACATCCATAATCTAATAGATGATTTTCAAACTGGACCACATATCAAAATTATACTGTAAAATTAAAGAAAAATGTTTCTACTTTAGAAAAATAGGAGCATTTTTTACTGTATGAAGAATGGTGAAGTTTCTAAACAGAACAGTTGGCATCACTTTGAGTAGTCTGCTGATTTGGAAAGAGAAAGAGTGCCTCAAGACTGTGAATAAGCCATTTTCCTTTGGCAATCAAGAAATCGTTGGGGACAGAAATAGAGTCACTACCAATCTTAGCACCAGAGCCTCAAGGTCAACTGAAGAACTAGACTGTTCTCTACCTCTTTCCCACAATCATGTGATTATTCCCTTTTTGTTCTTGCTGAACATGACAAATATTTTTTCTAAAGAATATATAAACCCTATTGCAGCATTCATTTTCCATGGAAAATATTCTGTTAGAGTAAGAAGAATGAACAAAAGTATCTCTCTTCTTTGGTTGTTCAGTCCTTTCCAGAAATCTGCCACTTCTGCCAACACATTTCATAAATCCAAGGATAACTAGTTTGGGCCAAAATTATGTTTTCAATAATTAAGATAGAATGATGCTGGCAAAGCTGAGTTTTTACCTCATATATACAGATACTTATGCCTATTTTCCATTGTTTTGCCACTTTCAGAGAATTTGAACAAAAGATTTGAATATCCAGACACATTATATATCAAAATTAATCAACAGGTATTTGTTGAGTGCTTCATATGTAGCAAGCATTTTGCTAGAAACAGGTACCTCCTTTTCTTATCTCAGGTGCCAAGACAAAAAAGTTGGTTTGAAGTCCCAGTCCAAGTTCCAGCTTTTCATCTAAGTAGTTGTCTGCAGCCATTCCAGTCCACAGTGAATTTTTTCTTTCTCTAAGCAACTATAGCATTTATATCTGTATTTCTTATTTTAATTCAAGGCAGTGAATTCCATTTGATGGAATTGATGATGTTAAATAACATCATTGCAGAGCTTGGCACATGCTTTGTATGTAGTAGATATGTATCTACTGTATTAAATACTGTTAAAATTAAGTATTAAAAATGAATATTTGCTTCCCTCTTTAAGATAATGTCTATACTTAAATACATGGAACTCACTATGTAACATATCTCTAGGTACAGCTCTTATATTTTTATACCATGCACTTTACAATCTTGTTATCACTAGAGGGGTGAAGAAGAGGAAGGTCACCAAACTACCCATGAAGCTGAGGTGGTAGCAGCTAGAACATCACAACTGATAGGTCAGTTGATACTCTGAGCCAGTGATTCCAATCTCATACAACAATTTGCCATTTTTATCATTACCCATACCTCCAATGCAATCATCTGAAGGTCCTAATTAACCGCCACATCCCCTAGGTGATCCCAGACCCACGATAGTCATTCAGTGATTTGTCAAACTCAAGGTAAAGTGCAAGCTCAATCACAATACTGTTTCATAACTGTCTCATATCTGCTCTAGGAAAGATATTTTGAAACACTTTTTGAAGATTTGCTATTAAGTGTTTTTAATAAGCTTCCAAAGAAATGTAAAGCATTCTAATTGCTGTCGACAGAGTATCAAGTTGAGTGACATATTCTTTTCAGCTAGTCATTCTTTGGTGTGACACTGAACAATAATACTGAACCATTTGAACATTTAAAATTATTTTTAAAAGAATAACTAGTACCCACTGTTAAATCTACCAACCTGTTGGCATCGGTGCCCAAAATTCTACCTTCTTTCTTGATAATATAGATAACCAGTCTGTGCTCCTAGTTAAGATTAACCCACCATTTGTACACTTGATTCCATCCCCATGTACCTACTCAAGAGCATGGGAACCAGCTCTTCTCCACTGGCTCTTACAGGAACAGATTGTCCTATTAAACCACTATATAAAAACATAAATATGCTGTAATTTCTCTTAAATAAAAACTAGTTTCTTCACCCCACTCCCCCTGTAACTTCATCTTCTATTACCCCATTTCTCTTCAACTATTTCCACCAAACCTCCTTGAAGGAGTTATTTAAATTCCTGTCTCCAATTTCTAGCCTTTCATTCTCTCTAATCAGGGCTTTGCTCCTGCCAAAACCATTCCTATCAGGGTCACAAATGACCCTCCAGTTTGATAAATCCCACAGTCAGTTCTTAGCCTTCATATTCCTTGACATGAATAATCTAAATTCTTTGAAATGTCATCCTCATTTGACTTCTAGAATACCAAACTCATCTGGTTTTCCTTTCTACTCCTTCTTAGCCTCCTTTACTGGTTCCTGCTCTCCTCTCCAACTTCTAATAACCCCAATGTCTAGAAAAGGATTTGAAATATGGTATATGTCCAATATGTATTTTGTGAATAAGTGAATGGATAAATCAACCTCATTAACAAACACCTACTATAGTAGATTAGAAGCTGGCTCCAAGGTCAATGATATGATTTTTTTAACATATCCATCTGCAAAGGAAATATTCTATCAAGGAAAGAAGGGCATAATGTTTAAACTTCTCTAGACAGTTTCAGAGATATGGGCCCTGCAAATTATCTTCTCCCAAATCCCATATAATTTTTAAACCATTACAATTAAGTGAATACTCGGCACTTACCATGGTCAGCCATCAGTTTCCAATCAAATTTACATATCAGCGAAGGCTTTATTTGATATAGGAAATTTGCTTTTTAGTCCATTCGCATCTTCTTTATAATCAATACATCAGTCTATTTATGGATTTTTATAGGATTTGGTATTCAACTTTATTATTTTAGACTATTACAGAGAACTTGGCTGTTATAAATTTTCTTTTACAATGCTTTATTGCTGAATCTCTGATTTGTTTGCTTTTGAGTCATTGGTTAGGAGCACAAACTTGCAACAATATTATTCTTTTAGGAAAATATTAATCTGACATATAGAACCATTTTCAGGAATGCATTGTGATGGAAAGCAATTTACAAGTTTTTATTGTAAGAGACTCTGTGTACATTCTGTGGGTTTATCAAGGTAATATTAATGATGGAAATGAAGATTTCAAATACATGTAATTAAAATAATAAATGCTTAATAGCAAGGTGCAGCACAGACAAAATCTATTGTATATTGGCATTGCTAGAAGTGGCTTTTTAACAAATAGAATTTACACATTCAAATGAATTTTCATTTCAAACCGGTTACATATCTTAAAAACAAAGAATCAGCAAGACCCCCTGGGGAAGTCTGTAAATTTTAGCTATAAAAATAATAACCACTAGAATTTATACATCCAAACAGGTATTGTTCCCCTCACAGTGATAACCTTGCAAAGCTGCCCCACATTCCAGTGTTGGTGTCATATGCTCAGAACATTTTTGGAACTCCATCTTCAAAAACAGCACCAAAGCCTACATTGCACTCTTTATTGCCCTCAGAGGGCCATGTGTTCATACTTTGAGGGTGTATTCTTTTAAAAAACAAGACAAAACAAAATTATTCAGTGTTAAGACCAACAAATCAGATAATGATAAAATTGAGTAATACCATCATGAATCCAAAATGAGATTTAACTACAAAATAAAAAGTCAAATTTCCTTGTAAAAGATTGCAAATCTGCTCTGAAGGCAAGTCCCAAAGAGGAGGAGATTTAAGTATGTATTGAGCAACTGAAGCAAGGTTAAAATGAATGTAGCCTCCAGGGTGGCTACTGTGAAGGGTACCAATCACTTTGGTTTTAAATTCAGAAAACTTTGTTTTAAAACTTCTTTTCGGTGGATATTTTGTAACTTAGGTACCTAAGACACTAGAAGCTAATGTTCCCCATTCTTCTCAGGGTTATGCTTCTCAACTTCAAAAATATCTGTATAATTGACTAAGGTAGCTCTTAGCTTTTTATTAAGAAATAATTTTAGCCTCACTCCGGAATGGAAAACCAAATATTGTGTGTTCTCACTTATAAGTGGGAGCTAAGCTATGAGGATGAAAAGGCCTAAGAATGATATAATGGACTTTGGAGACTCAGGTGGGGAGGTTGGGAAGAGGCGGTGAAGGACAAAAGACTACACATTGGGTAGACTGTACACTGCTCAGATGACGTGTGCAATAAATTCTCAGAAATCACCACTGAAGAACTTACGCATGTAACCAAAAACCACCTGTACCCCAAAACCTTTGAAATACAAATAAAAATTTTTAAAAAAAGAAATAATTTTAGAAAGAAATCAGTTTACCTTTTAAAATTTTAAATGGATAATAACAGAAAAAATATAAACCTTAATATCATTCCAAAATTCCTTAATTTACAGATTTGTTTATTTATTTTGGCTAACATTGAATGCTTACTCTATTTCAGATACTTCTAAACACATTAAGCATATTCATTCATTCCATCTTTATAAGAAACTTGTAAGATACATTCTATTACTAGCTTCATTTTACACATAAAAAAAATGAAGTCAGAGAAATTAAGAGACTACCAAAAATCACATAGAGCCAGAACAGGAACACAGGCAATTCAATCCAGAGCTGTTCTTTGAACTACTGCACTCCATTCTGAGAATATTCACCAAATTATCAAGACATATTAGAAAAATATATATTACAAAGATAATAAGATATGCAGAAATGAGGAGAAAAGCAACAGTAAAGCATTAGCCATTAACAAATTCTTCTAAATTGTTCAGTTTTTTAAATGCTAAGAATATTTGTAATTGTATCATTATTCCTGTTTATCTAACCCCAGGCACCAGGCCACTTAGATAAGTCCTTGCTAGGGAATCTGAGTGACATAGTAAAAGTGTCCTTCGTAGGACACTTACTTATTATTATACGGTCTTAGAAAACTGTCCTACCACATGACACATACAACTATAAGAGCATCATAAGAATGCTATGATAAGAGTAAGAAATGCAAGGTCTTTGAGCATCAGGCACTGTGCTAGGCACTCAGGCTGCAAGTGAAAGAAGGGATATAATTGCCACCCTGCTGGAGTTAATGTCTTAAGGGATAGACAGTCGATTAACAATTAAACAAATAAATACGTGAGTGTTATTCTAATCATGAGGAAAATAAACATGACACTGTGATAGAGAATAAAGTGGGTGGTTAGGAAAGGTCTAAAAGAACATGGTCAGGTCCAGTGCACTGAAATTCTGTAAGGCCAGATGGCATAGCAATGAATAACATTAAGAAATTGCATAGCAAGAAATTAGTATCTATATCTGAGTGGCACAGCTCAAACAAATTTCATTTAGTAAGGCAGACTCCGTGAGTTGATATGTCCAATTCCCATACTAACCTATAAATGGTTAAAAAGCAAAAGGCCCTGGTTACCTAAAGGATCTCTCACCTGATTTTAGTAAACTTTGAGTGAGCCTCTGAAAAACAGGTGGTTCCAGGAATCTGCATTCAACCCTACCATAATATTGTTAGTCTCATGTGTAGGCTTGCATTGCTTATTTTCTGGCTTCAATCATACAAAGGAAAACTAATATTGCTCAGAGGTAAAGAACGCTTTTTGCCAGTCCTCAAGTTTGAACCAGTCTTTGTGAACTGTCTTTCCCCAGAAAGCCTCTGTGAGCATTTAATATTTAAACTGAAATCTAAAGGATGAGAAGGAGCCAGTTTTGCAGAACTTCAGGAAAAAGAATGCTACAGGTCTGGTTCAAAAAGCAAACTTTTACAAAGACTGATATTAGCAAAACATCTCTCTAAATTGGCATATCTTTACTGGTCCCTTTTAACATTACCATTTCCCATTACCATAAAGCCAGCATCCCATATTAAGATGTGGAAACCATTATCAAGGGAAGCAAAGGGGTAACTGCTGGTTCTCTTATTTGGAGGTCTTATCTGCGTTTGGACTCTTAATCTTTAAGCACAGCCCAACTCCCCTGCTGGATCTGGGATTCCTGTCTTGGTGCCAGAGATGTTGCTTAGATTGTGAGGTACTCTTTCAAAAGCCAAGCATCCACACATCACTGATAATAAAAACACTGAAGTCACATAAGTACTATAGAGAAAGCAGGAAAGGTGAAGGACCTTTGCTTTAACTATACCTGAGTCAAAAGGAAACTGTTTAAAAAATCTGAGATACACAGACACATAAGATGTCACAACAGGATCCTATTCATAAACAAGAAAATGCAGAACATTTGTTTTTTAAAAAGCAGAGGAATAAATGAACCAGACCAAGGTCTGGTTTCTTAAAAAAGGCTTTACTAAATTGGGTGTCCAGGATTATAAATCCCAATTACTATTTGAGTCTCCCCTTTTCTAAGTATTTCCAGAATAAGATAAATGACCACATTTTGCCTTAAAACTATGTTAATGAAAAAACTTCTAAAGCATACAATGCAATTTCCAAAATTTTAATAATGATAACTCAGTGTCACAAATGAAGCCAAATCTGGTGGGTAAGCCAGTGTTGAAACATAGGCACAAATGGCTTAGCTTGTCACTCTCGTGCAGTTTGCAAACCCTTCCCCAAGCTGCCAAACTGTACTGATTGCCAGGCCTCTGTAATGTCACACAATTTCTCTTAGGGGCTGTTGAGCAGCAGGTACACATACCTGTGCATGTCCTCATGGGGCACATGCCTGAAATCACACAGCTCCACACCCCAAGTTGCAAAACTGTTTTATGGACATTTTGCATATCTCTCTCTCTCTTTGATTCCCCATCAGAATGTCTCCTGTTTAACACCCCCTTGCTATTTCTAATCTCTGTAGTCAGCTGTTGCAGCTGTGTCTAATTCCACAATTCTGCTTCTGTTTCTTCATTGATTATTCAAAAAGAATTTATTAAGAATTATGTCCCAAGCACTGTGTCAGGCAAAAACTGAACCAAAAAGACATGATCTCTAATTGCAAGGAGCTTAAAATGCAGAGTAGACAGATGTTAAACAAACAAATATAGCATTAGAACTTGCAGTAATATAATACTTTGAGGGGGAAGGATAGAAAGGAGCTTATTTGGACTCTGGTTCCTGAAGGCATTTCTGAGGAGGTAATAATTAAACTAAGGCCTAACAGATAAATAGGAAAAAGCCAGAGAAAGAGTGAAGAGAAGACACTGAAGGCATAAGGTGCAACACAGGCAAAGGCCTGAAACCAATGAGAGCTTGGCACATGTGGGGAATGGAAATAGGTTGGTAAACGGGAAGAGTGAAACTGGCATGCAATCAAGTAGCAAAAGAAGTAGGAGTCAGATCATGGCTTGTAGGTCATGTTAAATATTTTTAACACAAGGGTTGGCTAGTAAACAGTATTGACATGATCTGCTTGATTATATTTTAAATGGCTGTCTTGTCTGTCCTATAGGACAGAACTAAGAAGAAGGCAAGAGTGGAAGTTAGAAAGTCAATTACAGGGACATTGCAGTAATGCACGTGGACTCCATCTCTTCTCAGTGAGTTTATTCTGTCTCCTCCAGTCACTTATGACCCACTCTGATTTTTCATGGAAAAGCTTGACTTAGAGGCACTGGTATCCCTCAGTAGTTTTCTCTTTTCTTCCATGTGGTAAATCAAACAATCAGCATGAGAAAAGTTCCAGCTTTTCTCAGCTGTGTTCAAGATTCCCAGAGGCTGCTTTGTCATGAAAGTTTAAAGATGTCTTAAGCTTGTGAAGCTGAACCCCGGAAAACTAAAGTCTACATTCCACTATATTAAAAAGAGATAGTTTCATGGATTCTATGTGACAATATATATAACTTTAATATATACTTATCAGCAAGAATTTCCCATTTTGGAAGTGAAAACACATCTGTCAAAATTTGACTTCAGTGATAAATGGTGTTGCCTTAACATTTTATCACCCGGGTCCTTAACTTGACATCTATAAACACTAAGGAAAGACCATTAATATCCTGAAAGAGTATGCAAACACTTAGATGCATTCGTGCTTGAAGACTTTTCTGCAGAGGTCTGTAACACTCATCAGAGTTTCAGCAGGATTCAAGAGTGAGTGGCTGAGGTTTACCTACCCATGGCTAGCAAGCTTTCTCATCATCTCAACAGGCACATGACCAAGGCTGGCCAATCAGAATCTTCCCTGACACTGATAAACGGATATGAAGAGAAAAAAGCTAGGTTTTCGCTGGAATTCCTAAGCTTGGGCTGCAGTGGCTATGTTCCCTGCCATGTGGAAAAATCCTTCCAAAATAGGACAAAAGTATCAAAAAATAGACATTTAGGTTAAAAACAAACAAACAAAACAGGCAGAGACAGACAGATTTCTGCCATCATTAAATTAAGGCTCTAATTCTTGCCTCTGTTCCTCCAGTTCTGGAATCTACCCCAGTATCCTTCCAAGCTACTTGAGCTGATTAATTCTCTTTTTGTTAAGCTAGCTTGAGTTGGAAGTCTACGCCTCTTGCAAGAAAATTAGTCCTGGCTTATAAAATAATACTCAAATCCTTAAGAATTATCTCTTCAGTGTAATGATCTGATATCGAAATCCATCAGAGACTTAAAGATATTAAAATTGAAATTGAATAAAAATATGAATTCATATTTGACCACTTAACTTTCAGAGATATTACTATGACTACCTACAGATATTTTACCAGATTTAGTTCTAGCAGCAGAAATTAAAGCCTAATTAGACACCTGTGGGAAGCTTATTAAATTATATTTACACATTAAATGTTTGCTTAATAATCTAATAAACCATAAGACCACTTGAGGTTACAAACTAGATGGCATATTTTAGACAAATTTAATGGAATTAGGTAGCTCACATAAAATTATTTAATCCAGTACATGTCATAAAAGACCTAAAATGCCATGACAGAAAGAGACTTGTAATTTCATTTTAGTGGTAATGATGATATAAGGAGTAAAAACTGGTAAATCACAAAATATAGAAACACTCTGCCTAATCAATAGTGTAAGTCTATAGAACATCCTCCAAATCAATATGATATATAATAATGACAAGAAGCACGTAAATGAAAAAAAAAGTGAATTGTCTCCCAGCCCAGAACTATTATCCGTACTATATTAAAAGAGCATTTAACACAAAAATGTGATCAGTCTTCTTAACTGCAGTAGCACTGACAATAAATAAAATTTATCTTTCCTTCTTCATAATAGAGAGTTATAACGCTCCAGAAACCTCACAAAACTAGAAAACAAATAGTTTTGAGAATCTTAGACCACACTAGCACTTAACTACAGACTCACACCTGCAGGCTTTTGGCAATATTTAGAACATTCAAAGTTTATAATTACTGAGTTCAATGACCATTTATGCATAGGATGTGCATTATAAATTTAACTTCCAGTCGGAGAAATAGCAATGCAGTAAAATCTCATTGAGAATGGAGCATTTTAGATAAATAAATTTTGCCAAGCATATGAGGAGGCAAATAATACACCAAGAGCCAGCAATATGCCAGGCCCTTGCTGGCTGCACTTCACATATATGATGTCATCCCAGCCCCGTGGCACCCCTGCATGGTGGGAAGTATCCCCTTCACTTTACAGATCAGTAAACCAAAGCTCAGAGCATAAGTAACTTGCCCACATCACTTCAGCCTAAGAGATGGATCTGGATGCAAATACAGTCTGACTCTGAGTCAGAAAAATTTTTTTCATTTAGATGATGTTTTATTCAATAAATGCTTATAAAATGAGAACAAATTATAGATGTAAATATTCTTTTAAAGTAGAAAATATTGAATGTATTTTCTCAAAGTCTCAAGGATAATTATCAATATGAATTTTTTTATTTTTCTTGTTATCCCTCAAGGTCAAGTTTTTGATTATTCCACTTCCTGTCATTATGTCTGCCACAAACACTGCCTCTTCATAATAGCAACTCCCTCTACACACACACACACACACACACACACACACACAGCCCTTCAAGTTTGTTCTTTCAATCTTCTCTGGGTGGGAAACGAGAACACCATGTTGTTTAACTATTATATGTTCATTGAGAGCCATTAAAATTCTGGAAGAACTGAAAAAGTCAATTCCATGTTACCAAAGTCTTTGAAACCACTATGTCAGAGGCCTCCTTGGTTTATTCCCTTACTCCTAGTAACATTTACATCCCAAAGGACTGAAATTTCAGAAATGAAGGCTGGAGATAGAAAATTGCTTCCAAATACATGAAAAGTGGCTGTATTTATACCCCTGTACAGTTTGGTCTGAGATTTCTGGTATACTAGCTAACTTCTAAATATAGACTCCAGCAATGATTTATGGACTAGATCATATTTGCAATCCCTTACCCACCTGTTAGATCACTTGAAAATCTTGTTATAGCCTATATCATACATCTCATCCCATCCAGTCATCCTAAAAGAACAGTGTAGACCTTTCTATAACAATGAAGATCATCACTTGTGTACTTCTTGAATGTCAAGCACTGCACTAGGCACTCTGCATGCAGTGACTCACTAATCTCATAAGCAAACAGTTCTGCCCATTGTGGTATGCACATTGTGCTCTTCAAAACTTTTGAGTGCCAGTTATATGGACTACTAGGTGAGTGGTACTCCTTGCAAATGTACAATGCCCAACCTACACAGTGGCATAAAGGTAGGTATTATTGGATTCCCATGGCACAGAAATTGAGGAAACTGAAGCGTAAAAGTTTAAGTGATATAGGTATGTCAGGAAAAAAGGTCTTAATCACTGTGTTATACTGCACCCTACATTTTCCTACAGAATAATGTTGAGTTTTGATACCTTAAAACATACCCATACTTGCAGACACTTCAGATATATCTATACACAAGCACTCAGAATGCAGAAATGGCCTAGGTTAGTAGATTACCCAACAACAACTATCTACTTCTCAAGAGTGCCCCAGAATAAACCAGGACCCAGAAGAGTCCTGATGATCCTAAGAGACCCCTCAAATATAAGAACAGCTCCATAGATTAGATTATGGAACGAATTACCCATGCCCACCTAAGATCCCTAAGAGCCAATACATACATGACTAATGGATTTAACCAATACAGTGCCATGGCTGACATCAAATTATCAAACTAATTCCTAAATGAGTCTATAGGTGCTAAGAACTGATACATCTCTGATCCATAACCATGTCCAGTACGAATTTGGACTTAGCTGGAAATATACACTGAATACACTTTGCATTTACCTGGAGATGCACACTCATCATGCAATACTTGGTAACCAAATTTCCCTAGATTGTTAGTTCTTCCATAAGCCCAAACGTAACTCTTATTCAGAAAGGTAAACACTGTAGAGTTCAAGCAGGTTCCAAGGCAGCTCTGCAGCTGATAAGCCACAGAACCTTTTGTGCAGCTTCTATAAGAGCAATCCATCAGATGGCATGTACCATCACTACCCTACACAGTAAGTTCTACTTCAGCACAGTAGGAATGGACCATTTCTGGAGTCTATTTGAGAGCCCTTTCATTTATCTCAATTTTTACTGTTTACTGAGTACCTACTCTAAGTCTAATACTAGCCAATGGTATAGCACTAGCCAATGGTATATTGAAATGAAAGTGTAGCACTAGCCAATGGTATATTGAAATGAAAAGGAATAGTCCCTGTCCTCAAAGAACCCACAGGAAAAGGAAGGAGGAAGATGTAAAAATAGATAAATCCTAAAACACATAGTAGTGCTGACAAAATGGTGAAAGAGCAATTAGCTCTGCCTGTGGGTGGGACAGGAGGTTGGAGAAAGATTCATAGAAAAAAAAAAGTGACAGTACTAATGGGTCTTGGAGGACAAGTAGGAGTTTGCCTAGTTAAGAAGCTGAGGTGGAGAGCAGGTGGGAGAAAGCTGTTTCTTGCTATATAATTAACTGCAAGAGCATAAAAGGAAATTTTCTTCCTGCTTTCATTATACTTGTGCTTTGTCCTCCCTTGATTATATTTTCTTTGAGTTTAAAGTAAGCAATCAGGGGAGATTCACTAGAATGTTATTTGGATTGAAGTGGAATGGTCTGGGTTCAGGTAGAAACTATTGCTATTTTTAAAATATTTTTCTGGGTCCATTAAAAAATCAGCTGCAATATCATGACTTTTCAACAGTTCATGTTGTGAAAACATGAGATATTTTTCTTCAGAAAAGTGTAACTTGAAGGTCACAATTAAATTAAACATCAACATTTATTAAGATCAAGTTAATACTCTCTGAAAATTAGATTACTCCCCCCAGTGTGTATTTAAATTGACAGCTGGTGACTAGGGTAACGTGTTCCACATTGTTGCACCATAGCAACATAGAAATCTTTACAGAATGTACAATGATTGCTGAAATGGTGATTCCTGAGATCTTTTCCAGTAAACCCCATGAGCTGAACTACTTCCTAAACAGCAGTGTCAGAAGTGTTCTAAACTACATGGCTTTATAGAGAACTCCAGAGCTACCTCCTAAATCTGAACAATTCCTGTATTATGATACAATAATGTACTCTGGACCCAATTTCCTCATCAGCTTAAAGAAAGAGAAAAATACTAAGATGTATTACGGTAGAGGAAAAATAAGCTAGCACATATTTAGGTAAATCATATATCTACCATGTTTAATACTCATAGACTTCACTTAAGAAGACTCTAGGGCTGTCCTGAGCACAGTTGGTCCATCGCCTTTGTATCTGTCTTATCAGCAGTCTACTACAGTCTCTCCAAAGAGGAGAGAAACTTATGTTTCCCACATATATTCTGGGTAGTACTAGCCTCGACTTCTCTTTCTACAGCACATCCTTGTGCTCATGCAACCTCTAGCCCTGCTGACAATAGATGTGTGAACTCAATTTCATGACTCCCATTCATCTGATCAGAGTTCACACTCAGAAAAGTTGAAGAAAAGCATCTTTTAACACTGTCATCTTACACTCATTACAGCTGAAATCAGAAGCATCGCACTGGAGGAAACGTTGACCAAAATCCTGTTTGCTGTTCATTCAGAAATGTTGCTTCCCCAGAACTTCTGGCATTCACCTTGCTAACACTGACTACTTCTTCAAATCTGTAATATTTGCTGTATGTCTAGCTGGATGTTTTCATTTCCAATTTCATCCTAAGGTCAAAATCACACACTTACCCCATCAGAACCAGCAATGATCTGTTATTATCCAGTCCAATATATGAAGGGTGTCTTCAAACAGCAACTAGAGTTGTGCAGAATGGCTTATTAAAGACTACATGCTTCCGGCCAGGCATGGTGGCTCACACCTGTAATCCCAGCATTACAGGGAGGCTGAGGCAGATGGATCACCTGAGGTCAGGAGTTCGAGACCAGCCTGACCAACATGGAGAAATCCCATCTCTACTAAAAATATAAAATTAACCAGGTGTGATGGCGTATGCCTGTAGTCCCAGCTACTCGGGAGCCTGAGGCAGGAGAACCGCTTGAACCCGGGAGGCGGAGGTTGCGGTGAGCCAAGATTGCGCCATTGAACTCCAGCCTGGGCAACAAGCATGAAACTCCTTCTCAAAAAGAAAAAAAAAAAAAAGACTACATGCTTCCTCATAAACACCTGGGAACTGGAGGGGCAGGATGGTATGCATTGATAGGAAATGATACAAATGATAAATGAACAATGTCTAATTATTCAGGCATTGCTCAGACTCAGAGACAAAAGCAGGAAAACTGAGAGTTAGGGATGAAACTCCATCCTCCTCTAACCCTATTGTGCCTGTGTACTGCAGTACATATTAAAGTAACATCAAGACCTATTTTTAGACTTCTGCAATTCCACAGGCATAAATCATTCCTGTACCACAAGTCACCTTTGAGTTGGCAATGCCAAGTTTAACATTTTGCAGAATCCTACAATATAATTGAAAGCAAGTGATATTTAAAATGAATAGTGATAATTTTAATAGAATAAAATTAGCCTAAATATAGCTTGTTTGAGGGAATTTATTGAGTAATAATTAAAAGGAAAAGTGACAAACGTGCCATTTAGCTAATCCTATCTTCACAATAGCTTTCACAGTTGAATTTGGAATGCTGTTCTTCTGAAGCAAAAAAAAAAAAAGCTAATGTAATGGTCTTTTTCTTTTTACATAATATTGATTAACCCTCAGCGATTTTAGACACCAGGGTTTGCTCTGAATTGCGCATCTGATTAAAGAAGGAAAAGCATAGTACAACTAAAGTCACAAGCTGGTCAAAGTGTTACTTTTTATATTAGCCCGTGTCTTTTGTTGAGGAGAATTAAAAACAAAATCTTTTCCCAACCCAGAAATCTTATCCATAAAAGTAGCAAGAAAGAAAACATTTTTACCATTGAATAAGCATTAAACCAAAATGGAATGTGCATCATAGGTAATCTGCTTAGAGATTCCAGAGAATGAAAGAAATCTCACTCTTGTATACAGCCACACAGATACAAATCATTACATACATATTTTCAAGATAAGCAATAACTAGTCCTCAACTAAGAGGACTTGATGGTACAATTTGTCATGCACGCTTCATCCTAAATTTACCTGGTAATCGGGGTGACCATCGGTGTAAGCTAACTGGCTTTCTCTAGGGGAGAGCAAACTTCTCATCTCTTTATGACAAGGTGATTTTGAGGCTCAAGTTTGGCTCCTACGTCTCACAGAAACTGAGAGATTGAGTTGCTATCTCCCTGGATGTTTACATTTCAAAACGTTGGCTGCCAAGTCCTTGAGGGGGTAAACTGACAAAAAGTCTATTTAGTTTTCAAAAGGATTTACATACATTTCAAAGAGAGGAGAAAGTACTTATAATTACAAGTTTCCTAAAGTAAAGGAAGGGGGAAAGGTCTCCCTTTTTTTTGTTTTGTTTTGTTTTCTACAGAGAGAATTAAGCCTCTTATTTTCAACTTTTATTTGTCCTTACACCATACAGGTTTGGTGTGATTACCATAATGCAAACTCATTTACAGAAGATATGTGACTGCTCCGAGTCCCCAGAAGAGAAAATCAAAAACAAAAAGAACAAAATGAAAATGGTTTCTAAACCATTAAATCAGCACAAATTAATATGTCATGCCAAACCACATGCATTATAGACTGCAATGATTATTGATAATGTATTTCACCAGGGGGAAAAAGCAAATTCTTAATAAGCCTTTGTTTTCCTGCCTGTTTCTGACAGGGATGATGATTTCATTTTTAATTTGTTCAGAAGTAAGTTTATAATGATAACCAAAGGGAAACAATTTGCTCCCCTGTATGAGATTATCTATAGTATCATTAGCCATTAAAAATGTATTAGATTGAGTACAAAGGGGAGTTTTGTATTCATCTAAATAATGCATGTTACTCTACCAAATACAAAATGTATAACAGAGATGAGTTAAATGAGTCAACTTACCAAAATTTCAAATCAGTGCTCATGTTAGAACTTATTTAGCTGATACATTTGGCTGATGACGCATCCCAGATACGTAGTTCAAACTATTTAATGAACTTTCTACCTATATACAGTAATTTCCCACTAAGTGCTCTGATAAAGCACCATCTAATGTTAGCATTAAGAGGGATGTGTAATACGAATCAATAGCCAAATAAAACAAAACCACCAGAAGTCAGAAGGGGATAATGCAGAGAGTAATGCTTTCTGATGAGACCTTTCTTTAGAGGGCAACATCAAAAGGAATCATCCAGCGTCTGCTGCCATTAGCAGATCACATGCAACCGTTAGGAAGTTGCTAACAGAGTTCCTATTTAATGAAAAATAGGTGCACTCTTAGCTCTTGCTAACTGTGTTTCAATTTATCTTGGAAAGTGCTACGGTAAAAAGAAATGTCATAAAGAAAAGTATAGGCCGGGCGCGGTGGCTCACGCCTGTAATCCCAGCACTTAGGGAGGCCAAGGTGGGCAGATCACCTCAGGTCAGGAGTTTGAGACCAGCCTGGCCAACATGGTGAAACCCCATCTCTGCTAAAAATAAAAAAAAATAGCCGGGTGTGGTGGTGGGCGCCTGTAATCCCAGCTACTCAAGAGGCTGAGGCAGAAAAATCGCTTGAACCTGGGAGGCAGACATTGCAGTGAGCCGAGATCATGCCACTGCACTCCAGCCTAAGCAACAGAGTGAGACTCCATCTCAAAAAAGAACAAAAAACAAAAAACAAAAACAAAAAAACAAAAACAAAAACAAACGAACAAACAAAAACTATAAAGGTTTAAGGCGAACACTAAGGAGAGTCCTAAATTCAGACGTTATCCAAAAAGTTAACTGGTTTGGGGTTTCTGGGAAAATAAAGGGAGAGGCAGAAGGGAAGGGATGCTTCGAATTCCTGACTTGAATTTTAATTCTGTCAATTCTAAAATCTGCCCTCCAATCTGATGTGTTTGGCAAATTAAAAGAAAGCGTAGAAAAATTGCTATAGATGACACTGTGGCCTGCTTGATGAGAATCTGTAGAGTAACAGTAAACTTTTCTTTAGTATACTCCCCTTTAATTTACATGAAAAGAGAAGCTGTTTCTCCAACACTCGCCCCTAACATCCCACTGTGAAGACAGCTGCCTTATTTGCCTTTCAGCAAATTAAAAGTTAAAATAGCTTCACTGTCAGGAGTAGCAGCAGCAATTGAAAGACTTGTAAAAGAGCTCATTTTACTGCAATAGAGCGTTCTGTTTTCCAAAGGATCACCGTACCTTTTTTTTATTATTATTTCAGCACAGTCTTCGAAGAAATGACACCCTTCCTCTATTATCACCCTCTCTGCTGTTCCCCCTGTTGACATAGGTCAAGACAAAATTCCAAAAGCAGAACGAGAAAGGTTCTGCTTTCTTAATGTTCCTCACGCAGAGTTTTGATTTCATTTTCTTATATTGTTAAGATTCACTTCTATCTACCTCCCAGTAATGAAAGTAATTAATAGAAGTTAAACGTACAACAAAAATGCAGGTCATTCTCTACTTCAGACAAAAGTGTAAAATATCTCTGGTATTTCTCCACCCACCCGCCCCCCAACCCACTCCCACATGCACACATACACTTTTTTAAAAAAGGGATGAGAATGGAGGACCAATCAGAGTTGATAAAGCTACTGGAAGAACTATATACATCATTTCCTCAAAATGCCAGAAGAGAAAAAAGGAAAAACTACCAAAGGGAAGAGCAAATAAATTCTACCAGAGTCTTAAGTTTGGCTTCTACTCTATTTTTCCAAATAAACCAAATTCTGTCCCCAAAATAAAAATAAAGTAGTGAACTCAAAAACATTATTAAAGCCATATTTTCTTAATTTTGGTCTTGTCAATTTTAGCCTAGGGACCTCAAAAGTTAACTTTTCCTTAGATATTTTTCAGAATTCTGACTTACCAAAATGAGCTAAGATTATTTTCTTAAGTAAGGTTTGCATTCAGAAAGGAAACTGAAATAGAAGATCTGGAAGAATAATTATTTAATTAGGATGCCATTGCTGGACTTTTTAACTCTTCTGTGTTCATTTTTTTTAGTGCAAATTCATAACAGCCTCCTCTTTCCTTACTTAGCATAGAAAACCTTACCATTTACTTTTAGTTTAAAATCTCCTGGATGACTGAAATAAGAATACTACTAAATAAAATACAAATTACTGTAGTATTTGTTACTTTAATGTTATTATTAGTATCTGCAAGAGGCCATAAAAATTATCTTCTTTTTCCTATTTTGCTTAATATGCTGTAAAGAGTATTGTCTAAAGAATTTAATTGTTTCATTTCTTACCTTTTCATGGCTTTTTTACCACACTTTTAATTCACTTCCATATAAAAGCTTTTTTTATATACACTTTAAGTTCTGGGATACATGTGCAGAACGTGCAGGTTTCTTACGTAGGTATACACGTGCCATGGTGGTTTGCTGCACCCCTCAACCTGTCATCTACATTAGATATTTCTCCTAATGCTATCCCTCCTCTAGTCCCCCACCCCCCAACAGGCCCCAGTGTGTGATGTTCCCCTCCCTGTATCCATGTGTTCTCACTGTTCAACTCCCACTTATGAGTGAGAACATGCGATGTTTGGTTTTCTGTTCCTGTGCTAGTTTGCTGAGAATGATGGTTTCCAGCTTCATCCATGTCCCTGCAAAGGACATGAACTCATCCCTTTTTTGGCTGCATAGAATTCCATGGTGTATATGTGCCACATTTTCTTTATCCAGTTTATCCAGTTTAATGAGCATTTGGGTTGGTCCCAAGTCTTTGCTATTGTGAACAATGGTGCATTAAATGTACATGTGTATATGTCTTTACAGTAGAATTTATAATCCTTTGGGTACATACCCAGTAAGGGGATTGCTGGGTCAAATGGTATTTCTGGTTCTAGATCCTTGAGGAATCGCCACACTGTCTTCCACAATGGTTGAACTAATTTACACTCCCACCAACAGTGTAAAAGCGTTCCTATTTCTCCACATCCTCTCCAGTATCTGTTGTTTCCTGACTTTTTAATGATCACAATTCTAACTGGTGTGAGATGGTATCTCATTATGGTTTTGATTTGCATTTCTCTAATGACCAGTGATGGTGAGTTTTTTTACATATGTTTTTTGGCCACATAAATGCCTTATTTTGAGAAGTGTCTGTTCATATCCTTCACCCACTTTTTGAAGGAGTTGTTTTTTTCTTCTAAATTTAAGTTCCTTGTAGATTCTGGATATTAGCCCTTTGTCAGATGGAAAGATTGCAAAATTTTTCTCCCATTCTGTAGCTTGCTGGTTCATTCTGATGACAGTTTATTTTGCTATGCAGAAGCTCTTTAGTTTAATTAGATCCAATTTGTCAATTTTGGCTTTTGTTGCCATTGCTTTTGGTGTTTTAGTCATTAAGTCTTTGCCCATGCCTATGTCCTGAATGGTATTGCCTAGGTTTTCTTCTAGGATTTTTATGGTTTTAGGTTTTACGTTTAAGTCTTTAATTCATCTTGAGTTAATTTTTGTATAAGGTGTAAGGAAGGGGTCCAGTTTCAGTTTTCTGCATGTGGCTAGCCAGTTCTCCCAACACCATTTATTAAATAAAGAATCCTTTCCCCATTGCTTGTTTTTGTCAGGTTTGTCGAAGATCAGATCGTTGTAGATGTGTAGCATTATTTCTGAGGCCTCTGTTCTGTTCCATTGGTCTATATATCTGTTTTGGTACCAGTACCATGCTGTTTTGGTTACTGTAGCCTTGTAGTATAGTTTGAAGTCAGGTAGTATGATGCCTCCACCTTTGTTATTTTTGCTTAGGACTGTCTTGGCTATGCCGGCTCTTTTTTGGTTTCACATGAAATTTAAAGTGGTTTTTTCTAATTCTGTGAAGAAAGTCATTGGTAGCTTGATGGGGATAACATTGAATCTGTAAATTACTTTGGGCTGTATGTATATTGTCACAATATTGATTCTTCCTATCCATGAGCATGAATGTTTTTCCATTTGTTTGTGTTCTCTCTTATTCCTTGAGCAATGGTTTGTAGTTCTCCTCAAAGAGGTCCTTCACATCTCTTGTAAGTTGTACTCCTAGGTATTTTATTCTCTTTATAGTAATTGTGAATGGGAGTCCACTCATGATTTGGCTCTCTGTTTGTCTGTTAATGGTGTATAGGAATGCCTGTGATTTTTGCACATTGATTTTGTATCCTGAGACTTTGCTGAAGTTGTTTATCAGTTTAAGGAGATTTGGGGCTGAGACAATGGGGTTTTCTAAATATACAATCATGTCATCTGCAAACAGAGTGAATGTGACTTCCTCTCTTCCTATTTGAATACCCTTTATTTCTTTCTCTTGCCTGGTTGCCCTGGCCAGAACTTCTAATACTATGTTGAATAGGAGTGGTGAGAGAGGGCATCCTTGTCATGTTTTCGTTTTCAAAGGTAATGCTCCAGCTTTTGCCCATTCAGTATGATATTGGCTGTGGGTTAGTCATAAATAGCTCTTATTATTTTCAGATGTGTTCCATCTATACCTAGTTTATTGAGAGTTTTTAGCATGAAGGGATGTTGAATTTTATCGAAGGCCTTTTCTGCATCTACTGAAATAATCATGTGGTTTTCGTCATTGCTTCTGTTTATATAATGGATTCTCTTTATTGATTTGTGTATGTTGAACCAGCCTTGCATCCCAGAGATGAAGCCGACTTGATGGTGCTGGATAAGCTTTTTGATGTGCTGCTGGATTCAGTTTGCAAGTATTTTATTGAGGATTTTCACCTTGATGTTCATCAGGGATATTGGCCTGGAATTTTCTTTTTTTCTTGGGTCTCTGTGAGGTTTTGGTAACAGAATGATGCTGGCCTCATAAAATGAGTTAGGGAGGACTCCCTCTTTTTCTATTGTTTGGAATAATTTCAGAAGGAATGGCACCAGCTTCCTTTTGCACCTCTGGTAGAATTCAGCTGTGAATCCATCTGGTCCTGGGCTTTTTTTTTTTTTTTTTTTGGTTGGTAGGCTATTAATTACTGCCTCAATTTCAGAACTTGTTATTGGTCTATTCAGGGATTCAACTTCTTCCTGGTTTAGTCTTGGGAGGGTGTATGTGTCCAGGTGTTTGTTCATTTCTTCTAGATTTTCAAGTTTCTATACATAGAGGTGTTTATAGTATTCTCTGGTGGTAGTTTATATTGCTGTGGGATCAGCAGTGATATCCCCTTTATCATTTTTTATTGTGTCTATTTGATTCTTCTCTCTTTCCTTCTTTATTAGTCTGTCTAGCAGTCTATTTTGTTAATCTTTTCAAAAAAACAGCTTCTGGATTCATTGATTTTTTTGAAGGGTTTTTTGTGTCTGTATTCTCCTTCAGTTCTGCTCTCATCTTAGTTATTTGTCTTCTGCTAGCTTTTGTATTTGTTTTCTCTTGCTTCTCTAGTTCTTTCAATTTTGATGTTAGGGTGTTGATTTTAGATCTTTCCCACTTTCTCCTGTGGGCATTTAGTGCTATTAAGTTTCCCTCTAAATACTGCTTTAACTGTGTCCCAGAGATTCTGGTACATTGTGTCTTTGTTCTCATTGGTTTCAAAGAACTTATTTATTTCTCCCTTAATTTTGTTATTTACCCAGTAGTCATTCAGGACCAGGTTGTTCAGTTTCCATGTAGTTGTGCAGTTTTGACTGAGTTTCTTAATCCTAAATTCTAATTTGATTACACTGTGGTCTGAGAGATTGTTTGTTATGATTTCCATTCTTTTGCATTTGCTGAGGAGTGTTTTACTTCCAAGTATGTGGTCAATTTTAGAACAAATACAATGTGGTGCTGAGAAGAATGTATTTTCTGTTGATTTGCGGTGGAGATTTCTGTAGATGTCTATTAGGTCTGCTTTGTCCAGAGCTGAGTTCAAGTCCTGAATATCCTTGTTAATTTTCTGTCTCATTGATCTGTCTAATACTGACAGTGTGGTATTAAAATCTCCCACTATTATTGTGTGATAGTGTAAGTCTCTTTGTAGGTCTCTAAGAACTTGCTGTATGAATCTAGGTGCTCCTGTATTGGGTACATATATATTTAGTATAGTTAGCTCTTCTTGTTGAATTGATCCCTTTACCAATGTAATTCCCTTCTTTGTCTTTTTTTATCTTTGTTGGTTTAAAGTCTGTTTTATCAGAGAGTAGGATTGCAACCCCTACTTTTTCTTTTGCTTTCTATTTGCTTGGTAAATAATCCTCCATCCCTTTATTTTGAGCCTATGTGTGTCTTTGCACGTGAGATAGGTCTCTTGAATACAGAACACTGATGTGTCTTGACTCTTTATCCAATTTGCCAGTATGTGTCTTTTAATTAGGGCATTTGGCTCATTTACATTTAAGGTTAATATTGTTATGTGTGAATTTGATCCTGTCATTATGATGGTAGCTGGTTATTTTGCCCATTAGTTGATGCAGTTTCTTCATAGTGTCGATGGTCTTTACAATTTGGTGTGTTTTTGCAGTGGCTGGTACCAGTCTTTCCTTTCCATATTTAGTGCTTCCTTCAGGAGCTCTTGTAAGGCAGGTCTGGTGGTGACAAAATCTCTCAGTATTTGCTTGTCTGTAAAGGATTTTATTTCTCCTTTGCTTATGAAGCTTAGTTTGGCTGGATATGAAATTCTGTGTTGAAAATTATTTTCTTTAAGAATGTTGAATATTGGCTCCACTCTCTTCTGGCTTGTAGGGTTTCTGCAGAGAGATCTGCTGTTAGTCTGATGGACTTCCCTTTGTGGGTAACCCGACCTTTCTCTCTGGCTGCCCTTAACATTTTTTCCTTCATTTCAACCTTGGTTAATCTGATGATTATGTGTCTTGGGATTGCTCTTCTCAAGGAGTATCTTTGTGGTGTTCTCTGTATTTCTAATTTGAATGTTGGCCTGTCTTTCTAGGCTGAGGAAGTTCTCCTGGATAATATCCTGAAGAATTTCCAACTTGGTTCCCTTCTCCCAGTCACTTTTAGGTACACCAATGAAACGTAGGTTTGGTCTTTTCACACAGTCCCATATTTCTTGGAGGCTTTCTTCGTTCCTTTTCATTCTTTTTTCTCTAATCTCATCTTCAAGCTTTATTTCATTAAGTTGATCTTCAATCTCGTATCTTTTCTTCCACTTGATCAATTTGGCTATTGATATTTGTGTATGCTTCAAGAAGTTCTCATGCTGTGTTTTTCAGCTCCACTAGGTCATTTATGTTCTTCTCTAAACTGATTATTCTAGTTAGCAGTTTCTCTAACCTTTTATCAGGGTTCTTAGCTTCCTTGCACTGGGTTAGAACATGCTCCTTTAACTCAGAGGAGTTTGTTATTACCCACCTTCTGAAGCCTACTTCTGTCAATTTGTCAAACTCATTCTCCATCCAGTTTTCTTCCCTTGCTGGCAAGGAGTTATGATCCTTTGAAGGAGAAGAGGGATTCTGTTTTTGGAATTTTCAGGCTTTTTGGGCTGGTTTTTCCTCATCTTGGTGAATTTATATACCTTTGTTCTTTGATGTCAGTGATCTTCGGATCGGGTGTTTGTGTGGCTGTCCTTTTTGTTGATGTTGATGCTATTCCTTTCTGTTTGTTAGTTTTCTTTCTAACAGTCAGGACCCTCTGCTGCAGGTCTGCTGGAGTTTGCTGAAAGTCCACTCCAGACCCCGTTTCCCTGGGTATCACCAGCAGAAGCTGCAGAGCAGCAAAGATTGCTGCCTGTTCCTTCCTCTGGAAGCTTCATCCCAGAGAGCCACCCACCAGATGCCAGCCAGAGCTCTCCTATATGAGGTGCCTGTCGACCCCTGCTGAGAAGTGTCTCCCAGTCAGGAGGCACAGGAGGCACGGAGTTCAGGGACTCACTTGAGGAGGCAGTCTGTCCCTTAGCAGAGCTTGAGTACTGTGCTAGGAGATCCACTGCTCTTCTGAGCCAGCAGACAGGTACGTTCAAGTCTGCTGAAGCTGCGCCCAGAGCTGCCCCTTCCCCCAGGTGCTCTGTCCCAGGGAGATGAAAGTTTTATCTATAAGCCCCTGACTGGGACTGCTGCCTTTCTTTCAGAGATGCCCTGCCCAGAGAGGAGAAAAATAGAGAGGCAGTCTGGCTACAACAGCTTTGCAGAGCTGCAATGGGCACTCCCCAGTTTAAACTTCCTGGCGGCTTTGTTTACAATGTGAGGGAAAAACCACCTACTCAAGCCTCAGTAGTGCTGACCGCCCCTCCCCCAACCAAGCTCGAGCATCCAGGTCGACTTCAGACTGCTGTACTGGCAGTAAGAATTTCATCCCAATGGATCTGAGCTTGCTGGGCTCCATGGGGTTGGGATCCACTGAGCTAGACCACTTGGCTCCCTGGCTTACGCCCCTTTCCAAGGGAGTGAATGATTCTGTCTCGCTGGCATTCCAGGTGCCACCAGGGTGTGAAAAAAAACCTCCTGCAGCAGCTCGGTGTCTGCCCAAACAGCCACCCAATTTTGTGCTTGAAACCCAGGGCCCTGGTAGTGTAGGTACCCAAGGGAATCTCCTGGTCTGCAAGTTGTGAAGACCATGGGAAAAGCGTAGTATCTGGGCCAGAATGCACCATTCCTCAAGACACAGTCTCTCATGGCTTCCCTTGGCTAGGGGAGGGAGTTCCCTGACCCCTTGTGCTTCCCAGGTAAGGTGATGCCCCACCCTGCTTTGGCTCGTCCTCCGTGGGCTGCACCCACTGTCTAACCAGTCCCAATGAGATGAGCTGGGTACCTCAGTTAGAAATGTAGAAATCACCTACCTTCTGCATTGATCTCACTGGGAGCTGCAAATAGGAGCTGTTCCTATTCGGCCATCTTGCCCAGGTCCCCTCATAAAACTTTTGTCATATATCAATGATTTATAATGTGTAACAAAATTGTTTAAGAATGCAAAAATTATAATGTCTCAATAATTGATGATATTTTATTTAACTAAGAACAATGTTTATATCATGGGTCATGTTGCTAAAAGACCTCCAATTACCATTGCCAGGCATATTAATTATGTAGTCAGATTTAATATCCCAATACTGTGGAGCGTGTCCATATTCCCATTTTACAGAAAGGCAAAGTACATGGCCGAGGTTCACAAAGGTACTAAACTATAGGGCCAGCCTTTGAATCAGAGTATACCTGAATCCAAAATCCATACTTTTAACCATTCCTTAATATTACCAGGCACATTTATACAAAGTCTCACTATTATATTTGTACAGGTTGCTTTTCTTGGTATAATTCATAGCACCAAGGGTCCCCAAAGATTCCTCCAATAACTCAATTTTTATTAGTAATTTTTGTCATAGCTCTTACATGGGCCATATTCTAATTCAAGGGGCTCGTTTAATTAAAAATTGACTGATCTTATGCAGTGTGACTTTGGTCATTTAGACCAACATTAAATTCTAAAACCAATGCAATATCTTCATTTTTACATATTTTCTCAAAACATTGACCTCCTTTGGGTAATTTCTTCCCTATAATTTGTCTATTTTCCATTTTAATTTTAATTCTAAGCCTAGAATTTTAATTCTAAGCCTAGAAAAGAAACTACTAAGATCATCCTGACCAGAACAGGTCAGTTATCAAACTGAAAACACCAAAATTTGCACCCTTTGCACCAAAATTGTGTATGTCTCCTTCCCCAGGCCCCACTTTCCAAGTGTATGTATCAGATCAACTCCATGCTGCAGCAGGAGGCCAGTAATTCACACTGCACTGATTTTTTTTCTATTTATGACAGCATATTACAGCGCTATGGTAAGATTTTTAAAGTTCATGAGCCTCTAGCCTTGGATCAAGCCATGCCGCAGCTCAATCTTTTTCAGTCTTTGTTAGCAGTGCACATCATGTCTAAACTAAAATATACGGAATATAGAGTGTCATGTCCAAATCACAGTCTGTAAGCTCAGGTGGGCAAGAAGTACCACTTTTTGTATATTTATGTTTTTATAACTGTGTGATGAAAATGTCATCTCAGTACATTTAAAGATGTATCCCCTCCCAACCCTCACACCCACTCTCACCTCCCACAGTCCTGCTTCCCACGGTTGTGTCTGGTTTGTACCAGATGGAGGGAGCTTACTTAACTGCACAGGAAGGAGAAAGTGAATCTGATTCGCAAACTCTATTTATCTGCAGTGGTATCCACTCTGACATCCAGCTTCCTTTCTTGTCCTTGGTCACTGGCCCAAGCAGGTGATTACACGGTGTTCCTCAGGACCATCCACATTAGCCCCATTACGTCTAGCTGGCTCAACTTCAGTAAAATCATTTGACCCTGTTGTTCTCTGCATCCTTCTGTGTGGTCTAGCCTCCCAGATAAAGGACAGTCAAGGGAATAACAGAAAGTCATATGGAGAGAAAAAGGAATCATTAACTAATCTAGGAAAGTAACATTTTAAATAAAATTGAATATTAGTTCTTTAGTCTGTTACTGAAAAAAAATGAAAATAACTGGCACCAGATTTTCACAAAATTTGGAGGGTGTGCTTGGAACTCTTTGACTTCAAATACGTACAGTGTGGCTAACCCAAATTCCACTTTGAAGGGACCTGAGAAGTACCTCAAACAAGACAGATAGCTATCTTTCACAGCAGCATACACTGAGATGCACGAAGCCCATGTGGCTACAATTGGAGGAGACATACCTGAGGCATGCATACACAGAGGAAAGCCTGTGTGAGAGCCAGGGAGAAAACACAGTAAGACCTTGTGGACAGAGAAAACGTAGTGGTTCTAAATATAAGCCCACAATCATTATCACAACGACAGATGCTTCTAATTACAGGTGTTCCATTGCCATTAAACTGCTCTCATGTGCAAACCTCCATAAAGTATCTTGTAGGCTCTGGCGTATGTGGCAGCAGGGATTTATTTATTTAACAGTGGTTAATTTTTTCAAACAATTAAGAAGGAAGCCTTTAGTCCTCAATAAAAATGACAGGGATTTAGGGATAATGGCACTTGCAAATGTAAAATTTTTCCTCTAATTTTGGGTCTTTGCTGCTTTCTCACGTACATCTGTGATGTACAGACTGTAGGCTTTACTGTTGTGTCCCAGCAGAACCTAGAACGGGACCTGGAAAACAGCAGACACTAATTATGGAGTTAAGTCGTGGGAATCACAGTAACAGAAATGGAGGTTGTAATGGGCTGATCTGTGTTCCTCCTAAACTCATATGCTGAAGCCCCAGCCCCTAGTTCCTCAAAATGTAACCTTATTTGGAGATAAATGAGGTTGTCTATTTGGCCACTTTTATCTATTTGGCCATTTTAAATAAGTTAAAATTAGGCTGTTGGGGTAGGACCCTAATCCACCATGACTGGTATCCTTAAAAGAAGAGGAGACACCGGGGATGCATACACAGAGGAAAGACTAGGTGAGGATCCAGGGAGAAAATGGCCAACTGCAAGCCAAAGAAAGAGGCCTCAAGAGAAACCAAATCTGCCAACTCTTGATCTTGGACTTCTATCTTCCGGAAACTTTGAAATTTCTGTTCTTTAATATCACTCAGTCTGTAGTATTTTGTTATGGCAACCCTAACAAACAGATGTGAATAAGTATCTGGGCTTCATTACAAAATAGTATTTACAAATTCTAAAGACTGCCAGTTGCTTTTGTAAGCTGAAATTCCTACTCGTTTTATTGGTTAGTTCCTGTGTTTGTTTGGATCTTGCATATGCCCTCATTATATTGGCATTGTGTTATATTTGCAATAATTCACAATAGTTTTAATTTTGCTATTCTAGAATGCTTCCAATTTTGTTTTCTAAATATAAAAAAAAAGTGGTGCATTTTAGGAACTATGTTTTAGTAAATTAGATATTTAGATCTGAAATTCCACATATTGACTCACAGTATTCAGCCTGGGACCCCACATATTTCCAACAGATGTGTTTAGGCTGATTATTTAAATGCTCAACACTTCAAATGTTCCAAGTATCTTATCTGTATTAAAACTGGTTTCAGTACTGTCTCAATTTTTTCTTTAGAAAATATATAAAATATAATTTAAGTGAGCACCAAGAAAATGTAGTAGAATGAGTCCTATGTTTCCTTTTTTATGTGATAGACACAGATAACCTGGGAATGAGTTCTTAAAGCTGTTTTTCTTATAACATACAATCTAAACATGCATTGATAAATAATATAAAAATAGCAACAAAATAGAGCCTGCCATGCCAACTCTTAAAATATAGCTAAAAACTGAATTTCCTTAATATTCATCTATTTTGGGAACTAGTTCATCTTTTTTTCCTCTTTGTACTTCAGGTGCACAGAATTGGATTAATAATAATCCGTGGCTTATAACATACTCTCAGCATTGGTAATTGTATGACCCACTTTTATCTATTTGGCCATTTTTAATAATGTGATAAGTACACATGAATTTTCCCAAAACAAATATTGGGGCTCTGATTGCAACCCACATTCAACTATGCAGTCACCTCATATGACATCCCTCTGAATCTTCAGATTTGAGGCAATAACCAAATTTCATCCCATACTCATTATTCCCTTTATTCCCTTGCTGTTGTACACAAAGAATAATTACATATATATGTATCTAAAGGGATATTTTAGTTTTTAACTCTATAAAATGGTATCATTAATTTTTTAGAACTTGCTATTTTTGTGCAGTATTATATTGCTAAAATTTATTCATATTTGTAAATGCTGTACTTCATTCATTTTACTACTGTGTCATATTTTAATGTGAATATACCACAGTTTATTCATCCACTCTCCTACTGATGTCTATTTAGATTGTTTCCAGGCTATTCCATTCCAAGTGGCAATGATGTTAACATCTTTACACATATTTTTGTTGTATATGTAAATGAGTTTTATTGGATATCTAGGAGTATAATTCTGAAGTCATATGATATATGAATGTTCAATTTTTCCAAATTGTTTAATGTTTTTTAAAATGATTGCACCAATTTGCCCTCCAGTCAGCGAAGAACATTCAGTGGACCTATTTCCTCTCCAATAATTGACACTATCAGGCTTTTATATTTTCTTCCAAAAGAACAGTGTAAATTTATGTTGTATTATTATGTTTCTTTGTGTTTTCATGATCACTAATGGATGTGATATCGTGTAATAAACATCTCTTCATATGTTTGTTAGTCATATGAGTTTTCTCTTCTGTGTCTATTTATAACTTTTGCTACTTTTCTTACTGATTTGTAGATAATTTTTTGTGCTCTTAACACCAATCCTTTGTCCGTTATGTAGATTGTCAACTAGTTTGTGACAGTACTTCTCACTTTAAGACATCTCTTTAATGAACTAAAGCTTTTAATTTTAATATAGCAAAATATATGTCTTTTCTTTTATAGTTAACATGTTTTATGCCTTATTTAAGAAATATCTTTCTACATCCTAGACCTAAAAACCATTCATCTGGATTATCTACTAAGTGTTTAAAGATTTGCTTTTGATACTTAAATCCTTAATCTATATGGAGTTGTTTTTTCATGTAGTGTGAGGGAAGGACCTAGTGTCATGTTTTCATAGACATTTAATGAATTATTTACTCTTCAGGCATTGATCTGTAGTTACTGGAAATTATTATTACATTATTCTTAAAAAAACACTCCCAAATTTTACTACTTACATAAAATTCTAATTAGTTATATAATGTTTTCTTAAATGAAAAAAAATTTGCATAGTAGGAGTTGAGGTTACCAATACTATCAAATACAATCAGAATGATTATAAAAAGAAGAGAAACAAGAAGATGATTTCCCCGAAGCATCCCCAATCGTCTCAACAAGGCATATTTAAAAATCTGTTTTGACTAACTGGAACACACACAAATTCACACATACATATATACACATACACCATACACAAAAGTAACCACAATATGGGAAAGGCAAGCATAATCATTGCTCCACATATCCACTTCTATTTTCATTTTTGCATTCCTACTATGACATAATTTGTTTTACCTCATTTTTGTATTAGCTCTTTTGAACGCTGCTTTAAATGAAACCGAATTAACCTGTACCTTATAGATAAGTAGGTCACAAATGAAGAAAAGGCACACCAAAAAGTAAATTAATTGCCACATATCCACTATTTCAGAGGAGCTCTTGTTTCTCTGTTTCTGCTCCATCATGGTATGACTGCATCTCTGTAAAAGCAAAAGGGTTTGGCCGGGCACGGTGGCTCACACCTATAATCCCAGCATTTTGGGAGGCCGAGACGGTTGGATCACCAGAGGTCAGGAGTTTGAGACCAGCCTGACCAACATGGAGAAACCCTATCTCTACTAGAAATACAAAATTAGCTGGGTGTGGTGGTGCAAGCCTGTAATCCCAGCTACTCAGGAGATTGAGGCAGGAGAATCACTTGAACCTGGGAGGCAGAAGTTCTGGTGCGCCATTGCACTCCAGCCTGGGGAAAAAGAGCGAAACTCCATCTCAAAAAAAAACATTAAAAAAAAAAGTAAAAGTGTTTAATTTCCAAACCATTTAACAAACATCTATTAAACATCTACTATGAGAAAGTGCTGTGCTAGATACTGTAAAGAACAAAAATTTGCTCCACAATATAATCAGGGAGCCATAAATAAATCTAAAATAGGCCCATCTATGTCGTTCCACAACTGATATACCCACAAATGTTGACTGACTTCAACTACGTCTGTAATTACTAAGCACGTAAGAGGATATGGCATTGTACATTTCAATGGTCTCATTAAATAGGCATTTGTATTTCTTTTTAAAGATTCCATTTAGTAATTTCATTATGTAGGAAATTTAAAATAGAAGCAGTCAATAGCGGTAAAATTTTTAAACAACATCCATTTCCAGACATGCTTCAGACTATAATGTAAACATTGGCATAGAAAATGTTGAATATTACTAACATATTTGATGAAGACTTTTCTCCAAAACTAGAGAAGAAGAGAAAGTAAGAAATAGTCTTTCCAAACTCTTCCTTCGTGTGGTATGTACAGTCAAACACAACTCCAGCCTACTCAGTTACTTGGCTTTAGGTTTCCAGCTGACCCAACAGCATGACCAGCTTCACATAAAGGTATGAAAATCTATAATGCCCACTCCAGGCTCTCTATTTTCCAGTCTCTCCTGTTCTATCTCTTTATGCACTCCTGCCTTTACTCCAGAGTCTCTAGTGGGGTATCCCATCTAGGCCTTCCATTTCCAATGGCTGCATTATGGTTTCTTTATTATTATTATTATTATTTATTTTATTTATTTATTTATTTTTGGAGATGGAGTTTCGCTCTTATTGCCCACGCTGGAGTGCAATGGCGTGATCTCGGCTCACTGCAGCCTCTGCCTCCTGGGTTCAAGCATTCTCCTGCCTCAGCCTCCCGAATAGGTGGGATTACAGACGCATGCCACCAGGCCCAGCTAATTTTGTATTTTTAGTAGAGACGGGGTTTCTCCATGTTGGTCAGGCTGGTCTCAAACTCCTGACCTCCGGTGATCTGGCTGCATCATGATTTCTATGAACTACCCTAGGTAAGTTCAATCTCTCCTCACCTCAAGGTTCTGCTCAGTATCACATTCCCTATGAATCCCTCTTGGGGTCTTCCATGATAACCCCTACCTAATCTCATAAACATATATACACCAATATGAGGAAGTTAGAAAGACTTTATTCCTGCCGGGGGAGTGAGTATCATCATAAGGCTTTCAAGTCAGATATTTAAAAAGTATAGTGCCACAAAAATTTGCGCTTGTAGTCAGAGACCTCAGATTAAGTCCAAAGTCCACAATGATTTGTGTGTAACATTGAGCCAGTGATTCAACTTTACTGAGACTCAGTGACTAAATCTATTAGTTATGAGAAATAACGAATTCCCATGAATGCTGTCAGAAATTACATGATGTATGAGAGAGTATTTTTAAACTATAACGTGATCTAAAGTATAAGTGATTTTCATCTTATGGCAATGATTCAACCACCAGGAAAGATATTAAATTTGGCATCTCTCAAGATATTCTGTAGTAATAACCTGTTTCAACTATGCTAAGGATAGGACAGCCAACAAATTTGTGAGAAAAAGAGATAATTATCTAAATCATGCCTCTATTCAATCACTGACCCATTCATTTGAGGGTAAAAGCAAATGTAAGGTTCAGGAGATAGGACAGTGACCAAGGTAGACATAACCCCTGTTCTCATGGAGCTTATATTCTGTCCATGGTTCAAAACAACTAGAAAATGTGGGAAAGCTGCAAGCACAAGCATGACCATTGAATTCCCAGGTGAACATCACTCTTCCTGAAATCAGTGTCACCTTTGTATTTTACTGAAACCAGAAAGAACAGAGATGGAGCTTAGCAAATTAACACAGGAACAGAAAACCAACTACCACACATTCTCACTTATAAGTGGAAGCTAAATGATGAGAACACATGAACACACAAAAGGGAACAACACACACTGGGGCCTTTGGAGGGTGAAGGGTGGAAGGAGGGAGAGGATCAGGAAAAATAACTAATCGGTACTAGGTTTAATACCTGGGTGATGAAATAACCTGCACAACAAATCCCCATGACACAAGTTTACCTATGTAAAAAACCTGCACTTGTATCCCTGAACTTATAAGTTTTTTTAAAAGCCCATGCTATCTGATTTACCTCAATGAATCCGCCTGTGAGATCAGCATATGATCTGCTCCATCATTCTCAAAGAGCAAAAGACAAAGTAGTCTAGATGAAACCCAGGATGTTCATAACGAAAAGCCTAATGGAATATTTCTACACTTGAAAAAGTAGGATATTTCCTTCTGTTAGAGCAACACATCAGCTCTTTGAGGATAACAGCTAACACTCAGGCTCTAGGTGCTCCTTTAAGCATTGACTTTTTATCTCATTTAGCCATTACAACTCCAGGTAGTAGGTACTATCATTATCGTGTGGTTTTATAAATGAGGGGGAAATAAGGCATAAAGAGGTTAATAACTTGAGCTAGGTCACACAGTTATTTTCTGATGAACCCAAGATTCCAATGTATTACATAGTCCATATATACCCACCGTACTGCACTGCCTCTGTATAGATTCCTCTCAATGAGTGATTGATAACATACAAAGGGCTAGGAACCACTCACTGTTCCATATAACCCCAATCACCACAGAATTCATTCTAGGGCACTGGGTACATTGAGAAACACCATTCACACTGGCTTGGTGTGAACTGCACCGCATAGGGGTATGCAGCACACAAACAGCATAATCCCACACTGTGACCTGCAGCCCCATCATAAACCATACCTTCTTTTCCATGGCCTTTCTTATGTTGCTTTTCTACCATGGAGAACCCTCTTCTCTCATCTCAACATGCATAAAACCAGTCATCATCTAGCTCATATCACCCTTGAAGCTTTTCTAGGCTCTTCCAGCTACAGGTATCTACATATTTCTCCTCTGAACACCTATTTCATATTCACTTTATGGACATTTTGAACTACTGCTTAGCATTTAGATACATAACATTTTGTATTTTACCAAATACGCTTATATACTCAGCCACATTTAAGTTTATCGAGGACAGAAAACAGCTTTTATTCCCTCTCTCAACTGCATACTCTCTCTCTATGCCCACACTCCACACCTCATATAGCACTAGAAGCTCAATAAGTCTGTTTGGATAGTTGGTGGACTAATTGATTAATCTATTGAATAAACATTCACCTAAACTTAAATAATCTCCAAGAGTTGCTATCTCAGATGTAGGTGCACACACAATGTGTGGGCCTGTAAGGTAATAGACTGAAGAAGGGAATAAAAAAAAAAGCTTTCACTGGGAAATTGCCCTAAATATAAAAATCACAAGAAATGGAAATGTATAAGAATTCAATCTGAAAACTTTTAAAGGGAGAACAGGCTAACTGGAAAAGTAAGAAAAAAAAAGTGGTCAGATCTTTTCAGGATCTGAAAATCAAATGCTTCTCCTCATCATTTCTGTCATTTTTCTTCAGAAGATGTAATATATCCCCCACATTTGAAGTATATATTAAAATTCAAATGGTTAACACTTTATACTTCTTCATTCTACTTTCTCCCTCTCTCTCACACACACACACACATACATTCTGAACCCTCCCCCAACACACACACACACACACCTACCCCACATATTCTCAAATCTCCCCCACCACACACATACACACACACACACACACACACACACACACACCACCTTTTGAGGGAGAACTAGTTCTAAACCATCAAAATCGCTCCTGAGATTGGTTCATGAACTTGGGCTCCCTCTGCTGGGTCTGCAGCAGTACAACAGACAAGTCTGTAGAGTTAGGAGGTTACAGAACTTATTCATCAAATATTCTCCTGTTTAAACTCGAATTTAAGCTGACTAGCCTACAAGATGCAACAATTTGGAAACAGAAAAGATTTAGAAGTTGGATAAATTAGTAACAATAACTCAAGACAAGTGGTTTTTAAACCACTGCGAATCAGTATTTTTGCCCCTGCTTATTTCCATTTGTAGAAGAATGGTAGAATTCATCAGAGAATCGCAAAGATTGCAAAGATAATGATATAAAACTGTACAGAAAAAAAAGCTTCAAGAGATAAGCTCTGGATTACATATGTATTTGTCAGAAATAAATGCAGATGAGTATGACCAAAGGTCATATAAGGTCTCTAAGTAAGATTTCTGAGGAAGTTAAAAAAAAAAGGGAGTTAAGAAGTATTACTAAAAGAATACAAATCAAAGCTGTTGATAACATCACTGAAATATATTAGCCAACCCAAGAGTAGAGTATATTGAGCCTACAGTCACACACACCAAGAAATAAAAGAAAATGGAATCACAAAGTGCATTCCACATTTACTAAGGATAACAGAAATGTAACTTATACATCAAAAGGGAAATAGTAAATATTGATTGCTGTTAAAAGGAAATGTTATCTCTCATTGAATTGATTTGGTGTTTATTATAAAAGGAGAATGGTTAAATTGGCCTAAAACAAACCATCAGACCAGAAAAAAAGAATGAAAATAGATCTAAGACCTTTAAAAATTAGGAAATTATATATAACTGTCTGTAATATTATTTTCCTTAAGATAGGCTAGTATTCAACAATAAATACATCTTAAATCAATCCCAGCGTGATCTTGCAGAATCGTCAAATACACAGGGAATTGGATATTCCACGGCTTAGAAATTCCAGTACAGATATTGGCAGAACCTCTAGTTACTGGTGTAGCCAGCCCATATCCTTTCTCTATTGTCAAATAATGCACTGTTGTAAAGGGTCAATCAAGACTCCAGCCCATAACTCACTACATAATTTGAAATAGCCAGTGCAAAATGAAAATGCAGGGCCCCTTGTTCAAAAAAAGTACCAAGAATTTCAAAACAGTGAAAACGGAGCAGGAACCCAACCAAGTCAACTCTTCTAAGCACAGCTCTTTTAAGATGGGTGATAGTGAACTTTCATGTACATAGAAAGAGGTTGGGGAAAAAGCCAAAAAGGATTCTATGAGCACCTGAGTTGTAAAACAGACGTTCACTCCCTCTGCAGAATTGTATACCTTTTATTTTTTTAAAAAATTAATAATTACAGGAATATGATTGATAGGAATTCACCCTTCCCCTCTGGAGTCCTCACCCTTAGAAATATCCAGGGACTGACTGATTGAAAACAGAGCAGGAACCAAACCAAGCAAACTGCTCTAAGCACAGCTCTTCTAAGTATGGGGCCCTGTGTGACTACACAGATCACATGCCCATGAAGCTGGCCCGGCTCTGCCCTAGTTTAGTTGAAGGTTAGCAATAACATATCTTCATGCATCCCCAACCTCAGCATTCACAGACGAAGACACTCATCTTACCGTCGTGAAGAATTTCCTTTCAGAGAGACATCTTTACTAAAACGGTTCAGTTTAGTTTAGTTCCCAAATGCTAAACGGTTCAGTTTAGTTTCCCAAATGCTCACTGAACCTGTTAATAGGGCATATTTGTGTTCTGTCTATCCAAGTTTGGTATGAGAGACAGAGCACATGTTTAGAGAACCTAAGATAACTCCCGCAGATATTTTTTTTCTTTTGTTTCCTGTGAGGAGTCGCACAACTTAAGTTGTTAAAACACAATCTTCAGCGTCGAACTGCCTGGGTTCAAATTCCATCTCCACCACTGACCACCTGTATGACTTTGAACAAGTTACTTAAACTTTTTGTTTGAGTCTTTCTTTAAACTTTCTGAGTCTCTGTTACCACTAGCAGATAATAATAGTACTACTCATAGGGTTGTTTATTGGGATATACTGAGGCATTATTTATAAAGAGTTTAACTCAGTGCTTGGCATATAATAAGTGAATCTGATATTATCATCATATAATAAATTTTTTTCGCATATATTAGAATCCAGATCACGGAAAACCAGCTGGTTGTCTGTGGGCCACTTGGCATTTGAAAACCAGTTGTCTTAGTGTGGTTTAATGGATTATTCGCTATAAAATAATTTGAAATATAGCTCCCCATATTCTCCATATTTTAAAAGTCTTTATTAATTCATTGATTTTATAAACATACATTGATTCTCTACTCGCTGACAAGCATTATGCTGAATAGTAGGGATGAAAAGATGAAAAAGATTACCTTTCTGCCCTAAATGAGCTCACCAACCAGACACTTAAGTGGATAATTTTAATACAATGTGCCAAGTGCATCAGCTGTTGGGAGACAATTCTCCATGGGTGGCTCCCATTTCTGCACTTTCCAAGCAAAGGCATTAACATATATTTCGTTCCAGATTAGCTGTTCAGGAATGTTTTTATGTCAAACTGCCTTGGAAGGTAGAAATAGTGTCTCTTTCCAGGGCAGAAGGCAGGTTTGTTTTCTCACTAGGATAATAAAGATATTTTTTCTTTCCAGGGTAAAGTTTGAGCAGGTTTGCTGGCATCCTTTTGAAAACATGGAGGTTTCCAAAGTTTGAGATTCTTCCGTTGTGCCACAAACCCCCTCTATGTGCATAGAAGGGGAAAGTTGATATTCCATGCTGAGAGAATCAAGGTATGAAACAGCATAGTATGAATGCATAAGTATAAACGATGCAGTAATGCTGACAAATTAGAGATGAGATGAGAAGAGGGAAGAGATGACGCCGGAGAGCCACAGAAGGACAGAACCTTGGGGACTTTACAGGCCAGGTATAAACTTACTTCATAATAATCATTTAGCTAACAATTTTACAATTATAGCTCTTGAAAAGTTATGCCAGTTTTTGAACAAATCTTTCTTTTTCAGTAGAGAAATCTTTTCCCCCAAGATCCACTAAATAAATACACATAAGACATGATATAGTAATATTACAGTTTCAGGGAGACATGGTCACCCATGTACTTGACTAGCCAGAGAATATCTTATAGGACACATTTGAATTAAACATCACATTTGGATGAACCCAAACACTTCTTAAGTAAGTTGAAAAGAAAGTATCAGTCTATTATACATATATGTATGTGCTAGTTTCATCATGGGTTTATGTATTACTACATGTGGTCTCAAGTCAGGCCTTTATTTTGCCCTAAAGGTATGCTATCAGTTACAAAGTAAAGTTTGAGTGCAAGGTTATCAGAAACCCAAAAAGGCTGCTGAAGGATTGGTTTAGAAAACGGGTCAGAAGGAAGATTGCACCTTCCGAAGAATGATTCAATTGCACCCCACCCACCTCCATCATTCCCTACCCACTCCTAAGTCTTTCCTTTCTCCATTGGCAGGTATAATAAACCTTTATTTTTTGTAGAAATTGGACTTACTTATTTTTGCATTCTTGTTGTTGAGTTATATACACTCATTTTCAGTATTGAATTGCTATCTTTTTTCTGTGAAAACTGGTTCATCTTAAGTTGTGACAAAATCCATTATAATTTTTCTTATTAAAATTAATAAAAGTTTTTACCTTTAGTTTTTCATTTAGCAAAAAGTTTTTCAGAAATGAATTAAAGTCATTAATGGGGGATGGACGTACTTTGAACTTCACGGTAGGCTTTGAGGAGACCATGAAGGTCTTAAACACAAGGGCTTGAGCAAGTTATGAGCCAGTGCTCCCAAGTCAAAATGCCTGGGGCTAAAATGTGTCTCTGCCACATTCTAGGTATGTTACCTAGAGCAAGTTTCTTCTTGTGCCTTGTCTTTCTTGTCTGGATTTCTTGTCTGTGAAATAAAGGTAATAATAGTTCTAATATCATACTGCTGTAAAAATGGAAAGATTTAGAAAAATACCAAGTACATAGTAAGTACTCAATTAAATGTTGTCTGCTAATATTATTATTTTCTTCACATTTTTAGTGTCTGTAATTCACACTGACAGCACAGTGGGGAACACATTTGAGGGTATCAAGACCATCAAGAAAGAAATCCATGGGAGGCACAATCAAGGCAAGAAAAAAAATGGGTAGGGAATAAGAAGCAAGCATATGGTGGAAAATAATGTGTTTTATTTTGGACATGTTGCGATTAAGGTGCCTGAGTAAAATTCTTTTACTTCTATCTCAGCAGTTTGTTCAGGTCAATTTTATCACTGCCTTCTAGGACAAAAAAGATTAAGTCCAATTAGGATTATGGTTTGAGATAGAAACAGAAATAATATAGGTTCAAGAATTTTCATTGTCTATTCGATGTTAATCTATTCAGGGAAATGGTCCTAGAAGCCACATGCTTGTTATTGTTAACTGTGACAAAATCAATGCACTGGTTTTGTACTCAGATAATTCATTTCCTTGGAAACTCAGAGGTTGTGAAACAAACATAAATTAAGCTTGTGTTTACCCTGCCTTTCCCAAAGCTAATTATTCAACATAGCTGAGACTTAAGAGTTTCTAACAGAAAGGGCTAAAAACAAATCCAGGTAAAGAACAAGAGGCCAGCACAGGTGTAAATTGCTTTCATGCTTATTTAGCCTTTTACCACGTATATCTCCCCACCACTCCTGTTCCGCTCACCATTCTCAGTACTGCCCTCTCCCCGCTCTCCCTTCCCTGTCCCTGACATCTCTTTCCATAGCTGTGCAGGATGGCAAGGACTATTCATAATTCATGTTTATGCCCCTTGTTCCCAGAATAGCATGGCACATATTAGGTGTTTAATATGTGCTTAGTTAAAAAGGAATCATTGTTGCATAAAGCCACTTCCTGATGATAAGCTCCTTAATCACCTCATAATTGAAAACGTACTTCCGTGGATAAGATCAGGGTCACATAACAGGCAGTTTCTATTGTGTAAGTCTGTATAGTTGTAAATACGATACATTAAATCTGAATCCATGTGTGAAAGAGGTTACTGCAGACACATAAAATTAATTTCAGTCTCATGCTTTAAACTTTTATTATTTTTCAAATAAATCAGTAAACAACATCATAAAAAGTCCTATCTTATTTACTGCTCTAGCCTGAATGTGAAGAAGACAGTCCTCGGTAAATATTTAAGTCACTGACCAATAAATAGATTCCTCTGGTTTTCTACCCAGAAGCAGGTATTTTTCTTTTTTATTTTCTTGGACTGTATACACAAACTTTATCTAAATGGCAGAAAAAATGTTTTTCTTCTTTTTTAGGTTCTCCTGGTAACCTAAAAATAAAAGCATAGTACACTGTAATAACAGCAGTGCTGAGAGAAGTACTCTTTCAATACCATACCACCTATTATTTTTAAAGGAGATTAAAAACTCATTAAGAAAGATCCAGTTGTATTTCCATTCTGTTGTAATGTGAAAAGTGAATAATTTTGTCTATAAGAAGTAACAATTCTAACTCAAATAACTGTTATGACATAAGAATCAATTGAGCCTCTTCAGATAACTATACCACAGCATAACGTCTCTACCCATCTGGCAATCAGGAATCTCCACAAACCAACATTTCTGCAGTTCACCGATACGGTGGTAATGAACGTTGACAAAGACACTGAAGCACTGTAAGATGCTAAATTGTTATCTAAATCACCAAAAATGCTCACTGTCATCTTGTAATTTTACTAAATCCTAATTTAATTTTAAAAAATGTTAAGTGCAGGGTAGGGTCTCTCAAATTCAGAACTACTGACATTTTGGACCAGATAATTATTTGCTTTGAGGACCATTAGTGCACAGTAGGATGCTTAGCAGCATTCCTGGACTTCACCCACGAAATGCTTCTAGCACCTCTTCCTTTCATCCCCAGGACAGTCAAAAATGTCTCCAGGCATTACCAAATGTCCGCTATACGGCAAAATACTATCTGTGGTGAGAACCACTGCTGTACAGGTTATAATGTGTGGCAACTCTTGAAGATCCAGAATTCTAAAACATACCATTTCTCAACCATTCTGGATAAATAATAAGTTTTCATGTTATGTTTTAGTAGCACTCCATTACCCAGCATATCAGATTAACCCATAAATCCCATTTCCCAGTTATAACAATGATAAACATAAATCCAAAGTACTTGCTCTATTCAGGAACTTAACTTTCTTACCTTTTAGCAGCTATTTTTAACAGTAAATTATAAGACAAGGGAGAGTTCCTCTGGTAAATTGCTTTCATCTTCCCAAGTGACTGGAGGCCTGAGGGACTGTACAACCATAGTTGCAGCCTAACACATAATGTCCCCCTTAGCATTTTCCTTTACTCTCCGTAAACAAAGTAATTCACATCTTTTCGGCTGCTATCAGGAAGACTTTAGACTTTCTCTTGCTGTTGCAGAAACTCATATGAAGGAACAAATTTTGCAGAGAAGGAAAAACTTTATATTTTTGTTCAAAATTAAAGTAATGAAATTGAAATACACAATTCAAGGGGGTAAGGAATTAGTGGATATATTATATTAATATAAATTAATATTGCAAATAAAGAAAGACCAGTTATGACATTTTTGCTGGCTAACCCGCTCCCCAGGGTGTATGGGGGTAGGGAAATGAATGAAAATTAGTGTTCCTTATTATTTCAACTTTGTGACTATTCACATGTGTTCCTCTTTTCGTTTCACTGGACATTTCCTGAGTACCTACTATGTGGCAGGCACTGTGCTAGGGACATTCACAGCGGTTGACAGTATTTCCACACATAGATCTATATTACATGCTCCACATAATGGTCTTCTCTAAGTGATACTTGAAATTCACTGACCCATATTTGATCTGTTTTAAGTGTTCTGATTTTCAAACACAATATGTTTCTTTGAGAGGGACATGCCTATTTTTGGACAAGGGTCAAGAAAGGGAGAAGAGAGGAGAGAAAATGGCATGTTGAATAACATTTTATTAAACTGTGAAAATCTCTTTCTGAACAAGAAAGCGAAAATCATGTCAGTGGCTAGCAAACTGAAAACTTGACAAGTGATAAGCATCAACAAATTGCTTAACAAAATGTTAGCTACTGATTACAATGTTGATGCAGAACGGAAAAAGCCAGCTGACATAAAATAACATGTTAAAACTGAAAACCGCACTAATGAAAAGGGACAATGCTCTATAGCTCATTGGCTTTTGTTGGGGGTGGGGAATGGCACATATGAAGCAATGCAAAAACATACATGGCAGTTCACTGGAGTAGCTAGAAATTGAGGGCACAAAAGCAAAATGTCAGAGCCCATCCTCTGCTAAGTAATTATAAAATAAATAGATCACCTACAACCCCTTAAACTGTAGGGACTCTGGGTGGCATCCACACACAGAGAAAGAAAAAAGAAGTAACATTTGCAATTTCTCTACGCACTTAACCTTACCCAACAGCAAATAGTTAGCTCCTCCCTATTAAGGGCTGGATGCCGGGGCAGCGGGTTGCTATGTATAATCAATTATTTTGTTAAAACATTTAAAAAGTCCTGGAATTACAGGGCTTCAGGCATGTTACCTGAGTAGTGTTCCACTAATTATCTTTGAAAAATGTTTTCAATTGTGCTCCTGCAACACTCCAGATTGGCTTCCCAGGCCATTTCCAAGACCACTTTTGAAGAGTGGCCCTGTGTGTACTGCACCAAATACATTATAACAAAGCAATAGAAACACGATTTAAAAAAAATTAATTCAAGGAAACAGACAAAGTGTTCACTTGAGTGTAAATTTTGTAGCAGTAGAGAAAATCTGTTTCCACTATCTAAAATGACCATTTTTTAATGTTCTTTTTTAATCTCTACTTTAAAGGAGTCAGATATGTTTGTATAACTTCAGTCTGAGTTAGTATATCACTGTTCAACCTATTAAATAAGCCAAACCACTATTCCCCATTTTTTATTTGCTGTATTCCATTTCTATCCTTTCATTGTTTCTATGATGACTGTTTCACTAGAAATTTAGTATTTCTGTCATTCCTATTCACAGCTTCATGGCCAGGTCAGCTTTTGTATTTGAAAACCCTTGATGTTCAAAGCATGCATTTAGTACACAGCACAAAAATAGGAAATGGTATGTTAAAACAATGAACAAGTGAGAGATGCCTACACAAAACTGAATCAAGTCAAAAAAAAAAAAAGAATTTAAAATCTACATTGATAAGATAAAATTTTCAACATGAAATAAAATTTGTATCACATTTCTCCCCAAATTAACTTCCTTTTTAAAATAAACAATTCGAGCTCACATTCACAAAAAGTTACCTTAATCTGGATTTTTCCCTCAGAAAGCACTTAACATGAAAATATTAAACTCTAATCACTTCTATATTAAGAAAGGCCCACAGTTAGCAGAAAAAAAAAAAAATGAGTTTCCAGGAGACACTGAGGGTATCTCCCCAGTATCTATTTCCTCTCTCCTGTGGCTTACAGTAACCAGGCAATACAGGTATTGACCCTATCCCCAGCTCCAAGAGTGGTCTCTGATGTGTCTAAACCAGTTTTTTCAACCCCACTAAATGCAATAGTCCAATTATATAATAAATATTTTATAATGGCCTCTCTCTATACTAAATTTTTTTAATAAATACAATTATCTCCACACATTTTTTAAAATCAATACATTGCTCAAAATAAAACAACGTAGAAATAAACAAAAGTAATTTGTTTTAAAATGTATTTTAATATGTAAATCACAATATTGTAGTCAGATGCATACACCTTTATATGGAATTACCATGAAGTGAGACACCTAAAAAACAGGTGATAAGGCATGTTGCACAGATAATTCAGATGCCAGATCACCCTCCCATCTGTGATATGATTTTTCAAATGAGCAAACAAATCTCAGAAAAGTTCTGAACAAAGTATAATATTATTACAATACATCCATAGCTACATTTCTGGAAAATTCAGTGTATGTTAAAATACTGCCCCCAAAAATATATTTTGCAGAAGTCTAGATTCAGATTATATAAAATTATATACAATTTTTCACCAATATTGTGTTGTCAGTACAACATTTTCAATACAATATTGTCCAGAAGCACATTCCAAGGGAATGCAGAATGTGGAATAATTATTTGTGGTACAGGCCCATCCTGTACATTGCAAGACCTCCATAGCATCCTTGACCCTCATCCACTATATGTCAATTTTGACACACAGGCACCCCCAGCATTGTCACAACCCAATATTTCCCACAAAATTCCATGTGCATCTTCCATAATTTTCCATGCACACACATTCCCAAATGTTGGTATAACTCCCTGTTGACACACTCCCAAAGACTGGTATAACTTTCCACATTGGATATTCTAAATAACTGGGAATATCCTTGTCACCATGGTTGTTTCAGTAATAAATATGGAACCCAGGACTAAGCATGTCAGTGTGAGTATTTTCCTGGCTCCATGAAGGTCAACTCAGTGAGCACAAAGCTCAGGACTTATAATGAAAATTCTGGAACCCTCTTTCCTTTTGGATAATGTAGATACAAAGTCCAAAACTGGGCAAAACTAAATCAAAGAAGAGGAAAGAACTAAAAGAAGGGTAGAAAAAAAAATAGAGAGGGAGATTTCCTCAATCATCCCAGAAACCTTATCTCCATTATGTGAGCAAACAGTTCCGTTAAATACGTAAGCCATATTGAGCTTTGTTTTTCCATTGCTTACAAATGAAAGTTCTCTTATCTTCCCCTTGCCCTCCAAGGATACATGACTCAGGGAAAAGAGCAAGCAAGATAGAGCCCCATGAAGGCAAGGAACTTGAATACCTGGTTTAATTGTTTGTCCTTGGACTGTAGCATGGTATGTGGGTGCCAGTAAATATTAGTTAGTTGAATGAATGAACAAACAAACATAGGCTTGGACAAATAATCATTGAGCATATAGGCTTGGGCTAGCTTCGTGGCTTTGCCATTTACTACCTGAGATAACCCTAGGCAAATAGCTTATCCATTTTCTTACCTATAAAACTGGAGGCAGAGTTCTACCTGCTCACCTCTCTAACTTCATCTCACGATACTCTACTCCTAGATTATTACACTCCAGCAACACTAACCTCTTTGCAAGAACCTCAAACACCTCACTCTCTTTTCTGAGGCATGGCCTCTGCAAAGAATATTTCATCTGCTTAGGACACTCTTTCTCTTCCCCTTCTTATGCTTGGATTTTTCTGGTCCTTCAAGATTCAATTTAAAGTGCTGCTTCCTCCACCAAGTCATCCCTGACAAACCTACAGCCTTTCCCAGATTGCTATCACAATACTGTTGATACAAACTGAATATTTGTGGAGCCCTAATACCCAATATGATGGTATTAGAGGTGGGGCTTTGGGAGGTAATTAGGGTTAAATGAGGTCCTAAGCATGGAGCACACGATGAGATTAGTGCCCTTATAAACAGAGGAGGAGACCAGAGCATTTGCACATCCTCTCTTCCTCTCTCTTTCCCTCTCTCTCTCCACCCCATGTGAGGACACAGCATGAAGACAGCCATCTGAAAACCAAGAAGATGGCCATCAGCAGATACTGAATCCACCAGCACTTTGAACTTGGACCTTCCAGCCTCCAGAGCTGCAAGAAAAAATGGTTGTTTAAGGCACTCAGTCTACAGTAGTTTGTTAGCCCAAGCTGAGAAAGACAACTGATAGATATCAATAGCACTTGTCACAATCTACACTTTGTGGCTATGATTTGTTTCCTTGTTCATCTAGTGTCTCTTTCACTAGAAAGGAAAATCCATGAAGGCAGGGAGCACGTCCATCTAGTTAATCCATCACCAACACCTAGCATATAATTGTCAATACCTAATATCGAATGAATGGTTCCTACTACTTCTCCAGTTAACTTCATACTCCTCAATCTCTATATTCTCTAGCTATATAGGCCTTATTTTAATTCCTCAAGCTGCTATTGCACATTCCATTCCCCCTGCCTGAAGCCTTCTTTCATCCCAGCACTGTAACATTACCTACTTTCTTCCTGATCTCATCTCCTTTACCTGTCTAATTTCTACTCTTCTATCAGATCTTAGTTTAACATTGTTCTTTTTCCAGAAGGCTTTCTCTGACCCCAAATACTAAGTTAAAACCCCCTACTATTCACTGCAATAATTCCATGTCATAATACTAATCACAAGTACTATAATAATTACTAAATTACCTCTTTTCCATGGTAAGCTCTATGGAGTCAAGGACTGTGTCTTAGTCACAGCTGAAACACATAGTAGGTGCTCAATAAAACCTATTCCCTTCCCTCTTTTGATAAGACTGGTACCTAAATCTGAGGTTGTCAACAACATCCTATTGCAAGAGAGAGACTTTTGGACTATTCCCAAAGTCCAAAGTCTATTCAAGCAAAGCCACATTCTTAACAAAATCTGACTCCTCTAACTTGATATCAAGCAAAATGTCAGTTCTGAAGGACTAGATAGTTCAATAAATTGCACAGAACTCCAGTGACAGGCATCGCAAGATTGCCATCAGATTTATGATTTGAAAACTCAACTACTCAAGTAAAAATCTCTTCATCACAAGGTTATAGGGCCAGCAGAGTGTTACTATTACAAGGTTGAAAAGATTCAGAAAATTCACTATAGAAATAAAGGGTTATTTGAAAATAAAATTAAACATTAGAAAAAAACAGGTAATAAAAAATAGATTTCACATATGGTAAAACAACAAAATTAAACAAGGAAATAGGCTTTCTTTTTAGAAAGCAAACTCAGAGACTGATTTACCATCTCTGAATTATTTCACTTATGAATATCATCAGCTCAATTAAGTTAGTAACAAAGCCTGCATTGCGCAATAAAGTAAAAAAAAATCATATTATGCAAAATGTTATTAGGAAAGCTTACCTTTTGGCTGGTCAGTAGACAGTTAAAAAGTGAGGATTTTCTTATTCTGTGATGTGAACTGATAAACAACATAAATCTCAGGAGAAATCATACATGTATAGAAGAAATGCATGGCTTCTTCACCCTGATTGACTTTTCCCTGCTCCCCATGTGTCTCAGGAGAAGAATGCTCTTTTTTATGCCAGACGCATCATGATGAATGCTGATGAGACAATATTTGACTCATCACTGCTTAGATGGTTATTTTGCATGCAATCTTTCAACTTCTTCATCAATTCATTGGCTTGCACACACAGCAGTATTTGGGGTGCGATTCCTAGTTAGCAGGTGAACATTTTTGTTTTTAAATTACAGGGATTTTATTAGAAGAAAAGGTATATTTACTTTCATCAGTTTAGATTAAGTTGATCCAAGAATCAATTAAAAGATGCAATAATCTTCAAAGTTATTTTCTTTAATACAGTGACCCACAATTGTTGTGAATCGTTTCATGTCTATGGAGATACAGATGAGCTAAATAGATATAAATCTAGAATCATACAACATGTGGCAGTTTTTGTCTTCTTTATGATTCTTCTGTCAACCCTAATAATTTCAGAGGAAAATAGATCTGCTTTTTCCCTCTATGAAACTATCTCATTCCAATATTCAAAAAATACAAATAACAGAGGACAAAACTTTTCAGAATATAATTTCTCCTAAGGTTTTGGGAAATCACTGCACAGAAAAAATGAGCTATCCTTGTAATTCACAATGGCAGTTAAGCATAAGGTATAAAGACATCCAAAGCTTTTTCTGTAAACACTATATACGCAGAGAAGTTTATAATTAGCAGTGGTTGAGGGAACCAAAGACAGAAGATATTGACAACTGAGAAGCCAGGATAACATCTTCTAACCACAAAGTGTTGTGTGGTGAAATATTTGTTAAGAGAATTAGCAAGAGTAGGCAACAATTTCTCTCGCATGCAGAGAGTGGTATTTAGAGTATAGCCATTGGCTAAGTAAAGCTTTATAGAACAGTAATTGGTAATGTTTGGGGGGACATGCACCCCTTTGAAAAATGTCATAATCTACCATTTCTTATTCCCAGAAAATATATGCATATGCACAGAATTTTTCATAAAATTTGAAGAGATTCCCTGAGGCTCTCAAGTCTGTCCTTAGAACTTTCCTCCATCCTCCACCCCCATCCCCAGCAGAAGTCTCTACTTTGGAGAGAACCCTCACCTTAAACATGGGACTGAAGCTTACAGGGAGAAAAAAGTACTATGCTGTTAGGAATTTGTCTTCAATACAATCACACCTATTTAGCAGAAAAGCTCCTGTTTCTTACCCCTGCTACCTCAAGGACAGATATGTAGAGAAATGTCCTGCACCGATTCTTCCTGAAGAGTCAAGGGAACATATTTACAGTTCATGGGCAAATAAACTTACACTGTAAATGATCATATATAAGCTAATGAGGAATTGAAGGAAAGTAATATTTATGAAGTATTTAGGTATGCTAAGCCCTCTATGAGCTGCTTTAATACAAATTACCACATTAAATCTTCACAAGAACCCTGGGAGCTAGTTATTATTATTCCTACTCAAGAATAAATGGAAACAATGGTTCCAAGAAGTTAACTAACCTGCACAAGGTCACACTGCTGGTTGAGGATGGAATTTAGGTTCTAACTCGGAATTATCTCATTCCAAAGCTCATCTTCTTTCCTTTACCTTCTATTTCTTCATGGCTAAGTTTATGGCATGGTCATCCACTGTGCTTGGAAAACACGTTAGAGCTTAGGGCCTTTCTCATGGAGTACATAACTAATCCACTCAAAAGAATCCCAACCCCTCCCCACCACCTCCACTCCAACCACCCTGATACAAAGCATCATCATCTCCCCCTGGATTATTGTAATGGCCTCCTCACTAGTCCTGCAGCTTCCTCCCTGACCCTCATACAGCCCATACTCAACACAGCAGCCAAAGTGATGCTTTAAGAACAAAAGTTAGATCACAGCATCGCTCCTGTATTCAAACCCTGCAATGGCTCTCCAACATGCTCAGAATAAAAACTGCATGCCTTATGAAAGCCTACAAAGTCCAATTTCATCAGGTCTCAGACCTGCCTCTCTGACCTCACCTTAGATCTTCAAAATCCTCCTGTCTAGCCTCATTAGCCTGCTTGATGCACTCTTCAATTTTGTACTGCTTATCCCCTCTGTCTGGAATGCTCTTCCCCCATATCTCTATCACAAACTCCTCAAATCTTATGTCTTTGCCTCAAATGCCGCCTCCTTTATGAGGGCTTCCCCAGTTATGCTATTTAAAATTGCACATCAGCCAGGTGTGGTGGCACCCGCCTGTTGTCCAAAGCTACTTGAAAGGATGAGGCAAGAGGATGGTTTGAGCCCAGGAGTTCAAAGTTACAGTGAGCTATGATTGTACCACTGCACTCCTGCCTAGGCAACACAGTGGGACCCTGTCTCTAAAAAATAAAATAAAATAAAATTGTGCACCAACTAATACCCCAATGTTCCTTATTCTCCTACCCTTCTTTATTTTTTCCATGGTATGTATTATCATTTGATATACCTTTAATAGCACTCATATGCTTATGTTCTCCTTCTTGCCTCCTGTAGAATATAAGTTTCATAAGCGCAGGAATTGTTGCCTGATAGTTTACTGCTATAGTTTTAGTTCCTGAAACAATTCCAGGCACACAGTATGTGCACAATTAATGTTTGATGAATGAATAAGTAAATAAATGGTCACTGGCACTCCAAGTCTTAATTGACAGACCAACAGAACACACTGAACTGTGCAGTCTTCTAGAGTCTACTTGCATGATAACTGCTGTAATAGGAGGGCTGCCTCTCAACACTCCACTGCACGCCAATTAAATGCAGCCTGTGAGTGTGTGCACAGTCCCCAGCAAAGTTTGGCCTCCCCTGGTACAACCAAAGGGCTCCTGCATGTCATCTTTTCAGTTCAGTGCACCACTTAAGACATCTAAATCAATGGAAACAGAAACGTTCATTTTAATTTAAAATAGCCTTTGCAGAAGAGGTGTGAGCTTTACATTTTAAGCAAGTTTGCCAACTTTATCCTTAGTTAAATAATAAGTGCCACAAGAATTAATAGATTTCATGCCACCCAGAGATCAGAAATAAGGTGAAAAAAACAGTTTCCTTCCTTTTCCATGGAGTAATTAGATATATAAGTGAGGACATCTATGGTTTTAAGAAATTGTTAGATATGGTTAAATGCTTGGGGGCGGGGGAGAGGATGAGAAGAAGAATCCTCCCAAAGCTGTTTACCTTTACCAACCTAGGAAAAGATCTTGTCAATCTCTGCTAAAAGGTGTGTTAGGGGAAAATAAAATAAAGACAAATAAGCAAATGTGTTTTAATACTCCTGAAAAAACTAATAGTCAGCAAGATAGTCAGTATTATAATTACTTGTGCTGTCACAAACAGGGCTTCCAGCAGTGCAAAATGAGTACACCTTACTGAATTACTGAATGTTATAAAATGCTTAAGTATTTTGCAGAATTCATTTTCCCCATTTACGGATTGTCATTGACAAAGTGAAATAAAATGAAACATTACACCCCAGAGTGTCAACTCAGGTTGTTCTTAGTGGAAAAGCAAAATACAAAATTTTATAATAGAATGTGAGAATTATGCCTACCATGTTATAGTTTATACATTAATCTAATATAAAATCAAACATAGCAATTCAAAGAATTAATTAATACCTCTTCTCCTGGTTTGGGACAGAAGAAGGGATACTTTAGCCAACATCTGCACCAGAGAAACATTTTCTCCATTTAGGAGGCTGTGTGAGCAGTAGCATGCATCTTAGTAACAAGCATTACTTGAACCATAGCATGTGATAAAAAGAAAAAAAGACTAAGGCCAACACTTTGGGGAGAGGCTTTCTTATTATTCAAAAGGCATAACACATTAGAGCTGCAAGGGATCTAGACCAATTTCCTCACTATACAGACAAGAAAATGGGGGTTTGGATTTGAGAAGTGACTCGCCCAAGGTCACACAGTGACTTAGCCAGGACAAAAATCACGTCTCCTAACTCCCAATCCAATTATCTTTTCACTACCATGTGGGTACTCAATAAACATTGGTTTCTCTTTCTTTTAAGCAGCAGGAGGAAAGACAGAGAGAAAGGACATTGCCATTTATTATTGTTTTTTGTATTTTTTAATATAAGGACTTTAGAAAGACAATACCAAAGCGGCAATGTGTATTTTATTTCCCCAGAGCATGATGTGTTCTTGGGTAAATGTGTTTTATGAAGAGATTTGTCCTGGGAAGTTGGCAGATTTTACTGTAAATATTTTAACAGTTTCCTATTATTTAGTTGTGGGATTAAATTTTTATCCCAGCTGCCCCAGACCGATGTCTGCAAGTTATAAGTGGTTTTGTGAGGGAGTGCTGGCAAGAATTATGGCTTTCTTCTTTAAAGAATGTTTTGGTAGACATTCAAAGAAGAACTTCTCCTGTCTGCAAGAAATCAGCTCTCAGCTTCTTCAGCTTCCCACCAGCTTCAGAGAACTGCTGTGCTGCAGGTCAAGGCCTTCTGGTGCTATCCATATCTGGTGACCAAGCAAGACATGAGGAGTAGAAAGGCTTAGACAGTTTGACCAACGCAGAAGAGCTCTGATGAACAGTACTCACTTCAGAGCTCCCTGACAGTGATCAAGGCTTTTTCAGACCCACATCACAATTCAAATTCTCCCTCCACCCAATATGCTTCTCCTCTTAACCTTCATAAAGGTTAATCTCTAATAAATATCTCATAGGCAGAACTCTGCCTCACTGTCTGCTTCCACTCAATCCAACCTGCAACAAATGTCTGCTTGGTTTCTCAGGCAGACACTCTAGCCACAAGTTTTCAGCCAGCCTAGGGTGGTGCCCAGTTCATACTAGAACCAGCTTCCCCAGGGCTGCCAGGACCATCAGAAGTAGGTTTTATGTCCTATAGGAACAGGGAAATACAAGAGACTAGCTGATCAAAGACTATAGGCCTTGCTTGCATCACATCAAAAAGTTAGCACATGGGGTCAAATTAAAACAGCCTTGACTGTAGAGAGAACAGATGAGCCCCTGGTAGACACCAGGGAAGAACCCACTGTTCATGTTTTATCTTGATCAGCTTCTCAGGATCAGGTGCTGTGCTGAGTGCTTTACATATGTTGTGCCTTTAAATCCTCACAACCACCTTCTGTTCTAAGGCAGATTTCTTTATCCTCATTTTACAGTTTTAAAAATAGTCTCAGAGAAGTTAAGTAAATTGTCCAAGGTTACCAGTCAGATCACAGATGCCTGAAATACCTTGAACAATGAACAAAGTTCTTCATTTTACACAGAGAAGGTGGGCTTAAAGCCCCTAAGCATCTCTGAGGAGGAAAGTTCAGAGAGAACAATGACTGGGTTTCTGAAGCCTGTGTGTTCTGTCTATGTAGACTGATCGTGTAATTGACCTATAGCACTGCGAGAATGGGGCTTACTGCAGTGAACAGCTTTGCTTTTCTCTGAAGTGGTTCCAGTTGTTTCTGCTTGCCTCGAAGGTTCCAGTTCCTAGCACCGTTGGTCAGGCTCTCCAAAGAGGTGCATGCAGCTTCAACCTGCAGAAGCTTTACCTGCCATCTTCTATGTCTCTGTTCCCTTCTTTGAGGATAAACCTCAGACTTGCTATTCATGCCATTCAAACAAAGAATTTTGCCTGACATTTTGACTGCTATTTCAGTGTTTAAATTTTACTATACATTGCAGTTCAATGGTTTTGTCTTTTTTAGTGAGTAATCTTTTGATTTGGCTTTATATTATTATATTGTTACTTCTGCTTTTTAAAACTTTCCTAAACTGTAAACACTAAGAGATATGCAAGCCAAACAATTATGCTAACAGCCATGCCCCAAACAGGGGGAGCTGAATGACTATTTTATATAGTTAGTTCTGCACAGGGCTTTTCTTTATCCCTAAGGAAGACTCCTAGGCAAGCCCCAGTAAACATTAAATTCAGTCAACTAAGAAAAATTGACAGAGCCACACTCATCACTGATCTTGATCATTTGGGAAAACCACAAACAAAATCTTCCTATGGAAATGCATTGAAACTGTCCCTAACACTAGGTTATCATTGTTTCTGTAAGTATTAACAACCACGTATTGAGTGCCCACTAATGCCAGGCATCACACGGTCTCCTCACCATCCAACAGGGAAGCACCTTTATGTTCATATGTGCTAGCTACCAGTAGGATTACGTTCCCCTTCTTATAAATGAAGAAACTGGGGCTCAGAAAGGTTAAGTAACTTGCCACTTTATAAGCTTGTGATCTTAAGGAAGCTATTTAACCTATCTGAGACAGTTTTGTCATGTATACAATGAGAAAAATAATAACTACCTGAGCCTGGTGTAGTGCCCACACCCCTAATGCTCTGCCTGGCCCACAGCAGGCCTTCAATTAACATTTGTTGAATAAACGAAAGTCATAAGAATTGAATAGGATGAGAATTATAAATACTGTAAGAAAACTGACTAGGACAGTGTGTGGCAAATGGTGGCTATGTTATTGTCATTTCATAGTGGTAAGTAGTTACAAATGCCTATGTTCCTTTCACTCCATGACATCATGTTTCAGATCATGGCACTGTAATGTTTTCAGAAAAAAAACTGGAGCCTAACTAAAAACATACTACCACAGTGACAATTCATAGTGTCTTCCATGCATGACTACCCAATATTGGCCAATATTGCAGAGCAGCTACACCACACTTAGAGGAGAGAGTAGGAGAAAAGTTCTACCCAAGTCAGATCTTTCTATTAAATGCCTCTGCTTTATCTCAAGCAAAGTTTCCCATGGTATTTGCTGGAAGAGGGTATAAAAGTCTTTAATTAAATTATGAGAATCCTCTTTAAATCTTGGTGGCTTCTTGAAAAACTCCAATGAAAAAGATCCACCTTTTGTCAAAGCAGTGTGTCACAGATAATTTCTTTAATGTTTAATATTTACTGGATTGTAACTATTTGCTGGGCAATGTTTTAACCACCTGGTGCAGATTAACATCTTTAATCCTTATGAGAACGCTATTATATAAGTACTACTATTGTTTTCATTTTCCAGAGGAAAAAAGTGAAGCACAGAGAGGTCAAGGAATGTACTCAAAGCTATACTGTGAATAAGGGCTTACCCAAAGTTCAAATCCAGGATTCTACGGATATCACTATGCTATACAACCCCTCCATACCTGCCTTTCCAAACTTCTTTGTTTTTAAGGAGACCTAAGCACTGGCTAAGTTTAAAATTTTGCCTAGCAAGGTTTTTCAACACGGAGATGGCTGCAACATGTAGGGTTACCTCCCAGCCTCCTCTTGCACCAGCCATGGCCAGATAAGAATCCTTCCAAGACTAACAGCCTTCTTTATCTCCCTAAAAATGCTAACCCCCTTCAGCAGAAGAATCCCCCATGGATGAGTAGTCAATTGGAGAAAGTCTCCTAATTGCATTTGCAAATTGACTTGGGAAAGAACCAGGTATCATTAAGGCCATGCCTGATCTACAAAGTAATCAGTATACAGAGCTTAGGCCTTAAAACTAATTATAAAACGGAATTTTTTCCCCTGCTGAAATTCTTAAAGAATCTGACCAGCCCAAGGACTATCTAACTAAGAACTTTGTTTCATCTATAAAACCTGTCCAGGGTAACATCCCTAGGGACACCACACAGCTTGACTCCAGCATGTGCCATTCATGTGATCTATGTGAAGGTAGCTGGCTAGACCAATACAGCCCACAACCTGAGCAGCTTTCAGCAGTAGCCCTGACACTTCTAATGGCAGCCTCTGCCCACCCCCCACAACCTTATTAACCAAATCTCTTCTTGATGTCATCTTTCCTATAGACCCTCAGTCAAATTATCCTTTAGAGTCTTAAAATTCGGCAGGGTGTGGTGGCTTATGTCTGTAATTCTAGCACTTTGGGAGACCAAGGCAGGTGGATGGCTTGAGCTCAGGAGCTCAAGACCAGCATGGACAAAGTGGCAAAACCCTCTCTCTACAAAAAATACAAAAAAAAAATTAGCTGAGCATGGTGGCACATGCCTGTGGTCCAAGCTACTCGGGAGGCTGAGGTGGGAGGATCGCTTGAGCCAAGGAGGTTGAGGCTGCAGTGAGCTGAGATCATGCCACTGCACTCCAGCCTGGGTGACAGAGTGAGACCCTATCTTAAAAAAAAAAAAAAAAAAAAAAAAGTCCTAAAACTCTCATACGATGACCATAGAGTTGATAGTTTTCCTTCTCTGCAGGAAACAAATGGAACTGGCAAACTGTGACTATTGCCTCTTGTTCTTAAGTAAGATCTGTGTGTCCTTCTCTAGAAGATACATTTCAATATAGTACAGAGAATGAGATGTTAGGCAACCTCCTGTAAGAAACATCTCTGTCCAAAATTATGCTAGGTTAGTGTTGAATATCACTATTGAAAAGCAGAAAGTGGCCTGCCTCTGGAACCACCACTATAGAGGCATGCAGTCATGACTGGATATCGTTCCTGCCAGTTACTTCTGTCGCAGGAGAGCTCAAAAAAGAGGTAAGGTCACCTAAGCCCCATGAAGGAATGATTCTATCCCTCCCTCCACCAAAAAAAAAAGATCCAAATCTAGTTGTATATTTGTGGAAAAAAATTTTTTCAAGAACCAGCACAGAGCTGACACCATTGTGGTAGTACACAAATTGTGGATACAGAAGCAGCCACAGAGCAACTCTACTGATTTGCCTCTTGGGGAATTGTTACATTTCTTTTTTGTCTTAATAAAAACATTAAGATACAAACATTCAGATTATCCAAAAGAAGGCACCCTTAATATTTGGCATACATTTAAAGCAATGTCCCAGGCCCTTAAGTAGAACCCAACCTATGTCCTATGTCATAGGATGCCACCATCCCAAGGCTGGCAGTTTTTTTTATTAAACCACTGCCTTCCCAGGATGGACTGGTTGAGAAAGCCTTATATCCCATTTCATAAGAAATCGGTCTAGTAGTTATGCCTCAACCAAATGAACTTGCCTTGATGTCCAGTCTAGCAATACTGATCAATGGTCAACTACTTGTAATCAGTTAATGTCAAAGCTTGTACTTGGTGAGGTATATGTATAAAATGGATTTTACTTTTCTCCAAAGCCTTCTAAGTGGATGTTCCCTTCAACAATAATCAAAGGTGATGATCATTTAACACCTTAGGTAGACACCATAACTTCTTATTCAGCTTTTGTTTATAATAGTTTGTCCAATCTAATGTTCCAGTCGCCTACCAAATTCAAAGCTTGTCTTTCCCCCATCACTGTTTAGTTTGTGCTACATGGCAGGGGTCCCCATCCACCAGGCCGCAGACTGGTACTTGTCCCTAGACTGTTAGGAAAGAGGCCACACAACAGGTGAGCGGTAGTCCAGAGAGCAGTACCGCCTGAGCTCTGCCTCCTGTCAGTTGGCGGTGGCCTCAGATTCTCGTAGGAGCCAGAACCCTACTGTGAACTGCGCATGCAAGGAATCCGGGATGCGTGCTCCTTATGAAAATCTAACTAATGCCTGATGATGTGAGGTGGAAGAGTTTCATCCCGAAACCATCCTCCGCACCCCCGTCCGTGGAAAAATTGTCTTCCACGAAACCGGAGTCTGTTGCCAAAAATGTTGGGGACCACTGATATAAGGGACCTAAAGAAGTGGAAGAAAATATATTCATGAACTCATCCTCCTCCTTCACCTTGGAATGAAAAGCAGTAGCCTCCCTCTGGGACATTCTCCTCCCTGTTCGGAGCCTCCGCCTATTCAGGAGAAAGAGAGAAGGGTCTTTTATTAATACTTGAATGGCACTATCTACCACTAGCTGGCTGCGGATGCCCAGTCTGGAGAAAATATCCAACTCCTCACTCTCTTGGTGAGGCATGCACATGAATTCTCTAGCTGATTCAGCAAGGCATCCTCGCTTGACATAATGGAATTTAGTTGTGACTTAACCTTTGCTAGTGTGCTATCAACTCCTATCCCAAGTGTTATACCCCACAGCCTTTTGCTGTTGGCGATACCCCCTTGGGTAGGATACCAGGAAGGCAGCTTAAGCACAACTATTCTTTGGTATCTACATAACCAATGAAAAATTCATGCTTCCTTCCTTGCCATGCCAAATGATGGGAATGTTGGTTACTATGCCTCCTCTTCACCCTACTCTTTCACTCCAGTTCTCCATTTCCCCACTGGCATAAGCACAGTTCTTTGCCAAATCTAACATCTATCCTGGAGTAACAGTTTCCCCGTCATGAAGGATCCCTCAAGTTTCTGTGAAGAGGTTTCTTGGAGGCCCTCTCATCTCACCTCAAGAAGGGGAAGCACCTTAATTCTCCCATCCATATGCCATACCACTGCCCTCCTAAGGTTGCTTTGCCTTCAAAGCTTTCTCCCCTTTGCTGCTTTTTTTTTTTTTTTTTTTGACAGGATCTGGCTCTGTTGCCCAGGCTGGAGTGCAGTGGCACAATCTTGGCTCCCTGCAGCCTCGACCTCTGAGGCTCAAGTGATCCTCCTACCTCAGCCTCCCAAGTAGCTGGGACTACAGGCATGCCACCACAACCAGCTAATGTTTTGTATTTTTTTGTAGAGACTGTTTCATCATGTTGCCTAGGCTGCCACTTCTCCTTTAATCGGCTGGAAATAGGAAGTGGTCTTGGGAAATGACTGGAGGTAGGAAGGCTTCTGGTTCTTAACCCTGAATGAATTGTATGGCTCCCTATAACGATGGCTCTCTTAAGAATGGGAGGTACTTAACCTCTCTGTCCCTAATTTTGATATCTAGTCCCTGTATCCCAGGCAATATGAAAAGTGCCATGCAACATCCTGTTACAAATAGAAACACAATCCAGGGCTTTTAGAGGCAAAGAGCTACCTTTTCCATGACCCTGACAGTTCTCTGGAATACACCTGATAAAAATTAATAATCTCAAGATATGTAAGATATAGCCTCTAACCTGATAATCTTCTTTTGGGAGCTTTAAAACTATTTGTTTGTATAGAGACTAAGATCCTAGAGAGTTACTCCCTCTTGGTAAAGTTTGGGTCCTTTATTAAAATATGACCACTAATACTGGTATAAAAATAGACACACAGACCAGTGGAACAGAATGGAGACCCCTGAAATAAAGCTGCATACCTACAACCAACTGATCTTTGACAAAGTCAGCAAAAATGAACCATGAGGAAAGGATACTCTATTCAATAAAGAGTGTTAGGAAAACTGGTTAACCAGGCACAGAAGACTGAAACTAGATCCATACCTCTCACTATATACAAAAATTAACTCAAGATGGATTAAAGGTTAAAGGTAAGTCCTCAAACTATAAAAGTTCCAGAAGAAAACCAAATACATATATATATATGTATATATGTATGTGTATATATATGTGTGTGTGTATATATATGTATGTATATATGTATGCATGTGTGTGTGTGTGTATGTATGTATATATATATATATATATATATATATATATATATATATATATAGCAAATGCAACAAAAACAAAAATTGACACCTGAGACCTAATTTAACCAAAGAGCTTCTGCACAACAGAAGAAACTATCGGCCGGGCATGGTGGCTCACGCCTGTAATCCCAGCACTTTGGAGGCTGAGGCGGGCAGATCACAAGGTCAGGAGATCAAGACCATCCTGGCTAACACAGTGAACCCTTGTCTCTACTAAAAAATACAAAAAATTAGCCAGGCACGGTGGCGGGGGCCTGTAGTCCCAGCTACTTGGGAGGCTGAGGCAGGAGAATGGGGTGAACCCGGGAGGCGGAGCTTGCAGTGAGCCAAGATCCCGCCACTGCACTCCAGCCTGGGCAACAGAGCAAGACTCTGTCTCAAAAAAAAAAAAAAAAAAAAAAGAAACCATTAACAGAATAAACAGACAACCTACAGAATGTGAAAAAATATTTGCAAATTATGCATCTGACAAGGGACTAATATCCAGAATTAATAAGGAACTTAAAAACATCAACAAGAAAAAAATAACCGCAATAAGAAGTTGGCAAAGGACATGAGCAGAAACTTCTCAAAAGAAGGCATACAAGTGATCAACGAACATATGGAAAAAAATGTTCAACATCACTGATCATCAGAGAAATGCAAATCAAGACCACAATAAGATACCATCGAACGCCAGTCAGAATGGCTATTACTAAAAAGTCAAAAAAAAGCAGATGTTGGCGAGCTTGCAGAGAAAAATGTATGCTTATACACTGTTGGTGGGAATGCAAATTATTAAAGTTCCTGTGGAAACCAGTTTGAGATTTCTCAAAAAACTAAAAATAAAATTACCATTCAATCCAGCAATCCCAAAGGAAAATAAGTCATTCTACCAAAAATACACTTGCACTTATAAATTCATAACAGCACTATTCACAATGGCAAAGACATAGAATTAAACCAGGTGCCCATCAATGGTGGGTTGGATAAAGAAAATGTGGCATATATACAACATGGAATACTATGCAGCCATAAAAAGGGTAAAACCAAGTTTTTTGCAGCAACATGAATATAGCTGGAGACCACTATCCTAAGCGAATTGATATAGAAACAGAAAACCAAATACCACATGTTCCCACTATCAGTGGGAGCTAAACATTCAGTACACACAGACATAAAGTTGGGAACAATAAACACTAGAGATTCCAAAAGAGGGGAAGGAGGAAGGAGGGCAAGAGTTGAAAAACTACCTATCAGATACTATGTTCACTACTTGGGCAACAGGAACATTAGAAGCCCAAACCCCAGCATCACTCAATATACCCATATAACATACCTGCACATGTACCCTCTGGATCTAAAATTAAATAAATCAATAAGTAAAATATGACCACTAAGAAATGTAGAGACAAAGGGTTTTGTCTCACTAATCTTGAGTAACCTTAAAGAGATTTTTCTGAGTAACCGGTATACTCAATTGGAATTCAGTCCTTCTAATGCCAATATGACCCTGTCTCCAATTAAAAAATAATACATATGTCTTAATGTATATGCAGGTCTCCCCTTGTTGAGGTATTCATGGATTTTTGAGACATTCCAATCTAATTGCCTTTCAAGTTTTTCTTTGATCCCATTACCTAGCATTATAATCTTAGGTTCACCTGGAATTCTTTTCTAGGCCTTGCCTAACCAGTACCTCAGCTAGAATGGACCACACCCTCAGCCTGATCCAGAGCTAGGCCTTAGCACAGACTTACAGCATTTATTAACGTATCATTTGCTTTCAGTTCCAAGACAAAAAGATTCATGAACCCACTATGTATTCTTGATATGAACTCTAGTAATATTCCTTCAGGTTCTTTCTTGTAATTACTTAAGAATCAATATGGATAGGAATTGGCTCTCGAGAATTAAAATCCAGGTCCTGTTCAATGGTGTAGAATAAAGGATAAGACATAGATCTAGGCAATGCTAAAGCCCTTAAAAAGAGTTTTAAAATCTGTGCTCTGCAGAGCCTGGGGTTCCTCAGAGGTATCATAGGAGCTTTCACAGAGGGGGGAAATTCAGAAGTGAGGCTCTCCTTGCTCTCTCTCCCACATTCTGAACCGAAAGGATTTTATTTTACATGCTTTATATATCAGGCTTCTAACTAAGATTTTATATGAAAATACAGTTTTGCTGCCAAAAAATAAACATTTGCTATATGAATTTCCTTAAATAGAATATATATATTCTATTTATATATATATACACATTATATATATATATATACTCTTGACTTATCAAATGAGAATAAATTCTGCCTTAAGGAGAAGCTGAACTTAATTTTACAAATTACTATCATAAAAAAAGTATATTAATAACTATGACAAAATATAAGCATCATTTTTAAGGTTCATTCTTCAATATTCAGCTGTACTAAATACTTTCCTCCAACTCTCACTCAGCCACAAAAATGCTTTCACAGACTATAATTTAATATTATGCCTTGGCCTTTATCAGAGGTTGATACAAGGAACTGCAATATGACAAACATTTCTGCCTTATTTGTGAAATTGCTGTTGAAGATACCATCCATCTCCCTTTTATAAAGATCGACGCAATTACTCTCCTTAAAGCTAAGGGACAGAAAACTCTTCTCTTTCCTATTTTTGAAATTCCAAGAAACCTGTAATCCCTTAGGTTTGCCTTTAGCCTCCAGTAAACTGAAAGTTAAATTTAGTGTTTAAGCAGCAGGGGATGGGGCAGGGGTACATTCAGATGCTGTGTTTTTTGACCCAATTACCACCCAGTTCTTTTCTAATTCAGCCAACATGAATTGAGTATTTAGGTGCTAAGCACTGTGATAGACGCCAAGGGCACAAAGATTATTAAAACAAGATGCTTTCCCTAAAAGAGATCTTGGATGAGTACCTCTTGTTCTTTCATTTTATTTTCATGATCTTTCTGTATATGGACCTTTATTTGTAGCCTATCTCATTCCTATTTTTGAAAACAGATATGGTATTAGATACAAGTAAATAAAATAAATTAGCATATTCTAGAAAAAGAAGGCATTGACTTAAATTCATCTAGAGGCGTAGATAACTAATACTATATTCTTCTCTCTTAGCCTCCTAAATCATCTCAAAGACTGAGCCCCTCTTCCAACCCATCCTACACACAATCATCTGATTAATATTCTAACAAGCCTATTCTAATCATATCATTCATCTTCTACTCAAAAATACTACTGTCAGTACCACACACATTGCCTTCAAAATAAAGTCACAAAACAGTAGCAAACCTGGCTGGGCATGGTGGCTCACACCTGTAATCACAGCACTTTGGGAGGCCGAGGCTGTTGGATCATTTGAGGTCAGGAGTTCGAGACCAGCCTAGCCAACATGGTGAAACCCCATCTCTACCAAAAAAATACAAAAACTTCGCCAGGCATGGTGGTGTGTGCCTGTAGTTCCAGATACTCAGGAGGCTGAGGCACAAGAATCACTTGAACCCAGGAGACGGAGGTTGTGCTACTGCACTTCAGCCTGGGCAACACAGTGAGACCCTGTCCAAAAAAAAAAAAACTGCTTCATCCCTCATAAGCACTTATCAATGGATGGGGCTGGGTTACCCATTCCTAGACTGAAATAGGCACATCCAAGTGTTGAAGGCCTTGTCAAAAAAAAAAAAAGACAGTCACAGTAAATCCACATGAACTTTCTTCTAAAACACTAATTTCTTTATTTAGCCATTTGGGATCTTACATATCAACCACATAAGTTATTAACATTATTTCTCACGTCTGTTCAAATTCACATCACCACCATCACCTTCTTTTAGGCAGGAAGGGTATTCTTCTTGCCCTTTACAAACTCAACAACTGGAGCAAACCCAGATCCGAGGTCACCTGGCTAATCAGTACCTATCTTGCTTGCTTCCTCCTGATGTGCCTCTAAGAAGCAGAATGCAGCCCATGCTGAAGGCCACCCACAGTGACTGCCTGCTGTCCATGAAGGCATTCCTCTTGCGGGTTAGTCCTTGGTTGAAAGTCTTTCGCCACAGAGGAAGCTAGTGTTCCTAGATTTTGTCACTTGCAGAGAAACTTAAAATGTGTTCTCTATAAAAAGGAAGGTCTTCTTTACTTTCAATGTAGAAGATTGCCCGGAATGACAATATATATGGTTCATTTGCAGTAGCTGATGTTTGTGTAGTTATTTAGTGTCATAGAGAAAAGACTTGATACTTTATGACGAGACTTTAGTGCCAATTTAGTCATGCAAATATATAGTGGCATAGAGACAAAAATCCTTTAGCTATTTATTCTGATTCCAACTGTAATTTTTCCACTGTTCTTGCCAGAAAAGTGTTAGTAAACTAATTTCTTTCTTCCCCAGACTTGTGTATCTTGTACATAAAATAGAAATCTCTACTTCTAATCATGCTTTAGTCCAACAGGGCTTCTAAGCCATACATTAGAATAGACTCTATTATTTAAAGAAGTATATTTACGGGGTTAAGAATACTAAGAAGACTCAAGAAATAAATTCTTCAGTTATGTTTCATTTAGCTATCAGATACAGTTACCTAGTGAACTAGTGAAACAAAGTAATGTTAGCCTTTAGAGGTTTATGGTTCTAGGGAGGAATAGGGAAAACCATGGAAAGCTGTAGTGCAAAATATTTTCAATAAAGTGGACATTTTTGATTTAGTGTATTCCTCTGAAACAGCAGGCCCATCTGTAAAATACACAACAGAATGCTATTGCTTTGGGAAATGTGTAAGCATCCTTACACTGCAGTCAACTCTATCTAGAGGAGAAAAAAAGATGATCTCTAGAAGCTTTTTCCTGCCACACTCATTAGAGAGCATTTTTTAATTACATTCACATTCTCAGATACTGTTTTGTATGCACAGTGAACAATGCAGAGAAAAAATTTAAAATGAATATGATTTTCTGCAAACTACTGGAAGAAATGTCAGTTTCTTACACAGATAAAACAGCACAGGCATAAGAAAACCCCCAGGAAGATAAGTCACCCTGACATTCCCAAAATTCAGAAATTCACTAGACCCAAATGACACCACGAAAATGTGATGAATCATTCACTCCTTAGAGATTTTACTTATGCATGGATTGATTGCCTGTGGCATAAAGGGGTCCCAAGTTCTCTGGAGACTTGTAATCCAAAATTGTTTAGTCTGGATTTGAAGGATAGACAAGAATATTTTAACAATGTTCTCTTTTGCATGATAATTTATCTCCTGCTTAAAGATGTGTGTTATGCTATTCCAAAATTCAGGGTCACTCTCCCATAGAAGTGAGGCATAAAGCTCTGATGGGGGCAGTGAATAATTTTAGGCTAGTTGTACACAGCTGCAGCTACTTGCATGGGTAATTGCTTTTGCCCAAATCACCAGCATTATTGTGGCTCTAAAAGACATATATTTAAAAGCCATTGAAGTGCCAAATCATATTACAACAATAGAGCCAGTTCTCCAGAAAATATTCATGTTTTAATTTTAACCAATCTCCACGAATGTGTTGAGCCCTTGCTATAGGACAAAAAGCTGCCAAGGTATTGTGATACGTTGATGTCTAGCATGACAAACAGAGAAAGGGTGTTGAAACTGCATATACTACCGGACTCTAAGTTTCCATGATGGAAAGGATCTATTAATAATGCTAGCACCACCGCCTCACCCAGCTTTTGGCATAAAAAAGACATTCAATAATTTTTTTAATGAATGAATACAATGTCTAATTCCCACAATTGAAATTGGAAATTTGCAAGTTGAAAGCAGAAGGTCCAGCTATGATGCATGAGAGTGGCTGGTGGTGGCTGTGGAAAGTAAGGTGGTGACTACAACAAAAATGGATTTATCTGCTACCCATGCAGGTGTTTGTCACACTTGAACTATCACATCCCATTATTATATTATGTGATATAAGACATACAAGAAGTGGAACATTATTCCTTGCTCTGGAAAATGTTCCAATCTAATTAGACAAGATTTCTGAGAAGAATAATAACAGGAACATACAATCAAAGTGCCAGTATCAGTGGTCAGCTGTGGTGGCTCACACCTGTAATCCCAGCACTTTGGGAGACAATGGTGGGAGGATCACTTGAAGCTAGGAGTTTGAGACCAGTCTGGGCAACAGAGCAAGACCCCATCTCTACAAAAAAAATTAACATTAAAAATTAGCCAGGTGTGATAACGCGCAACTGTCATCCTAGCTACTTTGGAGGCTGAGGCAGGAGGACCGCTTAACCCCTGGAGTTTGAGGCCACAGTCAGCTATGATTGAACCCCTGCACTCCAGCCGGGTGACAGAGTAAGACCTTGTCTCAAAAAAAAAAAGGCAACATCAATTGTGTGCTATAAATAAAGCAATGTCGTATAGTGGAAAAGAGTATAGGATGCGGAATAAAAAGACATCTTTAAGTCCCAAAGACTGACACTTAGGTGCTGTGTGCTCTTAGTCAAATCACTGAAACTCTAGATATAAAGTTTACACCTATATATTTAGAGATGGAAGTCTCATTATATTGCCCAAGTTGGAGTGAGCACAGTGTCTATACACAGGCATGAACATAACAAAATTATGTTATGTTATGTTATGTTATGTTATGTTATGTTATGTTATGTTATGTTATGTTATGTTGTTTTGTACTAGAGCCTCATACTCCTGGAATCAAATGATCCTTTGCCTCAACCTCCTGAGTAGCTGAACCTACAGGCACCTGCCACCACACCTGGCTAAATAATGTATTTTATTATTAAAGGAATGCATGTGGATAAACAAATGTGATGGTTATTTGTTTTCATACAAGAAGTCCAGGAGTAAAGGGCTGCTGGAGTTGGTTTAATGATTTAAGGCTGCCAAGGTCATAGTCACTAGAGTTCTCTTGATCTTTCCCTCTGGTCCCAAGAAATCTATAACAGCTCTAACTATTGTGTCTGTGATATATGAAGGAAGGATGGGGGAAGCAGGAGAATAGGGGAGAAGCTTTTTTGGAGGAGACAAAGCTTTCCAGATCAGAGTCAGGCTTCCACTAATAGCTCATTGGCTACATTTATGTCACATGCTACCCCTGATAACAAGGGAAGTTAGAAAATGTAGGCTCTTAAAGCTAGACACATTTCTAGCCCAGTTAAAATTAGGGTTATGTTAGTACAGAAAAGAAGGATGGGAATGAATAGGCCACTAATAGTGTCTTTGTCAATATTTAGAGAGTTGGTGTAAAGAATTATAAGAGATAATATATTTGAAAGTGTTTTGTTAACCATAAAGTTAAGGAAGTCAATTTATTTTTGAATGCACTAAGTGTTATACCATTTTCACGTGCATCCGGTATCATGAAAAAGACCTTTAAATAAAACATTTACGATAATTTTTCTAATGTATAAACATTACCTAATATATGTTAGCTCACACACATACACACACACAAACACACACATTGCTGACTCAAACAGGAGGAGTGACTTTCTTTTTCCTGTATATTTTAGACAATATAAATTAAAAACATATGTGATTCACAGCATTCCCCATGACAGGTGAAATAGGACAAGGTGCCCACTCTCAGCACTCCTCTTCAACATAGTACTGGAAGTCCTAGCCAGAGCAATCAGACAAGAGAAAGAAATAAAGGGCATCCAATCGGTAAAGAGGACATCAAACTGTCCCTGTTTGCAGACAATGTGGTCATTTACCTTGAAACCCCTAAAGACTCCTCCAGAAAGCTCCTAGAACTGATAAAAGAATTCAGCAAAGTTTCCAGATACAAGATTAATGTACACAAATCAGTAGCTCTTCTATACACCAACAGCAACCAAGTGGAGAATCAAATCAAGAACTCAACCTCTTTTACAATAGCTGCAAAAATATATACATAATGCTTAGGAATATACCTAACCAAGGAGTCGAAAGACCTCTACAAGTAAAACTACAAAATAATACTGAAAGAAATCATAGATGACACAAACAAATAGAGACACATCCCATGCTCATGGATGGGTAGTATCAACACTGTGAAAATGGCCATACTAACAAAAGCAATCTACAAATTCAATGCAATCCCCATCAAAACACCATCATTCTTCACAGAATTGGAAAAAAAAATTCTAAAATTCATATAGAACCAAAAGAGAGCCCACATAGCCAAATCAAGACTAAGCAAAATGAACAAACCTGGAGGCATCACACTACCTGACTTCAAACTATACTATAAGGCCATATCACCAAAACAGCATGGTACTGGTATAAAAATAGGCACATAGACCAATGGAACAGAATAGAGAACCCAAAATAAACCCAAATACTTACAGCCAACTGATCTTCAACAAAGCAAACAAAAACCTAAAGTGGGGAAAGGACACCCTTTTCAACAAATGGTGCTGGGATAACTGGCTAGCCACATGTAGGAGAATGAAACTGGATCTTCATCTCTCACCTTATACAAAAATCAACTCAAGATGGATTAAGGATTTAAAACTAAGACCTGAAACTATGAAAATCTTAGAAGATAACATTGGAAAAACCCTTCTAGACATTGGCCTAGGCAAGGATTTCATGATCGAGAACCCAAAAGCAAATGCAATAAAACCAAAGATAAATAATTGGGACTTAATTAGACTGAAGAGCTTTTGCATGCCAAAAAGAACAGTCAGTAGAGTAAACAGACAACCCACAGAGTGGGAGAAAATCTTCACAATCTATACATCTGACACAGGACTAATATCCAGAATCTACAACAAACTCAAACAAATCAGTAAGAAAGAAAGAAACAATCCCATCAAAAAGTGGGCTAAGGACATGAATAGACAATTCTCAAAAGAAGATATACAAATGGCCAACAAACATATGAAAAAATGCTCAACATCACTAATGATTAGGGAAATGCAAATCAAAATCACAATGCGATACCACCTTACTCCTGCAAGAACGTCCATAATCAAAACATCTAAAAACAGTAGATGTTGGTATGGATGCCGTGATCAGTGAACACTGCCACACTGCTGGTGGGAATGTAAACGAGTACAGCCACTGTGGAAAACAGTGTGGAGATTTCTTAAAGAACTAAAAGTAGAACTACCACTTGATCCAGCAATCCCACTACTAGGTATCTACCCAGAGGAAAAGAAATTACTATATGAAAAAGATACTTGCACACACATGTTTATAGCAGCACAATTCACAATTTCAAAACCGTGGAACCAACCCAAATGCCCATTAATCAACAAGAGGATAAAGAAACTGTAATATATATATAATATATATGATGAAATACTACTTAGCCATAAAAAGGAATGAATTAACAGCATTTGCAGCGACCTGGATGAGATTGGAGATTATTGTTCTCAGTGAAATAACTCAAGAATGGACAACCAGACATCATATGCTCTCACTGATATGTGGGAGCTAAGCTATGAAGACGGATAAAAGACTACAAATACGGTGCAGTGTACACTGCTTGGATGTTGGGTGCACCAAAATCTCACAAATTACCAATAAGGAACTTACTCATGTAACTAAATACCGCCTGTACCCCAATAACTTAAGGGAAAAAAATTTAAAAACTATATGTGATTCACTATGGTCTATAATTTAAGGCACAGTATAATAGGATTTTTTTTACTCTTTGCTTTATTTCTTTAAGTACATTATTTGCCTTGGATGACTAAATTTTGTCTAAAATTGGGTATATATGCCCTTAGACCTCATTTGCAAGTGATAAAATTAAACTGTAATTATGCAGTTTGTGAATTAAAATGCCTGAAGCACAATGCTCTTCAAAAAATGAAGGACAATAATAAAAAATGTTAAGTACAATTTTTTTACAATTATCTTCAATATCCAACAACATATAATAGACTTATTGTGTTTTTTTCTTTCAAGAAGCCTATGAATTTTTTCATATATCAAAAAATGATTTGGGAAGAGGATTTTTTTTTATTTAAAAAAAGTCAATGTAGGAAAGAAGAAACTAGGAAAATATTCTGTCTCTTTGACAATATAATTACAGTGCCCTATGAAGAAAGAAGTTGGCACAGTAATCTGATTTTTATTGAATACCAAAGCACACATGAACATTAAAATGCAATTTGAACATGCATGGTGTCAGAGTAGTCAGGAATCTTAAGGAGCAGATTGTTTGGAAAGCATCTGAAAACACCTTATCTTCACCTACAGCTCACCACGGCTGATGAACCACTCTGCGGTCCAGTCTGCCCTACCTGGCTCCACCTCTATCTACCTCACTGAGTCACACCAGGTCATTCCCAGATCAGGGCTTTTGCACTTGCTGTCCGCTCCTCAGTTTTCTACATGGCTGTCTCCTTGGTATTCCAGTGCTGGCTCAAATGTCACCTCCTCACCACTGTGACCATCCTGACTAAAGTAGCTAACATCCTCCAGCCCCTCCTTCCCTAAACGAGTCACCCTCCATCCCCCTGCTTTTATCTCTTCATACAATTTACCATTATCTGTCATATCTTAACTGGGTTTATTTGTGTCTCTTACGTCTTCCCGCTGATTAGACTATAACCTCCACAAAAGCAGGGGCACTGTCTGTCTTGTTTAGAGCTCTATCTCCAAATACATAGAACTGGGTTCATCACAAAGTGCACCATAAATACTTGTCAGGTGAAAATTTACATATCTATATGTCTTATATATAAATAATACATATATGACATTTCTCATTCTTATGTGACTCTGATAGTCATAGGTTAAATCACATTCCCTATAAACTTTTCTGGAAAAAAAGTCAATACATTCATGGTTTATCCCAAATAAATTCTTTAAACCACAATCAACATTCTATACTTTGTATAATCTAAAGAGATAGAGCCTGGCACATAGTAGATCTCAATAATTATTTGCTGAATTGCATTAATTCAAATTTTGTTTCTATTTAATATTTAAATATGACAAAGTAAAAAGAGAATATTTGGAAAGGAATAAGCTGTTGTATATAGGTGTATATAGTAGGCAGTATCTCAGATCATAAATGTAATTCTTCCTCAAATAATATTTTGTTAAAACACATTCTTTTGGTACTAGTCTAAAAGGGAGAGAGTCTAAATACCTAAAGAAAACAGCTAAACAGCTGACCCAGGTCTTCTCCTGGTGAGTTCTTCGCAATTTATTAGCACGTAAGAAGCTATTTTTCCAGATGCTGTCAATTCTCAATGGAAACAGTGTAAAGTGAGTCCTCTCAAACCTATGAGCTAACTTTCCTAGACTAAGGACTCTTAAATTGCTGTATCATCTTAAATCTTCATTGCAAACTTTGGTTCTGTTCTGTTCCAAGTTCCTTCCTACCCAGCCCAGTGATTGTGAAACAGTTGTAAAAATGTAACTGATCTTAATTTGAACAAGTTTCTTTTTTAAAAGCAAATGTCCATTCTCCCTTCTTTAGTTTCCAAGACAGTATGGGAAAGGTAAGATATCTACTTAAAAGCAAAACAGAATGTTAATCTCCTGAGTTGTCTCCATTACTTAAACAAGGTTCATGTGCTTACAAAGTCTAAAGACCCAGCACAAGTGATACAGAAAAGGCATCAGAAGAGGCATTCAATACCTTCAACTAATTTGAAGCAAGGAAAAAGGGAATGTTCATCTTTACTTGAAATACTCCAGTTTAGAAGGAAAAAGTTGTAACTTTACAGATTATACAGGTATGATAACAAAATCTTTAATTAAATATAGAGTTCCAAAAAAATCATTAGAGTTCAGGCTGTTGACAGGAAACATAATTTCTTCCTGTCCCATGGTATAATTTAGCATGGCACTGAAGAGCTCTTCTGTTTCTGTAAATGCGTTAGATGTGGCTAAAAGACACGTTTTTAAGGTTGAAGTTGTTTCCTTAAAGCATTGCCACATGCAGAGTCACTCGCCAAAAGGTGGGTGCAGGAGAGAATAAAACAAACACAAGTAACTAGCCAAAGGATTCTAATAATTCTGAAGAAACTAACATTCAGTGTAATGGCCATTAATAAAAATATTTGTGCTATCATTACCAGCAGAACAGCCACCATAAACTGAGTAGACTATGGTGAATTACTGAGTATCATAAAATTCTTAAGTATCTTGTAAGATGCATTTCCCCCATTTAGGAATTACAACTCAGGAAGAAACATTCTAAAAGGAACAGACTGTTCCTTTGAGTGTCAGAAGCCACAATAAATATTTTTACAGTAGAATCTAAATAAATGCTTGCATTTTCCAACAAGTCTCAGCTTTTAAACTAAACTTAGTCCAATCAAGATAAAATTGTAGGGAAATTCTTTTTCTATTTTGTCTTGATTGGACTGAGTTTAGGAGCTAAGCTATGAGGACTGCAAGGCATAAGAATGACACAGTGGACTTTAGGGACTTGGGGGAAGAGTGGGAGGGGGATGAGGGATAAAAGACTACAAATATGGTACAGTGTATACTGCTCGGGTGATGGGTGCACCAAAATCTCACAAATCACCACTAAAGAGCTTACTCATGTAACTAAACACCACCTGTACCCCAATAACTTGTGGAAAAAATAAAGTAATAATTATTATTATAAGATAAAATAGTAGGGGAAGACTGTATTGGATGTTCTTAGACTCCCCATGATATGCGTGTTTCTGCACTTCTTGGGCATCCTGCCCCTGCTACTCTATGTATTTTAGCTTCTCCTCTCACTCTTTACCCATACTCAAGTCATTCAGCTCAAGAAATAAGTAATGAACATCATCTGCGTGCCAGTTCCCATACAGTCCCATAGTGTTAGAGCTCAAAGAGGCAAACTAGTGGGTGTTGAGAAAATATCTGAAGCTCTTTTTGTCAAATCTCCTGGGAACCCAGCCATGCAGCTGCCCTTTCCTCCCACTAGAGATGTCCCTGTTGGGCTTTCTTCTCTCCCTAACAGATCCATGATCCCAAAAAATGATTAGGTACAAGAAAAATCCAATGTGTCTATGAGTATGCATTGAGGCAGCTCATGGGAGAAATTTTTACAAAGGTCCAATGTTACCTCCTAAGGAAAGCTTTCCAGAATCCTTCAGGTAATTACTCACTTGCTTCTTTGAGCTCTCAGATCATTTCGTTCATACTTCTATTAAAGGCCTTGGCCAGTTGCATTGCAATTACCTGGTTTCTCCTAGTAAACTGTGACCTCTGCATTTGTCTTTGTACCCCTAACCCTTAGCACGGTGCCTACGTCACAGTAAGTATTAAATAAATGTTGCTAAATGTGAAGGAGTTAGAAATTGTGTTTTGCCTGCCATCCAAGGCCCCAAGTCATGCAAAGTCATGTCATAACTTCAGCATATGACAGACGCTTCTGACTTCCTCAACATGATCACCTGCAGTTGGGGGCCATTATCTATGTAGAGTTTACACGTTCTCCCCATGTCTGCGTGAGTTATCTCCAGGTACTCTGATTTCCTCCCACGTTCTATACCCATTAGGTAAATCATCATATCTAAATGGTCCCAGTCTAAGTGAGTGTAGGTGGGTATGTGTGTGAGTTTGCCCTGCGATGGTCTGGTATCCAGTCCAGTGCTGGTGCCCCCCTTGCACCCTGAGCTGTGGGAGAGACTCCAGCCACCCAAGACTCCAAAGTGGAATAAGTGAACTGGAAAATGAATGAATGAATGAATGAATGAATACAGATTATTGTAAAATAAAAATCTGTCAAGTCTGCAAGAATCATATGAATGTATGACAATTAAAGATACGGTACAAAAGTACTCAGTGAGCCTACTCTATTTGTTATTATTTGGTTTTGAACTACCCTGTGGTAGGAGGTATTCCTTACAACTTTCGCTTTGCAAACATCTATTTCTTGATTTAATTCACCACCACTACAAATGCCATCACTCACTGATTCATCAAAAATCAGATAAATACCAAAGAAAAAGAAATCAATATATCAAAAAGATACTCACACTCATTTTTATCACATCACTATTCACATCGCAAAGATATGGAATCAACCTAAGTGTCCATCAGTGGATAACTGCATAAAGAAAATATGGTGTCTATATATAATGGAATACTATTCAGCCATAAAAAGAACAAAGTCATGTGTTTTGCAGCAACATGGATGGAACTGAAGATCATTATCTTGAGTGAAACAAGCCAGACAAAGTCAAATATCACATGTTCTCACCCATAAGTGGGAGCTAAACAATGTGTACACATGGACATAGAGAGTGGAATGATAGAGGATGGAGACTCAGAATGGTGAGAGGGCAGGAGGGGGTGATGCTGAGAGATGACTTAATGGGTGCAGTGTAGGTTATTCAGGTGATGGATGCCCTGAAAGCCCTGACTTGGCCACTACACAATCTACACTTGTAACAAAATTGTACTTGTACCCATAAATTTATACAAATTTCTAAAAGGGTAAAATAAAAAAAGACAAATGTAAACACTCTTTTGTTCTTTATTTTAAAATTGTGTAAATAATTATCTTGTGTGATTTTATTAATCTTTCTTAAATGTCTATATACCACACATGTATTTCAATGTTTAATATTATAAGTGTTTGGGGTCTTTATTTAGAAATTTGATGATGTTTTTATGACCAGAAATATGTCATAGGAGTTAACTCTTGTCTAAATCAATTAGCCTATGGTAAAATTGATTTCATTATACATCATTTCACTTAAGTCACAGTTTCTAAGAACCTATAAATGCTATTAAGTGAAGACTTGCTGAAATGTGTTAAGTTCTTTCTCTGTCTCTTTGAAATGTATGTAAATCCTTCTAAATGCTAAATAAGACTTTTGCTAGTTTTAAGACTCAGGAATGTCTTTCTCAAGGACCCAGGAGCCATCTCTTGGAAATCTAAACTTTAGGGAAGATAGAGCCCTATCTCTCAGTTTCTGTGGGAAGATAGGAGTCCAGCTTCAGCAAGCATCTCGCTCTACATTGTAGAACTATCTCTCATCATAAATATGTGAGAAATTTATTTTTCCTTTACATAAAACTTCTTAGCTAACACTGATGGTAGCTCTAATTACCAGGTACACTTAGGATGAGCTATGTGCAACAAATGCTGCTGTCAAGTCCTCTTACTGGAGAAGTAGTTCCTGTTTATCTTGAAACTGTGTATATAGTGGGGTTTACCTGCTTAGCTATATAAGACTGAGATTTCCTGTCTTTGCAATCCCTTAGCAGATTACCCGTGATGCATATCACCTACTTTTAATGTTTATTCAATAATAAAACTGTTTTCCTTCTCTTCTACCTTTGTAAAGAGGTTTTCTGGGATGAAGGAGTTCTTGTCTTTAATTACATCTCTCCAACAGTATCATATGTGAACTGTGGACACTGAAATGTCTGGTCCACTGCAGGCTTTCTCTGGCCCCAACTAGTCTGCCTTGTCAATTTGACTGGGATTCCCCATTGATATCTGATGTCATGGAATAATAAAATCTTATAATTTGAAAGGAATTTAGATCAACAAATAGAAATTTAGATCAATTAAAAGAACTCTATATTACTATATGAATACCTCTCTGTGGGATTTTCCCCCAAAAGAAGAAAAAAGTGGTCAGCTTCTGCTTGAGAACTTCCAGAGTTCATGGAAGAAATGGTACTTAAGGTCTGAAGAATGGGGAAGATTTATCCAAAGGCATAAATCAAAAAAGGCAGCACTGCAAATAGAAGACACAGCATGAACAAAGCACAAAGGAGGAAAAATAAAGGATTTTTGTAAATGCTGAGTAGTCTAATCATATTAAAATATTGAGTATGCATAGGAGCTGGAAGACAAAACCAGTAATGGAAGTCAGGACAATAGACAGAGAACCAAATGCCAGGATAAAGACTTTCTGCTCGACTACTAAAATAGAACTCTACTTGTCTCTGAAAGGAGTAACATGACTTTACAAGGATCTCGCCCCAGAAATATGATGAGGTATGTTCAGTACCAGGCTCCCTTTACAATTCTGCAAAAATGAGCCTCAGTTCTAGAAAAAATCTCCAAACACTGAAAGAAAACACGAATCACAACTTTCCATTGCTCTTAGGAGCTGGGTTTTTGTTTTTGTTTTTGTTTTTATCTGACAGCAATTATCTGCTTTATCTCCATAACAGCTAACAGCAGTTTGGGGTGTTGTACTAAGATGGCATGGCTGTTTAAAAGAGCCATTTTTTGTTCTCAAGTCCTTAACTTTTGGGCCAGAAGCAACCATTGCTATCACTTTTCTTATGCTGTCTCCCACAGTGGCTAAGGCAAGTGGTTTTAGTTTTTCTTTGACCTTCCTTCTCATATTCAGGGAGGTGTCTTACCTATTTAAAGATGATTTGTTGAAACCAAATGAGCAGTCACGGAAATGTAAGTGCCCACAGAATGTCCTCTTTCATTTGTAAAATCTGTATTCCAAGACAGATGCTTTTAGAGAGGCTATTTAAATATGGCAAATATATCAGTTTGTCTTCAAACTAATGTAAATCCCTCATTGGTTTATCCTAACTGCAAAGAATCTTCAAAAAGCTGGACAAAGTAAAAAAAATAGCCATCAGCAATAACCATCTGTATTAACGTGTAGTATTTCTTTTGAAGGGTACATTAAAAACACAGAGATTGGGAGATGGGGAGAAGTAAGAAAAAAAGTTCCTTTTTAACTTTTTCTTAGGACTTTATTAAAAGGATTTTCACTTCAACAGATACTTCTATAATCATAGCTGAGATATAATTTATTTTTGGAAAACAGAAAATGAAAATGTTATGAATAGTCTTGTTTCAGGCAATCAAAGAGAGTGGAACAAGAAATCTTGTATTTGATTTGTTTTCACAAGTACGATTCAAAGAACATCTGTGCTTATGCCATGAATCCTTCTGCATAGCGCTCTTCCTTAGAAGTTTTAGTAATAGCTGAGTCCATTGATCTGCGATTTGGTAAACTTGAGGTTTTTGAAGGGCAGCCAAAGTTTCACTTAGTTTCTCAACAACTCTCTCTCTTGAACATGAGAACATCTATCTTGTTCCTCGAGAACTTAAGATCCATTTTTATACTCTGGACATCATAGTGCTGGAACTTGCAGACAAAAGCCAGGCAGCCTTACTGAGACACTGAGTTGTTTTTAAATAATTATTTCATTTAGATTCTTAATCAATTATCAGTTTTTAGAAGAAATATGCCCAAAATTGCAAGTGCTACTTCCCGTGGGCATTTCCATGTTTTAAATCTAGTTAAGGCTCAGGCCTTAACACACACGATTCACTCATGATTTGAGATAGACAAAATAATCTGTACAACAAACCCTCGTGACATGAGTTTACCCATATGACAAACCTGTACGTGTACCTGTGAACCTAAAAAACAAGATAATTATTGTTATTTCTAAAAGTCCACCCAGCAATTAACCAAAGTGGAAACATTTTCAGACATAATCTTGGTTAATTCAGAGTAGTTTCTAATTGTTAACGCTTCTGTTAGCTTCCAGAATGACCATGAAACTTTAAATAGAAAGGACATTGAGGATCACATAAATGAAAGAATAGGTGTAAAATAATTAGTACAAGGCCTGGCACAGAGGGCTAAACAAATAATAGCTCCTAATTTAGTAGTGCAATAGTGGCAACAGTAGCCCTACATCCTCTTCAACAGTCCAATTTACAGATGAAACCCAGAGAAATTAAATGATTTTCCCAAAGCTACAAAGCTTGTTAGTGGCAGAGCTGAAACTGAAATGGAAGTTCCTTAACTAGTCTAATACTGTCCCCAATACCTTGGGGAAAATCATTTTTTCAATTATGCTGAATTGGTCTCTCATATAAAACATACAGAGGGCGAGACTTCACATATCTTCAGATAGCAAACCTTCTCAGTGGCTATTCTGATTAATTTGTAATTTCAGAATCTGATGGCCTTTCCCAGCCCTCTCTTCTTTTAACCTTTCTGCTGCATTTAGCAACCATTGCTTACACTGCCCTTTAACCTGAGCAACACCACGCTAAACCAACTTCTACCTCTCTGTCTACTTACCTCCCTCTGTATTTACTTTCTTCCTCCTTCCTCATGTACTCAAGGCATGGAACTTTCCAAAGCTCCACTCTTGAATCTCTACACTCATCCTTGAGAGATCCCATATATTCCCAAATAATCTCTGTATGAAGATAACCTCAAAACATTTATCTTGAGCCCTAGTCTTTCCTGAAATTTAGCCACAAATTTCCAGTTTCCTATTGGATGTTACTACCTAGATGTTGTGATATTATCTCAAAATTACCATGTCCAGAATCAGTCATCATTTCCCTCAAAAGTAGCTCAAAATCTTTACTTTCATGGTGTAACAGTCCCATAATTCCTCCAGTCTTGAAACCATAGAGATATCTCTGTGTTTCCTCACCCTTCGTAAGTAATCTGCCACAAATTCCATCATATCCTTTCTTTTTACTTCCTTCCCATTTCCACTGACATCACATCAGTTCAGTTTCTCACCACCAAGGCCAGAACTACTCCAAGAGCTTCTTAACTGATGGCTGTGTCTTTAGTCCTCACAATCTTACAAACTCCCCAAGTTAGGGGACCCAGCTTAGGGACATAGAATTTAACATGTTGCCAGTTTAAACTTAATACAGTCTCTCTCTCTCTCTCTTCCTCTCTCTCTCTCTCTCTCTCACACACACACACACACACACACACACACACACAGACGCAAACATTACAGAATTTGCAAAAATGATCTGAATTCTGACTCCTCAGGCTGTTTAGAGACTGGTGTCATGAATGTCCCCCAGGAAAGCTATTGGCTAAATCCCTCTGTGAAGAAACACATCCACGAGAGTGGTTCCTTAATTTTCTCATCTTTTCTTATATTTTATCTATTTTTCTTTTATGTATTTCTTATTCTTTAAAAAAATTATCTCTCTAATGCAAATTTAAATTATACTGAAACACTAGTTCTCACCTATAAGATTGGCATAAATGGAAAATTTGACAACATATTCTTTTGGCAATTTGGTATAACAATTGGCAGTTTATACACTGCTGGTGTTAACACAAAATAGCAACCCCTATGGAGAGACATTTGGCAAAATTACATGTAGTTTTAGCCTTTGATCCAACAATATCACTTCTGGGAATCCATCACAAAGTAATACTGGCAAAAATACAAGAGCTCATTTTTGTTGCACTATTTAATAATAGTAAAGGAATGGTAATATTTCCAAATGGATTAAAGCAAACCCCAGTTTCCCTTGCTTCAACTTTTGCTTCCTTTCCCTTTTTTTCTCATCTTTTTCCCTTTCCCCTCTGTTTGCTACCTCCACCTCCCCTGAAACTTGACAAACTGCAAGGATTGCAAAATAGCTCTTTAAAGAACTACTCTGGCAATTGCCAGAAGGGGATTGTCCCAGTGATCCCAAACAAGAAGCATGAAGAATGAAAACCATCTCCATCTGTTCCAGTCACAAGTTCCACATAGTTAGAAGTTGAGCAACATGACCAATACACAACAACACATACCCTCATCTTCTTCTTGCACTATAAAATTCCAATCGTGACACAGCTTGAAGAATTATCTGGTCTTCATGTGCTCCCTGATACACGCCAGTGAAATAAAACCTTTGATCTCTATTCAAATCATTTCAGCTATTATTTTCTTTGACAAACCCAAATGTATGTCAAAAAGGACTGGCTAAATAAACTATGCTACATGCACAAATGAAGTGCCATGCAGCTGTAAAAAAATGACTTAGCGATGTTTCCATATGCCACAATGGAATGATCTCCGAAAACACTAAGTGAAAAAAAAATCAATGGAGAAAAAGTTGTGTGGAGTATGTTATCAGTTATCTAAGGTATTGGACATAAATATACATATGTATTTATGTATATATTTTTCTTAAATTATAAACCAAAATTTCTAAAGTTACTTATAGAGAAAGAAAGAAAGGAAGATGAAGGGGACAAGGACAGAAGCTAAACTTCTCTGAATATGTCTTGTTTTCAACGTAAATATCTTACATAATAAAAAATTAAATTTTAAAAAGCAAGCTTTAAAAACTAAAAGCAACATGAACCAATGAATCTCTGTAACAAACCAGCAGTATAACCAGAGAGAAACTGTTAACTAATGTTACGTGCTTTTAGTAATCATTTTTGGTAGTAGTGTTAGTATTGTCATTCGGAGACTGTTGTATGTACATTGCAGGATAAAACAAATAAACAATTATATTGGTGTCATTGATATCCAGGATTTCAAGCGTGGAAGAAGGTACAGACATAAATCAAAGAAATTAAGTTAAAACCCTTTAGCCCTAAACTTGAACTGGAGGTATTATTATGACTTTATAATACATTTTATCTTTAAAAGTTCACATATCCTAGTACTATACACTGGAAAGGCTTTGAAATAACATTCAACCTAAAAAACAACAGATGTCCCTAGCTCCCAGACTGTAGTTCTAAATTTCTAGTCATTCCTACTAAAAGGAGCCATGGCTTCTTGGGAAAATCATTTATTACAGATTTGGGGAAGGAAAAGTAAAAGACACACTTGAATCATCTTGTCATATTAAAAATCAGGTTGTTCAAAAAGACTCACAACCCAACTTGAAAAGATGCTTACTGACCAAAGATAGGGCAATTTGAGCCTCAATGAAAATAATATCTGCAATGGATTGAAATACATGAAATATGGCTAAATTCTATAAATTCATAATCATACTTTCTTTAAAAAACTCATTAGCAATCTTTGAAAGATGCTAAAGATTCCACTAATATTTAAAAACACATAAACATTTGTGTGTGTCTGTGTGTGTGCATGTGTCTGAGTGTGTGTCTAGCCTGCCTTTCCTGTATTGTACCTCTGGGTAAGTGATTAGCTGACAAGGAGAAATTTCTCTTTATAGAGATAGTCTCACCAATAAATAAAAAAGGAATCATAGAATTCTTATATCACGACTTTGTAACCCATCACTAATTAATAGATTTAGGAACTGAGCATTAGTGGCTACTAGCATCAATAAAGATACACAACTATACACCACCACCTATGAAATATTCTTGCCCAAAAAAATCTAAATTGAATATGATCAAGCTTCTTGTTTGAACTACCAATTAACCAAAACAGAGAACAAATAAAGAGGTTAAAAACATGGCAAAGATTCAATCAGCAAAATTCAGACTGAGAAATTCTACTGGACAAATGACCTAAATTATTCTGCTGATAAACTGCAAAGAAAAGGAAAAAAGATATGAGGGGGAAGTACAGGCCAACAGTTATTTAAGGCCAGGTGTCATGACTCATGCTTACAATCCCAGAACTTTGGGAGGCTGAGGCAGAAGGATCTCTTAAGCCCAGGCGTTTGAGACCAGTCTGGGCAATATGGCAAGACCCAGTCTCTAAACAAAACATTTTAAAATTAGCTGAGCATGGAGGCGTGCACCTGTGGTCCCAAGTACTCTGGAGGCTGAGGTGGGAGGATCACTTGAGCACAGGAGGTAGAGGCTGCAGTGAGTTATGATTGCACCACTGCACTCCAGCCTAGACAACAGAGCAAGATGTTGTCAAAAACAAACAAACAAACAAACAAAACAGGCATATCAACAAATGACTGTATGGACCTCTTTTGGACCCTAATTGAAACAAGCACTCACTCTCTCATTCTCACTCACTCTCTACACACACACACACACACACACACACATATTTTTAAAACCCCATATATGTATATATTTAAAAATTGGGGAAATTTCAACACTGATTAGCTATTTGATAATGTTTGGGAATTAATGTTAACTTTTTAGGTGTGATGACATTATTGTGGTTAAATATTTTCTGGAAGAGTCATTATCTTTTAGAGAGATACTGAAATATTTACAAAATAAATGATAGATATCTTGAACCTTCTACAAAATAATGGATGGGTAGAGGAATGTGCCTAGTTCTAAATGAAACAATCTAGCCATAAGCTGGCCTTGTAAAAGTTAGGTGATCTGGCCAATACCACACATCTAGTAAGCAATGGAGTTAGCACTCCAATACTAGTTGTCTGATTCCAAAGTCTATGTTATCTTCAATACACCTACGATGCCTCTCAAAAGCACCCCTACAGATAACTGGCACACAACCACTTGTAAACTGATGAATAGCTGTATTACCTGGCTCTGCAGGGTTTTCTGTGCCTTAAATACGTATTTAGTAAAAATTTTGTAAGTGTTTATTGGTTATAATAATTCGTAAAGCCACCTAGAAGAGGTGATACATTAGACTTAGAAAAGCATCACAAGAAATAGATGTTTTAGGCCGGGCACAGTGGCTCACGCCTGTAATCCCAGCATTTTGGGAGGCCGAGGCGGGCAGATCACGAGGTCAGGAGATCGAGACCATCCTGGCTAATGCAGTGAAACCCTGTCGCTACTAAAAATACAAAAAATTAGCCTGGCATAGTGGTGAGTGCCTGAAGACCAAGCTACTGGGGAGGCTGAGGCAGGAGAATGGCATGAACCCGGGAGGCGGAGCTTGCAGTGAGCTGAGATCACGCCACTACACTCCAGACTGGGCGACAGGGCGAGACTCCGTCTCAAAAAAAAAAAAAAAAAAAGAAATGTTTTAAAATAAATAGCAGGTCTTCTTTAATAAATGCTTTTGTTAATTTGTTCTACCCAAAACTGATAGTAGCTGTATAATAAAAATGAGCCTAAGATATATAATAGAAATGAGCTTACAAGCACATATCGAAAAACCAAGTTAAGATTCTAAGATAATTTATATATTATATTGCTTTCCGAGTTCCTTAAAAACCATAAATGCTCTCTTGTTTATCTTGTTGTGCCAGTGATTTGTGGAAGCCAAAAGTGAAAACTGCAGTCACAAGGACCCTAGGGCAAGACTTAATAGTACCCTTGATGACTAAAATAATTGATATCTCTCTTTGAAATGTGGAACAAAGGAAACTATATGTTGAGGTCCAGTGTTATCATAATAATAATAATAAGTAAAAATATGTTTAAGTCAGGTGAACCTGATGTTAAGTCATTAGCATCACATTGGGTGAGGACTTGAGGCAATCTCTTTGAGGAAAGAAATCTTCTACTGATATGGCTAGCGTCAAGGTGCACCTTCTTCTGAAATGTTGCCAAGACATGAAAGAAATACTAGTTTTGAAACTTGTCCAACTTGTACATCAAGTCAGTCAGGATCTTGAGATAGATCACTCTGCTTTGATGCTTTTCCATTTTCATGTTTGCTTATTTACTGTGCCAGAGTTATGTGTGTGTTTATTACTTCTCTATAGGATTCACTCACTAAAGAGGGACCATCTAGATCTATTCACCTCAAATACTATATGGGGTTTTTCTATTTGTATCAATTTAAGGGGTACACATGCAGTTTTTTTACATCGATACAATGCAGAGTGGCGAAGTCTGTGTCTCTATTGTAACCATTACCTGAATAATGTACATTGCACCCATTAAGTAAATTCTCATCCCTCAAATCCCTTACCTCCTTCCCACCCTCCATCCTTTCTAGCCTCCAATGTCTATTATTCTACACTCTGTGTTCATGTGTACACATTACAATATGGGTTTCATCAGGTAGCAGATTACCTTGGCCGTTGGCTTATTGTTATGTCTCTAACCAAGAACATTTTGTAGTCACAATTTTTAAAACTAGGTTTACTCTTAATTTTATACTTACACTCCTGTAGCATTTCTAAATTGATCCATAGTTTAGGACAAATAAGTAGTTTACCATCTAACATCAATATATTATTCACTTTATTATGACTCATGACATTTAATATAATTGTGACACTTTAAATGTAACATTTAAGGTGTCACAATTATACCCTTGTTGTTATTATTTTAGTATAATCCCCATTATTATTATTATTATTAACATTTTATTCTTAATCATCACCTCTCAATTAATAAGTAACTCATGTGGACAACCTATAGTATTTGAAGAAAAAGGATAAAAGAAAGAACATAAATAAGCAAATCCTCCATGCACCATTTTTGTGTTCCACTCTACTAAAATTTTACACTGCAGAACAATTCCAGATCCTGTAACTTAGGTCCTGTATGTTGACAGTATTTAAAGAAAATGCCAGCTGTGACTACAGCAAAGTTGCAGCAATAACAAGAAACTTCTGCTATATGGCATTTCCTTTGGTAATTGCTATGGTCTAAATGTGTCCCCCGAAATTTATGTGTTGGGGTCCTGGCCCTCAAAATCATGTTAGGAGATGGAGCCTTTGGGATATGATCAGATAATGAGGGCACATGGGATTAGTGTCCTTATAAAAGAGGCCGAAGGGAGCTTGCTTGCCCTTTTCACCATGTGAGGACACAGCAAGGGGTGCCTTCTACAAGGAACCGTCCCTCACCAGACACCAGATCTGTCAGTGCCTTGATCTTGAACTTCCCAGCGTCCATAGCTTTGAGAAATAAATTGCTATTGTTTATAAGCTACCAGTTTATGTTATTTTATTATAGCAGTCCAAATAAACTAAGACAATAATAAATCATCTAGAAAAAGTATACCCCCTACCAACAGACAAAAATTTCACAGAGTACTTTAAAGAACTTGTTTCCTTCTTTTGTGATGCATTGCATGCTGATAATTCTGAGATCAAGCAAGGATAAATATATTTATCTATTATAATACTAAGAAACTGGCCAGAAGCCCACATATATCACTTTTTAAAATTCATGGAGGATTAGGAAAATGGTCAGAGTGTATCTGTATTGTCTCTTATAAATGTATTTTTAGTATAACTAGAAACCTACTGAAGCAAATTATCACAAAATCTCTGTGTCAAAAAGAAAAACAGTATAGATCATGAGTTTAAAAATGATTCTTTTAAAAAAGAAAACATTTCAGACAAATTTAATATTCTTCTTTGACAAAATTATAGGTTTAGGATATAAAAAACAAGGATGCCTTCCTCCCTCCCTTCCTCCCTTCCTTCCTCCCTTCCTTCATCCTCCGCTTTATTAAGAGACAAAAATGTGCCAGGAAATGTGCAAAGAACAGTTCCTGTCCCAAGGATCATATAATCTAATGACTAAAGCAAACAAATAAGCAATTTCATTACAATAAGGTGTCTTCGATGTAAATTGAAGTTGTGTATGTGTCCAAAAGAGGGCCCCAAAAGCTCCACATAGAAGGAAGTCTCTCCTGATGTTACTTGAATGATATAGTCATCAATATGCCAAAAAAAGTTTCTAAGAGCATGTAACTCCAACAGTTGATTAGAAGAAATGAAGTACCACAGGCACTAATCTTGATTCAGAGGAGTTTTTCTGTGACATTCATGATGGACCAAACAAAATGCTCAGTAACACTGTAGCCAACTATGTCAAAAGTTATTTCAAGGTAGGGGCTGACTTCTGCCTCTTTTTAACAGGTAAAATGCTCAGTATAAACACAAAGTAGGTGCCTAATACAGACTAATTGCACACTGAAAGCTAAAGGAACACGCAAAATATTTTCACATATTAAGATAGAATTTAAATGCTAGTAACCTTGATAAATTTAAAATATCAAGAGAAAATAAATGAAGACTGAAGCAATGCTTTGCCTTTAAATTCAAACCACCTGTGTTCAATTCCAATTTAGTCACTGAATAAGCTCAGTGGCCTTTAGCTGGGTATTTAGCTTATTTGACTCTCAACTATCTAACCATAAAATGAGGATATTGATACTGATCCCTTAGGCTTGGGTCTTTGTGAGGAATACATGAACTAATATATTAAGGTTCCTAACTCAAGGCATGGCCCAATGTAGGGTACTCAAGAAATGTTAGCTTCATGTCCTTATTACATACACGGAAAAAAGATTTCCAAAAAGTGTAAAAGGCTGGGTGTGGTGGCTCATGCCTGTAATCCCAGCACTTTGGGAGGCCGAGGCGGGAGGATCACCTGAGGTCAGGAGTTTGAGAACAGCCTGGCCAACATGGTGAAACCCTGTCTCTACTAAAAATACGAAAAAAATTAGCTGCACGTCGTGCGCGCCTGTAATCCCAGCTACTCGGAGGCTGAGGCAGGAGAATCACTTGAACCCAGGAGGCGGAGGTTGTGGTGAGCCAAGATCACACCACTGCACTCCAGCCTGGGTGACAGAGCAAGACTCCATCTCAAAAAGAAAAAAAAATAGTGTGAAAGACCTTAAAGGGTCTCCTCGTCAATTTCCCTTTAAGACATTCTAAACTGAAAGTACATAGAGAAGGTCATTCTACAATATACCCCATCATATGGTTTCATCTTTCTAGGAAGCAGCACAAAAGAAAGTGGCCTGAGTATCTAGCATAAACCTCATCAATTCGTTTATTTAACATTTATTAAGTATCTCCCACATGCCATGGATTATTTTCCAGACAAGTGTCATTTAAACCTGTGTCCAAGTTTCTGATCTATATGAACCAATGAATGCTAAGTATCAAACAACCTCTAGTGTTGGAAATTCATCATTTTCTTTAACAATTCTTAGTCTTTGGACAGATTTCAGTATTATTTACTGATGCAGGAAAACGGAGAAGAGTTCAGAGAGAACAGGAAATGAGCTCTATCTGAGATTGCTGAGTTTGAGATTAATCTGAGATATCCAGATGGAGAGACATAGCGTATAGGTGGAAAATCAGACCAAAAGGTCTTACCAGGAACCTTAGATTTGGAAATTGTCAACACATATGCAGTAGTTAAGTGATGAGAATAAATGAGATCAATAAGAAAATGTTGGCCAGGCGTGGTGGTTCATGCCTGTAATGCCAGCACTTTGGGAGGCCAAGGTGGGCGGATCGCTTGAGGCCAGGAGTTCAAGACCAGACTGGCCAACACAGTGAAACTCCGTCACTACCAAAAAATACAAAAATTAGCCGGTGTGGTGGCGCACGCCTGTAGTCCCAGCTACTCACACGCCTGTAGTCCCAGCTACTCAGGAGGCTGAGGCAGGAGAATCGCTTGAACCTGGGAAGTGGAAGTTGTAGTGAGCTGGGATTGCACCACTGCCCTCCAGCTGGGCGACAGGGTGAGACCCAGACTCAAAAAAAAAAGAAGAAGAAGGAAACGTTGGTAAGAGAGACATATCGAGAACAGGCTGCTGGGGAACACCAATATTTCAAGGAAAGGCTGAGGAAGAGGAGCCAGCAAGGAGGCTTTAAAGAAAGTATCATAGAAATAAGGAGAGAACCACAGATACTGTTTCATAAGCCTAGGAGTGGAGGGAAATTGAGTTGGAAAGAAAGGGAGTGGTCACCTACATCAAATGTGAGGGATATCAAACAAAATTAAGGATAAATAAAATCCACTAAAGAATTTAATCTACCTATCAGGCAGTTCAAAGAAAGATAATTTAATAAAGGGTCCATCTAAAATTTGAATGCCCTCAAAATAATGCTGTCTTGGGAACTGTCCAGTTGCACTTTTATGAACACTCCCAGTGTTAAAACTTTACCACTTAATGAAACCCTTAATCTTTACACGGCTCTAAATATTATCAAAATCTTCCTCATTTTGAATACGAATATTTCTCCTTATATAACTGTCCACTGATACAATACCGTTTTCAAATATTTGAAGATAACTTTTCTAATATAGCACTTATCATAATTTGCAGATCTATTTGTGTATATGTCAATACATACAGATATATTCTTGATTATAAACTCCGAGAGTAATGATGCTCCCTGTTTCACTAAGTATCCACAGCACATAGCACAGTGCCTGAAACCTATTAGATGCTCCACATACAACGATTGAATTAATAAGTGTATTGATGAGCAGGGATTTAGACTCCAGAATTAATTATTGAATGAAATTTTAGCATTCCTTTCCCTGTGGATTTTTTTTCTTAATTGGATCAATGCTTATGTAACTTCTAAGTCAATGCAAGAAAGCAAGATATATTGGGTGCCCTCTCAAACTTCCTTCCAGAACTTTGATTCTGTGAAAAGCTGACAAAGATTACATGCAGTGGGAACATCTCATTGGAAAATTAGGAAACCTGGGTCCCAGACACAGGTCTGTCACTATTTCTGTGCTCTTCAATAAGCCTGGCTACTTCTCTGGGCCTTGGGACCACATTTATAAAGTGAACCTTTTGTATCTACACACTCCAAGGTCTTTTTCTAGTTTAATATATAAGACTATAAAAAATGTAAATATTATAATATACTGTGTAAAGAAAGATACCTGAAATGCCTAGTCATTGCTCTGATTATATTATCATTTCTTCAAACTTCACATTTCTCTTTTTTTTGAAGCTATTGTATAGCTATAATAAGCTCCTTTTATACCATATTTTCACTTTGCCACATCTTCAATCATCTGAAATACAACTGCCCTATCATCTCTAACAAAGTAGTTCTTCAAATTGAATTACATTGTTGTTTTCTATGACACTGAATCTATTCTTTCAAAAGGGGCCTTTCTCTTAGCCTCAGCTAGGAAGTTTTATTGCTAGTTATAATTCTAAAGCACAATCTATAGCAATACTTATTGATAATTAAGGCGAATTATCAACAATTACTATTCCATTATATAAGCAACAATTCTAATGAGACCAAGAAAGTGAATTAAGTATACAAAGAACATATTATATATATATATATATTAAATTACAAGAAAATTTGCCTGATACCTCTCATCTATTAAAAAAAAAGAATTCAACCTGTTCCCACCTTTTTCAGCAATATTTCTAAGACATTCAAAAGAAAATACAACATAGGTGTAATACACTGCTCCTCCTTTGATGTTGCCATATTAAAGACATCCATAAACTTCAAGAATAGAAATCCACTATTACAATACCATCATATTACACCATCATATTACCATACAATATCTGCTGCCTGCATTGTCATATTATTAGAAAAAATCTATTTACATATATATTTTGGTTTTATTCTGCCATTTGTTACAAATAAAATTAATTTAAAATAGATTTACTTGGAAAGGGATTGTCTGAATTCTTCCCATATAACTAATGTTTTCATAAGGCTTTGTCATTAATCAAAAAATTAAAAGATTGCATTGTTCATCACTCACCCAGCATTTAGCATCTAACTAGTCTTCTATTGATGTTCTACAAATGCAACTGAGTTCTGCACCAGAACTGCTGCATAGACTATTCCCACCCTACCCCCAAGAAACCCATTTCTTACACAGCAAAGAGCCCAAGAGAGGTTTTCAGAAGGTAAATGTAATCGTACATTTTGGCCTGAGTTTAAATTCCAGAAAAAGACACACTTTGGCTCACATTTATTGAAGAGTTAGAGCTTTTTTTTCAATTCGAATGAATAAATATTTGAGTACATAACATGAATTTTTCAAATTTCCTTAGATGCTAGTTCCTTATTTTAATACATAACAACGCTTTTCATCAAATGAAATTGGAGAATCATAGAAATGCATTTATAGGAAATCTGAGACATATTCAAAGAATGCTATGGATGTTATGGTATAATTTTAACTGAACAATTCTAAAATTGAAAAAGGGGGTCCTACTTAGCATTTCCAGATACAAATAATTTGAACCAAAAGAATTCTCTAACCAGCATTCTGTTAAGCAGAATGAATCTAATGTTCTAATGGTATGATTGAGATGCAATACTGTGTGGTTAAAAACTCAGCTCTGAAGGCAGAACATCTGATTCAAGACTCATGTTTGCTTCCTACAAGCTGTGTGGCCTTGGTCAAGCCACTTGCTTATAAAATAGGAAGGACACTAGTCCCTTACTCTTGAATTGCTGTGTGAGTTTAAAAAGATCACTCACGTGAAGTACTTAGCACAGTGCCTGGCATGTTGGTCAGGTTTTAAATTCTTTTAATGTTTACAGATCTCCATAGAAAGCAAAGACAACAGGGGGGAAACCTTCATCCCTTCAGAGTGTTCCTGTCCATGACAACTATGCAGGGGCACAGCCTCAGTGCACAATGACACTCAAGTGGTAACAGAAAGCAAAATGGAAATACAGAACTCTGGGCATGCTCCTCACTTTCATCCATGGCTCTCTCTTCCTGCCACCACCAACTTGTCTAGGCAGCAGAATGCTGCTAGAAAAGTGGACTTCATGGTCTATGAGGCCAAGTTGCTGCAAGCTGGGCAAAAACTCAGGAAGACAACAATAGAGAGAGAGGTGACTTTCTGCTGACATTTTTAAAGCTAAGTTCTTTTATACACATTATTGTTCCCCAAATCTCTCTCCTTGGTGTTAAGACATTTCCTGGGAGATCTCAACCATTCAGAGGATTTCAGCTGCTAACAGTACACTAATGACTTCCAAACCTGTGTATTTAAGCCGTAATTCTGTTCTGAACTTCAAACCCAAATTTACCATTACTCACATTTCCTCTTGGGTATCGCAAAGGTACCTCAAACTCAAAATGCTTAAAATTAAACCAATTATCTTCATCTAGGTGGGCTACAGTTGCTCTGGGGATCTCATTTTATAACCCCCAGCAGTCACCTAAGCCAGGACCCATTATTGACTCTTTTCTCTCCCACTACCACATATTCAGTCTCCAAGACCAGTTCGTTTCATCTCCTACCTCTCAACTGTTCCTTCTTTTCCACCTTTCTTCCACCTCTTTTCTTCAAACTTTTGCCAGTTCTCACCAGAATGACTGAATAGCTCTGTAGCTGGTGTCACTGGCTTCCTACTCTCCCCTCCATGGAGTCTATCCCCTATATTCTCACCAAAGCATCTTTCTAAATATCAGAGGAGGGTAAGCCTCAAAGAGACCACAGTTAGGCACGGCAGCTCACACCTGTAATCACAGCACTTTGGGAGGCTGAGACAAGAGGATCACTTGAGGCCAGGAGTTCAAAACCAGCCTGGGCAACATAACAAGACCCCATCTCTATAAAAAATTGAAAAATTAGCCAGGCATGGTGGTGCAAGTCTGTAGTCCTAACTTTTTGGAAGGCTGAGGCAGGAGGATCACTTGAGCCCGAGAGATCGAGGCTGCAGTCAGCTATGATTGTACCTCTGCGCTCCAGCCTGAATGACAGAGTCTCTAAAAAATAAAATAAAATATGAAAAAAGAAAGAGACCTCAGTGGGGCAGTAATAAAATTCTGTCAGGAGTATAAAAGGTCACCGTTTATGTTATAATTTTTCTTAGAGTAGCTATTATAGCAGACATAAACTAGGAAACAAAGGTTTACTTTGATGTGACAGAGATACTATCAAGAACTCTGAAGGGTCTGAGAGTTTACCCTATTTGCAAACTCACAAGTTAGTCTACCATATTTCACAGATCCTGGCAAAAGACACAAGATTCCCAGATTAGAGACAGAGGAGTTTATTATTCATCATACAGCAAGCAGCATGAATATCCTGTTTAAGTCAGTTCTCTTTCTCCCCAAGACTCACAGGTATGACATAAAGGATCCCATGCAGATGCTGCATGTGGCATCCCTAGCACTTATGGAACCCATATCTTTTATAATGGGCTACAAGAAGATCTGCCCTTTGCCTCGAAGGGAGATTATTTTTATTATGTTGGACAGTAAGTAAATCTGCCCTGTAATCCAGAGACAGAGATTGTTTTCCAAGACTAGTCACTTGTTAAACATCCTTGAAAAGATATTTTGGAACAGAAGAGTAGTTAGTGTTCTGAGACACTTGTAGAGAATCAGGTTTTGAATTCAAACCTGCCTCTGGCATTCACTGTCTGTATGATTTTTACCTTTCTCTATCAGAGTTTCCTTACCTGAAATTGAGGATCGCACTCATTTCTAACTCACAGCCATTTTACAATATCAAAAGAAATCACTTGCATACAAATGTTTTGTAAACAATATAGCACTATTTAAGTATAGTTATTATTTATGATTCTGGAATGTATTTTGTTGTTTCTTATGGAAATGAAAGAGAAAAATTATTTAGAATTTTTAAATTATACAATTAATGAAACGCTTATTAAATGCCTTATTAAAGGTTAGATTTGGGTGGTACAAGGTGAAGAATTATGACACATTCCTCAACCTCAAGAATTTCACATTCTAGGGAGGAAGTCGACAGAAAGGACAATGACCAAGATGTGTTCAAGTGACAGAATAGAAGCATTATATGCTTCTATAGAACTTGGAGAAATCTTTATAGAACTTGGAAGAATCTAAGTAACCATTAAATCCAACCCTCTCATTTGCCATAGAGAAAACTGGTGATGAAAATGATCAGTAATTTTTTTCCAAGGGCTGATAGCTATCTGTGGCAGTGTCAGAACTGGAACTCATTATTTTTGACTTTTAGTTTAATAAACAACCTTGACAGAAATTTCTTGTTCCTGAATAGAGGTTTTACAAGACTGAGGCAGGACACTCGGTTTGGCTCCACGCATTTTTCTCTCCTCTATGGTCTTACTTCAGTGCATTGCCATTTTACCTCTTTGTTCCCCAAGAATTTCAATGGATTTATTCTTTTCTAACTTCTTACTTTTCTCAAAGGTCAAGGATTTCCTCTTTTTTTAGAGAGAAATCTAGAACAAACTTCCCTTCTGATCTTCTTTTCTCTCTTACTTTTACTCCATCTGGCTCCCTACCTGATAATTCTTCCTCGTTATATCCCACAAAATGCTAACCCTGCCACCTTCTCAATCCCTGACTGCCAGTTATTCAGTCTGCTTTTTTCTCTCAGTTCACTCCGGTCTGCCATACCATCTGCCCAGTGAACTTGATGCAGATTTCATAAAATGCAAAGTAAAATATTAGCTACAAACCCTGAAGTTCACCTTAAAGACTAGGTAATCAGCTGCTAGGAAAAGACAGTAAGCAAGGAAAATCATAGCTCACCCAGTTTTCCTAGTAGTGTAACATGGACTCTGCTCCAAGGTAAAATTCACCAATGTGCAGTAAGCTTGATTTCAATTCCATGTATTGATTTTAAATTTTTTTCAGTACTATACAGTACCTGAATTTTTTACGAATTTTCATATTTGGGATTGCATTGGGGAAGAAGAATAGATACATCTTTTTCAATAAGTACCACCGTAGCCATAGCTCAAAAATTAGATTGAGCTTAGAGCTTAGTTACACAAGTCTGAGTGTTTTGGGACAATACAAGGAAAAATCAGGTTCATTCCATTTAAAGCCTTTCTTGAGAATCATCAGAGAATCCCAAAAATATTATACTTCAAAGACTAAAGACATCATATTCAAGGGTTTTGAGAAAGTTTCTAAGTGTGTAGCAATGCTAATATATACAGTTATAATCTTTTAAAATACATGCAAAGAAAAAATATTCAACTTTTTTATAATCTAATAAACTGAACTTTTTCAGGTTTTATTAAACATATGTGTTTTTTAAATAATCAAGTACAGTCAAAGAGTTTTAATTTTGTGGAATCTTCTATGGTGGCAAGAATTTAGAAGCCTTACTTAACTCAGAAGGGTGAAAATGAAATCAATAAATATCTGAGCATATTAGCTATACTAAATAGCATTTAGAATTAGAATAGCCAAAAAAATTTAGTATCATTGAAGCCAAGAACAATGGTATCATGGTCAATAATGTTTCTGAAGTTAACAAAAAAAAAGCAAATCCCAGTTCATGATAAATTACAAAAATGGTAATTATGTAGATAAGAATAAATGGCTTTAAATTCCCTAATGAATGAGTCAAGTTACTGACAAGAGCAATCAAAATATATTCCATATGTGATTAACAACACTTAAATTTGACATTGACAAATATTATTTAATTTATACAACAGTAGAATCACAAGTGTATGTAGTCTCTAAGTCTCCAGGTTACAATAAATTATGGAAAGAATGAGAATTTCAGTCAGCATGCTTACTTTATTTTTGTCCTTGACCTTTTGCCTAGAATGTATTTGTTAATTCGGGTGTAGGTCAGAAAAACTGGTGCCCCCCGCCCCCTGAGTCTCTCTCTCACATACACACACGCGTGTGCACACACACATAATTAGAAATGACACTTCTTCACAGAATTCTCCCTTCGGCATTGAAGAAACATATAAAGCTACACTCTATCAATTTGTAACTATGTAACTACTGATCCCATCTTCCCATTAAGTTTATTAAGTACCTATTAGATGCCAGACACTATGCTAAACATTGAGAATCAATAGAAATGAGATATACATGGGTCTGCCTCACAGAGCTTACAGTCTAACAGATTCAGTGGAATGAATTGATATCATTCCTCTGCTATAAGCAAAGCTATTCTATATAGTAGAAACTTGTAAACACTTAGAAGAAAAAAACTGAGTAAGATTTAATAGCATGACTATTACGAACTATATTAATCATACAACTTGAAAGAAAACAAATTGCTTCACTCCCTCAGACTGACATGTCTAAATCTAATCTCAGTTTATAATTAATACACCAGCATAAGGAAACATAAGAACTTCCAGAGCATTGATAAAACTGATGACGAAATATTTCATCCAGTGAACTGAGCTTGTGACATGAGGTCCTAGACAGCAGTAGAATAGAGTCACGTACCTTAGCTATGACACCTTCTGACATTAGCCAAACTGGCTTAGGGTGAGAAAATCCTTCTAATATATGAAGATAAGAAGTTCAAACTTCCTAAATCATAAAGTATTATGTCTTCAATCCTATAGGAATCACTTATGGAAAGTTATTTAAGATTAACAGGGCAAAATTTACAAAAAGGAAGAGATATTCATTTTAAAATTGTAAGCCCAATAAATACACAAGGAAAGCTTCATCTTTTCTCAAGTCCATCCCCCCCCCGCTACACATAGTAGCTACTCAAGTAGAACAAAAACCTAGACATTATGGCCAAAATTTTGACATCTAAGCCCTAAAAGGAATAAGTCACTATTGAAATTCCAAAAATAATTTGGAGAACTAAAATTGACTTTGTATACTAGAATATATTGATATATAATATAATGTCTTAGTTATGAAATAAACATCTCTTCAAACTGTAGGATGTAAACCAAACTTGTATTAATATGTGAAAAACAATTTCTAATTTACGTATTGGAGGAAAAATATGTTCTCTAAATGGAAGGTTAAAAAACTAAGCAAAACACTTACAAATTCTGTGCTCCTATGAAAGAGCCTATGAGAAAAATGTTTGGAGTCAGTGACCAGGTTTGAGCTGCTTGCCACAGGGAGAAACCTGTCAAAGGGGTAAGAGTTGAAGGCTTCCCACCTTTTCGAATGTGCAGAATAAAATTTAGTGATAAAAATGCTTTCTAAAGCCATGCAACTCAAACCATAGTCCACGGGCCAACAGTATTCAGCTGGGAGCTTGTTAAAAAGGCAGAATCTCAGGCCCTCTTCCAGAACCTTCATTTTAGCAAAATTTCCCTGGTAATTTGTGTACACATAGAAGTTTAAAAGGCACTGTTATGAGGAATAAGGCATTCTGGGACTACAGAGCCTGTTCCAAATATTTTGCATAAATTTAAACTTCTGCATCTACCATTTGTGTCACCCTCCATTTGAGGACAGACCTTGTGAGCTAGAATCAATCCACTGCATTACATACCTCACCTCAAATATATTCTATAATATTTTTCTTCACAATCCATTTCAACTCAAATATTTAACTATTTTAATTATTTCTTTTCAGACCTATACTTCACAGCTATAAATAAGAATGACTAAGAAGAAAACATACAGCACAATACATTGTTGAACCATTCCTTCAGATTAATTTCAAAACTCCAAGTAATATACTAAAATGGTAAATATCATGAGGGCAGATGTCTGCCTTTTTTGTATACTAAGATAGCCCAAACACCTAGAGAGTGCTTTCTATGGACTGAATGTTTGTGTCTTCCCAAAATTCATATACTAAAGCCTAAATCTCCAATGTGATGGTATTTGTAGGTGGGACCTTTGAGAAGTAATTATATCATGAAAGTGGAGCCCTCATGAATAGTATTATTGTCTTATAAGAAGAGACATGAGAGAGATGATACCTGTTCCCCCACCCCACAACCACCACATGAGGGTCTAGTAAGATGGTGGGTGTCTACAAGCCAGGAAGATGACCTTCACCAGACAAATCTGCTGGTGCCTTGATCTTGAACTTCCCAGCCTCCAGAATTGTGAGAAATTACTGCTTATTGTTTATCACTCAGTCTGTGGTTTTGTTTTTGTTTGTGGTGGTAGTTGTTTTGATACAGGGTCTTGCTCTGTCAGTCAGGCTGGAGTGCAGTGGCACCATCACAGCTCACTGCAGCCTCAACCTCCTGGGCTCAAGCAAACCTCCCACCTCAGCCTCCCCAGTAGCTGGGACTACAGGCACTTGCCACCATGCCCGGCTGATTTTTGTATTTTCTTGCAGAGACAGGGTTTCATCATATTGCCCAGGCTGGTCTCAAACTTTTGGGCTCAAGTGATCCACCTACTTCGGCCTCCCAAAGTGTTGGGATTACAAGCGTGAGTCACTGCACCCAGTCAATCTGTGGTATTTTTATCACAGCAGCTCAAACTGACTAAGACAGTGCCCAATAAATACTTATTGAATAAATGAACAGACTTTTCCAAGGATTATAAATTCTCAAAATTCATACATAGATTTTGAATGAATATGTTTAATTATCATATAATATATGAAGATTATTTATTTTCTAGCCTAGTTGATCGAACTAATTTTATTTCAGTGACTATGAAAGCCATCAGTAGAGCAAAGACATGTAACCCTAAAAAACCTGAGACCCATGACCTATCACAACTTGTTTTATAACAAAACAGCATCATGCAGATAAAGCAACATTACTAAATTATAAGATTAAATCTGATTCAATTTTATGTCCCAAGGTCTATAGCCTTTAGTCATCACCATAATCATCATTATCATCATCTTCATCATCTCCATCTCAATCTTACAAAGCTGAAGAACCCAAATAGCAAGCTAATGAATTTTAACCACTCAACAAATGACGGAAGGAGCAAACATATCTTCAACTAGAAAAGTATAAATTTTGACCCAATTCTGAATGTATATTGATAAGCACACCAATCATCAGTCTAAAAGGGGTTTACAATAATGCTTAAATGCATACATATCTTAGCAGGAAACAACTGTCATATAACAGATTACTTATCTATTGGAAAGTATATATGAGGTATTTAAATGCCAGAAACTATCTGCTAGATTTTCCTTGACTTCCTAACTAAAAGGGAAGCTCCTTAAGGTTAAATATGTCACGCTATATTATTGCACTTCCATGCCATGATACTTAGTGGGTCTGAACACACGGGAAAAAAAAAATTCTTTTTTTTTTGAGGCATAGTCTCACTCTGTCACCCAGGCTAGAGTGCATGGTGTGATCACAGCTCAATGCAGCTGTGACCTCCCAGGCTCAAGTGATCCTCCCCCCTCTCAGCCTCTCAAGTAGCTGGGACTACAGGCACACACACCCATGCCTGGCTAATTTTTTTTTTTTTACTTTTGTAAAGGCAGGGTTTCATCATGTTGCCCGGATGGTCTTGAACTCCTGGGCTCAAGTGATCCTCTTGCCTCAGCTTCCCAAAGTGCTGGGATTACAGGCATGAGCCACCGTGCCTGGCTGAAAAAACACTTTATTTTAATTGTCTTAAAAACTCCACTGAAGAAATATGTTGCTGAGAAACTGAGGCACAGAGAAATAAAGTGGTTTTTTCATGGCCACATGGTTATTTATTGTTAGAGCTACAAAGCATCTCCAGAGCTCTCGCCACTGCACCACACTGGTTTTATAATAGTCAATTTCAAAATTTATCTGCTAACCCAAATAGCAAGCTAATGAATTTTAACCACTCAACAAATGATGGAAGGAGCAAACATACCTTCAACTAAAAAAGTATAAATTCTGACCCAATTCTGAATGTATATTTATAAGCATGCCAATTATCAGTCTAATAGGGGTTGGCAATAATGTTTAAATACATACATATCTTAGCAGGAAAAAAACTGTCATATAACAGTCATTAGATTTAGTCCAAGAACTAAACTTTTAAAAATTAGGTTAAGTTTTTTCCTTAAAGTTTTCCAAAATGGGGCCTCTGTTTTGTGGAGGATGAGATTTCAATGCCCTCTCATTCTCCCCTTGGCCTTTGAATTGCTTCACTGAAATGTGGATCGTCTACCTCTTTTCTCTTTCTACACTGTGAAAAAGAACTAAAGTTAGAGCTATTTCACTCAATTTGACTCAACTTTCCAAAGAAAATACAAACAAAGCTGGAGAACCCAAATAGCAAGCAAGACCAGTTCACAGCTACTGACTTGTCTGATAGCCATTTCTGAGAAATTTTCTGAACACTCTAGCACCAACAAATTTGAGTATGCCATTTACCATATAACTATAACAAGGTAAAACTAAACTAAGAAAGAAATGGTAACAGTAACCAGGTTTCCTACTTTAAATAAAATAGTACTGGACAGTGCCTCTGTGAAATTAGAACTGTCTATAAGCTAGTAATGATAAAAATATAAGTATAAATGTTGTTTTTCTCAAGTAATATGAATGGCCATTTCTAAATTCTTGACTGATCTGAAAGTCACAAATTCATTCCATCAATATATAATGCCCTATTGTTTGTAAGGTCCTGGAAGGCCTGCCCTCTCAAAGAATATATTTTAATAAAGTCTCTTTGTTCTATCACTAGGTGGAAGTTTGCTATTAAAATTCCTATAACCACATAACCCTTTTAAAACCATGGCAGAGTTTTCAGATATAGACAATAATTTTGAATGATCAGTTTTTTGTACCAGAAGGAATCTGTCTCCTCATAGCCCAGGACATTCTGGTTTGAAAACTTTAATTCCAAAGCACAAATGCACCTTTACAAAAATCTTCTGTTCTAGTGCCCACTATAATTTATTTTCAAAGACTTGTTTATAAAGAGCTGCATAATCCACCCAAAGAAAGTCAAAGTGTTTTTCTTTATTATTAAACTCAACAGAAAGTTCCATGTGCAGCTACAGGAGGCCATAGGCAATTAACACTGAAAATTGAAAGGTTCAGAATGTTTGCATGACCTTTAAAGGGCAACACCGTTGCCCATTCACATGCATGCAATTATGCAGTGACTAGTTTGTAGCAGCAAATATATATATATTTATTTATATTTAGTAAAACAAACCTTGCATTCATCAAAAACTACTTTGAACTTTCCAGGCTTCATGTAGAGAGTTAGCTTTACATAGTACAGGAGACTTGTTCAGCTGGTTCTCTTCATTTTGTCAAATTACTAAATTCAGCCTATCACCGTAATTGCTAGAATGCAACATTATCACATTATTGAATCTCTCTGTAGAGTTTCCAAAATCTACTGCATAAAGCTACGTTTAAAAGAAGCAATATAAATATAAATTTAATTGAATGACTATGTTTGTACTATTGCTGGGGAAAGGGAGATGTAACTTTGCTAACTAGCCATTCAGGGGAAATCATAAAACAATTACAGCTACTATGGAGTAACTTAGGAGATTGAAGGAAGTGATTAAAAGGACTTTATCTAATATAAACATATAAGCTCTGATTCCTTAGTTATATATCTCATACTCCACATGAACCACTGAACAAAATAGAGTATTCTTCTTACAGCTTAAATATTTACTCTTCATCTGATTTCAAGTAAACTAGAAACCTTATGTTTTCCAATGGCAATACCAATCAATTGCCTAAGTATTCCACTGACTAGCTTGCCTAATATTACAGCACAGGATAAAATCCAACATATCCATGTGGTATACACATTAGAAACAGGTGGATTTTGGAAAACTAACATAAATTTGGAGTATGATATCAATATATTTCTGGCAATTTTGTAGATACCATTTTAAACGAGAATAGTACACGCCAATGTAATACATAGTTTGTGCATTGACTATGGAGGTGTATATTCAATAAAGACAGCAGCACACAGATATGTTCAGCGTTCAAAATGTGTCAAAATTCCCAGTTGTAGTGTCAATAAAAACATCCACAGTGTCTCCGCATTGAGGACAAAAATGATTTTTTTTGCATTTGTAGCCTAGTAAATAAAAGTATCTCCAAAAGAAAAATTCATGAGAAAAATAGAATGTATTAACAATGGCTCAAACAGTAAAACTCAGTTATAAATGACGTTGTCACACTATGCATACAGTTGTACTGCAAGTCAAATCATGGAAAATAGTGGAAAAACTATGCACCTATAAAGGCAGACATTCTACAAAGTTGTTCTGATCACCCTGTTACGTAAAACCAGTATTTTACATGGGTGTCATTTAAAGCATATGTATGTATGTATGTATGTATGCATGTGCATATATGTATAGATACAGAGATTATATTGTTAGGTACTACAGAGAAATATATTTAAATACTTTCACATTCCAATATGTCTAACTTATCCTCTTAAAATTTCTGTAAGATTAAGAAGACAAGAATTGTTTATTTCATTGACGACACTGCACTGAATGAATCACTGCACTGAATGAACAAAATCAGACCTTCTAAAAATTACCCAATAAGTCAGTGGCCAATGACAATTAAAAAACAGAAACTAACTTCTATGTCTCTGTTTGCTGGGCTCACCTGTCAATCTCCTGTTTCAGATTGTGCTCCGAACCTAAAGTAAAACTGTTTTCTAAAGACTAATGGTAACTCAGTGTGAAATTATTTCTTCTCTTTCGATGGAATAATTAAATAGTTCAATATGCTCAAAGTAGTTCAAAATAAAGTTAACCAAAGAATTTTCAAATAAGATGGTAAATTCACCATATTACATGGCATTATAAAATCAGTGGTCCAAAAGCAGGCTATATCATGTGAAATTTTGTGTAAGCATGTGGCCAGATATGAAGTTGATGCAGCTGGTTTGGCCTTCATATCTAGCAGCAGGCTGTGTTAATGCATTTCTTCTCTTTGTTTCGATGAAGCCCTACTAATAACAGGTTGATGAATTGCATTTGCAAATGTCAGGCATAGATCAAAGGGGATGACGGCTTGGATGATTATTTTACCCCAAGTTGTGATTTTTCACCAAGAAAACAAAACTGCATTGCACAGTAAGGTTCCTTATTTTTACTTGAATCTTCAATGAACAAAACAGCTGCAGAAAAATGTGACTTAATGAGGCATCCCTAATAAAATACTGCAGAAGTAAAAGCAGGGGCACTGAACTGTTTGCACTCTGGTTGTTTCATCTTTTCAAATATATTAGAAATAACTGATGACACTTTGGAACATTCCTTGTTTGGGACATGCATTAGAGAGTTCGTCAGTAAATGTTCATCAGTTTGCAGTGATTGCTGAACTTTGGTGCAATCTGACAGGACCTTTTCTTAGGGGCCAAGATAAGAAATGACTGAGAAATCCTGAAGATACATATCTTACCCTTCCTGTATAAGGTAATCCATAACTTGCAATTAGTGATAAATCATCCTTAAATGTGTATTTTAACACAAAAATACATTTAAAAATGATCATCAAAATACTACATTGAAGACACTGGATCCAGGACTACTAACATTTTCTGATAAAATATAAAATAATTTTTAAATTTTTCTACCACCCTCTAAATTTTATCATTTTATAAATTTTTAAATAGGAAAACTGGCCATATCTAAAAACATATTTTTACAGCCATGTCATCACATTTTATAACTTGGTGGTTAGTAAATACCATATTGCCATCTCTAAGCAATATGTAATCTATTTTTACATAAATCCATAGGCAACTCAATGAATCTTCATTCTCCAATTTGTCATTGTTAAAATAGCTAATATTTTTCTAATGCAATATCACATATACTTAGAAGCCTTAATTCCCCTTTAGCAGAACCTGTAGCATTATATAGGCATTTGCTTTAATGTCAAAAATTCTGGGTTCATCTTTAAGAGACACATATCGTAGCACTCTACATAAATATGAATTCAAGCATCCTAAAGTACTAAATTTTTTAAAGGCAAGAAAAGAATCAAGATTTTCACATAAAAAAAAAAATGCCTAATCTGAATAAAACAACACACTAAAGCCATTTGCCTCTTAAAAGATTCCCTGTGCCTAAGTATTCAGTTGGCAGTGACATCAACCTCACGGACTTTTAGTATCTATAAATAATACAATCCAACTTTTTTATTGAAAATTAGGAAAATGAAAATATTTATAAGCTCCAGTGTGGTAACTGATGGCCTTTAAGTGGCTACTGGTGGCTTTAAAAATTAAGATTCTAAAAAGAAAGGTCAACTCAAACAATTGACTCAGGATGAGATTCAAAACAAAATAAAGTAAGGAAAGAGACAAACATGTCTGATCTTTTATTTGAAATATAGGATGTTAGGTGCCAATTTTGATATTGCAAATGATTAATCAGTCTGAGAGTACAAATGCAAACATGGAAAGGCTGGGGTAAGTACAAATAATCTTAATCTTCTGATTTTTAAAGCTTTAGAAGTGTTTTTAATCTCCTTTCCTGGTTATTTTGGTTTAGCACTTTACACAAAAATCTTAAATTAATTGTTCATTTGTCTTAACTTATATGCCTAATAAAGCAGTTTAGGAGTGTTAATTGACAACTCTGAATGTTGATGTTTAAAACAATCTAGTTGAGAAGACAAGAATCAGATAATTATCATTCAGTCAATAGTAACTGAAATTCATCCTGTCCTGTGTGAAGGACCCTGCTACACTACCAAGTACTTTGGGGACACTTCAGAGTAAAGGTTGCTTATGAGTTTGCTTTGTGTGTGTGTGTGTGTGTGTGTGTGTGTGTGTGTGTGTCTGTGGTTTTTAAGGTTTTTTTTCTCCACGAACCATTTTGTAAAATCCAAGAGGGGATTTCATACTCACAAAAAGATAATTTTTTCCCTCTCTCTCTCTTATTGCCATAATCAAACTCACGCAGCAAAGGTGAAGAGAGACTAGCCGCTGGAGTAACATTACTACACATTTGATTCCAAACGCTTCAGGCAATTGTTTAACACTCGGTCAGGACGTGGAATACTCAATAGGGAAGCCTCGCGTCCACCCAAAGGCTCTACGAGCGTCTATGGTTCTTCCTTTTCAGACAGGATAACTCAACCTGCAGTTCTGAGAGAAATAGGGCGACGGATCTCAAACTTTCCTTTGCAAAGCCAGTTTCTGAAAATAACACGTTCCCCCATTGATAAGTGAAGATCAGTAGCCTCAAGAAAACAATACTTGGTAGGCACCTGGCCTTTCAGAATTGAAGGGGGAAGGAATGGCAAAGCAGTTAGCAGAAAACCCGGGTACTAGTAGCAAGATCCGGGAGACATCTAACCGGAAAGAAATAAAAAACCATTAGTTTCCCGAAGCCATTCTTATTCTGAACGCTGTTCGTTAAGAGAATCATTTACTAAAGCTCTCTTGTAGTAGCCTTTACAAAAGCTTTATTTCATTCAGTAAGAAAGCGCCCCGTCCCAAATCTAAATAAACCTTACATAGATGAGGCTCCGGAAATTATCAGCTTGATTCTTTATGAAGATAGTTAGAGGTGGATAAATCAATAGACTCGCTGAAACACCCACCTTCTGCAAACAGGCCTGAGAATTAACTAATCAGAAGTGGACAAAAAGTAGGGATTTCAGAAAGATGACCTGACACATCCCATTGATCTTCCCTGGAATGCGACCCCCAACTCCTTATTAAGAGTCCAAAATGGTTACCAGCCAGGATGGGTCTGGGTGAGGAATCGAATTACAACCCACTTCAATCCTCGACCTGGTCGTTTGCTGTTATTAGGAGAAATGGGGCAGAGAGGGAGGGCACCGCTCACGGAGCCTCATTTCGCATGCTCCGATCCCCTCTCGGCGTCCCTCTACTCCGCCCCTACCCTGACCGCCCGCGAGGGAGACGCCGGCCGATGGACCCGCATCTGCCCTCACCTCTCGCCTTCCCCGGGCGATCCCTCTACAGTCCCGGACCCCCGAGAAAGGGGAAGGGAGACGTGTGCACACGGGGGCTTCCGGGACCGCGGTCCTGCAGTTGCCGCTCCGGTCCCCAGCGCTGGCCGGCGACCCGAGGCGCGGCTCGCACCTACCTGCAGCCCCGCTTCCCGGTGGCGGCAACACCTAGCGATGCTCCTGCAGCTTTTGCGGGCCGGCGCCAGCCTTATCGCTCTCGCATCGCTTCCAAGATGCCAATCCGCCGTCACCATCCAGGGGCATAGGGAACCGAAGTCTGGTGCTGTGTGATCGTGGAGGGCGGCGTGTGAGTGTGGCCCTGAGCGTGCGAGTGTGCGCGCGCGTGTGTGGATGTGTTTCCTCCTCCGATGGCAAAGACGGTTCAGGAATCTGACATCCAAGCTGGAATCCCCCTGAAGCGGGTGAAGGTGAGCCTGATCCTTCTCCCCGCTTCTTTATTCCACAGTGTCAAAGTAATCAAAAGATTTGTTTACTGAGGAAAAGCCAAAGTCCCGCAGCCCTTGGCAGCGCCCGCGGTCGCCTCCTGTCCTCGCCGGATGCGCGCGGTGCGCTCAGCTCCCTGGACTGCAAGAATCAAGGCGGTCTTGCTGCAATTACCGCTCTTATTCCATCTCTGATTTGTTTGCTTTTAAGGCCGACTAAAGACTTTTCCTCTCGCCTCACGTCGTCTCTCCCTCTCACACACACACACACTCACACATCCTCCGTTCCCTCTCTCCCGCCCTCCCTCTTGTTCTCTGGGGAAAGGCAATTGGACAGAATGATTCACCTTCAGGAAAGCAGCCTCGGCCACGCACTTCTCGAGTTCCCTGGCTCTCGCAGGTACCGGGTCTCCAACGTGGCGGAGTTGCTGGGAAGCTCGGGACAGGAAGGAGGAGAGGCTCTGAGCTCAGCCGATGTCCCCCCTCCAGACGCCCGCGTTCCTCCGTCCAGGTGCCCCTGTTCCCACTGCTCGCAGATAGGTCCCCGCTGGTGCCCTCGCGGAGACTTGGCGCCTTCCACTCGAATCCACTTAGCAGCAACTCCTGGCCAGCTTCAGCCCCTCAATCCCGCCTCGAAGTGCTGCGGGCAGAGCCCCACGCAGCCCACCCGCTGCCCTTCTAGGCATCGTGGGCTGGAAGGAAGGGAAACCCGCCGATGTCCCCCTGGTAGCAGTGCCCTGGCACCGTCACCACCGAGGAGGTGCGAGTTCCAACATCGAACACAAGCGAGCAGGTGTCGCCTGTGTCACTTTGCTAAAGGCGGGAGGGGAGAAAGAAAGGAGCGGGGGGAGGGGGCCGAGGAAACAAATCCAGATCACCGGCGGAGAAAGAAGCCGTTTAGCAAGCAAAGCCTCCTCTCCGCGTCCCACCCCAGATGCTATACTGTCAAAAGACACTGATGCTAATCTTTTAGAAAGTCGCCATAAAGGGCAGAGCCCCTGCTCCACTCTAGAACCCTATTCCACCCAGCCTGGCTGTCCAGTGAGTACAGAGTGACTTGGCTCCCCCGTATAGTGCAGCGAGAATGCAGGAGAATAGGTCCTGACACTCCAGGTTGAGTTAAGCAGTAAAATGGAATGGCAGGGCCGGGCGGCGTTGCCTCGCCTCTCTCTCCCAACAGCCAGTTCTGTTAGCCCCAGCAACTGCCGTTGAGAGCAAACAACGGTCCTGCAGAAAAAGAACGAGACAGTAAAAGATGAGGAGGCAACTGGTATAAAAGCTGGACTATGTCTCCCTCTAGAGGGTCAACCGGATTAGAACGCTTTACTAGATGTAACAGACCAGTTTCTCTCCATAAAGAAAAAGAAAAAAATATCTGGTTTCAGATAATTTGCATTTTTACAAATTACAACTTCTCAAGGATTTAGACGGAGGATTTTCACTGCAGCCCTATTAAGCAAAGCCCTTGCTAAAGGAACGTCGTGATATTCATGACGCTGGAAGGTCATGTCCTTACATGTTTGGTCAAATTGGGTGTCGGTTTAAGCGCTGTGCATATGAGCTCAAATGAAGGGTCTTCTGAGGCTCACTTCGATCATGTTTGGAGATGAGCAAAACCTTAATCTAGTGATTAGAAGACTATTCAAAAATGAATAATTAGTAAGAATGAATTCAGAAAAAGAAAATCTGAAACAAAGAAAGGGAATGCTGACCCAGGAAATTTTACAAGTCCTTTACAAGGAAAGATAACTCAAGAATCTGGTTTTGGAGCCAGTTTTCATACCTCTTTTTCAACTAGACCAATAATGGTCAAGATAGCTAAATTCCTTCCAGCTCTAAAGGTCTGTGCTTTTATATAGCTGTGATTCACTGAAACCATTGACAAATTAGGTATCACAAGCTCTCTTCACCAGCTATAAAATAAAAGTAATACTACATACCATATTTACAAAGAAATATAGAATATGTGCTTCACTTAGCTATTTTATCTTAACATGCTTAGTAAATCAACCATATTTTGTATCTAAAATGCATCAAGTAATTTAATTATGTTGAGGTGGTCATTTTTATAAAAAATAGCTCCACCGATTTTATAAAGTTTTGTTACATCAGTCCAAATCAAGCTAGGTCCCATCTGTAACCTTAACATTTAGATTTTTGTGAACTTACTATTTGAGCTGGGGGTTTGCTTTCAAAATGTTTCTGTATGTTCAAAAATTGTAAAATGTGTATTAAAGTTATTATTAAACACCCTTCCATTCACTCTGAATTTCTGGAGCAGTTCTATTTTAACTTGATAATCTAAATTAGCACAGTCATAAAGAAAGAAAAGAATGTATTTTTTAAATAGCTGAGACTAGTTGAAATCATTTAAAACAAAGCACCAAAACTAAACAAGGCAAGTTTTACCGTAACTAATTGCTCTATGGCATATTTGACTTTGTCTAGTAGTATACAGCAATCATTTGTTTCCAAGGATCTCTCAGATAGTCTCTTTCAAAAGATTTATGCCATGTGATTAAATATTTCATTCCACTTACATAGTAACTTATATCCAGGAAAGCAACGTTTACATTTTAAAACACCTGGCACTGTTGCACTGCAAATCTTACAGTATTTTTTTGTCTGCTGTGTTCAATAGTGTGATGAAATTCAAGCAGGAATGACATTGGAAACTTGGACTCTGTACTAGAAAGAAGTCACTTACAAAATCACTTTAGAACATTGGCTTTCTTTTCACACACACACACACACACACACACATACAAAAAAACATAAAGCATACATTATAATCTTTCTACCTTCTAATTCATTAACTTTTTGTGGTTGTAATCTATAGTTTTGTCATCTTGTTAAAATTTTATTTGTATTGTTTAAGTGTGGGACATTTTCAGCCTTATTTTTCTAACTAAACCCACTGTGTTTTTACAATATATGAAAAAGTAAAGAGAACAGATATATAAATTAATTACAAAATAGAACAAAATTTCTTATCCAATGTCATATGATGCTGAAATTCTATCATAACCTCTGTGCTTTTTGTAAATAATTCCCAATAATTTTTAGATCAAGATATTCCTATTTCCAGCATCTCCTAGACAAAATAAAATCTTTTGCATTCTCTTCAAAGGAAACAAAGTAGTAAAGATTCTCCTAATTTAACAGAAATTTTTTGTTGATACTTCTTACCTTCTACAGGCATGCCTCAAAAATGTTGCAGGTTTGGTTCCAAACCACCACAAATATTGCAATAAAGTGAGTCACACAATTTTTTTGGTTTCTCAACACATGTGAAAGTTATGTTTACACCATACTGCAGTCCATTAGGTATGCAATAGCATTTTGTCTTAAAAATGTACATATCTTACCTTGAAAATGGTTTAATGCTTTTTTTAAAAAAAGTGTACTGATGATCTGAGCCTTCAGTGATTCCTAATCTCTTTGCTGATGGAGAGTCTTGTTTCAGTGTTGATGGCTGCTGATGGATCAGGGTAGTGGTTGCTGAAGGTTGGAATTGCTGTGGCGATTTCTTAAAATAAGACAATAATGAGGTTTGCTGTGTCAATTGACTCTTCCTTTCACAAAAGATTTCTCTGTAACATGCAATGCTGCTTGATAGCATTTTATCCACAGTAGAACTTCTTTCAAAATTGGAGTTAGTCCTCTCAACTCTGCCACTGCTTTATCAGTCAGGTTTATAAAATATTCAAAATCCTTTGTTGTCATTTCAACAATATTCACAGCATCTTCACCATGAGTAAATTCCATCTCAAAAAAAACTACTTTGCTCATCCACAGAAGCAACTCTTCTAGCATCTAGAATGGTGAATGATCTCCAGAAGCTTTTCAATTTACTTTGCCCAGATCCATCAGAGGAATCATTATCTATGACAGATGTAGCCTAGCAAAATATATTTCTTAAATAAGAAGACTTGAAAGGCAAAATTACTCCTTGACCTATGGGCTGCAGAACAGATGTTGTGTTAGCAGGCATGAAAACAACATGAACCTTCTTGTACATCTTCATCAGAGCTGTTGGATGACCAAATGTATTGTCAATAAGCAGTAGTATTTTGAAAGGAATCTTTTTGTGAAGCCAGTAGCTCTCAACAGTAGGCTTAAAATATTTAATAAAATATGCTGTAAACAAATGTGCTGCTATCAGGCTTTCTTTTTCCATTTATAAAACACAAGCAGAGTAGATTTATTATAATTCTTAAGGGCCATACGATTTTCAGAATAGCAAATGAGCATTGGCTCCAACTTAAAGTCACCAGCTGCATTATCCTCTAACAAGAGAGTCATCCTGTCCTTTGAAGCTTCGAAGCCAGGCACTGACTTCTCTCTAGCTGGGAAAGTCCCAGATGTCATCCTCTTCCAATATAAGGATGTTTATTTACATTGAAAATCTGTTGTTTAGTGTATCCACCTTCATCAATGATCTTAGCTAGATCTTCTGGATAACTTGCTGCAGCTTCTACCTAAGCACTTACTGCCTCACCTTTTACTCATGTATTATGGAGACAGCTTCTTTCTTTAAATCTCATGAACCAACCTCTGCTAGTTTCAAATTTTTCTTCTGAAGATTTTTTACCTTTCTTTCAGCCTTTATAGAATTGAAGAGAGTTAAGGCTTTGCTCTGGATTAGACCCTGGCTAAAAGGAATGTTGTGGCTGGTTTGATTTTCTATCTAGACCACCAAAGCTTTCTCTATGTCAGCAATAAGACTGTTTTGCTTCCTTATCATTGTGTGTTCACTGGAGCAGCACTTTTCATTTCCTTCTTGAACTTTTCCTTTGCATTCACAACTTGCCTAGCAGTTTGGCTCAAGAGGCCTAGTTCTCAGCTTTTGACATGCCTTCCTCCCTATTAAGCTTTTGATTTAAAGTGAGAGACATGAGACTCTTCCTTTCATTTGAACACTTACAGACCACTGTAGGGTTATATTAATGGGCCTAATTTCAATATTAGGTCAGGGAATAGGGAGACCCCAGGAGAGAGAGGGAGTTGGGGGAACAGCCAGTTGGTGAAACAGTCAGAACCACACAACATTTATTAATTAAGTTTGCCATCTTACATAGGCACAGTTCATTGCATCCTAAGACAATTATAATAGTAACATCAAAGACCAGTGATCACAGACCGCCATAACAGATACAAGAATAATACAAAAAGTCTGAAATATTGTGAGAATTACCAAAATCTAACACAGAGACATGAAGTGAGCACATGCTGCTGAAAAAATGGCACTGAGGGACTTATTCAACACAGGGTTACCACAAACCTTAAATTTGTAAAAATAAAAGAAAATAATAATAATAAATAAAAACAATATTTGCAAAGTGCAGCAAAGAAGGGGTCTCCAACCCCCAGGGACTGGTACCCTCCCTGTTAGTAACCCAGCCTCACAGCAGGGGTGAGCTGTGGGCAAATGAGCATTACCGCCTGAGCTCCATCTCCTGTCAGATCAGCTGCGGCATTAGATTCTCACAGGAGCCTGAACCCTATTGTAAACTGCACATGCAAGGGATCCAGGTTGTGCGCTCCTTATGAGAATCTAATGCCTGATGATCTGAGGTGGGATGGTTTCATCCCGAAATTATCCCCCACCAACTGTCCATTGAAAAAAATTGTCCTCCATGAAACCGGTCCCTGGTGCTGAAAAGGTTGGGGACTGCTGCAATAAAGTAAGGCACAACAAGCTGAGGAATAGCCATATTTGTTTAAATTGCCATCCTCCTCAAGTCTAAGCAGTAAAAAATAATTTCTTTAAACACTGAACTTAACTGGATTGTAACTCTATCATAGCTTTCCATGTTCTGTTCGCTAAAAATCACTTTGGTGCACTTCAGGCTTTTTCTTTTTTGCCTTTTATAGAAAATTACTTTATTGAAGTATAATTGATATACAATCAACTGCATGTATTTAAAGTGTACAATTTGATGAGTTTTGACACATGGGTATATCTGTGAAACTACCACCAGTCAAAATACCAAATGTTTCCATTCCCCCAAAAGTTACCTCATGCCCATTTATAATCCATATCTTCTTCCAGTCCTGTCTCTAGCATCCACTGATCTAGTTTCTGTCACTATAGTTTGCATTTTCCACAGTTTATATAAATTGAATAGTATTTTATGTGTTCTTTTTTTGTCAGGCTTCTTCCCATTGGAATAATTATTTTCAGATCATCTGTGTTGTTGTACATAGCAATAGGTCATTCTTTTTTACTTCCAAGTAGTATTTCACATTGTAGATATACCACAATTTCTTTAACCATTCACCTCTTAATGAACATTTGGGTTACTTCTAGTTTGGGGATATTAAAAATAAAGCTGCTATGAACATTTGTGAAGAAGGCTTTGAGTGAACCTATGTTTTCATTGCTCTTGGGTTACTACCTAGAAATGAAATGGCTGGATCATATGGTAGGGTATGTTTAACTTAAAAACAAGAAGTATTTTCTAAAGTGTCTGTGCCATTTTGTATTCCCATCTGCTGTGGTGGAGAGCTTTTGGAGCACTTCTAGCTTTCTACAAAAGGCTTTGTATTATATCCAAACTCCTTACCTCAAATCCCCACAACATCTCATAAAGCAGACGATATAAACCCACTTATCACATGAAAAAAAAAATGAGACAATCTACCTGTTATTATATATTGGAGCTGAGATTCAAACCAGATCTATCTAAAGTCAGAGCCAGTCATTGATTTTTTGTTTGGCTTGGTTTTGTTCTTGTTTTTGTTTTCCCAGCCTCCTCTCTTTCTGCCTCCAACCCCTGTATCACAGGGAGATCAAACTCATTTGGATCTGGATATGGAAAAGGCTTTAGCCAGAGAACCTGGGTTCATTAGTAAGAATAAAGAGAAGAGATTAGTAAGAGAGATAGAATAAGGAGAAAAATTAGCTCTGGCTCCCCGCAGTGTTCTGCAAGATACGGTATTATAACAATTAAATTAAAACTTACGAGTCCCAGTTCATAGTTCTTAGCTTGTAGGATTGCTACCTACAAGCCATTCATCCCCACTTGTCTCCTCTTATTTTATTTGATGTTAACCAAGTTATTTCTAACTTATGCAATAATGTGTCTCTCACTTATCTTTTAAATGTTTTTTAAAAACATTTACAGAATATTTTCATGTAATCAAGTGAATGGAAGGAAGCACAGAATTCATTCCACACAACCCAAGGTTACATGCATGTTATTAACTTATGCTATCCCCATCCCCTAGCATGGTACCTTACACACAATAAATACTCTATAAATACTTTGTGGTCAAAACTCAGGAAACCAAACAGGCCAACTGAATAGACACATGCCATGGAGATAAGTCAAGAAGACCATTTCACAAAGTGATGTGAGAAACAACTGAGGCAGGAAAACTGTCCTACATGTAGTAGGCAAATATAACAAACCACCCCAAAACTTAGTTACTTAAAGAAGAAACATTTATTTAGTTCACATTTCTGTGGATTGGCAATTTGTTTTTGGCTCATTCTTCCCGACTCGGTTGGGCTTACTCATGTGTCTGAAATCAACTGGCAGTGCATTGCCTCCGTCATTATCTGACAATTGGCTGATTGTAAGCTGGAGTACTGGGGATAAGTAGGCCACATGCCTTTTTATTTTATTTTACTTCATTTTGTTTTAAGTGCCTGGATACATGTGCAAGACGTCTAGGTTTGTTACATAGGTAAACATGTACCATTGTGGTTTGCTGCACCTATCAACCCATCACCTGGGTATTATACCCCCATGCATAAGCTATTTATTCTGATACTCTCCCTCCCCACACCCTGCCAACGCCATCAGGCCCCTGTGTGTGTTGTTTCCCTCCCTGTGTTCATGTGTTCACATTGTTCAGCTCCCACTTATAAATGAGAACATGCGGTGTTTGGTGTTCTGTTCCTGTGTTAGTTTGCTGAGGATAATGGCTTTGGGCTCCATCCATTTCCCTGCAAAGGACATGATCTCATTCCTTTTTACAGCTACATAGCATTCCATGGTGTGTGTGTGTGTATGTGTGTGTATATATATATATATGTATGTGTATATATATATAAAACATTGTCTTTATCGAGTCTATCACTAGTGGGAATTTGTGTGGATTCTATATCTTTGCTATTGTAAATAGTATTGCAATGAACATATACATGCATGTATCTTTATAATAGAATGATTGATGTTCCTTTGGGTATATACCCAGTAATGGCATTGCTGGGTCAAATGGTATTTCTGGTCCTAGGTCTCTGAGGAATCACCACATTGTCTTCCACAATGGTTGAACTAATTTACATTCCCACCAACAGTGTAAAAGTGTTTCTGTTTGTCCACAACCTCAACAGCATCTGTTGTTTCTTGCTTTTTAATAAACACTATTCTGATTGGTGTGAGATGATATCTCATTGTGGTGTTAATTTGCATTTCTCTAATGATCAGTGATGTTGAGTTTTTTTCACATGCTTGTTAGTTGCATATATGTCTTCTCTTGAGAAGTGTCTCTGTTCAAGTCCTTTGCCCACTTTTTAATAGGGTTGTTTGTTTTCTTCTTGTAAATTTGTTTAAGTTCCTTGTAGATTCTGGATATTAGACTTTGTCAGATGGATAGACTGCAAAATTTTCTCTCATTCTGTAGAATGTTTGCTCACTCTGATGATAGTTTCTTTTGCTGTGTAGAAGCTCTTTGGTTTAATTAGATCCCATTTGTCAATTTTTCCTTTTGTTGCAATTGCTGTTTATGTTTTCATCATGAAATTTTTGCCCGTGCCTATGTACTAAATGGTATTGCCTAGATTTTCTTCTAGGGTTTTTATATTTTTGGACTTTACATTTAAGTCTTTAATCCATCATGAGTTAATTTTTGTACAAGGTGTAAGGAAAGGGTCCAGTTTCATTTTCTGCATATGGCTAGCCAGTTATCCCAGCACAGTTTATTCAACAGGGTATCCTTTCCCTATTGCTCATTTTTGTCAGATTTGTCAAAGATCAGATGGTTGTAGATATGCAATCTTATTTCTGAGATCTCTATTCTGTTCCATTGGTCTATTGTCTGTTTTTGTATCAGTACCATGCTGTTTTGGTTACTGTAGTTTTGTTGTATAGTTTGAAGTCAGGTAGTGTGATGCCTCCAGCTTTGTTCTTTATGCTTAAGATTGTCTTGGCTATATGGGCTCTTTTTTGGATCCATGTTAATTTTATAGTAGCTTTCTCTAATTCCGTGAAGAATGTCAATGGTAGTTTAATGAGAATAGCATTGAATCTCTAAATTACTTTGGGCGGTATGGCCATTGATTCTTCCTATCCATGAGCATAGAATGTTTTTCCATTTGTTTGTGTCCTCTCTTATTTCCCTGAGCAGTGGTTCGTAGTTCTCCTTGAAGAGGTCCTCCACATCCCTTGTTAGCTGTATTCCTAGGTATTTTATTCTCTTTGTAACAATTGTAATGGGAATTCATTCATGATTTGGCTCTCTGCTTGTCTATTGTTGCTGTATAGAAATACTTGTGATTTTTGTATGTTTATTTTGTATCCTGAGACCGCTGAATTTGCATATCAGCTTAAGAAGCTTTTGGGCTGAGATGATGGGGTTTTCTAGATATAGGATCATGTTATCTGCAAACAGAGACAGTTTGACTTCCTCTCTTCCTATTTGAATATGCTTTATTTCTTTCTCTTGCCTGACTTCCCTGGCCAGAACTTCCAATACTATGTTGAATAGGAGTGGTAAGAGAGGGCATCCTTGTCTTATGCTGGTTAAAAGGAATGCTCCCAGCTTTTGCCTATTCAGTATGACATTGGCTGTCAGTTTGTCATAAAAGGTTCTTTTTATTTTGAGGTATGTTCCATCAATACCTAGTATATTGAGAGTTTTTAACATGAAGAGATGTTGAATTTCAGCAAAAGCCTTTTCCTATGTCTATTGAGATAATTATGTGGTTACTGTCTTTAATTCTGTTTATGTGATGAATTATGTTTATTGATTTGCATATGTTGAACCAGCCTTGCATCCCAGGGATGAAGACAACTTGATCATGGTGGATAAGCTTTTTGATGTGCTGCTGCATTTGATTTGCCAGTTGAGGATTTTTGCATTGATGTTCATCAGGGACATTGGCCTGAACTTTGTTGTTGTTGTTGCTGTTGCTGTATTGCTGCAAGGTTCTGGTATCAGGATGATGCTGGCCTCAAAAGATGAGTTGGGAGGGGTCTCTCCTTTTCAATTGTCTGGAATAGTTTCAGAAGAAATGGTACCAGTGCCTCTTCGTACCTCTGGTAGAATTCAGCTGCAAATCTGTCTGGTCCTAGGCTTTTTTTGGTTGGTAGGCTATTTATTATTGCCTCAATTTCATAACCTTTTATTGGTCTATTTAGGGATTCAAATTCTTTCAGATTCAGTCTTCAGAGGTTGTATGTGTCCAGGAATTTATTTATTTCTTCCAGATTTTCTAGTTTATTTGCATAGATGTGTTTATAGTATTCTCTGACGGCTGTTTGTATTTCTGTGGGGTCAATGATGATATCCCCTTTATGATTTTTTATTGTGTCTATTTTATTCTTCTCTCTTTTCTCCTTTATGAGTTTAGCTAACAGTCTATTTTATTAATTTTTTTCAAAAAACAAGCTCCTGGATTAGCTGATTTTTTAAGGGTTTTTCATATCCCTATCTACTTCATTTCTACTGTGATCTTGGTTATTTCTTGTCTTCTGCTAGCTTTGGGGTTTGTTTGCCCTTGGTTTTCTAGTTCTATTAATTGTGATGTTAGATTTGAGATCTTTCTAGTTTTTTTTTTTTCTTTTTGAGACAGAGTCTCGCTCTGTGGCCCAGGCTGGAGTGCAATGATACGATCTTGGCTCACTGCAACTTCTGCCTCCCAGTTCAAGTGATTCTCTCGCCTCAGCCTCCCTAGTAGCTGGGCACCCACCACCATGCCCAGCTAATTTTTGTATTTTTAGTAGAGGTGGACAGACTGGTCTCAAACTCCTGACCTCAGATGATCCACCTGCTTTGGCCTCCCAAAGTGCTGGGATTACAGGCGTGAGCCACTGTGCCCGGTCCTTTCTAGCTTTTTGATGTGGCATTTAGTGTTATAAATTTCCCTCTTAATACTGCTTTAACTGCATCCCAGAGATCCTGGTACTTTGTCTCTTTGTTCTGATTGGTTTCTAAGAACTTCTTGATTTCTGCCTTAATTTCATTATTTACCCAGGAGTCATTCACGAGCAAGTTGTTCAATTTACATGTAGCTGTGTGGTTCTTTTTTTTTTTTTTTTTTTTTTTTTTTAGACAGTCTTGCTCTGTCACCCAGGCTAGAGTGCAGTGGTGCAATCGCAGCTCACTGCAACCTCCACCCCCTGGCTCAAGTAATTCTCATACCTCAGCCTCCTTTGTAGCTGGGACTAAAGGCACATGCCAACATGCCCAGCTAATTTTTGTATTTCTAGTAGAGACACGGTTTCATCATGTTGACCAGGCTCGTCTTGAACTCCTGACCTCAAGTGATTCACCCACCTCAGCCTCCCAAAGTGCTGAGATTACAGGCATGAGCCACCACACCCATCTTACATGTAGTTATGTGGTTCTGAGGGGGTTTCTTAAGTCTTGAGCTCTAATTTGATTGTGCTGTGGTCTGAGAGACTGTTTGTTATGATTTTGGTTCTTTTGCATTTGCTGAGGAGTGTTTTACTTCCAATTATGTGATTAAGTTTAGAGTAAGCGCCATGTGGCGCCAAGAATAACGTATATTCTGTTGTTTTTGGGTGGAGAGTTCTGTAGATATTTATCAGGTCCACTTGATCCAGAGCTGAGTTCAAGTCCTGAATATCCTTGTTAATTTTCTGTCTCGATCATCTGTCTAATATTGACAGTGGGGTGTTAAAGTCTCCCACTATTATTGTGTGGGCATCTAAGTCTCTATGTAGGTCTCTAAGAATTTGTTTTATGAATCTGGGTCCTCCTGTATTGGGTGCCTATATATTTAGGACAGTTAGCTCTTCTTGTTGAATTTAACTCTTTACCATTATGTAATGCCCTTGTCTTTTTTTAATCTTCATTGGTTTAAAGTCTGTTTTGTCAGAAACTAGGATTGCAACCCCTGCTTTTTTTGGCTTTCCATTTGCTTGGGAAATTCTCCTCCATCCCTTTATTTTGAGCCTATGTGTGTCTTCGCCCATGAGCTCAGTCTCTTGAATACAACATACCAATGGGTCTTGACTCTTTACCCAGCTTGCCATTCTGTGTTTTTTAATTGGGGCATTTAGCCCATTTACGTTTAAGGTTAATGCTGTTTTATGTGAATTTGATACTGTCATCATGATGCTAGCTGGCTATTTTGCAGACTTGTTGATGTAGTTGCCTCATAGTGTCTTTGGTCTTTGTACTTCAGTGTGGTTTTGTAGTGGCTGGTAATGGTTTTTCTTTTCCACATTTAGTGCTTCCTTCAGGAGCTCTTGCAAGGCAGGCCTGGTGGTGGCAAATTCCCTCAGCATTTGCTTGCCTGGAAAGGATCTTATTTCTCCTTTGCTCATGAAGCTTAGTTTGGCCAGATATGAAATTCTGGGTTGGAAATTCTTTTTTTTTTAAGAATGTTGAATATTGGCCCCCAATCTCTTCTGGCTTGTTGGGTTTCTCAGGAGAAGTCCACAGTGAGTCTGACGAACTTGCCTTTGTAGGTGACCTGGCCTTTCTCTCTGGCTGCCCTTAACATTTTTTCCTTCATTTCGACCTTGGAGAATCTGATGATTATGTGTCTTGGGGTTGATCTCCTCATGGAGTATCTTACTGGTGTTCTCTGGATTTCGTGAATTTGAATGTTGGCCTGTCTTGCTAAGTTGGGAATGTTCTCCTGGATGATAACCCAAAGTATGTTTTCCAATCCCCTTGTCTCTTTCAGGTAGTGCAATCAGTTGTAGGTTCAGTCTTTTTACATAAGCCCATAGTTCTCGGAGGTTTTGTTCATTACTTTTTATTCTTTTTTTCTCTAATATTGTCTGCCTGTGTTATTTCCACAAGATAGTCTTTAAGCTCTGAAATTTTTTCGTCTGCTTGGTCTAGTTGGCTATTGATACTTGTGGTTGCAATGTGAAGTTCTTGTGCTGTGTTTTTCAGCTCCATCAGGTCATTTATGTTCCTCTCTAACCAGAGAATAACCAGTTATTCTGTCATGTTTTATCATGGTTCTCAGATTCTTTACATTGGGTTAGAACATGCTCCTTTAGCTCAGTGAAGTTCATTATTACCCACTTTCTGAAGCCTACTTCTGTCAATTCATTCATCTCAGCTTCCACCCAGTTCTATGCCCTTGCTGGGGAGGTGCTATGATCATTTGGAGGAGAAGAGGTATTCTGGCTTTTTGAGTCTTCAGCATGTTTTCATTGATTCTTTCTCATCTTCATGAGTTTATTTAGCTTCAACTTTGAGACTGCTCACCTTTGGATGGGTTTTTATGGGGACATTTTGTTGATGCTGTGGTTGTTGTTGTTTTCTGTTTGTTTTTCTTTTAACAGTCAGGCCCCTTTTCCATGGGCTGCTGCAGTTTGCTGGGGGTCTACTCAAGACCCCTTCACCTGGGTCCCTCCTGCACCTGTAGGTATCACCAGTGGAGGCTGCACAATAGCAAAGATGGCTGCCTGCTCCTTCCTCTGGAAGTTCTGTCCCAGAGGGGCACTGATATAATGCCAGTGGGAATGCTCCTGTGTAAGGTGTCTGGTGACCACTCTTGGGGGGGTCTCACCCAGTCAAGAGGCACAGGATCAGGAACCCACTTAATAAAGCACTCTGGCTGCCCTTTGGCAGAGGGGGTGCACTGCACAGGGGGAAATCTCACTCATCCAGACTGCCTGGATTCCTCAGAGCCAACAGGGAGAAAGACTAAGTCTGCTGACCCAGAGAGACTTTGGCCACTCCTCCCCTCAGCAGTTCCATCCCAGTGATATCAGAGTTCTGTTTGTAAACCCCTGGCTGGAATTGCTGAAATTCCCCAGGGAGGCCCCACCCAGTGAGGAGGGATGGGTCAGGGTCCAGCCTAAAGAGGGAGTCTGGCCATGATCTGCCACAGCCACTGTGCTGCACTGTGGGGAATTCCTCCTGGGTCCAAACCGCCCAGTTTCCCTGGCATCAGCAGGGGAAACACAGCAGACTGGAGTGGCCATAATGACTGCTGCCCTTCCAGGAAGCCACAGTGACAATGGTTGCCCCTCCCCCTGCAAACTCAGTAGTCTTAGGCAGTCTTCAGCCAAGTGGCCACCAAGAATGTACACAGTTCTGTGTTTGGGATCCAAGGCCCTGGTGGCATGGGCTCACAAAGGGGATCTTCTGATTCATGGGTTGCACAGATCTGTGGATAAGGTGTGGTTTCCCAGGTGGGGTAGCACAATCACTCACTGACTCCCTTGGTTGGGAGTGAAAGCTCCCTTTTCCCCATGCGGCTCCCACATGGGCTGTTACTCCACCCTGCTTTTCCTCGCTCTCCATGGGTCACGCCAACCGCCTAGTCAGTCCGAATGAGAGAACCTGGATACCTCATTTGCCGGTGCAGGAGTCACTCACTGTTTTTATTCTTCTCAATGGGAGCCTCCAACCCCAGCTGTTTCTAGTCAGCCATCTTGACCCTTCCCCACCATATGTATTTTATCAGCCAACCAGCCAGCCTAGATATTTAACATGGAAAGCAGAGTATTCCCATCATAGATGAAAGGACATCTGTCTTGGATAAGTACAAGAAGTTTGTCTAGAATATCAAGTGTCTGGACACACTCCCATGATCAGTGTAATTAATGTAATCTCTCCAACAGCATTCACCAATACCATGAAACATGTCTTCATATTCTTTTTCTAAGAAGTACAAATTTTCCAAGATTTATTATTGTTTTCACTTTAGACACAGAATTAATTCCAATGCTTTATTTTACAATTGAAATCTATCAACCTTATACTAAAATTGACTTGTTATGCTAGAAATCACTAGCAACTTTTTTTTTTTTGAGACAGGTTCTCACTCCTGTCACCCAGGCGGGATGCAGTGGCACAATCACAGCTCATTGCAGCCTCAATCTTCCAGGCTCAAGAGAGCCTCCTGCCTCATTTTTTGACTTTTTTGTAGACACGAGTTCTCACTGTTATCCAGGCTGGTCTCAAACTTCTGGGCTCAAGTGGTCCTCCCACCTTGGCCTCCCAAAGTGCTAGAATTACAGGCAAGAGCCACTGTGCCCAGCCCACTAGCAATTTTTATATGGCAGTGGTTATGTCATCTTTGGTGCATGGACCTGATATCACATATTTTGGTTATTTAGGCTTTATTTGTTTACATCCTGGTTTTTTTTACCATGTTTCAAAGTATTGAGTTCATGATATAAAGAATATGTTATAAATGGCTCCTCAAATGGACTTAATTGAAATCCTTGGCACCATCATACTGCATCTGTCAACAACCTCCTCTGCCTAGTTAGCTCCAACTCATTTGTTAAGGCTCAGGACAAGAGTTATCTTCTTTAGGAAAACATACTTAATTTTGGTAACCCACTCTATTAATTATTTTTCCTATGTGTTCCCAAACATCTATACTTCCCTCCATCTTAACACTTATCCCATTGTGTTATAATTGTCTTACTTTTTCTAGATTATCCAACATTAGACTGCATGCCTTTTGCAGTATACAGTGATGTACATCTTTGTTTCACATAGTAAACCTGCAGACATAAATGAAGGAGTAATTAATATATTTCAATTTACAAGATTAGGGAAAAATATATGGCCACATTTATTTTAATATCCAATAATAATGACTTTAAGCCTCAATACTGCTGATCCTAAGAGTTACATTCTCCTAGCTACTAGAGTCCCAAGTGGTTTCTGGAAATCTTGAAAAATGCTGACATGGTCTGTAAAATTATCCCTCTTTCACACACAAACACACACACACACACACATACACGAGACAAGAAGCTCAAATGCACCCCTATGGTCTCCTTTGTCTTGCTGACCTCCAGAGGCCCACCCATTTGTTTCTGTTATCTACATTTAGCTGCTTCCATGAACTTTTTAGCACTAAACCTCATTTTAGAATTGTAAATGAAGTCCAATTTTCTCCAACATCTGAACCACAGTGGTTCCTAGGGTACAGGGGATGTTCCACTTCTCCACAATGTTATACTCAATCAAAGATCAAAGAAAAATAAGCCCTAGACTCCAGAAGTCCCAGCTCTTCATGATCAACTCATCTGAGTTACAAGCACGTAGACATTTTCCCCAAGGTGTGCCCACATTGCCAGAGTATCTAGGTATGAAAGAGACACAGCATCAGCTTCATGCTGAACCCAGTACTGGGCCCTCCCTGTGGTAAGTCAGGTAACTTCGGCACTGGGCTTAATCCTCCTTCAATCCCAGGTCTTTAATATCTAGACATCCTCATTCCTTGTGAACACTGAGGTCTGCCACAAGGAGGATGAAGTGAGATGGGCAATCTTGGTCTCATTCCCTGGCTGGATGCTTGTTGAATTCAGAGACCAGAACAAGAAAGAGTCCATGGGAAAATCTAACCTTTTTATCTAGTAGTTTGAGGTAAAATTTGAAATTAGAGAAACGGGCCTGCTTCTTGTCTGAAAAATTCTGAAAATAGGAGGCTAGCTTATGTGACCAAGAACAGCAGACAAAGGAGAAAGGTCATCAAATAGTCAAGGAGCAATTCTATCATTTCAGGGGTCAAGGACATATGAACCAAGTGGCATCATAAAAGATAGTGGCCTAAGACATTCAGGCAATAGGAGAAAAAAAAAAGCTGTTTCTTAATTGAACTTAACAGTTTGCACCCATGAATTAATGGGCTGAACATTAGGTTCTATGAATATTGGTCTTTTAGACATTTTAGTTCTGTAGTATAAGGCAGCAGAAAACTATTTACAGACACCACTTCTAGTTAAAAAAAAAAGGCTCTTTATAACATGGTAGGCTGAGATCTAAGGATTTCTGCAACTTGGTAGGCAGCAAGTAAGTAGCTATAAAATCATTGTGAATACCTAGCATGGGGCTAGGATTAGGCAGGGACTGATAAATTCCAAATTTATCAGGAAATTAATGGCCCATATAATGAATAGAATAGTCTCAGAAGTACCGATTAGAGGATAGGATTATCAGGATTGAAGATATTGTCTTACTTAATATTCCCCTCTTCCATCATAAAAATATCCATTGGTATGACATAGGAAATCCAGGTCTTTAAAAACTTTATCTCACTTAATTTATTGACTGTCTTGAGCCATAAGATTTTCATAAGGGTTACCCAGAATTAGTCCTCCTTCAGTCTCCACCTGAGGTGTGATACACAGCCTCCTGTCAACACTACCAGCTCCAGGTTATCTCTCTGTTGACTTTGTCATGCTGGTAGTCATCTTGGACAATTAATGTTTCTTCTAATCCTCTTTCTTTCTGCCTGGTTTACTAGATTAACAAGATCGCTTTTGGCCTCTGAATTTCTTTTTGCCCTCTTTCCTCTACCCACTTCCCCAACACAAGGTTTTTGAAAACAAACAGACTTCCACTTCAGCAGGAAATCAAAGACTTCACATGCTGATACAGTTAGGCTTTGTGTCCCTACCCAAATCTCATCTTGAATTGCAATCCCCATAATCTCCATAATCCCCATCTGTCAAGGGATTACCAGGTGGAGGTAACTGAATCATGGGGACAGTTTCCTCCATGCCATTCTCATAATAGTGAGTAAGTTCTCATAAGATCTGATGGTTTTATAAGGGGCTCTTCCCCCTTCACTCAAAACTTCTTCTTCCTGCTGCCTTGTGAAAAGAGTGCCTTGCTTCCCCTTCACCTTCTGCCATGATTGTAAGTTTCCTGAGGCCTCCCCAGCAATGCTGAACTGTGAGTCAATTAAACCTCTTTTCTTTATAAATTACCCAGTCTCAGGTATTTTCTTATAGCAATGTGAGAATGGACTAATACACATGTGAAAGTACATTCTGAAAGTACAAACCATGGTGAAAGTCAATTTTCAGTACCATTCTTAAGAGGAGCTTAGCTCAAAGTCCTATTCCTCTGTATTATTTGCTAGCTAAATAGATATTAGCAATACCTAATTATGTTCATCCTCAGGGCTAAAAATGAGGAGAAGGGGAGTGAGAGCCACTGAACTATTTAACTGCACTTTGAAGACTGGTTTTAACTAAACTAAGTAGAGGACGATGTTTACAATTTTTTAACCAAAAGTGGGAAAGAAAACTAATACTTATCTCTTTGTTTTTGTAATCATTCTATATGATAGATATTATCTCATTTTATGACTTATAAACTGAGGCTTAAAGATTAAGTAACTTGCCCAAGCAATTAAGTTAAAAAATAAGGGCATCTGGCCAGGCGCAGGGGCTCACGCCTGTAATCCCAGCACCTTGGGAGGCCGAGGGAGGCAGATCACGAGGTCAGGAAATCGAGACCATCCTGGCTAACACAGTGAAACCCCGTCTCTACTAAAAATACAAAAAATTAGCCGGGCGTGGTGGTGGGCGCCTGTGGGAGGCTAAGGCAGAAAAATGGAGTGAACCCAGGAGGCGGAGCTTGCAGTGAGCCGAGATCACGCCACTGCTCTCCAGCCTGGGTGACAGAGTGAGACTCTGTCTCTAAATAAATAAATAAATAAATAAATAAATAAATAAAGGCATCCAGATTTACAAATAGATTATTTTCCCTCAAGAGCATCAACAAGAATTCTTATTTTCTAGTTCCCAGTTCATTGTTTTTTCATTTGACATATTGTTGTGATTTAATTATTTCCAGAAAGCTTAAGTTTAAACTCTGAAATTCCTCCATCCAAACTCTCTATAGATTCCTTTACAAATTTTTTGCCCACTTTTAATATGATATAGGATTATTTCCTTCATTCAACATTGTCAAAATGTTGCTTGAAAAGTTAAGACAGAGCTTCAAATTCCTTATGCGCTTTGGCCACCCAGCGTCAAAACAGGGCAACTGCAGGCAGATGCTAACATTTTTAGACAAGCATCGCAGTACATGTTGTCTGTTTTATAGCAACAAAAATAAATCATGCCAGAGGTTCCGGAGTCTTTGAATGGCAAAAAGCATGTACATATTGAAGATGCTTCCACAACAGAGAGAAGTACATGAAAATGAGCAGCCAAATTTTTTAATGAAAGATTTTAGTAGTGAAAAGGATGTACCGATTCCAAAATGCTAGAAACAATCGAAAGGAGTAAAAAATAATAAGAATAGAGAAAATGAGATAGAACATAATCGTATGTGAGGAAGCAGCCAAAAATAAGAGAACGTATATTGTCTTTTCACACTTTTCTTTAAGGTAGAAGTTAATTAGACAGGGTAATGACACACACATACACCCCCCGCCCCCCAAAAAAACGGTGAAATTGCTAATATTGTGTTATTCAGAGAAATATCTAGCTGGAAAACTGAAAGGAAACCTATAGAAGTCAAGTTCTACCAAGCTGTAGTGACAAATTCAAGTGAGCAATATCAGCAAGAGATCTTTAGGACTAGTGTTAGAACACTGTCATCTGAGTGGATTTACTACACATTTAATTGTACATAGATAGCACCTGCCCTTTGTCGAGCACAATCTAATAAAATAAAAATGATGATACCACCAAAGAGAGAAGTTATTAGCTCATTAATCCAATTACATGAATGACAAAGAGGAGTGAATTTCAGAGATGGGTATAGAGTATGTGCTTACTTAAAATTTAAAAAGCAGAAAAATGGGCCAGGCACAGTGGCTCATGCCTGTAATCCCAGCACTTTGGCAGGCCAAGGCAGGTGGATCAAGGAGGTCAGGACATCGAGACCATCTTGGCTAACATGGTGAAACCCTATCTCTACTAAAAATACAAAAAATTAGCTGGGCGTGGTGGTGCCCGCCTTTAATCCCAGCTACTCGGGAGGCTGAAGCAGGAGAACTGCTTGAACCTGGGAGGCGGAGGTTGCAGTGAGCCAAGATTGTGCTGCTGCACTCCAGCCTGGGTGACAGAGCGAGGCTCCGTCTCAAAAAAAAAAAAAAAGGTAGAAAAATGGCCATAGAACTCTGGGTATGATAAGAAAAGGACTTTTATTGTTAATAGGTCTTCTTTCATAATCATTCAGGGGTTGGGCTTAGGCTCCCTGAGTCAACCGCTATTGTGAAATCCTATCTTTTTAGGGTGTCTGCCCAAGCACAGTGCATGAATGTATAAGACTATAGATATAGATTAGACCAGTGGCTCTCAACATTTTTATCAGGTTCCATATATGGGATAGGAAGCACTCTCATATATGTACTTGAGTTATTCAAAATTCCTGACTCCTTTCCTGAAAGTTCTTTCTCTTCCACTGAAAAAAGCATGGTTAATGCAAGTCAGTAAAAAGAACAATTATAGTAACTATTCTACTTTACATTTCAAAGTAAATACATCCCAAAAGTCAATACTCTGTCAGTAGTAACTTTATTATTAGTGACCCACTTCACAACAAATTATCAACTAGTATGAAACCTGTAGTCAAGCAATAAATATTGTTAAAGGTAATAATTTAATTATCCTTTGTGATTCAAGATATACAGCAAATCAGGGAAAAGCAGGTAGAAAGAAATTTGGTGTATAGTCACCATTAGCTAACAGAATTGGAGAGGAAGTTTCAAATAGTACTCAGCTTTCCTTTATTTCCAAAAGTTTGTATTCAAAATATCCCAGACCCAAAACCTTCCTGTCATTTTAATGATATTCAGCAATGGAAATTCAACAACCTCTCCAAGAATCCACCTATAAAGAGGTGTTTCATTGAGCCCTGTATTTCACACATAAGCCTACTTCTTCAGGTTTTGCCCTTTAAGGGGTTTGGATAAGCACATTTTCATCTCTTTATGATCATGATTCATATTCCCCAGGGATACCCTCTAGGAATAACTCCTTTCTGCCCCCATTAGACACTTTTCGAGCTTGCAAACTATTATAGCTGAGCCTACCAAAGTCGTCTGACATCCATGAAGGAAAAGTCCCTCTTCTCCTCTGTCTGCTGAATAACGATTCTCTAAATATGTGTCCTCTTTTCTTGGTAGATAGAATTGCTTTCCTTTGAAACCCTGTTACAATAGTTGAGATTCTCATATGCTCTGCCGAAAAAAGGTACTAATAAAAGCGAAACATTTGAAAAATCCTCTTTTTTATTCATTTGGCATTCTAAATTATCAAAGGTGTAAGCCATTTCTCAAGAGAAATAAATAAATTATAACTGTACTGATACAACAGATTTCTTAATGATTGCATTAATGAGAGCAAAAAATACACCTAACCACATGAATCCAAAAGATATAAATGTTAAGGTAAAAATTATTAACAGAAGATTAAAACTTTTAATATTAGAGTGCTTAAAGATGCCTGAAAATAAGCCTAAATATATTATTGCTATCTGAAGTCTTTGCTTCATATGCTAGTTCTAAAAAAAGTGCAATTATGAAATTATATAAAATAGAGGCCGCAAATTTTGGCCCATCTCTGAATCAATTCATACCCGGGAGCCACTATAAATGCCTGTCTTTTCTTTTGGATTTACACCAGGCAGCTGCTCATATACCCCACCACGGTTCATTCCCTTCTTACTTGGGTAAGGGTCACAGTTAGAGAAGTAGTAAGAAGGATGAATGGAATAGTGTTAAAGCCATGCTTCAGAATTCAGGTAAAAACAAAATCCCTAGGTGTACTCTGTTTATGGATAAGCTGCCTAGTTTTCAAGATGATTACCTGAACCATTTAGGTAAGTTCAATTTGTTAAATAATTATTAAAAGTATAAGTTGCAGCTGGGCGTGGTGGCTCACACCTGTAATCCCAGCATTTTGGGAGGCCGAGGTGGGCAGATCATGAGGTCAAGAGATTGAGACCATCCTGATCAACATGGTGAAACCCCGTCTGTACTAAAAATACAAAAATTAGCTGGGCATGGTGGCGCGTGCCTGTAGTCCCAGCTGCTCAGGAGGCTAAGGCAGGAGAATCACTTGAACCCATGAAGCAGAGGTTGCAGTGAGCCGAGATCGTGCCACTGCACTCCAGTCTGGTGACAGACTGAGACTCTGTCTCAAAAAAAAAAAAAAGTGTAAGTTGCCATTAGGTACTCCTGTGTGTGGTGCTGTGCCTTGTTAATACACATGGTCTTGTCTTTCAGAATTTACAATCCAAGTTAAATAATAAATACTTATCATCCACTGAAATTCATTAAACTCAATTATTCTTCTTTACTCCAAGAGTAGGTAGCCTCAACTTGTGAATAAGATACCTTTCAAGATTTTTATATATTGTTTTGAACTCAGAATGTCCCCATCCTATAGAAACTCATTAAGATGGAAACTAGGTTCCTAGACCTGTGTACAAACAAACAAAAAACTATTAAACACAGAGATATCGAATCAAGTTCCCAGTTTGCATCATTACCAGTATGTAAACACTATTTGGACTCTTAGCCTTTTGGGGAACTAAGAACCTAATGAAAGCATGTACTTCTAAAATTTCACAAACCATTAAGATGCACCAGGTTAAGAAGGGTTGATTTAGCCCCTTGTTTATTTAGGAATTTAACTGCCAATGTGAGAAATAATCCCCCTTATAAGAGGCTGACTTATGGCCCCTAACCCCAATATGGTTTGGCTGTATGCCCACCCAAATCTCATCTTGAATTCCCATGTGTTGTGGGAGGTAATTGAATTACGGGGGCAGTTCTTTCCTGTGCTGTTTTCATGATAGGGAATAAGTCTCACGAGATCTGATGGTTTTCAAAATGGGAGTTCCCCTGCACAAGCTCGCTCTCTCTTTGCCTGCCACCACCCATTTAAGATGTGACTTGCTCCTCCTTCCTTCTGCCATGATTGTGAGGCCTCCCCAGCCATGTGGAACTGTAAGTCCATTAAACCATTTTTTCTTCCCAGTCTTGGGTATGTCTTTACCAGCAGCATGAAAATGAATTAATACACCCCCAAAAATTTATATGTTGAAGTCCTAACTCCTACTATCTCAGAATGTAACTGTATTTGGAGATAAGATCTTTTTTAAAGTAATTAAATTAAAATGAGGTCTTTAGGGTGGGACTTAATCGAATATGACTGGTGCCCTTGTGCCCGTGGACACAGACATGCACACACACAGCAATATCATAGAAAGATAGCCAAATAAAAAGGCCTTGGAAAAAATGAACCTGCTGACCCCTTGCTCTGAGAAATCTAGTCTCCAGAACTGTGAGAAAGTGAATTTCTGTTGTTTAAGACATCAGTCTATGGTACTTTGTTATGGCATCCCTCACAAACTAACACACACACCCATTATCCCCACCTTCTAATATAATATGCCTCAAAGCAGTGATAAGAAGGGATACCACTCTAGAGATACTATCTTTAAAGGCTCCATTTATTTTGATAACCATTTCTACTTACATCCCTGCACCAATTCTGAGACCCACTCTCCTGACTCAAAGGGGCCAGACTAGAGAGAAAAGGAAGTTGTGCAACTCTCACCTAAGAGAGAGTACTAAGAAGTGAAATCATTACTTTTGCACAAGCTATCTCTGTATATCCTCATAAGAGACCAAAACTTTCCAAGACAATCATACCTCCAGGTTTTGGAATTGAAGAACAAAAGTCAATGTCTACTTGTTCACATTTTGGGTTATTGGTAAGTCAATTTTTCACAAATTGTTTATTAATTGAATGCAGATGTGCAGTCACCAAAAGCAGCCCTGTGTGTCTTATCTCTAAATCATTTGAGTTTTCCCTTCTCAGTAGTTGCTCCAACAGTAGGAATAACCTGAAATGGGAAAAGGCAAGGTAATAGGATACAAGAATAACAAATTTTCCAGAACATCTCATAGCCTGGGGAAGTACTGACATTTTCACCAAGCTCTTGCTATTCAACTCTGCTTTTTAGACACAAAAAATTAAATAAGTACAATCTTACTCAGGGAAAATTTACTGCAGCCACAGTCTCTGCTGGAAAAAAGAAAGAACTTGTCTTTCAAAAAAAAAAAAAAAAGGGGCGGAAGAACTTGTTTCTCTTGCTTAAGAGAAACAACTCGTTTATCAAAAAAAAAAAAAAACAAGAGGAAGAACTTGTTTTTCTTGCTTAAGAGGAAGAACTTGTTTCTCTTGCTTAAGAGAAACAACTTGTTTCTCTTGCTTAAGAGAAACAACTTGTTTCTCAAAAAAAAAAAAAAAAAGAGATATGACACTTGCAAGTTACATTTTGTGTGACCTAAACTCCCTGAATCTTGGTTTCTTATTTGTAGACAGAGAGCTCTTATATAATAGCAGCTACTCTAATGATAATGGTTGTCATGAGCATCAAATGAAATTTTATAAGAATTGCTATTTGTAAAGACCAGTGGGTTTTGCCCATCAAAAGATGGGGTTTCTAGAGACCCTGTATCACCATGGCAAGTGAATAAAGTAACAGTTTCCTCAATCCTTCCCCAAGGGGACAGTACCAAAAGCCATTTTCTCAACTAAGAAAATACCCAAATGTTTCAAGGACTTTTGGACACAGAGTCTGAGTTGACACTAAAGCATCATTACATTCCTCTGTTAGAGAACCAGCATATGGGGGTAAAGTAACAAATGGAGTCTGGCCAAGTGCTATCCAATTGCGGGTCCACACACCTATCCAGTAGTCACTACTGCCATTGCTAATTGAATAACAATAGTGGACATGCTTGGTAATTAGCAGAACCCCCATGTTGGTACCTTAGACTGTGGAATAAGACCCATATAGTAGAGAAAGGTAATTTTAAACTCTGAAACTGCTCCTTCCCAAGACAGTAAATTTTAACAAACAGCATTTCATCTGTTTGTTAGTGTGGGTATTGGGGAAGTGGTGGCAGAGATTAATGACACCTTTAAAAACCTACATAATATTTGGTTGCTGATTTTCATCCTATTCCCTTTCAACTGACCAGCAAGGACCCTACAAAAAACAGACATATCTTGGAGAATGACAGTAAAGTAAGGCAAACTCGATCAGAAAAGTAGTTCCAACTATAGATGTTGTCCCAGATGTGGCTTCTTTGCTAGAGCAGATTACCACAAATTCTTAATACACAGTATACTATTGTTGATCTGAAAAACGCTTTATTTTCCAATCTTATTGGAAAGATCAGAAATGGTTTGAATTCACTTGAAACAGATAGGTGTATATGTTTACAGTCTTACCCAAAGCTAGGTTAATTCTTTTGCCCTCTGACATAATGTATTTCAAAGATGCCCGAACTGGTCATTTGTCAAAACATAGCATTGGTTCACTATTTCAGTGGTACCATATTAATTGGACTAGACAAGCAAGAAGTTAGCATATACATTACGGTATACCATATGCATTCCAGAGTGCGGGAGCTAAACCCTATAAGGGTTCAGGGAAATGCCATGTAGGTAGTATATGGGAGTCCAGTGATCTGGTACAAGCTGCGACATCCTCTCTAAATGAAACAAATTATTGTATCTTATATGTCTCTCCGCAAAAAGGGAAGCACCATGCCTGGTATTCTGGTATTCCTCTTTGGCTAACATGTTTAACATATTACATATTGGCAAATACTGCTTTTACCCACCCTCTAGATAGCATGAAAGGCTACAAGCTTTGAGTGGGGTCCAAAGCAGCAGACAGCCCTGCAGCAGGTACAGGGAGTACTTGGGCCATATGATCCAGCAGACCTTTCAGTATGAAAAGCATCAGTAATAGGAAAAGATAATATGTGGAGTTTATGGCAAGGCCCTAAAGTAAAACCACAATGTAAATACCTAGGATTCTGGATCAAACCACTCCATCTGAAGTAAGGAGTTACACACCATTTTTTAAAATAAAAGCTCTCTGCAGTGCAACTGGGCCCTGGTAGACAGAGAGAAAAGACAAAGAGTCTAATTACAGAAGATCAAGTGATTAATGGACTAAAACTGTCTGTTATGAGGTAGGTTCTCCCAGAGCTGCCCAAGTCAGCTGAAGAAAGCCTCTTGCCCAAGATCAAGTCCCTTTCCAGAGGGAAGCTCATTTTCAGTGACTGATCCAGATGTAAAGTTATAAGGCCCAGCCCTTCCTTCAAAGTAGGCCAACTCTGAAGGGCCATACCTGTTCCAGAGCTTCCCTCGAGGTGGCTGAAGCCATTATCACAATTGCATCACAGCTCAGCTCTCCCATGAATATTCTTACTTCCTCTGCTCTCTCACAGATATCGATCCCAAGGACATTCTTCAGTAAACTTCTTTCAGACAAATTTGCATCTTAGAATCTTTTTTCCCAAGCAAACATACCTGAGATGGGTACTTACCAAAATGCTATTGAGTTGAGTAAGTGAAAATGAGCCAGGAGAAAAAAGTTTTACTTCTGAACTTTTCAAAACTAATGCTGATTGAATTTATCTATTTTTATGTATGTATTTATTTATTTATTTATTTATTTATTTATTTATTTATTTATTTTTGAGACAGGGTCTCACTCTGTTGCCCTGGCTGGACTGCAGTGATGCGATCATAGCTCACTGCAGCCTCAGCCTCCTGGGCTCAATAGATCCTCCCACTTCAGTCTCCCAAGTAGCTGGGACTACAGGCACGCACCGTCACACCGGGCTAACTTTTTAAATTTTTAGTAGAGATGAGGTCTTACTATGTTGCCCAGGCTGGTCTTGAACCCCTAAACTCAAGCAATCCTCCCCGCTCAGCCTCCCAAAGTGCTGGGATTACAGGAGTGAGCCACTGCACCTGGCCTGAATTTTAATTTGTAAAGAAAAAACAGTGGAAGAAAGGAAATGAGGGAAGGAAAGGAAAAGAGTCTCTCCTACCCGTGTCTGATGAACACATCCCCTATTACTTGAAATGCTAGTATGTGATCAGTTGGGTAGGCTCACATCCCTAGTTATCAAAGTGAGGGATAATGTTAGCCTGGAGAACTACCACAATTTGCTATTCAGCAAAGAAAAAGCTAAATATCCTAACCCAACCCGTACTGTGTTTGCCTCCTGTGAAAATTCTGAATTTCATTCACTCATTTAATAAATATTTATTTAGCACCTACAATATGTCAAGCACAGCTCTATATTTTATAATATAGTACTACTATCTTTACGATCTTTATAGCTTTAAATCTATGAATGAAATAGATGTTTCAGATATTCTTGGATATAATATTATACATAGCCATTTATTTTCTTTCTCTTTTTTTTTGTTGCTTTCTCATTGCAAGTCACAAAGTCAATAAATCAGTGATAATCAGAGTAGATATCTAAAGGACATTTAAATTGGAATAGTTTTCTATTTACCAAAGATATTCTGAAGGACATTTTTCAGGCTGTTACACATTTACATAGGAGATTCAATAATATCATACTTGCAAAGTAGCTAGACATTATGACATTTTGGATTTGAGATGATAGAATTAAAATGACAATATAAGAAAACTGTAATTTACACATAATTAGAAAAGATGAGGACAAAATAGCATTTTAATTACTGACAATGAATAACATACCAGGGAGAATATAGCAAAAGAAAATTTAGTGGGAAAACATTTTTGAAAACACACAAAACAACTTAAGTTTCTCACAGTAAGATTATATCTCTGCAAATTGATGAATAAAAATATGCTCCAGCTTTGAAAAAAAAAACTTAGGTTAACATAAAAGAATTCAAAAACAAAACTAAGAGAAATTCATCTGTGAAATTACTTAAAGTGTAGAGATGAAAAATTAGCTTCGGTTAAAACTGTAAATGAAATCATAGGTCACAATTTTATTAGTCTTTAATAGAAAACTTGAAGAAGTTGCTAACACAAGTGCTTTTGGAAATGCAAAGCATTGGCAGATACAGGAGAAGGTTAGAGAATATTTACACACAGCAACCCCAGAATTTAAATTAAATCTACAGTTAGTCTAAATCACATAAACCTGAATTTTTGTATACCAAGGATGAAGTTATTCGATAATAATCAAAAGTTAATTTTAATAGAAAATTCCAAGTCTTGTTGAATTGAACCTTTGAAATTGGGTGTTTGTTATAAAAGAAACTTATTTTCTAAAGAAAAGTTTGTTCACTTAAAGTTGTAAGCACTATTTGTCATAAGGGGTTGAATTTGCTCACCAAATTTACAATTAAATCACTGACTATATAACCTAACTGCTTTTAATATAAATCACTCACCCAGTACATGAAAACTGTGCCTCCTTCTATTAAGTTATAACTATATCTGCAAGTGTTCCTCTTTCAATAGGTTGTTAAAGTAAAGAAATGATTCTAACACATTACCTTTAAAACACAACACAAAATCTCATTCTTTTGCAGAAAATACTCAACAAGCTAAGCTGTAGATATGAACTATTTTTAAACCCAGTGATCAGCAGATCAAAGAGAATATAAGATGAAAACTGAAAATACCTAGTACATTTTGGGAAGTGGAAAAATCTAGAAGAAAGTTATGGAGCATTTTTAAACAACTAAATTATTGAAATGTTACCAAAAATAAAACAACTGCTCAGATGCAATTGTTTTATTTAATAAAGGCAAAACCTCACTAGAGGCAGAAACAAGCCACCAAATAAAAAAAACCTAATGAAGTTAGAACTAGAACAAAGTAAAAGTCAAATGAAAGAAATGGAAACAATAAACTCAAAGGAAAAATCATTTTAAAAACTAATCATTACTTTTAAAAAATTACAAAATTACACCCACTTACTAAAAAGGAAAAAACTACAAATTAATAAAATGAGAAATAAAATATAAAAAACAAGACAAAAAATTTTTAAAAATATCTAAAACAATAATGAGATACCACTACACACCTGTAAGAATGGTCAAAATCAAAACATTACAACCCCAAATCCTGGTGAGGATATAGAGCAACAGGAACTGTCACTCACTGCTGGTAGTAATGCAAAATAGTACAGCCATTTTGGGAGACAGTTTTGCAGTTTCTTACAAAATTAATTGCGGATGCATGTCATCATATATTTGTCAAAACCCACAAAATATATAACATCAAGGGTGGATCCTAATAATAACTGTGGACATTGAGTGATAATGACGCATCAATGTAAGTTCATTGACTGTAACAAATGTACCACTCTGGTGGGAGATGTTGATAGTGGGGGAAGAGTATGCGTGTGTGTACGCAGTGGCATATGGGATCTCTCTGTACTTTCCACTCAACCTTGCTATTAATCTAAAACTGCTAAAAAAAAATAGTCTATTTAGAGAGAAAGAAAAGAACAAAGGAAGGAAGAGCGAAAAGAAAGAAGGGAAGGGGGCCGGGCGCGGTGGCTCACGCCTGTAAGACCAGCACTTTGGTGAGGCCGAGGCGGGCGGATCACGAGGTCAGGAGTCGAGACCATCCTCGCTAACACGGTGAAACCCCATCTCTACTAAAAAATAGAAAAATTAGCCGGGCATGGTAGCGGGCGCCTGTAGTCCCAGCTAGGGAGGCTGAGGCAGGAGAATGGCATGAACCCGGGAGGCGGAGCTTGCAGTGAGCCAAGTTTGTGCCACTGCACTCCAGCCTGAGCGACAGAGCGAGACTCCGTCTAAAAAAAAACAAAAACAAAAACAAAAACAAAACACAAGGGAAGGGAAGGGAAAGGAAGGGAAAGGTAAGGAAGGGGAGGGGAGGGGAGAAGGAAGGAGGGAAGGAAGGAAGGGGGGAAGGAAGGAAGGAAGGAAGGAAGGAAGGAAGGAAGGAAGGAAGGAAGTTTGAAAGAAAAGAAACAAAAATATTCACCAAAATACCCATCTCCAAATAGCTAGATGTACAGATCATTTTTGTATTCTTTGATATTCATTGTTCAAAAACATTGAAAATATTAGACCAACCAACTGATTTAGTAGGCATCTAGGTTGGTAACAGATACTAAGACTTATTACTGGGCTATGATAACTAAGACTATTAGTTCAGGGAAACTAATAGTCTAAGTGCTATTAGTTCAGGGAAAAACAAATAGATCAATGACTCAGGATAGATAACTCAGAAAGATCTATTCATATATGAATACTTAATATATGACAGCAGTGGCACAAAAGATTGGTGGTTTTTAGCAAATGGGTGTGGGATAATTGGGAAAAATAAAATTGGACCCTAACCTCTCATTGATTCATGAGAATCAATTCCAGGAGGATCAGAGAAGTAAATATAAAGACAAAAATGATAAAGATTTTAGAAAATAGAATTGGAGGATATTTTTATGACCCTAGAGAAGGAAATCATTTTTAAATAAGATGCAAAAAGCTCTGACCATCAAGTTAAGATTGAAAAAATCTAGTACATTAAGGTAAAGAATTTATGTTCACCAAATAACAACATAAAAGGGTGATAAGAGAAAGCTTAAAGAGGGGAGAATATATTTTTAACACGCAACTACAAAGTGCTAGTATTCAAACTCTTAGAAATCAGTAAGTTGGAGAAAAGAAATTGCCACAGTAGAGATTTCTAAACCATGTAAAGCAAAGAGTCTAAGAAGATGGGAGTGGACCTGAAAAAAAGTAAGATTAAAACAAGCAATGTTTATTTTAGGAAGTCGGTCTGTTTCTGTGATAGAGGGGTGAAGAGAGACATTGCATTGTAAGAACCCTCACAGATGCCTACCTGTGCCTATATGCCTACAGAGAAGCAAAGGTATAATAAACACACACACACACACATCTGGAGTCATAGGGAAATTTCACCTCACTTCAACACAGCCCTGGCTCATTCTCAGTATAAGCCACCTACATGTACCTTGTCCAGGAAAAACTTACCTCCCTCAAAATGAGTAATCAAGAAAGAACCAGTGCAGGATCTAATCAAAGAAACCACCAGAGAAAATTAATAGGGAGAGCTTAATGATAGACTTTTTTAAAACTTTCTTCAAAAAATACTGCTGAAGTGTAAGTGAAAATGGTGGCCCACACATTTTACCATGAAATCAACATAAATATTCAAGGATATTATTTATTATTATTATTATTATTATTTTGAGACGGAGTCTTGCTCTGTCGCCCAGGCTGGAGTGCCGTGATGCGATCTCGGCTCAGTGCAAGCTCCACCTCCCGGGTCATGCCATTCTCCTGCCTCAGTCTCACGAGTAGCTGGGACTACAGGTGCCCGCCACCACGCCCAGCTAATTTTTTTTTTTTTTTTATTTTTAGTAGAGATGGGGTTTCACCATGTTAGCCAGGATGGTCTCGATCTCCTGATCTCGTGATCCGCCCGCCTGGGCCTCCCAAAGTGCTGGGATTACAGGCGTGAGCCATTGTGCCTGGCCTCAAGGATATTATTTTTGCTCCATGAACTGAAAACAAAGAAATGCAATGTCTTCATGTACACACACAGCAACCAATTAAAAGATACTAAGAAAAGATCTTATAACAATTTTTAAAAAGATAAAACACCTGAGAATATACTAAACAAAATGTAAGCAAAATCTATATAAAGACAATTTTAAAATGATATTAAAGGACAAAAAAGAAGACAAATGAAGCAGGAAACCATGTTCTTGATTAGAAAGACTCAGCTGTATTAAAATATAAAGTTTTCTTAAATTAATCTATAAATTTAATGCAATCTTTTTAATTAGGCAAGCTGATTCTAAGTTTGATACATAAAAAAGTAAGTAATATATGATCAAATGATTTATTTTGAGACAGGGTCTCACTTTGTCACCCAGGCTGGAATGGTGCAGGGGCATGATCATGGCTCAGCTCACTGAAGCCTCTACTTCTTGGGCTCAAATGATCCTCCCACCTCAGCCTCTCAAGAAGCTGGGACCACAAGCATGCGCCAACCATCCCTGGCTAATATTTTGTGTGTGTGGAGATGAGGTCTCCGTATGTTGTCTAGGCTGGCCTAAAACTCCTGGGCTCAAGCAATCCCCTCACCTCGGCCTCCCAAATGAAGTGATTTTTGACAACAGTGCCAAGACCATTCAATTCAGATAGGACAGTCTTTTCAATAAATGATGCTGAAAAAAACTGGATACAAATATGCAAAAAAAACGAAGTTGGATCTTTACCCAACACTACATACAAAAATCAACTCAAAAATAGATTAAGACCTAAATGCAAGTGCTAAAACTACAAAATTTGTGATTAAGACCTAAATGTAAGAGCTAAAACTACAAAATTTGTAGTGGAAAAAAAGGGAAACATTTCATGATATTGGATTTGGCAATGATTTCTTGGATATGTCACCAAAAGCACAGGAAACAATAAAAAATAGATAAGTTGGACTTTATCAAGTTTTTAAATTTTGTGCATCAAAAAACACTATCAACATAGTGTAAAGGAAACATAAGATAGTATGATTGCTTTGGAAATTAGTATACTGGGTACTCAAAAAGATAAAAGAAACATATAATTACCATATGATCCAGCAATTCTATTTCTGAGTATATATCCAAAATCATTGAAAGGAGGGACTTGAATAGATATTTTTACACCTATAATCTTATTATTCACAATAGCCAAATAGTGGAAGCAACTCAGGTATCCATCAATGGATGAATGAATAAACAAAATGTGTTTTATATGTGCATACACACACACACACACACACACACACACACACACACACAATGGAATATTATTCAGCCTTAAAAAGGAAGGAAATTCTGACACATGCTAAAACATGGAGGAGGTTTTAGGACATTATGTGAAGTCCATACAAATGCTTCATAAGCATAAGCATTTGTATGATTCCACCTGTATGACGTACCATGTTAGATGTCTTGGTGTATTTAGGCTGCCACAGCAAAATACCATAATCTGGGTGGCTTATCAATAATAGAAATTTATTTCTTACAGTTCTGGAGGCTGAGAAATCCAAGATCATGGTGCCAGTAAATTCTGAGTCTGGTGAGTGCCCACTTTCTGCTTCATAGGTGGCTGTCTTCTCACTGTGTCCTTACATGGTGGAAGGGGCCAGGGAGCTCTCTGAGGTCTCTTAATAGGGGCACTAATCTTATTCATGAGGGCTTCACTCTCATTCGGGAGGTAATTATACCTCCCAAATGCCTCACCCCCTAATACCATCACATTGAGCATTAAAACTTAACATATGAATTTTGGGGTGACACAAACATTTAGACCATAGCACTGGAGTATTAAAATTCATAGACACAAAAAATAAAATGGTTGCCAGAGGCTGGGGAAAGGGAGGGATGGGGAGTTATTGTTTAATGGGTTCAGACTTTCAGTTTGGGAAGATGAACAAAGTCCTGGTAACAGGAATTGATGGTAACAGTGGTTGCACAATAATGAGTGTACTTAATGCCACTCAACTGTATACTTAAACATTGATAAAATAGTAAATTTTACGTTATTTACATTTTCGCAGATTTTTAAAATTAAAATTAAAAAATAAGTAATGGGCAATACATTTCTGAAAAAGAAGAGCATTAAAAAGGGCTTAGTTCCACACGCCTGTAATCCCAGCTACTCAGGAGGCAGAGGCAGGAGAATCACTTGAACCCAGGAGGCGGAGGTTACAGTGAGCTGAGATCACACCACTGCACTCCAGCCTGGGCGACAGAGTGAGACTCCGTCTCATAAAAAAATTTAAAAAAAAAAGTTGGTGGGGATGGTGGCGGGCTTAGTTTAATCAATTAATTAAGACAATGTGGTACTAGCACAATATTAGACAAACAGCTGGAAGAAATGAACTAGAATGTCCAGAAATTGATCAAATATAATGAGAATTTAGTTGCTTCAAGTCAGTAGAGAATGACTACTTTAGCAAATGGTGTTGGGACAATAATTATCCCTCCAGGAAATAATGAAATTGGATACACACTTTCCACCTTATAACAATAAAAATTCCAGACTGATCAGACTCAAATGTAAATAAATCATAAAGAAGCTATAAGAAATCATGTGAGAAAAACTGTTATAATCTTGAAATCAGAAAAGCCTTTCTAAGCGTGCTTCTAAACTGAAAAGCCATAAAAGAAAGCACTGATTAATTTTACTAGAAATTAATTTTTTAAATACATGAAAAAAACCCAACAAAGTTAAAAACTGGAGAAAGCTATTGCAACATACAAATAAATGCTTAATTTTCCTTATATAGTAAAGATTCCTCCAAATCAATATTAAAGAAAAAAAATGGAAAACAGAGAAACATCAAAGGAGACATTTTATAGAAAAGGACATACAAGTGACTCTTAGTCATATGGATACACAAACTTTCTCACAAGAAAAGAAATATGTATAAAGATACCCCAAAATATGAATTTTTACATGTAAGTTTGACAAGGATCAGAAAGTTTAATAACACATTCTTGGCAAAAGCATAGAGAAACAGGCAGTTTTATACATTGCTGATTGGTGTATAAATGGGTTTAAAATCTGTGGAGGGTAATTTGGCAATATTTATAAAAATTTCCAAAGTATGTGCATTTTGAGGCAGTACTCCCACATCTAGAAACTTACACTACAGATGATCTCACATAACATGCACTCCATCCTCAAAGTGTTTAGGTTTTGCCCCTCAGGTTATACCCATTGCCTTCAAGAAGTTTTGTTTGTTGGCTCTTTCTAAGATGTTCATAGTGGTGTGCTCTCTTTACTTTCTCCAGTAAGTACCTTTGCTTAAATGCTGTTGTGTTTTAGGACTCCAGTCTTGGTCTATATCTTTCTCTTGATTACTCTTTTTTTTTTTTTTTTTGAGACGGAGTCTCGCTCTGCCGCCCAGGCTGGAGTGCAGTGGGGTGATCTCCGCTCACTGCAAGCTCCACCTCCTGGGTTCACGCCATTCTCCCGCCTCTGCCTCCCCAGTAGCTGGGACTACAGGCACCCGCCACCACGCCTGGCTAATTTTGTTTTTGTATTTTTAGTAGAGACGGAGTTTCACTGTGTTAGCCAAGATGGTCTCGATCTCCTGACCTCACGATCCACCCTCCTCGGCCTCCCAAAGTGCTGGGATTACAGGCGTGAGCCACCGCACCCGGCCTTGATTACTCTTTTAAGCAATCTCATTCCACTCTCTGGGCCTTAACTACCATCAGTAGGTTAATCACCTCCAAATCTTTAATACTGATACCTATCTTGAGGCTTTTAAACCTGTGTGTAACTCAAGCCCTTCAAACCCTGAATATCTAAGAGAAAGTTTACCCCACTTTCCATCCTCCAAACACATTCTTCCTCTCATATTTCCAAAATCAATTAATGACTCTACTATTCACCAAGTTACCCAAGGCAAAAATATGGAAGTCATCTTTAGTAATTTATTCTTCTTTACTTTTCACTCACAATCAAATGGTGCCAGTTTTCCCTTGTAAACATTTCTCAAATCTGGCCCGTCCCCTGTAACCCTGCTACTGCTGCTTTAGTTCAGGCCCATCTTTTTTGGCCTGGCATATTGCAGCAGCTAAACCACTTCTCCTGCTGTGTATAGCCTTGCTCTCATCAAGGTCACCAAAGCCTTGGTAGTCTATCTGAAACCCAGATTTCAATATGGGAACACCCTGCTTAAAATCCATCAGTGAATCCCCACTTCCTTCAGCCTGAAGCCTAGACTATGTATCATGACATAAGGTCTTCATAATCCATTCCCCTTTCCTTATCCTCACTTTATTTCTTGTTATTCCATACCTTGCACTTTGTGTTCTGGTGGTGTAGAATTTCTGGTAGTTTCTTCCTCAGATCACATTATTTTTTCCCTCTAACCTCTCTTACACTCTTACATTTCTTCTTGGCTAAGCCTTATTTATCTCTCAAGACAGAAGTCGTTAATCATATCCCCCAAAAAGCCTGCTCTGAACTTCCTGGTCGGAGTAAGTATGCAGTCCTACTGTGTACAGTTACATATGCATACACTAAAGTGTCTGGCTGATGGGACAAGCAGGGGCAGCAAACTCTCTGGCAGAAGGGTATTTGTCTTTTTTTGAGAAATAGCTCTGCAGATCTTTTGCCCATTTTAAAGTAAATTATTTGTTTTCTTGCTATTGAGCTGAGTTTCTCATGCATTCTGGTTATTACTCCTTTGTTGGATAGATACCGAGCAATATTTCCTCCCATTCTGTAGGTTGTCTTTTCTCTTTGTGGATTATTTCCTTTCCTGTGTAGAAGATTTTAGCTTGATATAATAACATTTGTCTATTTGTGCTTTTGTTGCCTGTGCTTTTGAGGTCTTATCCAAAATGTCTTTGCCCAGACCAATGTCCTGAAGCGTTTCCCAAAGTTTTCTTCTCATAGTCTCAATCCTAGACTTAAGTATTTAATCCATTTTTATTTTATTTGTGTATATGGTGAGAGGGCTCAAGCTTCATTCTTCTGCTTATGGTTTGTAGTTTTCTCAGTATCATTTATTGAAGAGACTGCCCTTTCCCCAATGTACGTTCTTGGTGCCTTTTCCAAAAATGAGTTGGCTGTAAATGTGTGGATTTATTTCTTGATTCTCTCTTCTGTTCCATGGGTCTATGTATATGTTTTTATGTGGGTGCCATGTTGTTTTGGTTACTATGGCTTTGTAGTGTATATATTTACTTTGTATATACACATACACATGTATATATACACGTGTGTACATACACACACACTTATCTCTGAAATAATTGTTTTAATTTTTAATTTTTTTATCGTTGCCCAAGTAGTAAACTTAGCACCTGATAGGTAGTTTTTCAACCCTTTCCCTCTTCCTCCCTCCCCACACTTGGAATCCTTCGTGTTTATTGTTTCCATCTATGTGTCCATGTGTACGGAATGTTTAGCTCCCACTTATAAGTCAGAACATGCAGTATTTGGCTTTGGCTTGGGTTGATTTCATGTCTTTGCTATTGTGAATAGTGCTGTGATAAATATATGAGTGCAGGTGTCTTTTTGGTAGAATGACTTATTTTCCTGTGGGTATATACCTAGTAATGGAATTGCTGGATCAAATGGTATTTCAATTTCCAGTTCTTTGAGAAATCTCCAAACTGCTTTCCACAGAGGCTAAACTAATTTGCTTTCCCACCAACAGTGCATAAGCATTCCCTTTTCTCTGCAACCTCACCAACATCTGTTATTTTTTGACTTTTTTATAATAGCCATTCTGGCTAGTATAAGATAGTATCTCACTGTAGTTTTGATTTGCACCTCTCTGATTATAGTATATTTTGAACTCAGGTAGTGTGATATCTCCTACTTTATTTTTTAAGTTCAGGATTTTTTTGGTTATTCAGGATCATTTGTGCTACCATACAAATTTGAGAATTTTTTCTGTGAAGAATGTCATTGGTATTTTGATAGGAATTGCATTGAATCTGTAGAAAAATTTGGGTAGCATTGACATTTTAATGATATTAACTCTTCTAATTAATGAGTATGGAATATCTTCTATATTTATACACCCTCTTCAACTTCTTTCATCAGTGTCTTAACAATTTTCCTTGTAGAGAACTTTCACTTCTCTGGTTACATTTACTCCTATGTATTATATATTTTTATAGCTACTATAAATGGAATTATTCTTTTTTATTTCTTTTTCAGTTGGCTGTTGGCATATATAAATTCTACTGGTTTTTATATGTTGATTTTGCATCCTGCAACTTTACTAAATTCATTTATCAGTTCTAACAATTCTTGGTGGTGTCTAGGTTTTTCGAAATATACTATTATGTCATCTGCAAACAAGGATAATTTGACTTCTTCCTTTCCTGTTTGGATGCCTTCAATTTATTTTTCTTGCCTAATTGCTCCCGTTAGGACTTCCAGTACTAGTACTACATTGAATAAAAGAGGTAAAAGTAGGCCTTTTTGTCTTTTTCCAGATCTAAAAGAATGGCTTTCAATTTTTCCCCATTCACTATAATGCTAGCTGTTGGTTTGTCATATGTGGCCTTTATGGTTTTGAGGTATGTCTTTTTTATAACCAGCTTGTTGAGGGTTTTTATCATAAAGGGATGTTGAATATTGTCAAACACTTTTTCATCATCTAATGAAATGATCATATGGTTTTTGTTCTTGATTCTGTTAAGGTAATGCATATTTTTATTGATTTGCATATGTTGAACCATTCTTGTATTCCTGGGCTTCCCATCTAATCATTATCAATTTTCTTTTTAATGTGCTATTGTATTTGGTTGCTAGTATTTTGTTCAGGATTTCTACATCTATGTCCATCAGGAACACTTGCCTGTATTTTCTTTTTTTTTTAATTGTGTCTGTCTAGTTTTAATGTCAAGGTAATTCAAGATTTGTAGAATTAATTTGGAAATATTCCTTCCTCTTCAATTTTTTGGAATAGTTTAGGTAAAATTGTATTAGTTCTTTTTTAAATGTTTGGTAGAATTTAGAAGTGAAGTCATCGTGTCCTGGATTTTTGTTGTTGTTGTTGTTGTTGTTGTTGGGAGACTTTTAAATTATTGCTTTGATTTCATTATTCATTACTGGTGAGTTCTGGTTTTCTGTTTCTTCATGGTTCAATGTTAGTAGGTTATATGTGTCCATAAATTTTTCCATTCCTTCAAGTTTTCCAATCTGTTGGCATATAGGTGTTCATAATAGTCTTTAATGATCCTTTGCATTTCTGTGGCTATGTGGTTATGTTCCCCTTTTCATTTCTGATTTTATTTATTTGGGTCTAATTTTTTTTCTTAGTCTAGCTAAGGTTATGTTGGTTTTGTTTATCTTTTTTAAAAACTAACTTTTAATTGATTTTTTTTGGTATCAATTGTATTTTATTTCTTCTCTGATCTTTGTTATTTCTTTCATTCTACTAATTTTTAGTTTGGCATATTCTTGCTTTTCTTATGATCCTTGTGATGCATCATTAGGTTGGTTATCTGAAATCGTTCTATGTTTTTGATGTAAGCATTTATTGCTACAAACTTCCCTCTTAGTACTGCTTTTACTAGATCCCATAGAATTGGGTATGTTGTGTTTTCATTTTCATCTCTTTCAAGAAATTTTTGAATTTTCTCTCTAATTTCTTCATCAGCCCCTTGATCATTCAGGAGGATGTTGTTTTATTTCCATGATTTCTATGGTTTTCAAAGTTCCTCTTGTTATTAATTTCTAGTCTTATTCCATTGTGGTCAGAAAAGATATTTGATATTATTTAGACTTTTTTGAATTTGTTGAGGCTTGTTTTGTGGCCTAACATAAGGTCTATTCTAAAGAATGTTTTTGGGTTTTGGTTTTTCTTTGTTTGTTTGTTTGTTTGTTTTTGATATAGGGTCTCACCCTGTCACCCAGGCTGGAGTGCAGTGACACAATCATGACTTAGTGTAACTTCAACCTCTAGGGCTCACATGATCTTCTTGCTTCGGCCTCTCAACTAACAGAGACCACAGTGTGTACCACTAGGTCTGACTAATTTTTTATCTTTCATAGAGATGAGGTATCACTATGTTACACAGGCTGGTCTTGAACTCCTGGGCTCAAGCGATCCTCCTTCCTTGGCCTCCCAAAGTGCTGGGATTATAGGCATGAGCTACCACACCCAGCCAAGAATGTTTAATATGCCAATGAGAAAAATATGTATTCTGCAACAGTTGGATAAAATTATCTGTAAATGTCATTTATGTCCATTTGATCCACAGTGTAGTTTAACTCTGATGTTTCTGTATTTATTTTTGGTCTGGATGATCTATTACTAAGAGCTGGGTGTTGAAGTCCCATACTATTACTGTATTGCAGTCCATCTCTCCCTTTATATCTATTAATGTTTGCTTTATATATTTGCTTTATATATTTATATGTTTGCTTTATATATTCTATAATGTTTGCTCTATATTGTTTGCTCCAATGTTGGGTGCATATAGATTCACAATTATTATATACTCTTGGCCTCTTTATCATTAAATAATGACCTTGTCTCTTTTTACAGTCTTTAACTTGAAGTTTATTTTATCTGATATAAATATAGCTACTTGTACTCTTTTTGGTTTTCCATTTGTGTGAAATATCTTTTTCCATTTCTTCACTTTCTACGTCTTTTTGGTAAAGTGAGTTTCACGTAGGCAGCATATAGTTACGTTTTGATTTCTATCCATTCAGCCACTGTCTTTTAATCAGAGAATTGAGTCTGTTTACATTCAGTGTTATTATTGATAGGTAAAGACTTACTACTGCTATTTTGTTACATGTTTTTTGTTTTTTTTAACAAAATTTTCCAAATTTTATTAAGACTATAAAGATTTAGATTGAAAAAGTTCAATGAATCACAAACAGAATAAATTTAAGTTTAAAACCAAACAAAAGCAATCACTATACTTAAGAACGGATACGTTATGTGGTAAAAACAATAAATAGCTAAGGCAAGATTAATCAAAATTCAGTATAGTGGTTACCTCTGCAGAGAAGGCTGGGGAACTCAAAGCTTTAAATGTATTAGTACATTATTTTTCCTTCTTTTCTTTTAATTTTATTTTTTACAGAGACAAGGTCTTGCTGGTCTCAAACTCCTGGCCTCAAGTTATCCTCCACCTTGGCATCCCAAAGATTACAGGCCTGATCTTAGGGGTAAATAAGTATTTTTATTAGTTTTCTTTTTTTCCTTTTTTCTTTGACCTTCCCAATGTGAGTGCATTTATTATTAAATTGGATATATACAAAATATTTCTTGCAGGTGTGATAGACATCACAATAAATGGAAAATTAATGAAGTTCATCATTCTTCTTCTGTGTTACTTATAACACAAGCCAGAAACCTGGAGGTCACCCTTGACCTCTCCCTCACCTACCAAAAATTCAGTTAACTGTCACTTTCCTACTTCTCCTTACCTCCACTCTCACACCCTGGCCAAAGCCACCTTGACTCTCTCCTGAAATACTGATATGTCCCTTTCTCTCCATTACACCCTCACTCTAATCTAATCTCCACATTGCAGCCAAAGAAAACACTTTCAGCCTTATCTCTCCATCTTGAATCTATCTCACCATCCCCTTTACTATCAGAAGCAAGAGTGACAAGTAAATTTCCCAAGACATCTCATAGCCAGGAAATGGCAGAGGCAGGATTCAAAATCTACTAGAGAGTCCACGTCTTTGTTTGTTTGTTCTGACATGGAGTCTCACTCAGTCACCCAGGCTGGAGTGCAATGGCACAATCTCAGCTCACTGCAACCTGTCCCCCAGGTTCAAGCAATTTTCCCATCTCAGCCCCCCGAGTAGCTGGGATTACAGGCACCCACCATCATGCCCGGCTAATTTTTGTATTTTTAGTAGAGATAGGGTTTCACCATGATGGCCAGGCTGGTCTTGAACTCCTGATTTCAGGTGATCCACCCGCCTCAGCCTCCCAAAGTGCTGAGATTACAGGCATGAGCCACCACACGCAGCTGAGTCCACGTCTTATCCACCCACTGTCCTACTTTGGGTGATACTAGGAAAGACTTAGCCACTGCCTAGCACAGGGCCATCTCTGGATAAAGACTTATTTCTCCTCCAATCACCACCCCACCTCCTTTTATCTGCCGTTAGCTCCTAGTTTTCCTTAAATATGACTTCAAACCACAACTTTCAAGAAATGCCTTTCTAACCCCCTTACCCAATTGCAAGTCCTCACTATTTGTCCTCCCAGCAATTTCTGCATCTCTTTTTTTTTTTTTTTTTTTTTTTTTTTTTTTTGAGATACAGCCTCATTCTGTCACTCGGGCTGGAGTGCAATTGTGCCATCCTGGCTCACTACAACCTCCGCCTCCCACGTTCAAGTGATTATCCTGCCTCAGCCTCCTGAGTAGGTGGGACTATAGGTGTGTGCCAACATGCCCGGCTAATTTTTGTACTTTTTGTAGAGATGGGGTTTCACCATGTTGGCCAGGCTGGACTCTAACTTCTAACCTCAAGTGATCTGCCCACCTCAGCCTCCCAAAGTGCTAGGATTACAGGTGTGAGCCACTGTGTTCAGCCCACTTTGTGCATTTCTAGTAACATCCCTCCTCCACTAGATTGTGACCTCCACAAGAGCAGGAGCCTGTTTTGCCCACCATTGGAATGCACTTCATACACTCTTGATCACTCTGATCCTCTCCACGTCCATTTCTTGGTGAAAGTGCTAGATCATCAACCAGACCTCTCGTCTTACATAACAAGCAATCTGGTCTGCTGACCCTACCCACGAGGCTGTGTGTGAGCCAGGTGGGCTGGGGAACAGAGACCAGCCCTGGCCCAGTGAACCCGAGATGGCCTGCTCCATGGAAGGGATCTGGTGCCCTGGTAGAAATGAAAGATTCTTTGAGTATCCAAGACCTCAATCCCTGGGGCTAGTGAATGGGTCAAAAATGAGCCCCTTCTGCTCCTGTTCTTTTAATCATGTCCACTCCCCTCACTTGGGAGCTTGGATGGAGGGCACCTGGATGTCCATCCCAGGTATACTGGGGCCACTAGTAACACAGACCGAGGCAGCAAAGTAGGACAGGGTCAGGGTAGGGGTGGGAGAGCAGGGCAGACACAGCCAAGGCTGTGGGCTTCTCTAGAGGCCCAGATAAGCTTGAGCCTGTAGAGGACCAGCTTATCTCCTTGGCAGCACTGGGCACATTCAGAAATTTTGTCTATGATCTTTCTGCTCTGCAGAGGCAGGGTGCCTTCATACACCTCTGAATCCTTACTGTCCATGCCATAGTTTTCAGAAGATAGAGACATGTCCAATGGTATATGTCCAAGAAATGGGAGGTGCAGCTAGCCGCCATGAGTCCTTTGGATCTGACTGAGGCACCTCCTTGAGAAGTCTTTCTTCCCTGACACATTCTTTAGTTATCTCCATGCTCCTCGCCATGGGTCCCCACAGCCTTGGTGCTCTCAGTATTGTAGGCTCAAAAAACATTTGCTGAATGAATATAGAACTTGAAGACTGCCTCTCCTCTGAGCAGTTGCCAGGTCCAGTGTTCTCTGCCTAGAATCCTCTTCCTTCATTCACCTAAGGACCAGGAACAGGACCGTCCTGCTGTCCATTGTTGGCCCGTGGGTCTGAGGGTCCTGGCCAATGAGTCTTCTGGTGTTGCTTGAGATGGTCAGACCTCATGAACTCTTGGCTGCACTGATCACATTTATATGGTCAATGTCTGGTGTGTACCCACGTATGTCATCTACGCTCATTAGAACGGAAGAAAGACCATAAACACCTTTCCCGTTGCACAAATAGGGCCTCTCACCCATGTGCTTGCACTGGTGGCTAACAAGGTAGGAGCGTTTGGTATAAGCTTTTCCGCAGTTCTCGTAGTTGCAGCAGTAAGGCCTTGCCTCTGAGGAGCCCCGTCTACCAGTCCTTTCCTGAGGCCTGGAGTTCTGCTCTGCTGTCTGTGGAGCAGGTCTGGGATGCTCCGGTAGGAATGGGCCTGCTTGGGAGTCTGGCTGACTTACGAGAGTCCTGAGATCCTAAAACCAGCAATGACTGGGACTCAGCTCGGGGCATCCCACGATCATGGGCATCTTGTGGGGGCAACATCTGAGCCACGGAGGGGGCATAGCCTGGGCCTCAGTGGAAGGCATGGTCGAGGCCAACAATGTTTCATCAGAAGGTACTGTCGAGAGGCCAGGGTAAGGCATTGTAGGGTCCCCAATATGAGACATCACTGGAATTCCAGTGGAAGCTGAGACTGGCAGCCTGAAGGCCCTGGCCACCTTTGGAGTACTGGCCTCTCCTACAGGCATTATCTGGGGCCCACTGAAAATCATCATCTCTTGCTGAGGGGGAGACACTCCCTGACAGTAAATCATCCGGAAAGGAGTGGGAGTCGCTTAGGGGCAGTAGCTCACGCCATGCTCAGGCAGTGGCATACTGAACTGTGGCCCCCCTTCATCCACAATCTTCCCTGATGCCTCAACAGACAACAAGGGGGCCCTCGGCATCTCTGTCCTGTGAGGAAAGTGCTGAATGCTTGGTAGGCCATGGTTCCAAGAGGTGTGCACTCCGGAGCTTCCAGAAGATGAGTCATGTTCAAGATGGGTGCTGAGTTCTACTTATCCTGGGCAGCCTGGTGCGCCGCCTGCCACTGGCTCAGCTTCCCAGCTTCCTGCTCCTTCTCAGCCTGTGGTCGGCTGTACATGAAGACTAGGTGGTGTCTAGACTCTCTGCTGAACAGACAGGGAGCAACCCACCACGGCATCGCAGGTGGTTATCGGGACATTGCCCCTGGTTGTTTTGTAACTCCTTTCTTCCTTTATTCCTTTGTTACTGTCTTCCTCAGTGGTTAAATGAGTTTCTCATTTAATGGTAATATGTTTAAATTTGTTGCTTTTTATTTTTAGTGGATCTATTTTAGGTTTTTGGAGGAAGGTTTGCTTGTTTGTTTTTGTTTTTTAGAGATGGGGTCTCATTGTGTCACCCAGGCTGGACCCTTGGGCTCCAGAGATCCTTCCACCTTAGCCTCCTGAGTAGCTGGGACTACGGGTTCATGGCACTGCACCCAGCCTATTATAGATTTTTTGCTTTGTTATTACCATAAGGCTTTCCAAAAAATGTCTTATAGACATGGCAAGTTATTTTAAATAGATGACAACTTCTGTCGCAAAGAAAATTAAAAAAAAAACAAATGAAGGAAAACCTAAAAGTCTCTACACTTTAACTTAATTCCCCCACTCATACATTCTGACTTTGTGTTGTCTCAAGTATATCTTTTTATACTTCCTATCTTTTAACAGATTTCTGCAGTTATTATTTTTGATAGATTTGTCCTTTAGTCCATACTAGAGATATGAAGGATTGTATACCATAATTACAGTACTAGAATATTCTGAATTTATGCGTGTATTTACTTTACCAGCGAGTTTATGCCTTCAAATGTTTTTTTTCTTTTTTTTTTCTTTTTTTTTTTTGAGCCAGTCTCACTCTGTCACCCAGGCTGGAGTGCAATGGTGCAATCTCGGCTCACTGCAAGCTCCACCTCCCGGGTTCACACCATTCTCCTGCCTCAGCCTCCCCAGTAGCTGGGACTACAGGTGCCTGCCACCATGCCTGGCTAATTTTTTTGTATTATTAGTAGAGACAGGGTTTCACCGTGTTAGCCAAGATGGTCTCCATCTCCTGACCTCGTGATCTACCCACCTCAGCCTCCCAAAGTGCTGGGATTACAGGCGTGAGCCACCGCACCCAGCCCAAATGTTTTCTTTTTGCATGTTAGTATCCTTTTCCTTCAGATTGAAGAACTCCCTTCAGTATTTCTTGTAAGACAGGTCTAGCAATGATGAATTTCCTCAGCTTTTGGTTGTCTGGGAAGACTTTATCTCTGCTTTATGTTTGAAGGAAAGCTTTGTTAGGTACAGTATTCTTGTTGGATAATTTTTTCCCTTGACCGAATGTCATCCAACTTCCTCCTGGCAAGTTGCTTTCCACTGAGAAATCTGCTGTTAGATGAAAATGAGCTCCTTTATTTGTTATTTGCTTCTTTTTTCTCACTACTTTTAGAATCCCATCTTTGTTCTTGACTTTTGAGAGTTTATTATACGCCTTGAGGTAGTCTTATTCGGGTTGAATCTGTTTGGTGATATGTGACCTTCCTGTACCTGAATATCAGTATCTTTCTCTAGGTTTGGAAAGTTTTTGGTTATTATTTTGTTGAATAGTCATTCTACCCCTTGCTCTTTCTCAACTCTTCCTTGAACACCAATGACTCTTATATTTTTCTCTTTTGAGTTTATTTTCTATATCTTGCAGGCATTCTGTGTTCCTTTTTATTCTTTTTTCTTTTCTGGATGTGCATATTCTAATAGCCTGTCTTTTAGCTCAGTAATTCTTTTTTCACATGATCCATTCTGTTCGCCGGGCGCGGTGGCTCACGCCTGTAATCCCAGCACTTTGGGAGGCCGAGGCGGGCAGATCATGAGGTCAGGAGATCGTAGATCCATTCTGTTGAGAGCTTCTAATGCATTTTTCAGTTTAACAAACGTATTTCTCTGTTCCAGATTTCTGTTTGACTTTTTAAATTATTTTAATCTCTTTGTTAAATTTATCTAGCAAATTTATATATTGTTTTGCTGTGTTATCTTGGAATTCACTGAGTTTCCTTAAAACTGCTTTTTGATTTCTTGATCTGGGAGCTTACTATTACCATGTCATTAGAATTGGTTCCGGGTTTCTTGCTTTGTCCATTTGGAGATGTCATGATTCCCTGTTTGTTGTTGTTTCTTATAAACATACATGTGTTGCTTCACTTTGAAGAATAATTTATTCTAGTCTTTGCTATCTGGCTTGTTTTCAACTTTCTAGGATATGTTTACCTAGAGATTCTTTGCAGTTGCCTGTAAGTGCCCTTAATCCTAGATTGCTGCTTCCTTTTTGGCATTAGATGGTGCATTAAGCCCCAGTTTGCTTCAGCTCTTGAAATCATTCAGAGCACTTCCCAACCCAGATTAGGGGTTACAGGGTCCCAAAGGGGATACCCTGATTGTGTGGGAAGGTTGGCTAGGAGTTCATGCACAGAAGACCAATGGAGGGTGCATCCTACATCTTGGTGTTGCTGAACAGCCAATCTGCTTTTACGTCTCTGGCTGAGATAAAGAGCAGAGTTTCATGAGCTGGGGTCTCCAGTCCTGCCTCTGTTCTTTGTTGCTAGCTAGACTCAGGAGTTTTTCTCCCTATAGGCATTTGCAATGCTTCCCATGAAATAAAGCAGGAATGGTTTTCCTGCAAGGGAACCCAGGATGGTGGGAAAATTGGCTGTCTCCCTTGATGTCACTTTTTATAGTGTGGAAACAATGGGTTTCCACATGGCATCTGGCAGATGGAAGGAGGGGCTTGATGGGTAGAAAAGTCCATTTCTCTTATTGTCTTCTCAGAGTTTCTCAGTGCTTTGTGGTCCTAGGGGTCATCTCAGCCCCAAATTTAAATTCTAGGATACTGCTGGCTATAATCTTGGCACCAGATATTTGTTTTCAATTTTCCGTGGGGAAGAGTGAAGCCAGATTGCTTCCACTTCACATTTTGGTTACATCACTCAACAATAACCATTTGTTTTTGTGAGCACTTTCCATGTGCCAGGCACTGTGCTAAATATTTTACCTACATTATCTCATTTAATCCTCCCAACAGCTCTCTGAGTTAGGAACTATTATGTTCCTATTTTACAAATGACAAATCTGAGGCTTGGAGAGATAAGTAACTTGCCCAGAGTTAGACATTTTGATTCCACAATCCAAACCCTTAATACTCAGTAATTTTAATTGAAACCTTCAATTTATAAATCTGACCATCCCACAAGATTTAGAGCAGAAATTATACTTTATTTATCTTTTTAGCCCTGATAACTAGCATTGTCTGAAATATTCTAAGTACTTACTAAATATTTGTTGAACTAAACCTAATCTATAATGACTTGTATTTACAAGTTATCAGCAGAACTACAGTATACAGTATATGGATACGTAGGTATGTTTTCTGTATATTTATATATATCCTAAATGTGACTGATTATCCTTGGACCACTCTTGCTCTGCCACTGCAGCTTCCTCTAAGCCAATTATAATCCATCTTTGCAATTCCAGAAAACAAATGTCTGATTCCAAGACGATTTATAAATATGCACGTTTTTATGAAACAGAAGAACAAAACTTTTTCCAAATTCCCTTTGAAGACTTTAGATCTTTTCACAGAATTTCTCTTTCCACAGAAGCCAGCCTTTCACTCCCTTTTTTCCCTCTGTGCCAATTTCAGTTATTTCTACCTCCAGAGTTTTCTCCCTGACTGTTCAATCTATAGTGAAGATAAATTTAGCTCTTTCTTTAGGTTTATTCCATTTCTATCTGCAATGGGCTGATTATATTTTCTAAAGGTGACCACCACAATAAATCTCATACCACAAGCCCACCTCTTAAGTGCTGTTCATTCTTGGTTCACATCTTTTTCTTGATGTATTCTTCCTAAGTAATTCCACCTTATCTCTGTATTTTAACTACCATTAGTATGCTAATGGCCCCTGAATTATAAGCACTGATCCTCATCTTTAGACTTTTACACAAAACATTATAATACAAATCTCATTACAGAATGACAGTGATACTCCTCTCATCAATTAATAGCTCCTCTTTTTAGTTTTGGTGGACAATTGTGACTAGTTCAATCAAAAGAGCAGGGTAGGAGTGATGCTAAATGACTCCCAAGAACAGATCACAGAAATGATATGCACTTCTACCTTGTTTTCTTGGGATGCTCCCTCTTTTAACCTAGCCACCATGTTGTGAAAAAAGAAAAACAGCTGCTTGTAGAGGCCATGTGTAAGTGATCCATCTGACCAAGAACCCCAACTGAGGTCCTATGCAACAGCCAGTATTAACCATCAGATATGTGACCGAGTGAGTCTTCAAATGATTCCAATCTCCCACCATTGAGTTATACACCACCCCATCTGATGCTGCATGAAGCAGAAGTGAGCTGTCCCCACTGAGCCCTTTTCAAATTGAAGTTTCATGAGTTAAATAAATGATTGTTGTTGTTTTAAGCCACTAACTTTCAAGTGGGTTGTTACGCAGAAAAGATAACTAGAATAGTCAGCCAATGCTTCTCTCAACATTACTAAAGATCTACTCTCCAAGAAGGACAGAGAAAGAGTATAAAAAATGTTTCTAGTTATATATATTATATAACAAATATATATGTTGCATAATTATATATATTTATCGTACATAAATATATACTAAATATGTTATATAATGATAATAATAAAAACAAAACTGGGCCAGGCTCCGTGGCTCACATCTGTAATCCCAGCACTCTGGGAGGCCGATGTGGGCGGATCACCTGAGGTCAGGAGTTCAAGATCAGCCTGGCCAACATGATGAAACCCTGTCTCTATTAAAAATACAAAAATTAGCTGGGCGTGATGGTGTGCACCTGTAATCCCAGCTACTCTGGAGGCTGAGGCAGGAGAATCTCTTAAACCCAGGAGGCAGAGATTGCAGTGAGCCGAGATAGCGCTATGGCACTCCAGCCTGGGTGACAGAGCAAGACTCTGTCTCAGGGAAAAAAAAAAAACTAACAATAATTAATTTACTGTATAGTAAACTTAATGTAGTTTGTTGTATGGTTTATAATTGTAATGCTCACATATGCTTTTAAATTATTATAATGTATTATTTTTGCTAGTATTATTTTTATTAATATTATCACTAAGTCCCAAGATAAAGCCCTTGGGAATCATGACAACTAGTTGAATGAATAGATTCCATTCAATTATTTTATTCAAATTTTGGCATCTACAATGGTTGACCAGAAAAATAGCATCCATTATAGAATACATCCAATAAAGCAGGGGTTCCCAACCCCCAGGCCACGGACCGGTAGCAGTCCATGGTCTGTTAGGAACCAGACTGCAGAGCAGGAAGTGAGCAGTGGGCAAGTGAGAGAAGCTGAGGTCCACCTTCTGTCAGATTAGCGGCGGCATTAGATTCTCATAGTAGCATGAACCATATTGTGAACGGTGCATGGGAGGGATCTAAGTTGCATGCCCCTTATGAGAATCTAATGCCTGATGATTTGAAGTGAAATAGTTTCATCCCAAAACTATTCTCCCACCCAAGTTTGTGGAAAAATTGTCCTCCAGGAAACCAGTCCCTGGTGCCAAAAAAGGTTGGGGACCACTGTTTTAAAGGCTTATTCTGTCTACTTTTGCAACATGTTATATAAACTCCTTGAGGAAGTATGTCTGATTTCGGTTTTGGTACCAACCAGCACCAAACACAGAACAGTAGAACTCATTTCTAGGCTCAGACACTCCCTTTGCAGCACATGAGGAGAGTTGCAGACCCAGAATCAAGGGTAGTTAAGCAAGCAGCAAAGATAGGAAATACTAGCAATTGTTATTTGGACTGTAACTATCCCTATTTTTCTTTTGATGCCATAAAACTAATTTTTCTTGGCTGCTAATCAAAGAAAAGCATGACCATTATAGCAGCCAAGCATTTCTCCAGGAGAGGTAAATGTAATTCTCAGATTCAAGAAGTTTTTAGCTTGACCTCAACCTGAGTGGACTTACCAGGCAAATGATGGCTGACTCAGGCAGTCTGAATTTATAAGTACTATTGCATTTATTCGTTGCACTATAATTTCTTGTTTCCATTGTTGTGTAATATTTTAGCCAGTAAATAATACTTAATTGGCTTCCTAATTATCAGGCATGGAGATCTAAGGTGGCTTTCATTGCAGAGTTGTTTTCTGACATAGGGACTTACAGATTGTAGGCTTGAATAAACCCTTGAAGATTTGTATGTTACCTACATTTGGAAATATTATAGCTAGCCAGACTTTTAATATTTTAAACTCTACATTCAAACATGAAAGAAAGAATGATTAATACTGACCTGCCACTGAATATGACCTTATCATCACATCCTATAGACTTCTAATCTCAGTTTTCTTCATTAAAAACAAGCACCTCATCAAAATTCCATGCAACAAACAAATATTTATTGAATACCCACTTACACAAGTCCCTGTGCTACATGCTTTAAGTGAGGTAAAAAAAGGATATTTTTAACAATTTGAAGGTCACCAGGCATAGATGAAGATAGTTAAGAGAGTTCATACTGAGCAGTGAAAGCCTTCCCCTCTTTCCTCTCTTTAACTTCAGAGAGAAGAAAAAAGGAAAATAAAGAGAATTCTAAGAATGATGACAAAGGAAATTACCAAGACAATAGCAAACATCAAAGCAGAGAATGCAATTAATTCAGACTAGCAGAAGGTCAGATGTGTCCAGTGTTGATGTTTCCAAAAAAGAAAATGGAACTGATAAATTATCTTAAAGTTTAGGAGTAATGAAAATTACACTGAGACATATTTTATGAATATTTTGAAAGTATGAGAAAATTCTAGCCAAATTCAAAAAACTAATAAATAAAAATTAAAAATCAAGCAATTATCAACTTAAAAAAAGAAAAAAGGAAAAATGAACAAGATAGAAGATAAAAGTATAGTTTAACACTTGGCTCAGCAGTGATAGATATTTGCATAGCCATAAGATGCAGACACAGAATAGAGATTTATTTGTTTATTAATTTTAGAGATGGGTCTCTGTCACCCATGCTGGACCACCACACTGGGTTGTTTTGAGATGAGGAGGTCTCACTGTGTTACCCAGGCTGGTCTTCAACTCTTGGCTTCATGTGATCCTCTCTAATAAGAAATTAAGGTACAATTACATAGAAGAGTGACAGAAAGGAATGACAAGATGTAGATAAGCTAAAGTTTTTATGTTCCCAAACAGGAAAACAACAGATGTCCATGACTGATAATCTAGAGATGGCAGTATGCACATATTATTTTTTAATGGAGATAAATATCTGATTAAGTTTTTGAAAAGCGGCAGCTTTGGCTGGGCATAGTCTATAAGGGTTAAAAAGCCAAGCTTCTTAGTTTGAGAAAATACAGTCCTTTGAAGTAAAATTAACATAGATGGAAGTATACATACCCTTGTAAACATAATCTATGAGTAATAGGAACTAACCAACTTTTAAAACTCCCATCAAAAACATTTTGTTAACAAAAGCACCTTTTTTCAAACCCAGATTCATTTAAACATCCTTTGAAATGAGCCATTGACCTGAAAATTGGATAACAATGTGTGTTTTACCAAATTGTTTGGAAAACTATAGCCTAAATTATTAAGATTTTAAGCCAGTTATTTAGATTTTTTAAATATTAAGCTGTTTAATATATTAAGAAAATGAAAATACCTGTAGTTATAAAAGATTTTCATGCTTTGAATAAGAAAGACCAGCTGGAAGCCAGTTTCTCATTACATATTTTTATATTGAGACAATGTTTGAATGTCAGGCTGCTCCACTTACTAACCTTACTGATAAAAGAAGCATGGCAGGAAAATGCTTTAATACTTATGATGCTGAACCTGCAATATAGCCCTAACAAATTTGGCTTTAAGAACTGCCTAATTACATATTTATAAATGCATGTTATGTATCTACTAGGCTGGAATGAAGCCCTATAGCCATTTCAGTTTATCAAGTAAATGAAGTAATTTTTTAAAAACATTATGCAGTTGATTACACAAAGCAACAATACATACTCATGACTATTTGTAAAGGCTACCACTTATGGACTGATTTTCTGTTTCATTGTGTGCTAAAATGCCAGGCACTTGAACCAGCAAAAACTAACTATATGCCAGAAAGCTGAGATGATGGCTCAGTAGCAATATTCTCTAATCACTACAGCTATTATTTAACATTCGCTGCACATTGGCAGCATTCTAATCATTTTATAAAATGACCCTGCCCAGTGAATTTACAGTTAACATCAAACAAAGTTAAGACACGAAAATGTCATTGAACCATTACAACATCTGCTTTTTATTCCTCTTCCAAGCTGTTTAACATTCTTTTTTGAGACAGGGTCTTGCTCTATCACCCAGACTGAAGGGCAGTGGTAGCATCATGGCTCACTGCAGCCTTGACCTCTCCAGCTCAAGCAATCCTGCCTTAGCCTCTCAAGTAACTGGGACTACTCTAGCTCCCAGGGCATGTGCCACCACACAGGGCTAATTTGTTTTGTCTTTTGTAGATGCAGGGTCTCACTATGTTGCCCAGGCTTGTCTCTAACTACTGGGTTTAAGCAGTCCTCCTGCCTTGACTTCCCAAAGTGTTGGGATTACAAGTATGAGCCACCATACCTGGCCTTTTTTTTTTTTTCTATCAGGAATGTATTGTATGCTCATTAAGAAAATTAAGAAAAACAAAGAAAACTAAAAAGAAAAAAAAATCATCCATAATCCATAGTCTATCATCTGAACTCAATCATTGTTATTTGGGGGTGTTTCTTTTGTCTTTTTTTTTTTTTTTGCATAATGTTTTATTTGGGGTTTACGGAAGAACAAAGATAGATATATAAATCATGCCACATATATATTATAGTTACATACACACACATGCATTTTTTTAATCTTTTCTATTTTAATAACACTGCATCAAGGCTTTTCCCATGTTATCATGCACTCCTTATGAAATAATTTTTAAGATGTGACAATTTATTGACCAAATATGCAACAGTTTATTAAACCATCCACAATCGTTTACTATTTGATTTACTTCCATTTTGCCAGAATAAATAATGCTCTAATCAGTATACTTGGGTATGTTTCCTTCTGGATATCTGAAGAAGTTTCACTACGGTAGATTCCAAGATGTAAAATTGCTGAGGCATGAGGTTGAAACATCTACAACTTTACTAAACACCAAATTGTCCCCCAAAGTAGTTTTTTTCTATTTATACTCCTATCAGCAGAGCATTAAAATTCTTATTGTTGCACAACCTCATTAACACTAGATAATGTCAAACTTTTAAAAAATTTGCCAAACTGATGGATGTGAAATGGTATCTCATTGCACTTTTATTTTGCCTTTTCATATTTACTAGTTTTGGTATGTTTATTGTCATTCAGGTCTCCTTTTTGGTAAATTTATCTATCTTTTGCCTATTTCTCTTTGTTTATTTTCTTACAATTTGTAGTAATTCCATTTTTTGTCAGTAATACTCACTTCAAATATCTTCTGCCACTCTGTGGTTTATCTTTAATGATATCTTACATTGTACAGAAGTTTTTCATTTCAGTATAGGCAAATTTGTCACTCTCTTACTTTAAGGTTGATATTTTATATCTCATAAAATAAAGCTTTCCCTACTCAGAGTGTATAAAAATATTTTTTTTCTAAAAATTTTAAGTTGTTTTTACATCTGGAATGTAATCTGTGTTTGATATGAAATCAAAATTACATTTTATTTTTTCCTATGGATATCTAGTGTCTCAGCACCACATAATGAATAGTGCAACATTTCTCCATTGCTTTGTAATGGAACCTCTGTTATATTTCAATTTCCTCTATATGCATTTATCTAATTGCAAGCTCTCAATTTCTTCCCTTTGTCCATCCCTTACTAATACCACAATATTTTACTTAATAGATAATTGATATTTGTGTGATCTTATGTTCAACAAGTTTGCCAAGTACTTTTACATGTCTGCAGATTATCTTGAATTTCCACATGGACATTGACATATTGTCAATAAATAGAGACAATTTTCCTCTTATCTCACAATTATGCTCTATTTTTATATTATTAATATTGTTTAGTATGACTTAGTTTTCTTGACCAGTTTTGTTGAAATATATATATACACATTTTTCTATGTAATACATATAAATATATATTATACATAAATATATAAAATGTATATTTTATAGAATATACATTAAAATATTTTTATAAATATATAAAAATGTAATTTTTATATATTTATATATTTTATTTATAATACATATAGATACATATATACATATTTATATATAAAGCAATATATATATATGCCTTTTCAAAAGATCAGATTTGGGGTTTTTTGATTCTTATTTTGGTTTCTGTTTTCTATTTTATTAATTTCTGTAGCTTATTCTGTTGTACTTTTTTCAACACCTTAAGATAAAATTTTAGCTCATTAGTTTTCATCTTTTCTTATATATATATAAGACCTTAAATATCACTCTTGGTATTGTTTTAGCACCAAATTACTTTTATTGTTATTCCTTTTTTTTTTTTTTGAGACGGAGTCTCACTCTGTCGCCCAGGCTGGAGTGCAGTGGCGCAATCTCAGCTCACTGCAAGCTCCGCCTCCCAGGTTCACACCATTCTCCCGCCTCAGGCTCCCAAGTAGCTGGGACTACAGGCGCCCGCCACAATGCCCAGCTAATTTTTTGTATTTTTAGTAGAGACGGGGTTTCACCGTGTTAGCCAGGATGGTCTCAATCTCCTGACCTCGTGATCTGCCCGCCTGGGCCTCCCAAAGTGCTGGGATTACAAGCGTGAGCCACCGTGCCCGGCCCACTTTTATTGTTATTCCTTTCTATATGCTATGTAATCTCTAACTATGATTTATTTTACCATGAACCATTTGGTTTAGTTTTCAAGGTGGTATTTACCACATGGACTGTTTTAGATTTGTTGAAATTTGCTTTATGATTGTACTACTCAATTTTTGTAAATATTTCATCATTATTTGAAATAACCTATATTCTTTAATTGGGCTGAAGAATCAATATATTATCATTAGATCAAGCTTGTTAATTATGTTGTCCTAATCTTCTGTATCTTTACTAATTTTTGCTTTATGAGTTTTTAAAACAGTTTGTCACTTTCTACTTGTAATTCTTTGTCTTTCTGCTTTATGTGTTTTGAGGTCATTTATTTAGAAACAAAAAGATTCAGAATGGTACATTTTCCTAATAAGCTGTTCTTTTTACCATTAGTGACTTTTTTTCTAATAAGTCTTTTTCCCTCAAAGTCTGTATTATTGATATTTGATTGATAGCAGATGTAAAGACAACTCTAAATTTTGATATGCCAGCAAAACCAGTATTCTTTCATCTTGCATTCCATTTGCCTGGCATGTTGTTTTCTATCCTCTTACTTTCAACATTTCTGTCTTTAAGATGCCTCTTATAAACAGCTTAAGGCTGTTTTGTTTTGTTTTTTTTAATTAGGTATAAGAACCTCTGATTTTTAACAAGTCAAATTAATCTATTTACATTTAATGTGAATATATTTGGCCTTATTTCTACAATCTTATATATATGTTTTCTATATGCTATGCCTTCCATTGCTTCTTTTTCCTGCATGCTGCTGTTATTGTTTCCTTGTCTGCCTTATATTAGATTGCTTAATTTACTGTATTATTTCCCCCTTCTACTCTTTTGAAAGTTTTTAACTCTTTTTTTAATCAGTGACCCTTAAATTTTTAACATGCTTGTCTTAAGATCTAAAGTTAACTGATACTTCTATCTTATGTAAGTTGGAACTAATTCCTCGCCACCATTTTTTTCACAACAAAATCATTTATTATTGTGTAGTATTAAAGTTATAGAGGTGTAATGTCAAAACAGAATTGAGTAAACCCTACAGGTCAGTGAGAGCACTCTAATTCCACTTACTCTCATTCAACTTCTCTCAAAAACTATTATCACCAAACATTCTGAAAGTGCAGACATCAGCATTTGCCTTGTTCTTTCTTGTAGACAAGCTCCTCGAGTTTTCCTACTTTACTGTGCATTACAACTCATGTCATGTTCAAAGTACAAAACCGCATTTTTTTACTTTAAGGGCAAAGTAAGGAATTTTCAACAGTACCTTTGACTACACAACAATTTTCTAGATAGCTTTGGAACATAACCCTTACGTAGAATGTGACTTCACAGTGATATATTTTTTCCTTTTACCAGGCCAACTAGAAGATCCATAAACAATTAGATTTTTAAAAGAAAAGCTAAAATCTATACCTTGCAGGAATAAAAGTTACCTTGCAGATTCCCAAAGACCTATAATCAGGCAAATGACACATTCAGTTGTAAGTTTTAGTGTTCCCTTTATTTTGAGTGTTTTTATTCAAATAAGTTGCAACTTTATTGTTCAGAGAAATAGTCACTGAATTAAAATCAATGAAAAATTAGAAAGACTGTTTCTTTTTTTGAGTTTTTGAGTTTTTGTTTCTTTTTCTTTTCTTGGCTCTCCTTTTGATGCAGAATTTTTTGCTCTTTAGTTCAGCTAAAATCTTGTTCTTGTGTCACAACCAGGAAAAATTAGGTACATGGACACATTGAAAGGTGAGGAGAGCAGAATTTATTAAAAGAAAGCTCTCAGAAAAAAGGCGGTCCTTTCAACAGGCTTCCACCTCACAGACTGAATACCAGGTCACCACACATGAGCTGAAGAGGCCAGGCTTTGCCCAACTTTATCAGGTGTGGATTCCAGGTGGGTCCACCCCATTGTCCCAGTGCAGGGGTGGGCCCTTAGTTTGAGCCACTCCATATTGATTTATTTCCCTTACTAGGCATGTGTTAAGGGACAGAATGTCTTTGAACATGACACATGAGTTGTAATGCACAGCAAAGTAGGAAAACCCAAGGAGCTCGTCTATACATACAACGCATGTGTTAAGGGACAGAATTTTTCACTGTGGGCACGTTTAGGTAAGCTCCCTGTGCACAATGGCCTGGGCAGCATTTGGCTGTCTCCTTCTCTATCACTTTTATGAGGTGTATAACCTTTTTAAAAATGTGTAAAACTTATTATTTTACTGTATTGTGGCAAGAACACTTAACATGAGATCTCAACACATTTTTAAGTGTACAGTAAATTATTGTTGACTATAGGTACCAAGTCGTCAAGCAGATCTCTAGAGCTTATTCATCTTGCTGGACTTAATGCCTGTTTATTACCAGCTCTCCATATCTCCTTCCACTCCATTTACTTTATTTGTTGAAATTATTTCCCTTCAAATTCTTTTTTATTTTTAATTGCGGCAAAATATATATAATAAAATTTACTAACTTAAACATTTTTAAGTGTGTGATTTAGTAGTTAAGTACATTAACATTGTTGTGCACCCAGTCTCCCAAACTCATCTTGCAAAACTGACACTCTGTACCCATTAAACAACAACTACCCATTGCTCCCTTCCCTCAGCATCTAGCAATCATCATTTGAGAAAATGGCTCAGAGCAGTCTGAAGAATGTGAGAGATGCAAAATTATCAGGCCCAGACAGCAGTGAGCATGATACTTCAGTCGCATCCCCCACACCCATGCCCCAGGGTAATTGTTTAAAAATTTTTTTTTTTCATTCCTTCCCTGTGGTTTCAGACTAGCTGATAAATTACCTAAAATGTTACCACACATTGCACAATGTGACCCTCACCCAGTATCTTCATGTTCCTGGAATTTGTGATAGAAAGAACAATGTACAGCCAATTGATAGACTGTTATTTTTTAAATTCTTGGTAAACAACTTAGGGACTGCTCCCTCCTTTTTTTTCCTAAAAAAAAAAAAAAAAAGGAAAAAGACCACTTGTAACTGCTGTTAATCAGAGCATATATTGAGGGCAACTAGAATCTGATTTCCAGGCTGCAGTCCTCACCTTTGGCTTAAATTAACTCTCTACTTAATCTGTGTCCTTCAAGAATAGCTTGATGCCATCCTTGTGGTAATGAGTAAGTTCTTACTCTATTAGTTCCCATGACAGTTGATTATTAAAAAGAGCCTGGCACCTCTCCCCACGCTCTCCCACTTTTCCTCTCTCACCATGTGATCTTTGCATATGCTAAATGTGCCTCAGTTTCTTCCTCTTTGCCTGAGATTCTTCCCTTAGGTCAAAATTTCTGGTGTAGTCAGCAAGATTCAGAGCAACCTTCCAAATACCCATTGTTCCCTCTCAGACTCAGTGCTCAGTACCAGCAAAAACCCATTGCATTCTTCCAACACCAGATATTTCGCTGGGTGCAAAAGTGTGAGGTCTACATTTTATGTGGGCTTCTTTTTCAAACTCTCTTTTTTCTTTAAGAGCAAGAGTTTCCATCTCCATCTCTAAACAGGAGATTCAGACAAAGAGCCCTGAAGAGAATTTTTGCCCTCTCCACCTGTGCCTCACAGCGGGTTTGGATTACAGTATTGGCAGTCTAGCAAGGGTGGTTTCACTTTTTTGGGGGGCCTAAAATTAAGTAATGTCTTAGTCCATTTAGTGTTACTCTAAAGGAATACCTGAGTCTGGGTAATTTATAATGAAAAAGGGTTTATTTGTCTCAGATTCTGATGTCTGTAAAAGTTCAAGATGGGGCATCTGCATCTGGTGAGAAGCACTCATGGTGGAAGGCAGAAGGACTTCTTTTAGCAAGCATCAATATGTTGTAAATTCAGTCTCTTTAAAAATAACTCTTTATTTCCCTTCGTCTTGAATACTTTAACTGAATACAGAATTTTAAGTTAACAGTAATTTTCCCCTTGGCACTTTGAAGATGATATTCTGGCATATATTTCTGGCATATACTATAACTGATGATAAGTTTTCTATCCAATGCTTCTATCTAAATCGCATTTTTAAAATAAGGAACTATCTTTTCTTTTTATATTTAAGATTTTTCTCTGAGTTCATATTTTTATGTTCATGAGAATGGGTCAAGGTATTTATAGTTATGCATGTATATGTATGACTTGTTTTATTTTTATTGTTCTTCTCAAACTCATTATAATTTCTGTACATATAGATGTGTGTGGGTGTGTATGTGTGTGAGTTTTGTTCTTATTAAATTCATTGTAATTTCTGAATCTAAAAACTAGAGGTTTTTTTCCATTCTGGAAAAAAAATAGGTATTATGTCTTTGAATATTGCCTGTTTATTTTTTATTCTGGAACTCCTATTAAACATGTTGGGTTTTGGCCATTCTCTATGTATCTTAACTGTTCTTCCATATTTTCATGCTTTATCTTTCTGGCAAAGCAGTATATTAGAGAAATTTTCAGCAAATGATTACTCCCTTCCCCTCTCCTACAGAAGGAATGTACTTCCCTGATATTAATTGAGGTCTTGCATAGTTAGGCTTGTCTCTTGATCTCTTTTTGCAACGAGAACATGACTCAGCTAGCCTCTGGTTTAAAGAGGATGAGAGATATGTGGAACAGACCAGGACCTGACCTAATCCTCAGAGAGCAGCTGAGTCTCGCCAAGACCAGCCAATCTCCAGCTAACCCAAAAATGCATGAGTAGGAAATATGCGTATATTGTTGTATGGCACTAGGACTTTGGGTGTTTTGAAAGTCAGAAAAATTGGGCTGATTCAGAATTTGATGTATAAAGTACAGTGCTGCCATAACTAAAACCCAAAATATGTGGCACTGGCTTTGGGAATGGGCAGCAGGTAGTCATGTAATTGTTATAGGAGGCTGGAATAATGACAACAGTATTATGCAGTGGCAAAACATTTGGTAAAATTGTCACCTGCAATACTATGGAATACAGAACATGCAGATCTAGTAAACTTGTGAATTTGGATGAGGTGATTTCAAAGAAGAATATTGAAGAGCAGGCTGCTGCCAGGTGCCTTTGAAAAAGCATAAGAAAGTGGTGAGCTCAAAATGAACTGCCTGGGTTACAAACAGAATTGAGAGGAAATAGAGAGTTTAGAAATACTGAAAGTTGTAGGCTTAAAAATGAAACTGTTTCTCAACATGTCCCCAGCTCAAAGAAAAAGTAAATTTTGGCCACTGCCAGGGTAAAGACCAAAACAAGGGTGTGGTGCAGGCCCAAGTGCCCTGAAAGCAGACTCTGAGATGGAAAATAGCCTGTAAAGAAGTGCTCTCAGGATCAACACTTGTGGAAGAAAGGAAGCAAACAAGATTGAGCAGAGAAAGAAAGTGGGCTGTAATTAATTTATAAAAAGAACTTAACCAACCCACTGAAGCTAGATTGCTCCTCACAGTTGTTTCCAATAGAGGAAATGAAGCCAAGTCTTTAAAACCCTACATCAATTAGTTATTGCACACTGGCTGCCCCCTGAAGAGAGCATGAACTACACAGGGTGCCTCTTTTCTATTGAGAGTGATTCCCAAAGAAGACTGACAGCTGAGATCAGTAGAAATCCCAGCAGCTAGAGGAATAAATTCTTTAGTCATGAAGGATGATGTTAATGGCACAGTAGATTATCCAATTCAATTCACCCCATGCTCCACTCAGACCTTTATTTTTGCAAAAGTTTTTGAAGCAGCTCCAGAACTTGGGAAGAAAGTTAGCGAGATACATAGATTCCATTGCAAAGACCAAAAGTGATACTCAATATATGCTTCCTGATCTACCATTCTAGAGTTTCCTCACCTTGACTAGCTCCTCTGCTGGTCTTGTTGGCTTACCTGGTGGGATGATCCAGTCACTCATCCTTGAGAGTCACCATACCTTTCTCAGGTCATCAATACTTTACTAGTCAATTTACTGTCAAAGTTGTGCAAGGGCATACCAAGAGATGCCAAATACATTCCTTTTTGCCATCACTGTATAAGAGCAGCCTGACCTCCTCCCAGTATTTAGAATGATAAACCTGCCAGGATGGTGACTGCTCTCGTTGCCTGATCCTTTGGCAGTAGAAGGCAGAAATGCCCCAGTGACAGCCATAGTTTAAAGTTCACTGGGCCTCTTGCTGTGTCTCCTGGTGGAAATGCTCACCTTTTGGGAACAATACCTCTAAACCTACAAATCTCAGAGCTATGGAGATGAGTAGCACAAAATCCCCAATTGGGTCACTGACAATGATGGTAAACAGGACCACCTCTACTTCTACATTTGATTCCCATATCCATAAATTCTATTTGCTGGGAACACAGCAACATATGCTGGCCATTGATTCAGAGGGTATACTGCATAGGGTATTATTGTATCTAAGGTGGTGCTTAAGCTGATTCTTCAACAGGCCATTCCGTTGCTCTATCCGGCCGGCAATTGTTTACAGTTCTGGGTGAAGTGTTATGTGAAAGAATCAGTGAATCACATGGTCACGTGCTCACTACCACATCTCTTTTGCAATAAAATGAATCCCTTTGTTTGATGTGATATTGGGAAGATCCTGTGTCATGAGATCAAACACTCCATAAGTATGGTGGAAGCAGCTGAAGCACTATTGGCAGGAAAGGAAAATCCATACCTGAAATATGTGTCAATTCTAATCAAGATGAATCATTCATTGCCCCTTACATAATAGAAGGGATCCATGTAATTAACTTGTCATTTGATTCTCCTCCATGGATGATTCTATATCAAGGGCTCAATATTGGTCTCTGTTCCTGACAGGTTGGACATTTGGCAGCAGCAATAGCCAAATCACTGTTGGTAAGTGAGAGCTCATGCTGTGGGGCCATCCACAGTCATGATGACTACCCTTCTTGTGCCCATTGTTCCAGCTTTGAGGATAGAAGCTTGTTGATGCCAACCATTGGAGTCATTCTGTTTATTCAGTACCTCTTTTGTGATATATCCTTTATGGTTGGTGTTCACTTGTAATGCAAAAATCTTTACACTTTGTGCCGAGTCCCATAGGTCCATCCACATACTTTCTCATCAGACTTCCTAGTCCTAAACTTTCTAACATTTCTTCTTCCTTAAAGTAGGCTCTTCTACTACTTATCACTGCTATAACAAATTACCATAAACTTAGTGACTGAGACAACAGAAGTATTGTCTCTTACATTTCTGTAAAAGTCTGACACAATTCTTACTGTGCTAAAAATCAAGGTTTTAGCAAGGCTCTGATCCTTTCTGGAGGCTTTAACAGAGAATTCATTTCCTTGTTCCTTCTAAATTCGAGAAGCCTTCCACATTCCTTGGCTCATGGCCCCTTTATTCCATCTTCAAAGCCATTCTTCCATAGTCACATCACTCTCTGGCCATAACCAGGAAAGTGTCTCCTACTTTTAAGGATTCATATGATTAGATTGGACCCAACTGAATTATTCAGGAAAATCCCCCCATTTCAAGGTCCTTAATTTTAATCACATCTGTAAAGTCCCTTTTGCCATTTAAAGTAATATATTCACAAGTTCTGGTATTACGATATAGTCCTCTTTGGGGAGCCACTCTTCTGCCTTCCATGATTTAAGTCCACATGGCAGTCTAAAATATGTCTTTGATCTGTTATGTATCTATGTTTGTGGTTACAGAACATTCACAAGCATTTAAAAATATTCTTTGCACCATATTCTTCCAACAGCTTCCAAATACATTGTTTTATCCCTAAGAATACCTTCACACAAAAGACTGAGTAAAGCTACACTTTAAATATTATCCTTCTTAATCTCTTTGTAATTGTGTTTCTTTGATATGGGTCACTACTAATTTTAACACAGCTGTTTATGTTATTACATAACAACTTTGTGATCTTATTAATTTGTTTATCTTATTATTAAAATCAAATTTAGTAGCTGCTCTGGTCTAAGGGAGGCAAATATTTTATAAATCATTACTACTATATGTTAAGCTCTAATATGAGTTTCACATTCATTATTTTATTCACCTTTAAATGAATCCTATAAAAGAAGTCTAGTATCACTATTTTACAGATGAGAAAACTAATGTTTCCAGTATCACAGAACTAGTTAAGTATCGGAGTAGGGCATACAAATATAGGTCTTTTTGACTCTAAAATGCATACTATTTTCACTATATCCTTAATAAATTCCCATTGAGTAAATTAAATTATTTGTAGAGGTATACTATACATCCAGCACATTTCATGAATTTCTCATGCTGTAGAAATCATGTCCAATGTATTACACAGAAGCCTTGGGCCACTAATAATTCTTGAACTGACATAGTTCAAGACGACCTAGATAGAAGCATACTGGCTAGAAACAAAAATCAATGGTAAATATTTTTATGAAATCACTAGACTTGTTTTTTACTTCATTGTTGGTATCTTCTAATTTGACCTAAATCTACTGTGTGGTCTATAGTGTCCTGTTGCTTAGCAAAACCTGGAACACATTATAAAGAATACCTATTTAATGTTTCCATCAGTCCTGAAACATAGATACATTCTTGAAGACATGCTATTATATTGTTCTAAGACTCTTTGTGAGCAATTTAAATCCTTTTGCCATCTCAGCCCAAATGAAGTGAAGGGTTGTCCAAACAGAAAGTCTGAATAATTCAGCTTCTCTTGGGAGAAAACAAAGTTAATCTCTCTGGAATCTATATAGCTGCAGAATCACTGGACCATTGAACAACTCTCTACTTCACTTTGGTAGTATAGATTTCCAAGATCCATGAGCATAAAATAATTATTTTTAAACTTTCGAATGAAACAGATTTAAAGTAAAACGGATCAAGTATATAACATTAACGTATTTTAATTAAATTTGACATTTAAAACAAAAGATCAGCATATTTTTAAATGAGTATAAAAATTTAAAAATGATCAGCATATTTGAAATGATTTTTAGCTTTCTAAAGTCCATCCATTATTATGAGGCTTAAGAAAGACTTCAGAGGCTGCTTAAACATTTCAATATTTTCATGTAGAGGTTCTTTATCAACCTTGAAATCTGTCAATAAATGTAAATAACAAGAAAATATAAAGTAGGCAGATTTTTCCTACTATGAACCTTGATTTTATCTATATCACTCTTAGTTGAATGGGATAAATTAACACTTTCTTGAAAGTTTCCTACCATACACGTACATTTAATTTTTAAATATTCAGGACCTGCAGAATATACTATGCCTATTAAGGTTTTTTTATTATAATTATAGACCTGTTAGATACTTGATTTGCTTATCAATTCAAATCAATTTAGTTCTGGCCAGGCACAGTGGCTCATGCCTGTAATCGCAGCACTTTGGGAGGCTGAGGCAGGTGGATCACTTGAGGTCAGGAGATCGAGACCAGCCTGGCCAACATGGTGAAACCCCATCTCTACTAAAAATACAAAAATTAGGCTGGGCATGGTGGCACATGCATGTAATCCCAGCTACTCAGGAGGCTGAGGCACGAGAATCTCTTGAACTTGAGAGGCGAAGGTTGCAGTGAGCGGAGATCATACCACTGCACTCCAGTCTGGGCAACTGGAGAGTGAGACTCTGTCTCAAATAAATAAAAACAAATCAATTTAGTTCTATTAGCATGTAGTGAGAGTCCACTATAGGGCAGACTGATATCAAATTTCATGGTATAGTCAGCTTTCTAGTACACTTTATGTACTTCTTAAAAAGAGGATAGGCCAGGCACGTGGCTCATGCCTTTAATCCCAGCACTTTGGGAGGCTGAGGCGGGCAGATCGCCAGAGGTCGGGAGTTTGAGACCAGCCTGGCCAGCATGGTGAAACCCTGTCTCTACTAAAAATACAAAATTTAGCCAGGCATGTTGACAGGTGCCTGTAATCCCAGCTACTCAAGAAGCTGAGGCAGGAGAATCGCTTGAACCCGGGAGGCAGAGGTTGCAGTGAGCCCAGATCATGCCATTGCACTCCAGCCTGGGCAACAGAGTGAGACTCCATCTCCAAAAAAAAAAAGGATATAAAGTAGGAACCTAGATTAATTAATTTGTAGACCTTATGCCCATGCTAAAATTAAACTTTCTAGATCCTATAGGACAGAAAATATAATTTTGTTTGCTCTAATTTTTTTAAATTTAGACCTTTAATTGGGATAGACAGCTCAACAGTCCCACAACTCCTTATTATCCCCAACAGATTTCCTTCACCCATTTACATTAGCTGTATCTAACCCCTGCAAGTATTTGAGTTTCAGCCTCCGAAATCTAATCACTTTATTTTATAATAAGAAAACGAATGGTCACAGAGAATAAATAACTTAGCCAAGGTTACCAGCTAGCAAGTGGCACTGAGCCAGAGTCAAAATCCAAGTATAGTGGCTCTTTGTAAAAGGCAGTGTTTTCATCTTACTATATTTTCATTCTCTTTTTCAGAACCTAACATTTGTCTGAAATAAGGACCCTCCGTAATTTTTTTTAGCTTTCAAAAGTGCCTCGTGGCACTTACAATTTTTATTCATATCCCAAGTTTCAAAATATCATTAACAGATTAAGCACTTTACTACATGCTATTTTGGTGTTTGCACTACTCCCCCGCCTTTCCACTGCCTTTTAGCTGCTCTGAGAGCTGGTAAAGAGAGACGAGAATTATACAATTACATAAGATAAAAGAATGAAAGGTTTAGAGAGGTGAGTAAGAATGAGGGGGTGGTAGGGTCGTGGGCGGGAATAACTGTAGAGGAAGGACAAGGAGAAGGAAAAACTGAGACAGTGGTTCCTGAATATCAAAGACAGGAAGAGTTGAGAAATAAAGACAGCCAGTCATCAAACACTGTTCTTTTATGGGATGTGCTGATTCTGTGTGTGTGTATGTACATGTGTATATATATATACATATATATGTGTGTGTGTGTGTGTGTGTGTGTGTGTGTGTGTGTGTGATTTGCTAAGTCCACTCAAATTTTAGGCAGATTTTTCCCTTAGGCTCATGTAGCCAGTCCCACAAAAAATTATGAAATAGGCAAAACTTATCTTGAAATTCTCCTTTGTACTTTCTTCCATTAAACTGTATTACAAAATGCAGTGCTTTTTTTCTCTGGTTCACCCCAGGCTGAAAACTGGCTCTCTTTGACACTTTAGTTTTAAACCTAACTCTCTCCTGGAGTATTTACATTTGAAGTCCCATCTCTTAATTGTTGAGTAAAAGAACCTCTCTTAAAGGAATTGTTTAAATATCAGTAAGCAGAGAGGTTTGGAATTACTAGAGGGTAAAGGAATCCTTCCTAGAGAATCTCTAATTTCACAACCAACTGTGACTTTAAGAGGTCCAGCTTGTTCATATCTAGCCTAAGTACTCAGCATACTCAGCTCTCTAGGTTACGTTTTAAATTGACAAAAAAGGTACAGAGAGTCTGAGAAGGCAATAACAATCACCAAGCAAACTGGTACATTCATCAAAAGTTAACTAAGGAATGCATCAGTGAAGACATTCATTCTAAATAAGCAGATATAATCCCTGATTTATATTCAATTATTGGTGATTAAGGTGAAGTAGCTTTTCTCATCAATTTATCTACTTAATTATTCAGTAGGGATGTGGACTTTAACCAATTTATGAACAATATCTTATTTCTCTTCATAATTGAGAGAAGCACCAGTAAAATAAGCAGAATTTCCATAAACTGATCAACTGAGATCACTAAAACGTTGATTGCTGTAAACAAAATAATAAAGGTCAATAGAAAAATTGAAGTTTACCCAAACTTTCCAGATTCTGCAGCCAGACTGCCTGGTTTCAATTTAGGTTCTGCCACTTACTTGCCTCAATTCCTTATCTATAGACTTGAAATAATAATAGTACCAAAATCATGTGATTGCTGTGAGAATTAAGTTAGTATTTTAAAGTGTTTAGAACCATGCTAGGCACTCTGTAAGTGCTTGCTAAATAAAATACTATAATTTTATCTCTTTCCTGACTCTGATGGCAGTTACTTAGGTCTACAAAACGGCTCCATAAATCTGATGTATAATTCAAATTGGCATTGAATTTACACGTCTATATCCAGTTAACCTGCTGCCTTGAGCATGGTGCAAGTGAAGAAAATATTATTTTACTTCATTGTATGGTTGTAGCTGTCAACACTTCAAAAATGCATTTTCTCTTAAGGGAAAGTGGACATTAGGGTATAAATGATTTATTGCTACTTGGTTATGTTATGTTTATACAATGAAGGAGAGCACAGTTTTGCCTTCAAAGCCCCTAACACCTTTTTTCAATAGCTTTATTGAGGTATAATTCACATACTGTACAATTCACCCTGTCATCAATAAACAATACTAGTGTTTATTGAATGGCTATTACGTCCCAGGCAATAAACACAAATTGTTTCATTTAATCTTCATAAAAATCCCTTAAGGTAGGTATTATTATACTCAATTTTATGATTCAATTAAAGGGCAAGAACTTTGCAGCTAAAGGTTGAAGTGAGGTTTGAACTTACATCCATGTAGCTCCAATATATGTTTTCCATATTCTGCAGCTTCCCTTCAGAAAATTACTTTGTTCTCTTTCAGAGAGTGACTGGAAAAAGGGGGAAAATGTGACTTTTAGAGGGTAGCCGTGGTTAGAGAAACTCTTAATCTTTTAACCTGTCAGGAGAAAAGCCAGAAATAGCAGTCACTGAAAGTTGTTTTAAAACTCTCAATTCAAGGTTGGCATGATAATGCAAAATAGTATTATTACGCAGAAATAAGCAATCATAATCATAATACTGATATACACAAATCATAATGCCAATATACACTACTTTCACTTGGATTCAGCACTTCCTACTAGCATAACTACACCTACCTTTATCGCATTCTCACCAAATGAGTTAGGGTTTAAAATGGGCAAACGAGAAATGATGTGGGGATTCCGGCCCATCTTTTAGACTTTTCACATCAATATGGTATGTTAAAATCACACCCCTGGACATCATGCTCGGGAATACTTAAGTAATTTTGCCACAATTCATTTACTAAACAAATATTTAGGTAATTTTTACATGTCCATCAGTACTGTGCTAACCACCAGGTGTACAAAGGCTAAAACAAAAGATGAACCCAGTTCCAGCTCTTAAAGAGTTTACATTTTAGTTCAGGCTTTCAGAAGGAGAGGCAGTGAGTGTGCTATACTGTATAGCATGTGGGCTCTTGAACCAGCCTCTCCACTCACCTCTCCACCTGCTGTGTGACCTTGGCATTTGATTTTTAAGCGACTCGATTTTCTATTTTGTAACATAATCGTTGACTTCAAATTAAAGACATATCTAGTTTCATTTCAGGTGTACGGCACCATACGAAGATGGGGCTAAGAAAATGTTACTATCCTGTATAAACAAGAGGGTTTCTCGCACGTTTTCTTCCTTTAGTATCTGGCATTATTCAATACTGTCCATATTCTACTCCCTGTTCACCGATGAACTGGGACATGTTTTTCACTGCAGCTTAGTCGTCTGGGTGTGCCTGGGGAGGCGTCACAAAGAGCCTATAAAGGGTCCCCACCTACAACGGGAGTAAGAGCGCTGGAAGGAACCCAGGAAGGGCATGGAGACCAAGCGTTCGGTTTCGGAGTGTTTTTTGTGTGTGCCCATATTCACCGAGCTTGGGTTCTCCCACTCGTAACGAAAAGCCCAGTCACTGAGCTGCTACATTTTCTGCCATATCTTAGCCGTCCCCACGCCCCCACACCACCGCCCCACCCTACCTCACCCTCAAGCGTGAGTGAATGCGCAAATAAGGGTTTTCAAGGCGTCAGTGGGAAAGAGGGAGGGGAAGGCAACGCTGAGGACGGGAGGACAGGGCGGTGGCATCCCTCTAGCGAGAGAGAGCCAGAGCCCTCGGCGGCGAGGAAAGCTAAAACCCGGCAGTCCCGGGCCAGAGGAGGCCAAGGCAAGATGCTGGACGGGCGGGGACCGATGGGGGGCAGCAGACCATGGCCGCGCACCCAGTGCGCCCCCGGGGCCTCCTCTTGTCCCGAGGAGCACCCCCGCTCCCGGTGTCTTTTGGTTTCGACCGGCCGACTGGGAGGGGCCGTGGGACGCCATTCCCATAATGCTCTGGGGCGTGCCGCCGCCGTCGCTGCCACCTCCCCTACCGCTAGTGGAAGAAGATGGCGGAAGGCGGAGCGGCGGATCTGGACACCCAGCGGTCTGACATCGCGACGCTGCTCAAAACCTCGCTCCGGAAAGGGGACACCTGGTAAGAGAAAGGGGTTGAGATGCCCGCGGTTGCCCGAGGATAGTGGAGAAGTGGGCGGGAGCCGCGAGCTGGTTCTTTCGCTAGTGACAGGTGCGGGCAGGTCCGGCGGCGGCCGCCGGGGCAGCGGGATTTTGGCCGCTTCTGAAATGTTGGGGCAAAGGTTGGACTCTAGATGAGGGTCAGGGTTCTTGGCTTGCCAGGGCATGCTGAAAGGTATCCGGGGAGCGGCGGCGGCGGCGGTTCTGACTCGTGCGGTTCTCTTCGTCCTCCTTCCTTCCGTAGTGCCGCTCCCACCTCAGGCCTTCCCGAATGATAGGTTATAGTGGTTTGGTTTGAGTCTTATATACGCCGTTTTGACAGGTCCCGGTGCCGCGGCTTATCACGATCTCACCGGCTTTACTTCTCTGTTCATTTCCTTTCCTAGAATTGTCGGCGTCCAAGTTCCCTTTTATTCTGATTCTTGGTCTTCCGGGAGGCAGGCTGCAGGATGTTTGCGGTCTGTACTACACAGGTGGCATGTCAGGGCTCCACATAAGAGAAAGAAACCCTAGTTTCCAGTTCCTTGTCAAAGGAGGGAGAGGAGTAGGGAACCTTGGGCTTATGAGAGACCACGTGGTCTTGTGCTTTAGTGGTGGCTTGATAGAAGCCGGCAGCGTTTCTGTTAGACGTGCAGCCCTTCCCTTCTGTTTGAAAGATAATGTAGGCCTGCAAAAAGTAGATAAGTCCACTTGAGGCTTAACTAACTGCTAATATTCAAACTTGTAAAATACCAAAGGTTATACATTTAAAATACTGAAGGATGTATGTGGACATTTTCACACTTGTCGACCATATCAAGTGGCATCTACAATAACTTAAATATGTGAATATGTAACATAATTTAAAATTCCTTATTTTTTGGGAAGCATAATGTGCCTCTTCATTATAATAAAACATATTTTCACTTTCCACTGTTACCATAACAGTAGTATATAATTCATAGAGTGTTTCAGTATGGCATAGTGAAAGGAACAGTAAGATTTAGACCTGAGTTATGTCACAGTTTCACCACTCAACTTGCAGTATGGCTTTGAGGAGAGTTAATTTAAATCATTGCACCTCATTATCTTCATGCTGTAAAATGGACAGTAATTTTATTATAAGGATTTTATCTTGATTCGTTTTAATATCTTAAGAATTTCATATTTATGAGATATCAAATTTTAGTTATCCTCTTATCTCTGCTCTTTACTCCTGACAAAAGGCTGTGATATTGGGATCATTTTCAGTTAAGCTAATAGGTGGCAGACTTAGGACCTTAATTTAACCTTGATCTAAGTCTTAGTCTCTTTTTTCTTTTTTGGTAGGCTATATACTATGTTTGTATGATAGAAATCCCTAAGGATGTAAATACATACTTGTTTCATTATATCAAAAAAATAGAATCTTCAAGTGACTTAATAATAGTTATTGTTGGCCTGGCAGGGTGGTTCACGCCTGTAACCCAGCACTTTGGGAGGCCGAGGAGGGAGGATCACTTGAACTCAGGAGTTCCAGACCAGCCTGGGCACCATGGTGAAACCCCGTCTCTACAAAAATACAAAAAAATTAGCTGGGCATGGTGGCACGCCTGTGGTCCCAGCTACTCAGGAGGCTGAGGTGGGAGGATTGCCTGAGCCTAGGAAGCGGAGGTTGCAGTGAGCCGAGATCCGGCCACTGCACTCTAGCCTGGGCAACGTGAGACTCCATCTCAAAAAAAGAAAAAAAAAAGTTATTGTTTTTATTATAATGTTAGATGTTTATTACTGTGGGGAAATTGGACATTTCCTAGGACACCCATGTTTACCTTGGCTTGTGGTAATGACAAATAAGTCCCCGCTGGCTATTGTAAGTTAAAGAACATTTAAAAATTCTTAATTCACCCAACCTAGTACCACCTTATTTTAAAAAGTGAATTTCCTTAAAATAGAAATCTGTAAGTCTATAAGTTAAAATATAAGTGTTATTGTCTCTCATTAATGTCACGTTTTTGTATATAGAGTAATTGGTAGCATTGACACTACAGGATGATAGGAGCAATATGTGCATTGTGGGCGTTTAACTTTATGAAGTTTGGTATTTTCAAATAAGTATATTTTTGCTTTTTTACAAAATTAATGTAAATTGTTTTATATATGTGCGTGTGTGTGTGCGTGTATAGCTGTATAGGTACAGTGTCTCACTATATTGCCCATGCTGATCTTGAACTCCTGGCTTCAAGTGATCCACCTCAGCCTCCCAAAATGCTAGTATTACAAGTATGAACCATGACTAAATACAAGAGGCTCATAAATTTAAGTCATTTCAGTGCTTTTATTTTAAATAAAAGTAAACTGAGGGCCACATATTTAGATAAAAGCAGATTGTGCAAGTTTATCCTCACGTTAATTTTCTCTTAAAGGAAAAAAACTGCAAGAGAAAGATGGTACTGGGAGTTGCAGAAACCAGTTTGGTTTATTTGTGAGCCAGTTTATTTGCAAATTAGCAAGTGAAACCTGTCCAAAAACAAAGTAGTAGAGAGCAAAAATTTGATTCAGAATTTTAAAGAGAATAATTTGATAAGTATAAATTTGATGATGAACTTACAGGTACAGAACTGGTGGTGATATGTAATAATTTAGTTTATGTTTTTGGAACTCACTAGAAAGTTGTTTTTCCTTTTAATATCTTTTTTTAATCTTTGAATCAGGTTATTTGAAATTTGCCCTGTGGAATATTGTCGTGGCATATGTATGTAACTGTCTAGGAAAGACTGATTGGGCTGTTGAGAAAAAATGGTGGGTTTACCATAAGTTTATTCTTGAAAGTTTAATACACATGTCTGAAGTTATAGTCATATGCATCACAGTGAATAAATTTCATTTACTAGCTTTTGAGCACTTTGCAGATAATGACTGTCTCATGGTAACTCGGGTAACTAACTTCCATACCTAGGCAAGTATAAAGATTTATTTCATTCTGTGTAAGTACTACAGTTTCTCTTTATTTGTAAGCAGTGAATGATTTTTATCTAAAAACTGATTTTCTAGAGATGAAAATAAGTTACACAAGTGTGAGATGAAGAGAAACATACTTTATGATGTATTTAGTTCTAGACTTTATATTGAGAAGTAAATCAAAATTAATACGAGAGTAATACCTTTTTAAAAAGCAAGAAGAAGGTAGCACTGATTTGTATAAGGAATAAAGCAGTCTCAAAATGATATTTGTTGATCTGTGTTTCAATTTCAACAAGAGATCAGAAAAACACGAACAAAATTTAGAGTTTAGGAACTATAGGAAAGAGATAAATGAACTAGAATTGTATCGCTTAGGATGAATTAAAAACAATTTTCAGATACATGGTGGTTTCTTCTGATGAGACAAAAAGATAATTTGCTTAAGGTACATATGAGTATTTTAGGAACATATTTAAGGAATGGTAGTTAATGAGTTACAAAGAAAATTATGGGTTATAAAATACTCTCTTTGGAAAAAAAGTTTTTGAAACAGAGTCTCGCTGTGTCGCCCAGGCTAGAGTACAGTGCGTGGTCTCGGCTCACCGCAACCACCTCCAGGGTTCAAGTGATCCTCCCACCTCAGCCTCCGCAGTAGCTGGGCCTGCAGGCACATGCCACCACGCCCAGCTAATTTTTTATTTTTAGTAGAGACAGGGTTTCCCCATGTTACCCGGGTTGGTCTCGAACTCCTGGCCTCAAGTGATCTGCCTACCTTGGCCTCCCAGAGGGCCGGGATTACAGGTGTGAACCACCTGCAAAATTTCTGGCCTGGAAATTTTTAAAGAAATGGGCCTATTATGAGTAAGTAAAACATAACCACAAATCATCCAAAGCACTGCTTCGTTTCCACCATTTTTATTAAATGTTATTCATCTGCCAATCATTTTCAGTAATTTTTATGTGTGATTATGTTAAGTGGTAATGTGTAGTTAACTTTTGCAGTTTAGCAAAACATTGCATGCCATTTTTGTATAAACCCTAATAACTGTAGTAGGTAACTTTACAGAGTAAGTAATTTGTGTGTGAAGTCATTTAAAATCTCTGTGACATTTTCATTTCAATAATTGCCAAAGAATCTGATCAGTGAAGTTTTAGACAAGAGACATTGATTTCAGTTTTTAGAGCTTTCTGTCCATTCCGACTTTTACTTAGAAATCTTTGAGGCTTAATTTTATTTGATCCCTTATGTTCGTGCAACTTTGAAACTAAAAGAAAATAACCTTATACTCACAAATCCCTTAATAATGAAAAGGAACACTATTACTCAACATGAATTTCAAAATATTTAGTGTATACTTAAAGAAATTTTTATATTACTATTACTTTTAAAATTAGTTTCAGTAGTGCCAGGGTGTTTACGACCAGAGTAGGGTATATACTACATCATTTATAGGAAATGAAACTAAAAGGAAAAACTTCTTCAGTCTTGGTAAATTGGTGAAAACAAGGACAGAGATAGTGACCTTAAGGCATGTTTCACATCTTAGATGCTTAAAAATCTAGGAAAGCAACTTTTCTTAATTTAAGCCTTTTTCGTAAGTTTTTAAATGACTTCTGTTAGTGAGTCCAGGGTTAATGTACCCTAATAGTCCAGGAAGGTCCAGAGCTAGTCAATGATTTCGTTTATCTGTTTTGTGAAATTAAGGCTTTTTTTCCTAAATTATACCATTTTCCTGTTAGCACATATAAGGCATTAAATGACCTTTTTGCAAAATGGTTTTGTGACAGTTAACAATTTTGCTTCTACGTAAGTGTAACAAGATAAAATCAGTTTGTCAGGCCATGACCTGTAATATTACATTTAAAAACACTATGTGCCAGGTACTGTTATAAATGCATATTGACTTATTTACTCATCACCATATTACCACAATTCTGGGAATCGGTGTTATTCACATTTGACAAAATAGGAATCATAGGCTCAAAAAGGTTTTCACATAGTGGTATAGCTGGGATTTGAACCCAAGTAGTTTAGGTCTTTGGTTTGTGCCCTTAAAGCACTGTACCACATTGCCTCTGATTTTATTTAAAAAAATTTTTTCTAGAGACAGAGTCTCGCTTCATCACCCAGGCTGGAGTGTAGTGGCATAGTCATAGCTCACTGTAGCTTCAAACTCCTTGGCTCAAGCAATTTTCCTGCCTCAGCCTCTGAAATAGCTGGAACTACAGGTGTGCGCCACCACACCCAGCTAATTTTTAAAGTTTTTGTGGAGACGGGATCTTACTGTGTTGCCTAGACTGGTTTGAAACTCCTGACCTCAAATGATCCTCTGACTTCAGCCTCGCAAGTATTAATAGCTGGGATTACAGGTGTGAACCCCTATGCCCAGCCTCTGTCTCTTATTTTAAAGATTCATTTTTTAAAAAGTAGATTCACTTTAAAAAGAAAAGAACCTATTTTTCTTTTTAAAGGAAGTCTATTTTATATTTAGTAGCAGAATTCTACCATTTGCCTCTTGTGACTGTTCAGTTTAGATATGATAGAACATGTAGGAAATCTTAACACCTTGCTTCTGGATATTAAAACATGCTTAAAGATTGATAGGTGAATAATTGAATGTACAGAGCAAATGTCATTTTGATCCACAAGTACATTCAGACAAAAAAATTTGAGGTCATTTACTATTGAGCTTTTGAATTTTAATTGTCTATCAATAATCATAAGCTCTTATTAGAGATGATATGGCCCCTTCACATATAGTTTTACAGAAATAACCCATGAAGCATATAGTAAGATCTTGTAGGCTATTTTGTTTCGGTACTTGGTCCATATTTTAAAAGTATGGTATTGGTTTACTATAAGCCACAAATACATACGGCTTTCTTCTTGGACTTAAATCCATATGAACCACTCAGCACAGAAAATGCAAATATGAATGCATTATTATGTTCACCAACTGATTTTTTCCCTAGAGATAACTCTTAAAGAATTTTTGAAGTGAAAGAACATTTAAATTAAGATAGTGGAAGATACAATGATAATAAAACAGTCAATTTTGCTATCTTAGTCTTGAATTTATCTTATGATGTGAGTTTAGAGTGATTCTTCTTTTTTTCACTGAAAATCACTTCATTAATAAGTCATGATTATTGACAAAAGTAAATTGAAACCATTGGGCATATTGGTAGGGAAATAAGGGGAAGATAGAGAACAACTGATAAAGGTTGATTATGTGCATTACGAGATTTGATCCTCAAAAGAAGGACCAAAATATATATATTTATATGACTTATAGATGAGGAATCTGAGAGAAATTAATTTGCTTGCTCATAGTTTACTACCAGCGGACATTTATTAAATGCTTAGTCTGTCGCAGCCACTATTTTAAATGCTTTACACTTACATAGCCTTTAAAGTACATGCTCTTATTACACTTCATTTTATCTTTGATGATTTCAGAGCTGGTTTAAATACCTGGTTTATAAAGATTTAAAGTACTAGATACTATCTAATACTAAGAATAGATCCTTAGTATTAAAAATGGTTTTATGCTGTCACTACTCGAATGTAATTCAAACAATATTTCATTAAACCATGGGAATTTCTCTTTTTTCTTAGTCCTTGTATAGAATTTTTCAACAATTACTAAATACTTTTTTTCTTCCCTGAGTAATGTCAGTCTAGCTTGTTTCTTTTAATTTCCTCACTTACCACTGTAATTCACATTCTGTGTCTCATATTCATTCCTCTGAAGCCACTTCGCCAGACTCGTTCTCCCATTTATCCTTTAAACAGGGGAATGTAGATCCTTTAGATTTTATCACCCAGTTTACACAAAAGTCACTATTCAAGAAATCTAGCATAAGCCTAGTAAGTAGCCTCAGTTTTGGATACAGATTAAAATTATTTGAGGGAAGGGTCAAAAATGGCTCCTTACAAAGAAGGAAATAAGTTCCAATTATAATATAAAACAGAAAACCCCTGTAGGATTAACCTGCATTTGATTATGTCTAGACTGCCTTTACTACTTCCATCACTAAGATTCTACATGGTTTCCTTATAGCTCTCCAAAAAGAAAAGAGTAATGATGCCTTTTTTTCCTCCAAGGAATGGAGAACTAAGAATGCTAACTGTCCCTTCCATTCTCCCTTTAGTTTTGAGAAGACCCAGATATTAGCGTGGTAATTCCCCACCATAAGAGAAAATCATTTAGCAGAAGTACCAGTAGCAAGGACTTCTTTGTGAAGGAAGTCAAAGATCTCACAAAGAAGTTCAAGGGTGGCTCTGAGGCCAGGGTATTCTAAGTTTAGAGCCAGTTAAATCAAGACCTGAGAACATTTAGAGACAAAGTTACTTAACTGAAAAGAGCATCAAGTTCCTTGTTCCAGGTAGAAAACACCTGGTAATCTGGATTGATTTCTGTTATTTACCCATATGTTTTTACAGCTTAACAAAGTTTAACAGGTTAGTCAAGAGATTTGCCTTTGATAAAAAGATGGGAAATTTATATTCATACATTTGAATGGATTTCAAGCTGAAGAACTTTTTAATTCTCAGGAGAGATGTAGCTAAGTATTTATATGTACCACATAGTTGTGGCTATGGTTTACAATAACTTATTACTCATTTACTATGTTAAGAGCATTTTAAAAGTTCTCTAGATACAGGTTCCATATATAATGTAATATATTTATTCCAAATATATTACATATATGAAATACATGGTAGTATTCTCATTTTACCAGTACAGAAACTGGGATAGTTAAATGTATATGGTCATAACACTTAGTCAGTGGTAGAGCAGGAGGTCTAACTTAAAGCTTGCATTTTAAATTCTAAGTGTACTGCCTGCCTATGTGTGATAGAGCCATACCCAGATTATGGAAGCAACTTTTTGAAAGACAAATACTTGAAAGTATTAAAATCAAGAAATGACAGCTTTGTAATACTTGTTAAACACATTTTCATTTGTTATTAATATCAAGAGCCTCTAGAATTTTGTGAGTCTTCTTGTTTTAGCCTTGTAGTCTCAGCAGTCTCATTTCTAATTAACATATCTCTGTTTTGATACAGATAGTGTCTCCCATTTCCTGCAAATTATTTGCTTTTTCCTGCTTTTGGGGCCTTTATGCCCCATTTCTGTTGTTTCAGATACTTCTTAAAAATTACTGACTTTCATTTCAAAACCTAGTTCAAAGTCAGTCTCTAAAACCACCTCTAATCTCATCCAAATTTGTGGCCCCTCCATTCTTTGCTTTTAAAATATATATGTATATATAAAACAGCTTTATTGTGATGCTATTCACATACCTTACAATTTGCCCACTTAAAGTGGACAGTTCACTGGGTTTTAGTATACTCGAAAGAGTTGTGCAGCCATGACCATAATCAATTTTGGAATCCAAAAAGGAACCTCATACCCATTAATAGTCACCTCCCATTTCTCTCCCAAACTCCTCTGTTCTAGGCAGCTACTAATCTATTTTCTGTCTTTATATATTTGCCTATTCTGGATATTTTATATAAATGGAATCGTATAGTATGTGCGATTTTTGCATCTTGCTTCTTTTACTTAGCATACATGTTTTCTAGGTTCATGCATGTTATAGCATATATCAATGTTTATTTTTACTGCTGAATGATACAGTCATGAGTCACTTAATGACAAGGATAACTTCTGAGAAATGTATGGTTAGGCAATTTTGTCGTTGTGTGAACATCTTAAGGGGGTACTTACACAAATCTAGATGGGATTGCCTACTACATACCTAGGATGTATTGCCTATTGCTCCTAGGCAAAAAAAACCTGTACAACATGTTACTGTAGTGCATACTGTAGTCAATTCTAATACAATGGTAAGTATATATATATGTGTGTGTGTATAAATATATATATGTGTGTGTGTGTATATATATATATCTAAACATAGAAAAGGTAGAGTAAAAATACAATATTATGATCTTTTTTGTTTTTAGAGACAGGGTCTGGCTCTGTCACCCAGACTGAAATGCAGTAGCCCAATATTGGCTCACATTGCCCTTGATCTCCTGGGCTCAAGCAATTCCACTGCCTCATCCTCCCAATTAGCTAGGACTACAGGCAAGCACCACTGTGTCTATTTTTTATTTTTATTTTTTTGTAGAAATGAGGATCTTGCTGTGTTGCCCAGGCTGGTCTTGAACTCCTGGCCTCAAGCACTCCTCCCACCTTAGTCTTCCAAAGTGTTGGGATTATAGGCATGAGCCACTGTGTCTAGCCAGACATAATGTGTCTGTTATTGACCTAAATGTTGTTATGTGGTATGTGACCATATTCCATTGTATAGATATAACACATTTGATATATCCATTTATCAATTGATAGACATTTGAATTTCCAATTTTTGCCTATTTTGAATAATCCTGCTATGAACATCCATTACAAGTTTTCATTTCTCGTGTATATACCTGTAAGTGGAATTGCTAGGTCCCTGTTTAACTTTTTAAGGAACTGCTAGACTGTTTTTCTAAGTGGCCGTAATTTTACATTGCCACCAGCAGTGTATGAGGGTTCCAGTTTTTTCACCTCGTCAGCACTTATGTTCTTTTTTTTAATATATAGCCATCTTAGTGGATATGAAGTAGTATCTCATTGTAGTTTTGATTTGCATTTTCTTGATAGGTAATGATGTTGAGTATCTTTTCACCTGCTTATTGGCCATTTGTATGTCTTTTGGATGTCTGTCCAGATTCTTTGCCCATTTAAAAAATTTGGTTATTTTGTCTTTTTATTATTGCATTGTAAAAGTTCTCTAGATACAGGTTCCTTATTAAATAGTTAATTTACAAATTTTTCTCCCATTCTGTGGATTTTCTTTTTACTTTCTTGGTAGTGTCCACTGAAACATGGAAGTTTTTATTTTATTGAAATTCAATTTGCCTGTTTTTTCCTTTGTCACTTTTGCTTTTGGTATCATGTCTAAGAAGGCTTGGCTTAACTCAAGGTCATGAGGATTTACTCATATATTTTCTTTTCCAAGTTTTGTAGTTCTGGCTCTTACATTTAAGTCTGTAATTCAATCGAGTTAATTTTTTGTGTATATGGTCAGGGGAGGAGTTCAATTTCATTCTTTTGCATGTGGTTATCCAGTTGTCCCAAAACTATTTGTCAAAAAGATCATTCTTTTCCCTGTGCAATTATCTTGGTACCCTGCTTGAAAATCAATTGACTGTAAAAGTGAGGGTTTATTTCTAGATTCTATATTTGATTGACATATACCAGTACCAGATTATAACTGTGTAGACAGTTTTAAAATCTGGAACTGTGTCCTCCAACAACTTTTCAAGTTTGTTTTGGCCCTCTTCTCTTATTAGTTTACACTATGTTGAAATGTTGTTTTGTAAATATTCTTAAATATGTGTATTTCATTACTCCGTATAAATGACACACTCATCTTTTTGCAGCCTGTCTTCTTACCTTCTCTCATTCGAAATCTACCCCATCTCTTTATTTCTTAGAGGTATGTGGTATAGTAGTATTTGCAGTGAATGTTTTGTGTCATTTAACCCATGGATCTCTCTTCCACTCCTAATCTCATGCCCCAAAAGCACAAACAATGCGCTGTCTTAAGAACATAGATAAGTGTGCTAATTATCAAAAACACATTTACAGTACCTGGAAAATGTAAGACAACACCCTCAGCAGATGAAAATGACCTGGCATCCTAAAAGGAGGCTAAACTCACATTAATCCTTCAAATGAAAAAATCGTCACATCATACCCTTTAAATAATGCTTTAAAACATTCAAAATTATTTATGAATAATTATTTATGAGTCTTTGTGGAAATGCAGTTATGCAAGAAAAGTATAAAAATATTCATGGAATGATAAATGCTAAATCAGAGTAAGGGTATTCCAAGAGAGGGGCCCACAAGGGGCTATATTAATATTTATGATAATTTTCTTTAGGTGCTTGTTTTGATGGTATGTATATAGATGCTCGTTATTATTCGAAGTTTAATGTATGCCTTTATATGATACAAAATACTTTTAAAAAGCGAAGTTGATTGTAAGAGCTTTTTATTTTGAGGAAGTCCCAATTTTTCTTAGTTTTTTCTGTTTATTATTTTTATATTGTTAATACCAAACCTAATTCTCCCGGTGTAGAAAAGTTACACAGAGCTGAGAGAATTTATGTAGAGTCAAGCATTATTAATTATCATTTCCTTCTTGCTTCATATATGCTTATCACGCTTATATGTCACATATGGTTACAAGATATCTTTAGTATGGAGAGACATACACATTTAAGATATTAATGGTCATGTATGTGTATTCTGGATGAATAGTTTAAAAACAATCTTACTTGGCCTCCTTGAGTTTCTTATTTGTCTTAGTTTAGATCTAAAAAGAGATCATAAAAATTATTTATTGCTAGGTGATGGATTTAATGTGTGGAGAAGAAAATAGGTTAGAAGTGCATGGAATCTAAAAATTAAGCTATAAAGAGATGGTAAACTATTCCATTGGTTTATTTGAGTGAATTTCATAGTTTTATTTGTTTCAGTTTTACTGAAACCATGAAATTCTGAGTCTTAGTTTGTGGTACTTAAAAAAAAAGTCAGTGAAATATCTGATTTATAATAATTTAAAATACTAGATGCTGCCAGTATCTCCTTAGTGTTGAAAATTGTTTTATGCTATCACTACTCAAATATAATTTAAGCATTTTGTTAAATAAGAGAATTAGTCATAAGAGTGAATTAGTATCCAGAATTGTTTATGCCATTCTGCACAAGATGATTATAAATATTTTTCTGAGATTAAGTGTGCTACATTGGATTAGGCTGAGATTTTTGTGTATTTTTTTACTTATAAAAGGACTGCCTATGCCTACTCTGTAAAGAGGCAGATAGGATTTCAAAAAATAAACAAGGTTATATTTATTTTAATATTAGGCAATTAAGCAGGAACATTTATCTGAAAATTGTCAGCATAAACATGTACAAATCAATAACAACAAAAAAACTGCTTTACTACCTCTCTGGTTTCCTAAATCCTGCTGTTGGAATTTCCACATATTCCTTTTATACTCTGTTGTATCTGGAACTATTTCTTAATCATTTGTTGGTCCTTGTATATCTTTCTTAAATTTGCATCTAGTGTAAAAGCACCAAACAACTTTTGATATTCTCTTTCTCCCTGCCAACTCCAAAACCTTTTACATTCATATAGTAGCTTTACTGCATTTGAACAGTGTCTTAAAATTGACTCTGAAGCCCCAGTTTCTCCAGAGCCATTGAAAATTATTCTATCCACACCATAATACAAATTATTTATCATAATGCCTTCAGAATATTTAGCACCATACAATTTAGATCATTTTGAGGTATTCATGTTAATATAACTTTATGTAAGTTTTTGACGTAGTATTTCACATGTATTTGATCGTTCCAGTAATCTTGTGAGGTAGTCCCAGTGGTCTTCATGAAATGTAAATCAAATCATATCTCTTTACAGTTAAAAATCTTTCAGTGGTTTTCAGATTACTTGAGATGAAATCCTTGTCATTGCATTAAAGGCACTATTTAGTTCGGTCTCAGTCTAACTCTTTAGTCTCATCTACCATTTCTCCCCCACCTTGTCATAAACTCCAACTTTATTTAGTCATTCCTTCAACACTCAAAATTCCCAAAGTCCTTCTGGCCTTAGCATGTCATCCTCATTCAGTTTAGATACTTTTTCTTACCACTTTTCTTGGAGTAACTCTTATTCAGAGGCTAAAACATTTTTTCAGAGAGATTTTCATTTATTCTATATAGGGCCCTCATTATATGCTTTCATAGCTCCCTGTACGTTTACTTCACAGCACTTAACAATATTTTATTATGTACCTTGATTGCTTACTTTTCCTCTCTCCTCCACTGGACTCTTGAACAAAGGGACCTTGGCTGTTTTGCCAACCACTTTATTCATATGAAGTATTTTTTGAATGAATGAATTCCCATTTCTAAGATGGACAGTCGAAGGGTTTTATTGCTGAGTAACTTTTCTAAGACTTCATAGCAAGTAGTGTCAAAAATAGAAGTTTGGTGTGGTGCTTTTTCTATAGTAAATTTAGAATTTATATCTACTCAAGTCTGATTTCAGGAGATAAGAATATATATAAACAAAAATAATCATGAAAACAAATTGAGATTGGTATGACAAATTCATCCACAGTTTAGTGTTTGCTACATTTCTAGGAAACTTCTTCAGAGAATGGTAGTGTTTTTGTGTGTGTGTGATCTTTATTGATGTGAAAACATGAATCTCTTATAGGCATGCGTGTGAACATTTGGGCTCTTATTCTACGAAGTTTCTGATAGTCAAAGCTCTAACCCTAAAGATACTCACTTTGAAAATACTCATTTTCTCAATAAGTAAAGTGGATTGTTAGAAATTGTTGGAATTTATCTTCTAAATAAGCCTTCCAGTTCTATTTATAGCTTGGTGATAATGTTATCATATCCTCTGCTATCTCACTTTTAAAAGTGAACTTATTGTTTCATAAAGAGGGAGTGTGGTATATGATTTTACTAGGCATCTGTTACATTTCTAGGTCTTTGTTAAATAAATGGAATTTAAAGTTTGGTGTAATGAAAAGAACACTGAACTTTAGAGTCTGAAAACTAGAGTGCGGGACTTTGTGTACCCACCGAGTAGTGTTACATGACCTTGATAAGTTATATAACCTCTCTGAGTTTTGGCTTTTCCTTCTGTTAAAAAGGAGGCTGGGCACAGTGGTTCACACCTGTAATCCCAACACTTTGAGAGGCCCTGGCAGGAGGATCACTTGAGGCGAGCAGTTCAAAACCAGCCTGGGGAACATAGGATTTCAAAAAATAAACAAGGTTATATTTATTTTAATATTAGGCAATTAAGCAGGAACATTTATCTGAAAATTGTCAGCATAAACATGTACAAATCAGCAACAACAAAAAAAAAAAACGGTGCATTTACTACCTCTCTGGTTTCCTCAAATTAGACCTGTCCCTACAAAAAATTTTTAAAAATTAACCGGGTGTGGTGGTGCTGTCTGTCGTCCCAGCTACTTGGAAGGCTGAGGCAAGAGAATCACTTGAGCTCAGGTGTTTGAGGTTACAGTGAGCTATGATCACAACACTGCATTCCAGCCTGTGCAAGAGTAAGACCACCTCAAACAAACAAACAGATAAATAAATGAAGATAAATAAAAGGTTGCTCTACCCTGTCTCAAAGGAAGGAGGGAAGGGAGGGAAGAAAAAGGTTGCTCTACCATCAACTAATATAAAAACACTTTGTACGAAAACCTTATATAAACATTAAACATTTATATTATGCAGATACTAAGATTTTAAACAGAAGTGAGATGATCACGTTTGTGGTTTTAAAATGTTTGGCAGCAGAGTGGAGGACAGCTTGGAAGCAAGCAAAACTTAAAGTAGTTGGACAAATCAAGCAGCTATCATAGTAATCTATGCCACTAAAAATAGTGTGGAAGGGGAGCTGCAGAACTAAAGTACTTTTCTGAGGATGAAGAGGCGAGGGGCAGACTCTTAGAAATATTCTGGAGGTGCTTGGTTAATGGATGTTATGGAGCGGGGAATATAGGTTAATATTCTGGTTTGTGGCTTGGGAAATTAAATTACTGATGAAGTCACTTGTTAAAGTAATAGTAGAGAATGGGTAAATGGAGAGAGAGAGGATTGACTCAAGGTTGAGATGTCTGGAAAATCCAAGTTGACATGGACTAATAGGAATTGGAAATACGATTCAAGAACTTGAGGACTAGCTCTGAGATGCAGATTTTGGAATTATTGATATGAATTATAGGAGAATATAAACAGTGAAAGAAGAAATCAAAGAGCAGGGCTATGTAATACATTTAAGCAAAAGAGAAGGTTGTAAAAAAAATTGGGAGGAGTATCACCCCCCCACCCAAAAAAAAAAAAGAATTACAGAGGCTAATTTTTAGAGGGATTAATAGATATATAAAATTATGAATCCGTTGGATTTGTTAAGGTGGTCATTGGTGATTTGTGAGGGCCCATTAGACTAGGAAGACCTGTAAGTGAAAGTTGAGGAAATGGAAACTTGAGAAGCTTGACTGTAAGGACAAGTCATAAAATGAGAATAGATGAGAAAATACGAGAGTTGAGAGGTGATATGAGGGGAGAGGAGGAAAAGACTTAATCCCTGTTGAAATGCTGGTAGGAAAAGGTCTCCAAGGAAGCAGAAGGAAATTAGATCCACAGCATAGGAGCAAAAATTATTGGCCTGGGATTTGAGGAAGATTACTTCCTCTACTGATACGTAAGGGAATCAGGTAAGATTCAGGTGTGATGCAGTAGAGTTGGACAGGCTTCTGACTGCTTTGTAAGGTAGGTAGCAAGGTTGTTCAACCTAATGGGTTAGAGACTAGGTAAGACTGCCAAAGGTTTGAAATAATTATTGAGGATATAGAAGGGTATGCTATGGACATGGTGGAAGATTACAGGTCATCTTTGAAGGACTTGAGAGATTGAAAACCATAGGTCTTCAGTCTCTATATCATTTTCTTTAGTAACTATGAACCCAGATAATATTAACATTATGATAAAAATAATTTCAGATTGATGTATGTAAGAATCGTGTGTAATGACCAGGTATGAGGCACCCTCATAAAATTCCTTGTAATCCTCTGAAACAGGAAGATTATAGTGATTAAGCCATAGATCTTTTAGATTATACATTGGTACATTTACTTCATAACTTCTTTACAGGAACACAGTCAAATGTCTTAGTATTCAGAAATACTTCACCTTTGGTTTCATTTATAAAGCATTGACTCCTTTGTATAAGAAATTTAGCCTGTTCATCACAAAACAATTTAATTACTACTCTGGGCTGCTCAAGATGGTTTGTACATTAGTATTTAGATGAATTTTAGATGGTTGCAGGTCTGTAGTTAGTATAATATTTGGTACCAAAATTTGATCAGCTTCAAATCAGTAAATATGTCAGTTTTGGAATTGTTTGTTTTGCTTATATTATCTTCCAAGATATAAAGGGTAATAATCTGTCCTTTATGTGCTTTTCCTTTTATATGAGATATCACTCATATAAAATCATATATGAGATAACACTCATTATTTTTCTGGCTTATTCACTGGTTGCTCTAGTTACCAAAAGGAAGTATTTTCTCAGGAATGAATACACTACCGTATATCAGAATCACATTTTGATAAATTTAGAAATGATTGCAAATGAATTGTGCTTTTCCAAGTCTTGAAGAAAATTCTTCAAGACTTACGTAAATTTTTAATTAAAATCTAATGCAAATTCACCTGTTTAGAAAAAGTACAACTATAAAAAATAAATACAAAAGATCATATAAAGTTATGAATTTTTTCAGAAATAAAAAGTAATGAATAAAAACTGTGCCTTTTATGCATTTTGCTGTGTATATTTTGTCCCAATTTTTAAATGTGTTTGTAATTAGTTTTCTTATTTTTATGCATAAAATTTCCATTGTTGACTGTCACTGAACACTATCACTTTTGCTAGCCTCAATATTATTCTTAGTCTATTTGACTGTACTTCATTCTGTGTGCATATATGTGAAGATGTATCTATACATAACTTCTGTGTTAAACAAAAGACGTTTACTCTTGCTGTTAAAACTTTCTGGCAGATTTTGGATAACCCTCCTTGCACCACTTGATAATAACTCACAAGCTGCAACTCTTCTGAATTCCACTTCCACAAGCAGACAATCTTTTTTAAGATAAAATGTCATGTTTATTATGGTATTTATATATTTCCTAACCATTCAACACATGTAAAGCTGTGCTACTGTTTTTATTATCTTCTTTAAAACATGTCACTGACAGTGCTTCAGCAAGAGAAGGAAGGGGATGGTATTAGGGAAGCATGCAAACCTGTACAGCATGTTACCATACTGAATAGTGTAGGCAGTTTTAATATAATGTTAAGTATTTGTGTTTCTAAATATAGAAAAAGAACAGTAAAAATGGCATATAAAAGATTTTTTTAAATGGTACACTTATTTAGAACACTTACCATGAATGGAGTTTGCAGGGCTGGACGTTGCTCTGGGTGAGTCAGTGAGTTAGTAGAGAGTGAATGTGAAGGCCTAGGGCAGGGTTGTCCCATCTTTTGGCTTCCCTGGGCCAAATCAGAAGAAGAATTATTGTCTTGGACCACATGTAAAATACACTAACGCTAAAAATAGATGATAAGCGAAAAAAAAAATCACAAAAAAATCTCATAATGTTTTAAGAAAGTTTACGAATTTGTATTGGGCTGCATTCAAAGGTGTCCTGGGCCACCTGTGGGCCTCAGGTTGGACAAGCTTGGCCTAGTGCATTAATGTACACTGCTGTAATCTTTATAAACACCATACACTTAGGCTACACTAAGTTAATTTAAAAATATTTTCTTCAATAATAAAATTAACTTTAGCTTACTGTAACATTTTTACGTTATAAACCTTAAAAATGTTTTAAATGTTTTTGACTCGTTTGTTATAACACTTGGTTTAAAACACCAATACATTATACAGCTGTACAAAAATATTTTCTTCATATCCTTATTCTATAAGCTTTTTTCTATTTCTAAATTTTTTCTAATTAAAAAGTTTTTTTGCCGTAAACTAAGAGACAAACACACATTAACCTAGGCCTGCACAGTCAGGGTGATCAGTATCACTGTCTTCTGCCTCCATATCTTGTCCCATTGGAAGGTCTTCATGGGCAGTAATATTCATGGAGCTGTCATCTCCTGTGATATCAGTGCCTTCATCTGGAATACTTCCTGAAGGACCTGCCTGAGGCTGTTCTACAGCTAACTTTTTTTTATATATAAGTAGAAGGAGCACACTCTAAAATAACGATTATAGTAACAAAGTATAGTAAATACATAAACTCATAACAGTTGTTTATTATTGTCAAGTATTATATGCTGTACATAATTATATGTGCTATACTGTTGTAAGATTGGCAGCACAGTAGGTCTGTTTACACCAGCATCACCGTAAACATGTGAGTAATGAGTTATGCTACAACATCACAATGGCTACATCATTAAGCAAAAGGGCTTTTTTAGGTACATTATGGTGTATGGGACCACCATCATATATGTAGTTTGTCATTGGCAAGAAAGTCATTATGCAGTGCATGACTGTATACAGATGGTCCTCAACTTAATGATGGAGTTACAGCCTGCTAAACTCATTAGAAATTGAAAATATTGTAAGTAAAAAATCCATTTAATATGCCTAACGTACCATACAATATAGGTTAGACTAGCCTACCTTAAACATGCTTAGAACACTTAAATTAATCTACAGTTGGGCAAAACCAGCTAACAGAAAATCTGTTTTATAATAAAGCATTGACTACTGTACTGAAAATGAAAAACAGAATCATCGTATGGATATTAGAAATATGGTTTCTGCTGAATGCTTATCAGTTTCACACCATTATAAAGTCCAAAAATCTTAAGTCACACCGTAAGTTGAACTGTCTATATCAACTTTTTTCATTGTAGTAAGAATACTTAACATGAGCGCTGCCCTCTTAATTTTTTTCTGTACAATATAATATTGTTAACTATAGGCACAATATTGTACAATAGACTTACTCATTTTGCATAACTGAAACTTTATACCCACTGAATATCATCACCTCCTTATTTCTTCCTTTCCCCAGCCCCTGGCAGTCACCATTTTACTCTGTTTCTATGACTATGATGTTTTAGATACCTCATAAGTGGAATCATGCAGGATTTGTCTTTCTGTGACTCATTTACTTCATTTAGCATAGTGACCTTCAGGTTCATCCATGTTGCTGCATATGGCAGGATTTTCTTTTTTCAGGCTAAATAGTACTCCATTTTTCTTTATTCTTTCATCCATCAAAAGACATTAAGGTTGTTTCCGCATCTTGGCTATTGTGAATAATGCTGCAGTAAACATGATAGTACATATATCTTCAGGACTCTGATTTTAATCCTTTTGGATATGTACCCAAAAGTAGGATTGCTGGATCATATGGTCATTCTATTTTTAATTTTTTGAGGAACCTTCATACCATTTTCCATAGCCAGTGCACCATATTATATAGTCTACAAGAGTTCCAATTTCTCCACATCCTCACCAACAGTTACCTTTTGTTTTTTTCAATAATAGCCATCCTAACACGTGTGAGGTGATATCTCATTGTGGTTTTGATTTGCCTAATTAAGTGTTGTAACACCTTGAAATTTTCAAAAACAAGCATTAGAAAAGAACCGACTGCATGTATAATAAGATAGAGCTGTAATTGATTTTTTCCTTTATGCATGATCTGTTGTGCCAGTACCTTTTATAGAATAGTCCATCTTTGCCTATTAGTTTGTAATGATGCTTTTGACATATGTCTTCATATATATGTGAGTCTGGCTCTTATTTCTTTCCACTGTTTTCATTGGTCTTTTTACTTCTCTCTATGCCAATATCACATTTTCTTAATCACAGCTTTGACACTTTGTAACCTTGGGCAAGTTAATTTCTGTGTGTATATATACTCCATCTGAAATTAAGATAATAGTACCTACTTCATTGGGTAAATGAAAATATATGAATGTGCTTAGAAGTATGCACATGGCTCAAGAGTAAAACTCAAATATTAGTGATTTTGTTATTAAACTTAATAAAGGTAATAATTAACCTTAATATGTTAATAATTAATAATAAATTAAGCTTAATAAAGAGGCTTAGTAATGAGGAAACTGAGATTTCCACTTTGTTTTTCTTCCAGACTTTCTGGGGAAGTGGGGAGAGGGTTATGGAGGGATTCCCTGAAGCAGTGACATTTAGGCAGATATGTGAAAGATTATAGTTGTTAACTATGTGTCTTAGCCCCTTCAGGCTGCTATAACAAAGTACCTGTAAGTGGCTTAAAAACAGCAAATTTATTTGTCACTGTTCTGGAGGCTGGTAAGTCCAAGATGACTAGGTACTGGCAGGTTCTGTGTCTGGTGAGGAGGACACAGCATACTTTCTGGTTCATAGATGGAACCTTCTAGCTATAGTGGAAGGGATGAGGTGTCTCTCTGGGAGCCTCTTTTATAAAGGCATAAATTCCATTCGTGAGGACTCTGCCCTTATGATCTAATCACCTCCTAATTCCCTATCCTTGGGGGTTAGGATTTTAACATTAATTCTGGGGGAGGAGACACACGCATTCAGACCATAGCTCTACATGTTGAAAAGAATAAGGGAATTTTCTAGGTAGAAGGGGTTATGAGGCAGAAAATGGTGTGTCAAGGAAATGAAAGAAGGCTCTTGCAGCTGGATCTGGGCACAAAGAAAAATGGTACCAGCTGAGTCTAAAGAGGTAGCTAGGGATTAGATCATGCAAGACCTTTTAGACAATGTTAAGCATTTTAGACTTCATCCTACATAGTTATAACTATTTGTATTGGTTGATATCCTAATGACTTTAAGTCCATAAAAGAAACTCAAAGTGAAAATTGGGCTTATCTGGACCCTAATAGTATATAAGGATTAAGAATACCATTGAGAATATATGAATTCAGGTCTTTGTTCATTGTTTGTAGTCTTTGTAATCTGTTGATTCCGTTCTAGTATTTTATCAGTTCAGATTGAACATTGGGAATTTTGGCAGATTTCATAGATGTAGAAGTATAGTTTTTACAGTGCAACAGATCTATATAAATGTATTGAAATAAAATCTTTTCATTTATTTGTCTGTGTCATCTAATCTTACCTTTCTTAGTCTTCTTTCTTGTCTACGTCTTCTAATCTCATCTTTCTAATATATACCTAACAACACTATACATTGTTTCTGGAGTAGATTCTCCTATTTTTCTTTTTCTGTTTGCTTTTTGAGACAGAATCTTGCTCTATTGCCCAGGCTGGAGTGCAGTGGCATGCTCTCAGCTCAGTGCAACCTCCACCTCCTGGGTTCAAGCAATTCTTGTGCCTCAGCCTCCTGAGTAGCTGGGGTTACAAAAGTATGCGCCACCACACTTGACTAATTTTTGTATTTTTAGTGGAGACGGGGTTTCAACATGTGGGCCAGGCTGGTCTTGAACTCCTGGCCTCAAGTGATCCAGCCATCTTGGCCTCCCACAGTGCTGGGATTACAGGCGTGAGCCACAGCACCTGGCCAGATTCTCCTATTTTTCTACTTTCCTGATGTTTCATTACCATAAAATTGTGTAGATAGCCCTAAGAGAAATATGGTGCCCTTTTTCAATTGAAGATAGTATTGAAAGCAATTAAATATCATCAAATGGGAAAGTCTCCTATCATAATAGTATCATTGTACAGAAAGAAGTCACTACAAGATCTAGGAAAGATAGTTGATACAGAAATATATGACAATAGACAGTTGACATAGAAATGTATGACATTATAGAAGGTTTACCAAGTATATACTTTTAGTACCGCAGTCCCTTTTTATCTGCAGAGTATAAGTTCCAAGACCCTCAGTGGATGCCTGAACCTGCAAATAGTAGCAAACCTTATATACACTGCTTTTTCCTATGCTTACATATAATAAAGTTTAATTTATAGGCCAGGCACACTGGCTCATGTCTGTAATCCCAGCACTTTCGGAGGCCAAAGTGGGAGGGCACCTTGAGCCCAGGAGCTTGAAACCATCCTGGGCAACGTAGTGATATCTCATCTCTACAAAAAATAAACAAAATTAGCTGAGTTTGTGGCACATGCCTGTAGTCCCAGCTACTCAGGAGACTGAGGTGGGAAGATCACTTGAGCCAGGGAGGTTGAGACTACAGTGAGCTGTGATCATGCCCCACTGCACTCCAGCCTGGGTGACAGAGCAAGACCCTGTCTCCAAAAAAAAATAAATAAATAAGTTTAACTTATAAATTAGCCACAGGAAGATTAACAGCAACAATTAATAATAAAATAGGACAGTTATGACAATATTCTGTAAAAGTTATGTGGATGTGGTTTCTCAAAATACCTTACTGTACTGTACTTACCCTTTTTGTAATAGTGTGAGATGATAAAATGCATAGGTGATGAGATGACATGAGGTAAATGACATAGGCATTGTGATGTAAATGGAAGATTTCAGAAATAATTTATAGGTTTTAAATTACATGTGTGCTGCATAGCATGATGAAATACTGTGCCATTCCACCCAAACTGCCTTCAAGCCCTCTTGGTTATCAGGTTGACTGTTGCAGTATCACAATCCTTATGTTCAAGTATCCCTTATTTTATTTAATAATGACCCAAAATGCAAGAGTAGTGAGAGTACCACAGTTGACAGTTAACCCGCAGAAAGTGAAACTGCAGATAAAAGGAGGCTACTGTATAACTGTAAAGGATTTATTAAGTACTTTGGGAGATAAAACTCTATATCTTAAAAATGTCTAAGTAACTATAAATAGAATTTCTATACTTTTCCACAAATTGTTTTTAATGTGTTTTATAAATGATATTTGTAACTGTAGTATTAATGTTATCTCAAGTCCATATTCTATTTTTAATGGATATGGCATTAGCTTTTTAAGAAAACTAACGGGAAATTTTGCATTTCCATTTTAAAGGGAAAAATCAGTAACTAAGAAAAATTAACTGAAGATCAGAGTCTACCCTCCCAAATGATACTATACTCCCCAGTAGTTTTTCATACAAGTAAATCATTAAGGGGCAGATAACCCGTTACAAACTACTTTTGTAGATAGTAGAAGAGTAAAAGCTATTCCAGGTTTGTTCAGAAGAGTACAGGAGAAAAAGCTTGGCAAGTGCAGAAAATTTTCATCACCTTTAACACTTAGTCATGATAGTCTAAACAAATGTTGAATAGAAAGGAACTTCTCTAAGTTCATAAGCAGTATTTATCAAAAACCTACAGCAAGCTAATAAGCAGCATTTATCAAAAATCTACCTAGTGGTGAAACTTTAAATGTTGTCATAAAAAAAAAGACAAAAATGTTTGCTGTCTCTTCACCTATATTTTAGGAGCCCTAGCCAAGAAAAATAGGCAATAGACAAGAACAATAGGAATACAATTAGAAAGGAATGATTAAACACATTATTTGCAGCAACAGTATGAGTTTTTACATAGAAAAATCTAAGGGAACCTACAACCAGGTAAAACTACTAAGAGTTCAGGATGCTGGTGGATATCAGATTAATCACTTAAAAAAATTAGGCTGAGCACAGTGGTTCATGCTTGTTATCCTAGCACTTTGAGAGGCCGAGGCAGGCGGATCACTTGAGGCCAGGAGTTTGAGACCAGCCTGGCTAAGATGGCAAAACCCGGTCTTTACTAAAAATAGAAAAATTAGCTGGGCATGGTGGCACAAGCCATAATCCCAGCTACTCTGGAGGCTGAGGCACGAGAATTGCTTGAACCTGGGAAGTGGAGGTTGCAGTAAGCCAAGATCGTGCCACCACACTCCAGCCTGGGCAGCAGAGCGAGACCCTATCTCCAAAAAACAAACAACAAATATTATTTCTATGCATCAACTACAAGCAGTTATAGAATTTAATTAATTGGGGAAAAAATGTAAAATTCACATAGAAAAACTGAGGTTTCTAGGAACGAATTTAGCAAAACATGATTTTTATTGGAAAAACATATAAAATTTATTGAAAGACATTAACCTGAATAATGGAGAGATACGCCGTGGCTGTGGATAAGAAGACTCACTTTGGTAAAGATGGCAGTGTCCCTCAACTTTGTAAGTGTAATGTACTTCCAATCAAAATCTTATTAGACTTTTTTGTGGAACTTTGCGAAGAAAGCAAGTCGAATGTCTGAGTATAAGTAAAGTCATTGCTAGTCTAGTCAATATTTATTTTAGAAAATAGGATTTTCTTAAGACTTAGTCCCTCAATTCTTTTCTCACAAATCTTAAATTCCACAATGTGTGGGGGCTTTCAATTGCATAATCTTGACAGTGAGTTCAGAATACTGGTACATAGATAATTCTGCATATCCACTTTTAGGGAGTTAAACTCATGAATATTCTTTAAGAAATCTGAGGTTTTGTTAGGTTAGTGCCTTTGCTTTAGCTATTTTCGGACGTAACTGTGGGTTTTTGTTCTTATAGTGCTATATATGGTAAGCATAGAAAAGAAACACTAGAATGGATAATCTTCTAAAAAGCTTTGTTACCTGTAGTATTACACACATGAGCTTTAAATCTCTCATTAACCTTTATCTTTACCTTTGATTCTGCTTGTGATTGAACCTGGTTAAATGTGGGAGAAATGTTTCTAGAAAAATTTAAAATCATTGTGAACCAATGACAAAGCAGTATTTTATAGCAGGCATACTGTAGTCAGAATAAATTTTTACAATGTTTTAGGTTTTTTTTTAATGCTTTCTATCCTAGTGAACTCTTGTTTTACTTTTTCTGTCATTGGTCATCTGATGAGAAGCTAGTTTCTAGGCAGCTGAAAATAAGATGGATATAGTTTCAGTAATGTTTACAGTGTTAGCTGTATCACACTTTTGAAATCATTCAAAAACCAATCCTGCTTGCCCCATATTTTACTACTATAGGAGGAACAGTCAGAGATAGTATTGTTGTTATTAACTTCTGTTGGTAAAGAAGCTTAATTAAGGTTTTAAGAGTTGATTATACTTTCTATTAATATTTTTATAGATTTAGGGACTACAAATGCAGTTTTGTTACATGGATGAACTGCATAATGGTGAAGTAAGGGCTTCTAATGTAGCCATCAGCTGAATAGTGTATATTGTACTCATTTAATAATTTATCATCCCTCTCCTGCCTCCCACCCTTCTGAGTCTCCAATGTCTGTTATTCACGCTCTATGTGTATACATGATTTAGCTCCCACTTATAAGTGATAACATGCAGTATTTGATTTTGTATTTCTGAATTATTTCCCCTAAGATAATGGCCTCCAGTTCCATCCATGTTGCTGCAAAAAACATGGCTTCCTTCTTTTTTATGGCTAAGTAGTATTCCATGGTGTTTGTGTCTTTGTGTTTGTGTATGTGTGTGTGTACATGAGTGTGCCACATTGTCTTTATCCAGTCATCCATTTATGGACACTTAAAGTGTTTCCTAAGATAATGGCCTCCACTTCCATCCATGGTGCTGCAAAAAACATGGTTTTATTCTTTTTTATGGCTGAGTAGTATTCCATGGTGTGTGTGTGTGTATCCATATATGCTACATTGCCTTTATCCAATCATCCACTGATGGACACTTAGGTTGTTTCCATATCTTCACTATTGTGAATAGTGCTGTGATAAACATACAAGTGCAGGTGTCTTTTTGATAGAATGATTTCATTTCCTTTGGGTATATACCTAGTAGTGGAATTACTAGATCCAGTGATAGTTCTATTTTTAGTTTTTTGAGAAATCTCCATACTGTTTTCCATAAAGGTTGTACTAATTTCCATTCCCTCCATTCCCACCATTCCTTTTCTTCTGCATCCTTGCCAACATCTGTTATCTTTTGAGCTTCTAATAATAGCCATTCTGACTGGTATGGATGCTTTTTCACTGTGGTTTTACTTGTATTTATCTGATAATTAGTGATGTGGAATTTTTTTTCATATGTTGACCATTCATATGTGTTAGTTTGAAATTTTTCTGTTTAGAGTAAACAGACAATCTACAAAATGGGAGAAAATATTTTCAAACTATGCATACAACAAAAGACTAATATCTGGACTCTATAAGGAACTTAATAAGAAAAAAAACGCCCATTAAAAAGTGGACAAAGAACATGAAGAGAATTCTCCAAAGAACACATACAGACAGCCAGCAAATGTATGAAAAAATGCACAAAATCACTAATAATCAGAGAAATACAAATCAAAACCACAGTAAGATACCATCTCACACCAGTTGAAATGGCTATTATTAAAAAGTTAACAGATTTTAGCAAGATTGCAGAGAAAAGGGAATGTTTAATATGTTATTGGTGAGAATGCAAATTAGTTCAGCCCCTGTGGAAAGAAAGCAGTTTGGAGATTTCTCAAAGAACTAAAAATAGAAATACCATTCGCTCAGCAGTCCCATTACTAGAAAATAAATCATTCTACCAAAAAGACACTTACACTCATATGTTTATCACAGTACTGTTCACAATAGTAAAGACATGGAATCAACCCAGGTGCCCATCATTGATGGATTGGATAAAGAAAATGTGATACATGGCCGGGCGTGGTGGCTCATGCCTGTAATCCCAGCACTTTGGGAGGCTGAGGTGGGCGGGTCACCTGAGGTCAGGAGTTCGAGACCAGCCTGACCAACATGGTAAAACCCCGTCTCTATTAAAAATACAAAATTAGCCAGGCGAGGTGGCGCATGCCTGTAATCCCGGCTACTCGGAAGGCTGAGGCAGGGGAATCGCTTGAACCCGGGAGGTGGAAGTTGCGGTGAGCTGAGATCGCACCATTGCACTCCAGCCTGGGCAACAAGAGCGAAACTCTGTCTCAAAAAAAAAAAAAAAGTGATACATATATACCATGCAATACTGTGCAGCTATCAAAAAGAATGAAATTGTATCCTTTACAGCAACATGGATGCAGCTGGAGGCCATTATTCTAAGCAAATTAACACAGATACAGAAGACCAAATACTGTGTGTTCTCACTTATAAGTAGGAGCTAAACATTGGGTATACACGAACACAAAATTGAGAACAATAGACACTGGGGATTCCAAAAGAGAAGAGGGAGAGAGGGGAGTAGCGGTTGGAAAAAAACCTCTCAGGTACCGTATTTGCTACTGGGCAACAGGATCATTAGAAGCCGAAACCTCAGCATCACGCAATATACCCATGTAACAAACCTGCATATGTACCCCCTGAATCTAATATTTAAAATAAAATTTAAAATTTTTTAAAACGAATTTATGATATAAAAATAAATTTTAAAAATCTGTGTTCTTTGCCCACATTTAAATGAGTTTTTTTGGTTGCCATTGTTGTCATTGAGTAGTTTGAGTTCCTTGTAAATTCTGAATATTAGTCCTTTGTTGGAGGCATAGATTACAGATGTTTTCTCCCATTGTTAGGTTGTCTGTTCTCTCAATTATTTCCTTTGCTGTACAGAAGTTTTTCAGTTAAACTAAGTCACTTTTGTCTATTTTTGTTTTTTGTTGGATTTGTTTTTGAGATGTTAGTCATAAATTCTTTGTGTAGGCCAGTGAACAGAGAGTTTTTCCTAGGTTTTTTTTAGGACTTTTATAAAAGTTTCAAGATCTTGAATACACCTTGCGTTAATTTTTGTTGTTGTTGTTTTTCCACCTTGAGTTAAATATTTTATATAGTGAGAAGTAGGGGCCCAGTTTCATTCTTCTGCATGTGGCAATCCAGTTTTCCCTGTACCATTTATTGAATAGGGTCTCCTTTCCCAGCGAATGTTTTTGTCAGCTTCGTTGAAGATCAGTTGGCAAAGGTATGTGGCTTTATTTCTGGGCTCTCTATTCTGTTCCATTGATCTGTGTGTCTATTTTTGTACCAGTACCATGCTGCTTTGGTTACTATAACCTTGCAGTTTAATTTGAAGTTGGGTAATGTGATGCCTCCAGCTTTGTTCTTTTTGCTTAGTATTGCTTAATCTATTGAGATTCTTTTTTTTATTTCATATGAGTTTTAGAATTGTTTTTTCTAATTCAGTGAAACATGATGTTGGTATTTTGATAGAAATTACATTGAATCTGTAGATTGCTTTGGGCGGGGAAGTATGAGTTATTTTAACATTATCGATTCTTCTGATCCATCAGCATGGGATGTTGTTCCACTTATTTGTGTCATCTACAGTTTCTTTCATCAGTGTTTTGTAGTTTTCCTTATAGAGGTCTTTCACCTCCTTGATTAGATGTGTTCCCTGGCATTTTACTTTTTTTTTTTTTTTTTTTGGTAGCTTTGGTAAATGAAACTGACTTTGATTTGGTTCTCAGCTCGATTGTTACTAGTGTATAAAATTGCTTCTGGTTTTTGTAAGTTGATTTTGTATGCTGAAACTTTACTGAGTTCGTTTCTCAAAGAAGTCTTCGTGGAATCTTTAGAGTTATCTAGGTATAAGATGATATTGTCAGCAAACAGAGATAACTTGGCTTCCTCTTTTCCAACTTGGATGACTTATTTCTGTTGCCTCTTTTCTGGCTGTGACTTTTAGTACTATACTGAATCGGAGTGTGTAAGTGGGCATTTTTGTCTTGTTCCCATTTTTAGCAGGAATTCTTTCAACTTTTCTCCATTCGTATGATATTGGTTGTAGTTTCGTTGTTTGTGACTTTTATTATTTTGAGATATGTTCCTTCTGTGCCTAGTTTGTTGCAGGTTTTTATCATGAGATGTTGAATTTTACCAGATGCTGTTTTTGCGTCTATTGAGATTATTATATGGTTTTTGTTTTTAATTTTGTTTAGGTGGTGAATTGCATTTATTGATTTGCATATGTTGAACTTCCTTTGCGTGCCTGGAGTAAAACCCACTTGATCATGGTGTATTATCTTTTCGAATGCTGTTGTATTCAATTTGCTAATATTTTCTTGAGGAATTTTGCATCTATATTCATCAGGAGATATTGATCTGTAGTTTTCTTTATTTGATGAGTCCTTGTTTGGCTTTGGTATCCGGGTGACACTGGCCTTGTAGAATTAGAAAGGGAAGATTCCCTCTACTATTTTGGAACAGTTTCAGTGGGATTGGTACAAGTTCTTTGTATGTCTGGTAGTATTCAGCTCTGAATCTGTCCTCTCCTGAGCTTGTTGTTGTTGTTGTTGTTGTTGTTGTTGGGAGATTTTCATCTTACTGATTTAATCTTAGTACTCATTATTGGTCTGTTCAGGGCTTCCAGTTCTTTCTGGTTCAGTACAATCTTGGGAGGTTGTATGTTTCCAGGAGTTTACCCACTTCCTCTAGGTTTTCTAGTTTGTGCATGTAGTGATGCTCATAGTAGTCTCTGATGACCTTTTGTATTTCTGCAGTATCCGTTATAATATCTTCTTTTTTATTTCCGATTGTGTTTATTCGAATCTTCTCTCTTCTTGGTTAGTCTAGCTAGCAGTCTGTCCGTTTTGTTTCTCTTTTCAAAGAACTAACTTTTCATTTCATTGATCTTTTTGTATTGTGTTTTTGGTCTCAGTGTCACTTACTTTTCCTCTGATCTTTATGTCTTTTCTTCTGTCAAATTTGGATTTAGTTCTTGTTTTTCTGTTTCATTGGGTGTGACATTAGGTTGTTAATTTGTGTGTGTGTGTGTGTGTGTGTGTGTGTGTGTGTGTGTGTTTAGACAGCAGTATAAACTTTCCTCTTAGCACTGCTTTTGCTGTATCCCAGAGGTTTGGTATGTTGTATCTCCTTTTTCATTCATTTAAACATTTTTTAAAATTTTCATCTTAATTTTGTTGTTGACCCAAAGATCGTTCAGGAACATGTTGCTGAATTTCCATGTATTTGTATAGCTTCAAGAATTCCCCCTTGGGATTGATTTCTAGCTTTATTTCACTGTGGTTTAAGAAGATACTTGATATGATTTCAATTTAAAAAAAAATTCTTTAAGACTTGTTTTGTGGCATACCATATGGCCTATTTTGGAGAATGTTTCATGCATGATGAAAAAGAATGTATATTCTGCTATTTGGGGCTAGAATGTTCTGCAAATGTCTGCCAAATACATTTAGTTTAGAGTCCAATTTAATTCTGGTGTTTCTTTGTTGGTTTTGTGTCCTGATGATCTGTCTAGTGCTGTCAGTGGAATATGGAAGTCCCCCACTATTATTGTATTGCTGTTTATATCTTTTCTTAGGTCTAGTAATATTAGTTTTATGAATCTGGGTTTGGGTCTTCTGGTGTTGGGTACATATATATTTAGGATTGTTATGTCTTTCTATTGAATTGATCCCTTTATAATAACTTTGTGTATTTTTTTACTGTTTTTGATTTAAAGTCAGCTTTATCTGATCTAAGTATAGCTACTCCTACTTGTTTTTGGTTTCCGTTTGCATGGAGTATCTTTTTGCACCCCTTTCTTCAGTCTGTAAGTTTCTTTACCACTAAGGTGAGTTTATTGTAAGCAGCATATAGTTGGATCTTGTTTTCTAAATTCGTCCTGCCAATCTTTATCTTTTAAGTAGAGCATTTAACTCATTTATGTTTAAGGTAAATATTGATATGTGAGGTTTTATTCCTGTAGTAATGTTAATTGTTATCACATTGCTTTGTAGTTTCGTTGGTGTAATTATTTTACAAGACCTGTGGATTTTTTACTTTCTTACATTTTTATGATGGCAAGTATTGACCCTTCATTTCCATGTTTAGACTTCCCTTGATCATTTTTGTAGAGCCAGTCTAGTGATGACAGATTCCCTCAATGATTGTTTTTCTAGGAAAGACTTTATATCTCCTTTATTCCTGAAGCTTTTTCTAGCAGGATACAAATTTTCAGGTTGACAGTTTTTTTTTTCTTTAAGCCTATTTTGAAAATAGAATCCCAGTCTCTTCTGACTTGTAAGTCATCTGCCAGGAAGTCTGCTGTTAGTCTGATGGAGTTTCCTTTGTAGGTGTCCAAATGCTTTTCTCTTGCTGAGACCACACAGTCTGATGACTCTATGTCATGGTGAGGCCCTTCTTGCAATGTATTTTTCTGGGTTTCATTGAGCCTCTTACTCTGGATGTCTAGATCACTTGCTGGACAAGAGAAGTTGGTTTTCCAAACTTTTTGCTTTCTTTTCTTTTCTTTCTCGAGAATACCTACAATTCCTAGATCCAGACATTTTATTGTAGTCTCCTACTTCTCAAAGGCTTTGTTCATCTTTAACATTCTTTTTTCTTTCTTCAAAAGACCTGTCTTTATGTTCTGAGATTGTTTATTCTCCTTGATCTAGTTTATTGTTGAAGCTTTCATCTGTATTTTGTAAATCCTTCAGTGAATTTTTTATTTTCAAAAGATTTCATTTATATCCTTAATTGATATTCTGTTTCTTTGTGTTGGTTTTTCACATTTTCCATGAATCTCATTGAGCTTCCTTAAAAATCAATATTGTGAATTATTTAGCATTTCAGTAATGTTGGTTAGGATTTATTGCTAGAGAGTTAGTGTGATCCTTTGAGGGTATCGTAACACCCTGTTTTTTCAAACTTCCAGAATTATTACACTGGTTCTTTCTCATCTGGAAAAACACATTTCTCAGTTTGAATTAATTTTTGTTTGAACGAGACTGTTTTCCCTTGAGGATGTGACTGTAATGTATGTTGAATATGGTCATTTGGCTTTGCTTCTGGGTGCTTTTAGTGGCAAAGACTCTATATGAATTTCCTGGTTTTAGATAGCCTTTGGTGGCTTTCTCAAACATCAGGTGTGATAGTGGTATACTTGGCTTGTGAGCAGGCTCACAGCCTCCTGTAAGTCAGGGTAGCAGAGGTCTCAAGAAGTGTATCTTGTTCCCAAATTGTGTGCATTTATGTTACCAGATTGGGTTGTGCAGTTCATCTCCAGGCCAATAAGTAGCATTTGCAGGTATGAGTCAGCTTCAGTGGTAACAGTGGGGTTTACGCTTGACCTTTGTTTGCCAGGGAAAGCTCAGATATTCTGATGACTGGCAGAGGCACCAGCCCTGACAAGGGTGGCAGGGGAGAGGGGAGTCATTGGGCCACTGGTAAAATGCACTGAGGTCTCTTGTGGAGAGGGGTGGGATGGGGGGGTGTGGGCCAGGTGATGAGCTGTCTTAGCACCCTGGCCTCAGCAGGCAGGAATGTGATGTTTCCCTCTCACACTCCTATTCTGGTGCTCAGGTTGTTCAGTTCTCTTAGACACTGCTGTTTATCTCCAAGCTGCAATGTAGCCTAGAACTACAGGAGATGCTTGCCCCATGGCTTGACAGTACACTTCTGTGCTATCTGGAAATGGGTGCCATGCAGACTCTGCTCCCTCCCCATGGCAGGACCCCTGAAACTCTAGGCAGAGAGTGGGACAGGACCCACCTTTCTCATGAACCTGGGCCCAGAGGCCACTGCCAGTGGAACTGCAGTTGCCCCTCACAGCTTCAGATAGCCTGCCCTCTGGTTTCTTGTGCCAGCTTCCCATGGGAGCAGCAATTACTGTGTCTGCAGCAGTGGGTGGAGGGGGAGGAGAAGTTCCCTTCTCTATGTCTGGGCTCAAGCACAGAGGCCACTTGGCCAGTGGTACAGGACCTTACTCCTCACTTGCAGTGCTGAGCAGAGTTTGTGTCTCTGTGTCTCTGCCAGGAGCAGGCATTCACTTGCAGCCCCAAGCAGAGAGCTCTTGGGGGGCGCTGGAAAATGCATGCTTTGGTTTCCTTTGTCCCAGAGGCTGTCCTTTTGGTGCACTGCACTTTTCCTTCTCTTAAAAGTAGCACTCCTTGTGGGATAGATTATTGGGAACCCTGCAGCACCCCGGGTCTAACTAGCACTGTGCCACTGCTGCCTGCTGAGTGGGTGCTGGGGAATGTCAGCAAGAGCTCCCAGGATGTGGAAGCACAAGGGCTGAGGTTCCCTGGGCAAGATAAAGTCCCCTGATGGATATGCTCTGATAATGATGCCTTGCCACAGATGCTCGAGTCTAGGATGGTGGGAAGGTGAGCAACCCAGCGTGAGCTTGCAGTCTGGTGTAACACCCTCAAGAAATCCCTACCCATACCACAGTCTAGGTTTGTGAGAGCAGAGGAGCTCTCCCATAGATCGCATACTAGCACTCTGCCACAGGAATGAAGGATCCCAAACACTCTCGCTTACCCTTTCCGTGCAACACCAAGTCCCTTGGGGCTCCCAGCCACTCTTTTTTGGCCTCTCACTTCCTTCTTTTTCTATGCCTAAATTTTTTCCTGTGATTTTTGTGTACTAGTATTCTCTCTCTGATATTCTGTTAGAGCTGTGATTATGTGTTTGTAATTTTGGTTCTTTTTTGAGACCGAGTCTCTCTCTGTCGCCCAGGCTGGACTGCAGTGGTGCGATCCCGGCTCACTGCAACCTCTGCCTCCCAGGTTCAAGCAATTCTCCTGCCTCAGCCTCTTGAGTAGCTGGGGTTACAGGCACCTACCACTATGCCTCCCAATTTTTGTATTTTTAGTAGAGACGGGGTTTCACGATGTTGGCCAGGCTGGTCTTGAACTCCTGACCTCAACTGATCCACCCACCTCAGCCTTCCAAAGCGCTGGGATTACAGGCGTAAGCCACTGCGCCCGGCTGTAATTTTGGTTCTTTTTTCTGAAGAGAACTGGAACTTGATGTCTTTAGTCAGCCATCTTGAACCTCTCTCTCTGATTATGATTATTATAATTAACCTTGCAACCCTTGATAACTGGTTTCCTTTACCTCCGAAACACACAATAAAGTACATAAAATTATTTGCAAGCTTCTTGTAAAAGAACCATTTTTTCTATTTACCATATTGCATTTTTAAATTTATTTTGACAAATTCTTACGGTTATTTCCATTTTTATTCAATGAGAAGCATTTTCTTGAATACGTATATTTGTATTTTTATGTCAGTATTTGTCATTAAGTAGTATATATTTATAGAACAATAGGAATAATACTTTATACAAATGAAGTCTTGTCTTTCTAATACTAAGGGGCATTACAGTTTTCAAATATCCTTTGAAGTAGATATGTCTTTTAATATAAAAGGAAATATCAAAAAATAGATGGCTGTTCTACTGTTCCTGTATTTTCAGGTATTTTCCTTAACCAATTTCTTTTATTTTTTAGGTACCTAGTCGATAGTCGCTGGTTCAAACAGTGGAAAAAATATGTTGGCTTTGACAGTTGGGACAAATACCAGATGGGAGATCAAAATGTGTATCCTGGACCCATTGATAACTCTGGACTTCTCAAAGGTCATTATTTTCTTCCTTCAGTCAAGTTGTAAATGTGTTAAATTTCATTATATAAATGTCAGTGGGTTGAATTTGGAAAATGTTAGCGCAAATAAGTTGATAAAGTTTTGCATTACAGATTTTACCTAATGAACTCATTATTCTAATAAGTTATTAAAAATTTTATTAGTTATTATTCTGTATGACAAGTTTTGTTTTTCATTTATGATGTAATAAGGTTTTATTGTTGTTTAAACCCTTAAATGAAGAACTGATTTCTTCATTTAAAGATTTCATTATTAAGTAATCATTATTTAATGATTATTTATTACTAAATAATAAGACTCATTATTTGTTATTAAATAATTAAACACTGATTATTTTGAGAAATGCTATGTCACATATTGTTTTTCCTAGTGGACACATGACATTTTTTAAAATTTGAGGAATAATCATATATGCTTAAGTTCTTAAATTTTTGCATTAGCTTTCTACAACCCTCACTACTTGCCAGTCCTTCTATATACCTCTTATTATGGGTAAAGGGAACAAAACATAAGTACCAGAACTTCCATTTCTAACAGTGGTTCTCAAAACACTGTGTATCAGGCAACGGAAAACAGTGATCCTTGAGAGATGCGAAACAAAATAGGTAAGCCCTCCAACTGCCTTCAGTTTACTGCATTAAAAGAGATTTCCAAGACACAACATGGGAAGATGAAACCCATGCAGACCCTTGCTATCTCCCTTAGTTGAGGAAACAGAGTTTGCAGTCTAGGAAAACCAAGGCTACAAGAGTCCAGGAAAATACCAGAAAGTAGTGAGTAGCTCAGAGAGAGAGAGACCTAGACCCCCCCCCATAGGGTTGCTCTTAAGTCTTCAACTATTAAACCGCACTTTGCATATAAGAAAACTGCCCAAGGTCAGACAAGGTACCACTGAAAAGAAGGAACAATCATCGAGGCTAATATAGGATTGGGAATCGTTTGTGTTCTCAGCAGCCAGAGTGGAAAACCACATAATTTAGAGTAGACTTCTGAGAACAGTTTTACTTATGTAATAGGGTGAAATTAATTTTCCTGCTCTGCTAACCTGAAAGCATCAAACTATTTCGAAGAAACTTAACTGCATTTCAGAATAAAACTTGAGTATTTATAAGAATACAAAAATATCCAGCATACAAAAATGTAAAATTTATAATGGCTTGGATCTGACCAAATATTACCTGGCATGTGAAGAAGCAGGAAAATATGATCAATAATGACAAGCAATGTCAATCTTAAAAACAAATCTCCCCCACAAGACATGGAAAAAATTAATAAAGAACAGATGAGACAAATACAAAATTAAAAGTTGCTAGATTGAAACCCAGCTCTATGAATAATCACATTAAATGTAAACACCTCAACTAAAGGTAGTGAGGGTGAGACTAGATTAAAAAGTTAAGAACCAGCTATAACTGCCTACAAGAAACTCACTTTAAATGCAAGAACACAGATAGATTAAGATATGGAACAAGATAACACCAGGCTGTGGTAAGCAAGACTAACCCCCAGTGATCCTCACTCTTGTATAATACTCTCCCCTTTGAGTGTAGGTGAAACCTGTAAATAGGATGAAGATATCACTCTTGTGATTATGTTATGTGGCAAAAAGAGACTATCCTGGTGAACGTAATCTAATCACACATACCCTTTAAAAACAGAGAGTTTTCTCTGTCTGGTGGCAAAAGAATTCAGAGATGCATGAAAGAGGGTCAATATGTCATTGCTGGTTTGAAGTTGGAAGGAATCATGTGAGATGCAAGGCAGGCAGCCTCTAGGAACAGAGAGTGGCCTCAGGTTGACAGCCAGCAAGGAAACGGGAACCTCAAACTCACAACCATGAGTAACTGAATTCTGCCAACAACTGAATGGGCTTGGAAGCAGATTCTCCCTCAGACCTTCAGATAAGAGCCCAGCAGGGGTGATATCTTGACTTCAGCCTTGTAAAGCCCTAAGCACAAATCCATTTGGGCCCTCCTTAACTACTGACCCACAGAACTGTGAACTAATAAATCGGTGATGTTTAAGCCACTATGGTAATTCATTATGTAACAGTGGAAAACTAATAACACATGCTAACACTGTTTTTTAAAAAGCCGGAGACATTAAGTTTCAGAATAAAGAACATAATCAGGGATAGAAAAGGTCACTTGATAATGACTAATGGGATGGGATAGTTCATCAAGAGAATATAGTAATCCTAAATACATACCTACCTAATGGCATAACTTGAAAATATGTGAAGAAGAGTGATGTCAGCAGGATGATAGAATAGAAAGTCCCAGCCCCCAACACCCAACAGAAACACTGAAGTAACAATGGACCAGACTCTTTATGAGAAACCCAAGATCCAGTTAAGAATTTGTAGTACTCCAGATGAGCCCAAAACTGAGAACAACAACATTGAAATGAGTAAGAACAATTTTATTTTGCCCACATCAGCCCCTCCTCCAAGGAGTCTTAGCTTAGTCTCAAGAGAGATTGTCTCAGATCAGGACCTCTCCCTTGGGGGAAAAGAGGGAGATCACGTGCTTAATTTTCCAGCCCTTCAGTGTACTACCCAACAGGCCAGTTTTCTAAAAAAAAATTTTGATCACCTTACATAGAGTGCTGAAGGAACCAGCATAGTTCTGATGCCTGGGGGCAGTTAACAAAGGAAAGAGGGTAGGTGGTTGCTGCAGCTGGAAGGCTCTGAGAGATTGAGAGAAGGCTAAGAACCTGAGGCTTCTCTCCCAGGAAGGAAGGAGAGGAGTGGGGGCATCCTGCACTGCCCATGCCTTTCAGTGTGCTGCTTGAGGGGCCAGTTTCTGTCATGCCTTATTGTACCAGAGAGCTGACATAGTTCAAATAACTGGGGGAAGTTAACAACAAAAGAAAAGGGATAGGTGGCTTGCTGCAGCTGCCACAACCCTGTAATATTGGGAGAAGGCATAGAACCTGAGACTTGTCTTCCAAGGAAGAGGAAAAGGAGTGGAGTGTACCCCCAGTGTTCCAGTCTTTCAGGGTACTGCTTGAAGGACTGACTTCTGTCTTACCTTACCCAGTGTTTGGTGGGGGCAGATAGGAACAAAGGAAGAGGGGCAAGTGGCTTGCTGCACTCAGCACAGCTCTACAAGATTTGAGAAGGCAGAGAACTCAAGGAAGAGGGAGACAAGTGGGATGTTCCTCTAATGTTCTGGTCTGCAGTATGATGTAAGATACCAGAAGGAGGAAGAGATTATGGGTTTCTGAAAAAAAAGGAAATCAACAAATCCTTCTAATTAGGAATCTGCATGCACAAGTACAGAAAAGACATATCCACAAAAAAAGTTTGAGATGTTCTCAGAATCTCTAGCCAGGCTTTTGGGTGGAAGTGAAGCTATTTGCCTTTCAAAGCCAGTTGATAAAGACTGGGAGAGAGGTGGCTGTTTCTTCAGTTGCACAAACACCTGTGCAAAGCTACAAGAACTCAATCAGGGAAACGTGACACAAAAAAACAAAATCTCCAGAAACTGACCCTAAAGAAATAGAGATGAATTGCCTGACAGAGAATTCAAAATAATTGTCTTATAAAGCTCACTGAGTTACACGAAAACATAGACAACTTAACAAAACAAGAAAAATAAAAATTCACAAAATTAAAATATCAACAAGGAGCTAAAAATTATGAAGAACCAAACAAATTTTGGAATACGATAACTGAAAAATTCACTAGAGGTCTTCAACAGCAGACTTGGACAAGTAGATGAATTGGCAAACTTGTAGACGGATCATTTGAAATTATCTAATCAGAGGATTAAAAATAATAAAAAAGCATAAAGGAAGTCCAAGTGACTTCTGGGACACCATCAAATGAACCAATTTGTGTGTATGGAAGTTCCAGAAGGAGGAAAGTGAGAGGGGCAGAAAGCATATTTAAAGACATACTGGCTGAGGCCAGGTGTAGTGGCTCACACCTGTAATCCCAGCACTGTGGGAGGCCAAAGTGGACGGATCACATGAACACAGGAGTTCGAGATCAGCTTGGGCAACATGGTGAAACCTTGTCTCTAGAATAAATACAAAAAAAATAATCCAGCCAGTCGCGATGGCTCACACCTGTAATCCCAGCACTTTGGGAGGCCGAGGCAGGAGGATCACAAGGTCAAGAGATCGAGACCATTCTGGCCAACATGGTGAAACCCCGTCTCTATTAAAAATACAAAAAATTAGCTGGGTGTGGTGGCGCGCACTTGTAGTCCCATCTACTCAGGAGGCTGAGGCAGGAGAATCGCTTGAACCTGGAAGGCAGCGGTTCAGCAAGCTGAGATCATGCTACTGCACTCTAGCCTGGCGACAGAGCAAGACTCCATCTCAAAAAAATAAAATAACATAATATGTGGGTGGTGGCATACACCTGTAGTCCCAGTACTTGGGAGGCTGAGGTGAGATGATTGCTTCAGCCCAGGAGACAGAGGTTGTATGGAGCCGAGATTGTACCACTGCACTCCAGCATGGGTGACAGAGTAAGACCCTGTCTTGCAAAAAAAAAAAAAAAAAAAAAAAGAATGAGTGAAATAATGGCTGAAACTTCCTGAAACTGGGAAGGGAAATTGGACATCTACATTCACGAAGCCCAAAGAGTTGAACAACACTGTTAATCAACTTGACCTAATTGAATTTTGTAAAACATTCCTTGTACCCATTAAGAATCACACCCTATCCCTTCTTTGCTGCCACCCCCCACTCTAGACAACTACTAATCTCCTTTGTCTGTATGTATTTGCTTATTCTGGACATCTCATATAAATGGAATCATACAATATGTGTGTTTTTTTGTTTATTTTATTTTTTGAGATGGAGTCTCACTCTGTTGCCCAGGCTAGAATCTCAGCTCACTGCAACCTCCGCATCCCAGGTTCGAGCGATTATCCTACCTCAGCCTGCCAAGTAGCTGGGATTACAGATGCGTGCCACCACACCTGGCTGATCTTTGCATTTTTGTTGAGATGGGGTTTCACCACGTTGGCCAGGCTGGTCTCTGAACTCCTGACCTCAGGTGATCCATCCGCCTCAGTCCCCCAAAGTACTGGGATTACAGGTGTTAGCCACTGTGCCTGGCCCAATATGAATTCTTTTATGTTTGTCTTCTTTTATTTAGGACAGCACAATGTTTTCATGTTTTATCCATGTTGTTGCATGAATCAGTACTTGATTTCTTTTTATAGATGAATGATTTCTACTGAATGGTGCACATTTACTTTATGCACTCATCAGTTGATGGACATTTGAGTTGTTTTCACGTTTTGGCTCTTCTGGATATTGTTGCTATGAACATTCATGTAAAAGTTTTTGGGTAGATAATGTGTTTTCCTTTCTAATGGGTAGATACCTAGACATGAAATTGTTGGGTCTTTTTAAACTTCGTTGTTTAACTATTTTAGGAACTCTTAGACTGTTTTTCCAAAGTCATTGCATCCTTTTACATCATTGCTGGCAGTGTATGAGGATTCATTGCTTCACATTATTACCAACACTTGTTCTTGTCTGTCCTTTTTATTATAGCCGTCCAAGTGGGTGTGAAGTGGTATCTCATTGTGATTTTTGACGTGCATTTCCCTAGTGATTGATGATAAGTTCTTTTTTTGTGTGCTTGTTATATATCTTTTTTAGTGAAATACATTCAGATCCTGTGCCTATTTTTAATAGAATTGTTTGTCTTTTTATTGTTGTATTTTCAGTTTGTTATTTATTTAGGATGCTAGACCCTTATCAGATGTATGATTTGCAAAAATTTTTTCTTATTCTGTGGGCTTTTTATATTCTTGATGGTGACCTTTGAAGCACAAAAGTTTTTTAATTTTAAGTCCAATTTGCCTTTTTTTTCTTTGTTGCTTGTGCTTTTGGTGTCAGAGAGCATTGCTGAAACCAAGGTTGCAAAGATTTATGTAAGATTTATACTTACATTTTCTTTTACGAGTTTTATAGTTTTGGCTGTTACATTTACAGCATTGGTCTACTTTAAGTTAGTTTTGTATATGGTGTGCAGTAGTGTTCTAACTTCATCCTTTTGCATGTGGATATTAAGTTGTCCAGTAAGCTTTTTAATAGAAAAGGATAAGCTGATCCAAAAATTCATGTGGAAATTCAAATGACAGAATGGCTGAAACAACTTTGAATTTTAAAATAAAATCATAGAAGTTAACACTATTTGATTTCAATCCTTATTTTAAAGCTGTAATAATAAATATAGTTGATATTGATATAAAGACAAATACATCAGTTGACCAGATTAGAGAATCCAGAAATAGATCTACACATATATAGTCATTCAGCTTTAGAAAAAGGTAAAAGAGGAATTCACTGGCAAAAGGATAGTCTTTTAAACAAATGCGCCTTGAGTATTTGGATATCTGTTTGCAAAAAACTGAATTTTGATGCATACATGGCACTGTATACAGTATTAATCCAAAATGGATTATAGACCTGAATGTAAAAACTAAAACTTTTAGGAAAAAGTCTTTGCGATGTTGTATTAGCCAAAGTTTTCTTGGATATGATTCAAAAGCAAGGTTGCTAAAAGAAAAAATGTAGTTGTGTCTCATCAGTAACAAAAGCTTCTTTAAATGACACTGTTAAGAGAAAGAAAAGAGAAGCCACAGTGTGGGAGAAGATATTTACAATCATGTAGCAGATAAAAGACTTGTTTGTAGAATATACAGTTTATAAAACTCATTTTGAAGAAAACGTAAAGCCCAATGGAAAAAGTAGGCAAAAGATTTGAACACATAATTCACCAAAGAAGATATAGGTTTCAAAAAGCACGTGCAAAAATGCTCAACATAATTCATATTAGAGAAATGAAGATTAAAACCACAATGAGAAAACTGATCCATACCAAGTGTTGGCAAGATTGTAGAGGAAGTAGAACTCTCATACACTGTTTCTATCGATGTCATATCATAAAAGCACTTCAGAAAATAGTCTGGCAGTTTCTTAACAAGTTAGACATACGTTTATTGTAGAGCCCAGTCATTCCACTCCTAGGTATTTACCCAGAATAAATGAAAGCATTTTATCCATATGACCGATTGTACACAAATGGTCATACAGTGTTATTTGTAATAGAAAAAGTTGTGAACAACTCAAATGCCCATCAACACCTGAATGGAGAAACAAAATGTAGCATATCCATACAATGAAATCCCACTCAGCAATTAAAAGAAATTAAGTATTGATATGTAAAAACATGGATAGATCTCAAAATAATTACATGGCATGAACAAAGCCAAACAAAAAAGAGGACATACTATTTTTATGTAAGACTCTAGAAATTGCAAATTCGTCTATAGTAACAGAAAGCAAGTACTGTTTTCATGTACAAGTCTAGAAAATGCAAAGTAGACTATAGTTGCAAAACACAGAATAAGTAACATTCTCTTAATCCCTCAGGTTTTTTCTCGCTTCTTGATTTTTATTGTTTATATCTTATTGGGAATACTGTGTTCTCATTATTGAAATGCTACCAAGAACAATTTTGCTTTCCGTATCTGTTAATTAAGACTAACTTAGGACAAGAAAAATCTCCATTAAGTTGGATATAACTCAGTGAGATATTTCTGTTCCTCTTTCTGCATTTTAAAAATTCACATGGACAGATAACAAGTCTCAGATTAGGACTGTGATGTAGGTATGGTTCCAGAAATTTCTTCTAGATCTGTGGCCTGTCTTATACTAAATTTTTTTAGTCTAGCTAGAAATTTGAAAGTGGACTGTGAATTAGAATCACATCTGAAGAATTACCTCCATTTTAGTTCTTGGGAGAAATCCAGATTGTGGGCCTTCTGGAATAATGAAATGGTTCACAAGATGCCCATTTGTGATTTCTGTCATGGTTCCTAGCCCGTGTGTCTTGGTGTCATTGTAAAAGGTTGTTGATTTGCTTCTGAATTTCCTACAAAAGCTGATGCTAGAATGAATATTGTTACCATATGAGGGATCTCTGCTACTCAAAATATGTGGGAAACACTCTTTTGTCAAGTCTCTTGACTAACAGTTACTCCATAGTATTTTTTAAAGAACCTAATAAAAGAATTATGTTTTTAAATATTGCTTTTTGATTTATGGTACAAACTGAAAGTTTTAAAGCAATAGTTTATTTTGAAATATGTATGGCAGGCTTGTCCAACCTGCAGCCCATGGGCTGCATGCGGCCCAGGATGGCTTTGAATACAGCCAAACACAAATTTGTAAACTTTCTTAAAACATTATGAGTTTTTTTTTATGATTTTTTTAAGCTCATCAACTATTGTTAGTGTTACAATTCTTCCAATACGGCCCAGAGAAACCCAAAAATTGGACACCCCTGATGTAAGGGAGCTGAATTGCTTTAGAGCTTAAAACTTGTTTTAAATACTTAAATTAGCCTTCATGAGTTTAATTTGTAATGTGTCCAAACAAAGTATTTAGAGTTAGGTATTGAGTTTATTTTTTCTTTTGCAGATGGTGATGCCCAGTCACTTAAGGAACACCTTATTGATGAATTGGATTACATACTGTTGCCAACTGAAGGTTGGAATAAACTTGTCAGCTGGTACACATTGATGGAAGGTCAAGAGCCAATAGCACGAAAGGTACATTTTAATAATAACTGACTATAAATATTATTTTTCTTGATTAGTTCACATTTTATTATTAATTCAATGAATTGTGAAGTTTCATCACTTATCTTAGAGAAAAAGCCAGCAAAATAACCGTACACTGTGTTACAATAATGGCAAGTAACATGTTAAGAAGGTTTACTTATGCTAGCCACTATTGTAAGTATGTATTATTGATTAATCCTCTATATATAGAGAGAAAACTCTGTAAGGTAAGTAGTAGGAAATGAGGATAAAAAGTTAGGATCTAGTTATTTTAGAAAGTCATATCAGGATACAGACTTTGGCAACCTGACCCTGTTTTCTGTGCTGCACTGTTTTTGATAAAACAATTAGAAAACAATGAAGAAACTAAAAGTTGAAGCAATGTTTTTTGGAACATAAAAATTTTTTAAACTTGAAAATGTAGATTTTTTTTCATATCCTTTAACATTTTAAAATTGTAGTCTAGAAACATTAAGAATAACCAATTTCGTTTTTTTAGGGAACTAAAAAGCAATAAGTAAGGGTGTTGCTGTAGTAGAATACCAAATATTCAAGGTAAATGAGTGAACCTTACACATGTATTTGATCATTTATTGTAGGAGGGGTGGGAGGCTGAGAAGGGACCAAAATCTCTTGGCATAATTTTGTATCTGGTTTGGGTCCCCCGACCCTCCCCCCATCCCCCGCCACATAGAAACAATTAAAAAGTTGGATTAGGTAACATAAGGGTAAAAAAACCTCTAGTAGACCTAACTATATTTGAATTTATTTGGAATTGATGCTACAAAGTTGCCATGTTAACAATTTGTATTTGTGTATCCATGGTTTTAGGTATATTAGAAGCTAACCTTGGATCTTATTTTCTGAATAGATCTTGAATGTACCTTTTATTTATTTTTGTTTAGTTTTATTCCTTAGTTTCACTCAGCCACTTCAAAATTAGAATTTCTCTGTTGTAGGAATGCTAGCCTTATAGATCTGTGAAATGATCTAGTTGCTTTATCTATAGTTGCTGGAGAATTGAGTGTTTTGATCAAAGGTAGCCTATTTAGCTGTAAAACTGTCTAGAATTATTTCATTCCTAGGATAAAGGAAAATTTGTGTCCAAAATATCTCTAAAGGTATTACACTGTATTCCTTTAATCTTAATGATACACTTTTTTTTCTTATAAATGTAGCACATTATACACTAGCGGTCTTCAGTATGATAAACAGATCAACTACCAATTTCATTGCCATTACTCTTTGAAATAGTCCTCATTGAGAGTTCTTGAAACCTGTGTCTAATAACAAAGTAAAATATAATCAAAAATTTCACACAAGTAGAAGAAAAAACATTGACAAATCTCTTGGGAGACCACATACTTATTTTTAACAAGATGAATGAAATATATTCAACCTGTAAAATAGTTTGCAAATGTTCATGTGCTATATTACATTGCGTGGAGTTCTTATTACAGATGCAATTTCCTACAACATTAAATCTGCAGTAAAATTTAATTAATCACACTTAAATTTGGGAATTTCATTTGCATTTTCACTGTGGCCCACATGACTGATGCAGGTGGAACTCAAAGAAGTAAATAGACCAGCTTATAGTGTCTGAAGCCCAACTTTCAATGTTACCCATCTCTGATTGCATTAAAGAATCTAGGATTGGTGGTTCCCCTAGCTATAATGCAGAAACCAAGTTAAACATCTTCCTGTACCTCAAAGATCTCTAAAATGCGTCATTTATAGTGTCAACACTCAAAGAATGGACGAAAAGAAAGCAAGGATATAAGCAGAAAATACGATGGAATCAAAATCCAAGAGAAACAGCAGACAATAGAAACAGACCCATAAGAAACCCAGGTAATTGAGTTAGTAGATTTTAGAATAGTGGGCTTATTATGCTTAAAAAAAAAAAAAAAGGCAGATGAGAAGTAGGGCAAAACTATTAAAGAAGAAGCAAATAGAATTCTAAAACTAATAATATGGAAATTTTATGGATTTAATGTTTGGGAATAAAATTATTAGACCAAACAGAACTGAAGAGAAAATTTGTAAACTAAATGATTTGTCAATAGAAAATATAGAGTCTAAAGCTTAGAGAGACAAAAGAATAGAAAATACAGAAAAAAGCTAAGGCATAAATGGAATGCAGTAAGTAAGTTTAACATGCATACATATAGTTGGAATCTTGGAGAGGAAAGAAAGAGTGGGTAGAACTAATACCAAAGGACGTAATAGCTGAGAATTTTCCCAAACTGAGAAAGGTGTCATGCTTTAAAGAAATGCTATGAATCCCAAACTGAAATAATACAAACAAAACTGTACCTAGTACAAATGTTGAAAAGCAAAGGCAAAAAAATTTCTAATAATAGCCAGAGAAAAAGACATGTTATCTTCAAAATAAGGATAAGACAAAATAATGATTTCTCAAGAGAAACCATGGAAGCCAGAAAACAATGGACTTTGATATGTTAAAAGAAAATAACTGCCAATGTAGGATTCTGTGACTAAGAAAATAATCCTTCAGGGATGAAGGTGAAAAAAGCCATTTTCAAATGAAAACTAATAGAATTTGTTACCTGCAGACGTGTATTAAAGGCACTACAAAATAATCTTAAGAATGGAAGGAAAATTATTCCAGATGAAAGCTTGGAGATGCAGGAAAACAGTGTAGACTGACAAAATGTAAATGTTGTGAGTAAGTCTTAAGATGGACTGTTGAAAACATTAATAATAATTTTTATGGAGTTGAAAATGTGTATAGAATTAACTACACAATAGTGTTAGCATGTAAGTTAAGATAATATTCTCTACTATGTTCCCTGGTGATCCCCAGCTCCTCATATCCATATTCTTGGGCACTCTTCTTCCATGTTGTACTGAGGTTGGTCTGTGTGGCCAATAGCATATAGCAGTACTCATGGTACATCGCTTTCGAGATTAGGTTATAAAAAAACACCGCGGCTTACATCTTGGGTGCACACGCACTCTAGCTGTCTCTCTTTCTCATTTCTCACTCGGGGAATTCAACTGCATATGGCGAGGACACTCAGGCAGCCTATGGAGAGGCCCACATGGTGAGGAACTGAGATCTCTGGCCAATAGAGAGGAACGGAGGCCTGCAACAACCATGTGAGTGACCTTGGAAGTGGATCCTTTAGTTCTAGTTTAGCTTTCAGATGATTGAAACCCCAGCCATACCTTGAGAGCAACCTCATGAGAAACTCTACACCAAATCAACCCAGTTAAGCTGCTCCCAGATTCTTGACCCTCAGAAACATTGTGAGATAATGTTTGCTGTGTTAAGCTGGTAAATTTTGGGGTAATTTATTATGCAGCAATAGATAACTAATACTAATCATGGTACCTGTAAATAGGTGCTGATATGAAAACTTGAAATGTGGCGTGGCTTTGGAGCTGACAGTGAATAGAGGTTGTCAGAACTTTAAGAGTATCAATGAAAGCTTAAAGGGCCTTAAACAAACCGTTAGTAGATTACTAGACTTTGAGATAGCTGCCAGTGAGAACTTGAAGTGAGGAAAGTCTTACTGGAAACTGGTAGAAAGTGGTCTTTGTTATACAGTGGTAGAGTAAGTTTAGCAACATGTTGCCTGCAGTAAACTGAAAGGTTAAAGATAGTATTTAATGAAATTATAGGTCTGCCAAAGTGTTAAAAGTACTGCCTAGTTTCTTTTTGTGTTGGTTATAGTCAGATGTGAGAGAAGAGAAATACACTAAAGAAAGGATTGTTCAATAAAACAGAGCCAATATTTACTAGTTTTGAAGATTCCTAGTCCCTCCAGATGGCAAACGGTGCTAATACTAAGCAGTGTTTCTGAGCAAAGATAAAACTCAGAGTATTCTCAGAAAAAAAGTGTGATCTAATCTGGCAGCCAAGGGTGTGACTGTAAGTTACCTCAGAAAAATCAAAGGTCATGCCTCACAGTACTATTCAGACAAAAGGCCCTATAAAGTATTTAAGGGTTAACTTAGAGGTTGTCCTGTCAGTAGTAATATTAATTAATATTAAGGGTGTCTTCTCAATATGTGGCTTCTAAGAACAGGAGGGCTTCAAGAAGCTTACGGGCAACCCCTTAGCTTTCTCAGCATAAAGCCAAAGTAGAGAGGACTTATCCTACAGAACATTTGTGGATATGGCTTTTGTCTAATGGAATGAACTCCAGTAAGATCCAGTGGAGACCTACATTGTTTTCGAATTACCTCGCAGAACCACTGCCATTTTGGACTGCAGAAGCAGTATTAAATGAAAGACGCCTTTGACCTCCCAAACTCCAATAAGTAGGAATCAGGCTGAAAATTTACTTAACTTCAAGCATGTGCTAATGCATGAAAAAAGGATGACTCAGAGAACAGAACCAAATGTTAGATAGAATAATTTTCAGGCAAGGGTAGAACTGAGTTCCAGTCAAGGAATTTCTAGTATTTGTCCAGGTAGATTTCATAATCGTTATGGACCATTGATTCCTTTGTACGTCCTATTTCCCCTCTTACAAAACAGGAATATTTAAAAGGCTATGTTCTGTGTGCTTCATTGTTTTATTTTGGGTGTATGGGGGGCAGAAAACTTGTCTCTTAGTTCACAGGCCTATACATCAAGAGGCACTACAGTAGTCCCCCTTATCTATGGTTTTGCTTTCCGCGATTTCAGTTACCTGCAAGCAACCATGGTCCAAAAATATTAAGTGGGAAATTCTGGAAATAAACAATTCGTGAGTTTTAAATTGTGCACCATTCTGAGTAACATGATGCCATCCCACTCCATGTCCTCCCCATGGACACTATACACTACCTTCCCGTTTGTCACTTAGTAGCCATCTTGGTTATCAATCTACTGTCACAGTGCTTTGTTGAAGGGCATTAGTAGCATAATGCAGCGTTACAATGTACATCATTCACTTCACCTCTTCTCATCAGGTAGACATTTAATCATCTCATATCATTACAAGAAAAAGGGTGAGTACAATATGATAAGCTACCTTGAGAGACCACATACACATAACCTTTATTATAGTATATTGTTCTAATTGTTCTATTTTATTATTAGCTATTGTTAATCTCTTAGTGTGCGTAATTAATAAATTAAACTTCGTCATAGGTATGTATGTTTGTAAAGGAAAAAACATAGTGAATATAGGGATTAGTGTGCTATTTGTAGTTTCAGGCATCCACTAGGGGTCTCGGAATATATGTCTTCAAAGGCTTATAGAAAATTTATAATTTGTCAATTATAGATGACAAATTTCTGAACTCCAGGTTGCTAAAATGAATTGAGACTAGTTGGGGCCTTTGGAAGAACTGAGTGTATTTTGTATTTTGGGGGAAGGAACTGTGAATCATTGGGGGCCAGGGGGTAGACTGTGGTAGCCAGCCTCAAAGATGCTCCCCAGTGATTGTGACCTCTTAGAATCCTTAGTCTGGTGTAATCCTTTCCCACATTGTACGACAGTTGGTCTATGCAGTCAGTAGCATGTGGCAGAAGTGGTGGTATGTCACTTCTGAGATTAGTCCTTAATGGATGCCTGTACTTCTATTGGGAGTGCACATACCTCCCTCATCCCCTCCCCTCGGATCACTCACTCTGGGCGAAGCCATAACTTTGCCCTTAACTTACCCTATAGAGAGACTCACATAATGAGGAACAGAGGCTGCCAACAGCTACATGAGTGAGCTTGTAATTAAGATTTGAACAACATGATTAACCACCATAACCTAATTGACATGTACATTGTACTTAGTCATTGCAGAATACACATTTCTATTAAGTGGAATTTTTAAGCAAAATTGACCATATTCTGGGTTATCAAAATTCCAGTAAACTTCAAATGATAGAAATTGTTCACTGTATTTTCTGTCATTAGTGGGATTAAGCTAAAATCAGTAACAAAGAGATAACCTGATTATCCCCCAACTATCTAGAAATGGAAAAATATACTTTTAAGTAATCCTTGAGGCAAAGAGAAGAATGAAAATTAGACATATTTTAAACTGAATAATAATTAAAATACAACTTAAAAGATTGGCTGAAATTCTCAGAAGGAATTTTATAGCTTCAGTGCAAATATTGGAAAAGAAAGTGAAAATCTATTGTCTCAACAAGTTAAGGAAATTGAACTTAAGAAGAAACATTATAATGTAGACATTAACAAAATAGAAAACAAACCTACATTAAATGAACAAAATTCAGTCATTGTAGAGAGCAGTGAAATTAGACCAGTAAAGTAAAGATGAGTCCTGGCAGGATTGTTTAAGAATAAAAAGAGAGTAGGCACAAATAACCTATATTGCGAATGAAAAAGGAAACATCATAGCAGAGTCTAAAGACTTTTTTGAAAAGATTATGTTTTGAACAGTTTTATGTAAATTTGAAAATTTAGATGAAGTGGATAATTTCTAGACAAACAGAACTTTAAAATGTCAATACAGTAAGAAATAGGAAACTCGAATTCACCTATGTGATTAAAGAAATTGAGTCATTGAAAACCTTCCCACAAAGAAAGCTTCAGGCCAAGAAAGCTTTACCAGTGTATTCTACCAAATATTTAGGGAAGCCATAAACCAATACCACACAGATTCTTTCTGAGAATAGAAGCAGTACTCCCCAACTTATTTTATAAGGCTAGCATAAACATGACATAAAACCTGAAGGACATTACAAGAAAGAAAAATTACAGGCTGGTCTCACTCATGAACATAGATGCTTAAGTCCTAAACACAATGTTAGCAAGACAAATCCAGCATTATGTAAAAAGGACAAAAATGACCAAGGTGGATATTTTTCAAAGAATACAATTTTAACTTTGAAAAGCATTCATAATTTTAGCAGACTAAAGGAGAAAAATAATCTCAATAGAGATACAAAGAACATTTGATGCTCAACATCCATGTATGATCTTAAAAAAAAAAACTCCTAGAAAACTAGGACTAGAAATCGCCTGTAAATATTGTACTTATTGGTAAAATATTAAAAGTTCTTCCCAAGTCAAGAATAACTGTGTTAGAAATCTTAGCCAGTATGGTAATATAGTAAAAAGAACTAAAAGAGTGAATCTTGTAAAAGAAGATACAAGACTGTCAGTGTTTTTAGAAGGCACGATTCTACAGGTTTAAAATTCCAAAAATATGTACTGGTAAACAATTAGAATTAATAGGTAAATTTAACAGGTTGCCTGATATAAGGGCAGTATAGGGAAACCAGTTTTTTATTGGCAACAAATAAAGTTTATTTTTATTTGTACAAATTAGTGGTGTACATGAGAAAATCTGTTACATATATATAATAAGTAGTAATGAAGTCAGGGTATTTTGGGTGTCCTTCACCCAAATTCAATACATTTTTGTTAAGTATAGTCACCCTGCTCTGCTACCAAACATTGAATTTATTCCATTTTACTGTATGTTTGTACTTTTAAGCCAGTTCCCTTCATCCTTCCCTGCTCCCTTCCTTATCCTTCCCAGTGTCTGTTATCTATCTTTCCACTCTTTACTTCATGTGATCAAATTTTTTAGCTTCCACGTAAAAGTAAGAACAGATGATATTTGTCGTTTTGTCCCTGGCTTATTTCACTTAATATAACGACCTCCGGCTTCATCCATGTTGCTCAAAAGACATGATTTCATTCTTTGTAATGGCGGAATAGTACTCCATTGTTTATATATATATACAATATTTATCCATTCATCCATTGATGAGCACCTAGGTTGGTTCCATATCTTGCTATTGTAGATAGTGCTACAATAAACATGTGAGTGCAGGTATCCCTTTCATATACTGACTTCTTTTCCTTTGGGTAGATATGCGGTAGTAGGATTGCTGGATTCAATGGTAATTCTGTTTTTAGATTTTTGAGAATCTCCACACTGTTTTCTGTAGTGGCTGTACTAGTTTACATTCCCATCAACAGTGTATAAGTGTTCCCTTTTCTCCGCATCTTCGCTAACATCTGTTGTCTTTTGTCTTTTTAATAATAACCATTATGGCTTGGTTAAGGTGATATCTCATTGTGGTTTTGATTTGCATTTCTCTGATGATTAGTGATGTTGAACATTTTTATATACCTGTTGGCCATTCATTTGTCTTTTGAGAAATGTCTATTCATGTCCTTTGCCTACTTTTAAATGGGATTGATTTTTACCTGTTGAGTTGTTGAGTCCTTGTATATTCTGGATATTAATCCTCTGTTGGATGAATAGCTTATAAATATTTTCTACACTTCAACAGGTTGTCTCTTAATAAAGTTGAATTTTAAAATAACATTTACAGGTCAAAATACTTAGGAATAAACCTAGTAAGAACTGTGTTTTTCTATACTGAAAATTGTGAAACATTACTGGGTAAAATTAAAGAAGACTTAATGAATTAATGGATCTAGCCTGAAGGTCTAGAAGCTGAAGATGTAGGAGAAGGAGTAGGTCACTAATGTTTTTCTGTAAAGGGCCAGATAGTAAATATTTTTAGCTTTATGCGCCCTTTAGTTTCTTTTGAAATGACTAAACTTTGCTGATTTAGGCATAAAAGCAGCCCTAGATAATTAATAATTGGGTATGAAAGTAGCCGTAAACATAAATGAATGGGGGTTGTTGTGTTCCGGTAAAGCACTATATACAAAAATAGATTGATGGGTAGATTTAGCCATCTAAACCTAAGTTTAGCCAAACTTAGTTCATAAGTTTGCCCATCACTAGATCTAGGCATTGGCTTTAATGTCTACCAGCATCACAAAAAAAGGAGCAACTAGATGTTTGCATCCTGTTCAGAGTGAGTGTATGTCACCATCTATGCAGTGGTCTAAAGTAAAAATTACAAGAATAGGAAAGATGGAGAACTTCTAGGTTAAAAGACACTTAAGAGACGAATTAGTCTATTGGCAATATATGGACCTTATTTGGATCCTGATTCAAACAATACATTAAAAATGAGACAGAAGGAAAAATTTGACTTTTGACTGGATATTTGATATTAATTGATTAGTTTTAATTTTTTAGGTGTGATGATGGTATTGTGGTTATGTTTGAGTCTTTGTTTCTGAATATTCTGAAGTATTTGTGGATGGAAAATCACATACATAGGATTTGTTTCTTACACATTAAGAACTATGATTTCATAGTTTTGTTGTATTTATCTACTTCTCTGTCTTCACCGTTATCTGTTCTCACTCAGGCTCCAGGATCTAGGTCTAATTTATCTGCACCAAATGTAGGTACTCAATAAATGCTTTTAAAATGAATGAAGCTAGCTCTACAAAAGAGTAAGTCAGTCTGTTAGAGGCCTGGTATTATGAAATTGTTTATATAGTACTAGATTTTTTTAGAAATTACTTATATTTCTCTTCCCATTTCAGGGAGGGAGCATACTTGGAATGAAGGTAAAGTTTCCATGAAACTTTTCATACACAGACATAAAGGGTAGACTATATTAGGTTTATTTAATATGTTTAATGGCCTTGTAAAAAATACCCTAAATATTCACAGCAAAAAATGAACAAATAGAAATTATTTATTTTAATCCTCTGTAAACTTATATGTAGCTCAAATACTTAGTAAAGAGACTTTGCCTTCATTATGGTTATAAATTAATGAAAATATGTTTACATATCCATAAGTCTTCCATTTTGGACAAGGAGCCAGATTTCATCATGTACTCACTTTTTATTTATGGTAATATAACAGTGTTATAATTCACTTAGAGTAAACATTATAACTATCATCTATAATACTGAAACATAACTATCACTTCTGAATATCCCCCTTCCGATCTTATTTCAAATACATATTTTAATAGTTATAATAATTAGGTAAATAAAACTATACTTTTTTTATAAGCTTGTTTCTTCCTGTTAGTCTTCATGACCATCATTTTCAATGCATACATTTTTAATTAAGGTAGGAAGGAGATTTTATGTAAACAAATATGAAGGAGATTATATAAGCAAATAATCTACATGTGACCATTACACATTGATTCGTAAATGTGCTAATTATTTTTCTTTTTATGGTGCTGTTATTTTCAAGCTTTAATAGTACATATAGTATGACCTTTTCATATAAAAATAGTTTGACAACAAACTCATATTTTTAAAAACAACACCTTGTTAATACACTACTTTGGGAATTAGTAAAATAAATATCTTATAAATATAGTAGCAGTTTTCTGAGTAGTGATGATGAAGATTTTAGCAATGTAAAATGTAGGAAAGAAGAAAAAAATGTTGAGAAAAATTCTGAATCCCAGTAGTGTGGACTTTGAAATATTCTTGATATTTTGTTTTCATAGATCTCACAATAACTCTGACAGTTAAGTCACCAGGTTCTTTCCAGGAAAATATCTATAGTATTATGAAAATGTATTTTCATTTTTAGAAAACTATGCCTATTTAGAAAGTATATACCTCAATATAAATCATAATGGGGGTTTTGTTTTTTAACCATACTTATTCCTTTTCCTGCTTTGTGTTGGTCATTCCATTTTTCTTTTTCTTCCATAAAAATGAGGCCTGCAGTTTACCTTAGTTTTAGTTACTACCAGTGATTAGTAGCTACTTTAATGTAGTTTATTTTAGGATTTTACTCAGCTATTGAGCCCCAGTATAGAAATTACTGACTGATAAGAATATTTGATTCCTTGTTTCTCTACTTAAATATAACTACAAGTAATCTTATAAAATTAAATGTTACTACATTTGTAACCATGAAGTAAATCAGCCTAAGATGTTTAAAACAAATCTCAGTAGTTTAACATATTGGTTTTACAAAACAAATTACATTTATTAGCAGAAGGAGAGGTACAGGCTGCTACCTGTTTAAAAAAATTGTAACAAGTATGATTAAGAAAATATATATGACAAAGTATCATAAAAATGTGTGTTGGATTAGATAGTAAATACTAGATGAACTGCATTTGAATTTTTTCAATGCAGTGAAAGACAAGTTTGTAAAGTCCTCTTTTGAATTGATGTAAGCTTGTGAGTATATCCCAACGGTCATTTGGAGCCTCCCTTTTGCCATATTTGTCTAATGGATCACATATCAGGCCTATTACTATTTTCAGAAACAGTATTCATGACTGAAATCCTACAGTTAACCTTTAGAAGATCGAAAGGAATTATACTTATTTAAAAGGTGACCTTAATATATACATATTTCCTTTTTATGCTTTATGGCTTGCATGCTTAACAGCTTTCTTTTAATTGCTGCATAGAATTACTAAGTGTGTAGTTAAAGGTCAAACAAAGTAAGTCACTGTAGGGTGAAACTAACATATCAGTTACCTAGCCATAGCTGGATATTTTGGCAACAGTGATTTGGAGTTATCATTTTAATAGATATATTTTAACATAACAGTGATAATATAGCCATTAAGTTCAAATTGTATAAACAACTTTTTAAAGGTTTTCTGCTTGGGATCACTACTAAAAGCTAAGAAGTATGTTTGTATCTTCAATCAGAACTCTGTTTATTTGTATTATAATGTATAAACAGAGAACGTACATATATATTTGCACATAGTCATTTTGGGTAATCTTTCTCATTATAAATACTGAATATTAATTATTTATGGTGTACTAGTGTATCTTCATAGATCAATAGAATGCCTTTCCAAACTGTCACTTAATGTTTTAAAATCATGATTATTTCTTTCTTTTAAATATCAAAATTTCCAAAAAGTTTTCTTGCTTTTGAAGTTTTAACTATCCAATATCTTTTTTTATATATATTGGCAGGCTTTAATAGTGACTGGTTTTTCACTGGAGATCTGCAGTTTTCTAAAGTCTCTTTAAATGTATTGTTATTAGAGTGAAATATATTGATATAGGTGACACTGATTTGTTTTGTTTCATTATTTTAGGTGGTTGAACAGGGTATGTTTGTAAAGCACTGCAAAGTAGAAGTATATCTCACAGAATTGAAGCTATGTGAAAATGGAAACATGAATAATGTTGTAACTCGAAGATTTAGCAAAGCTGACACAATAGGTAATGCAAGATCCTGTCTTGTTTTTAATCCATTGCTATTAGATATTTAATTAGAATTATCTTTGTATATGCTACTTGGATGATAACCATTTTAAGGATTTATATATAGACATTTGATTTCCAGCTTTGATACAATGTCTTAGAGTTAAATTATTTATTGTTTCTTGTATGCTTTTGCATTTATTAAATGAATTTTAACATTTGTGCTGTTTTGCTTTTTTATAAAACATCAAATAATTATTGTTTTTATTTAGCAACTGGTGTGTCATTTGTAACATAGACCTTTAAATAAAAACTTAATTAAAACTTGGTAAGGTAGCATGGAAAATGACAATTGGTTATTTCCTTTTTTCTCTTAGTTTATTCTTTGGTACTATAAATACAGTCAAGTAGCCAAGGCAGCAGGCTTAGCGTTATTTTGACACATTGATTTTTCAAATTAATGAGTAGCGTAAGCAGTTGTAAGTCAAATATAAGTGGACTTAATTCTCTCTATATATTAAAATATATATAAATTGTTTTCTTTCTATTTAAAAGACACATTTTTAATTTTAGGTAAAGAATAGATTGAATAAAATGTTTTTTAAAATAAATGATTATGAATTTAATAAAAATTACATGGTTTTTGTTTCATAAAACTCAAGAATTTTTAAAGTATTTAATTTCAAATGAAGTTGTAAAACAAGATTAATGGTAATACCATTGATCTTAGAAAATACAAATGAACAGTGAAGAAGGACACATAACTTGTAGAACCCAGCTTGGAAACAGATTAGCCAATTTATGAATTATAGCGTGGCATAAGATTTCCTTGTTGGAACCAGTCATTAAAGTAAATGAAAGTATTTCTGAATTTCATTAACTGCATTTGGCTTTCTTTCACCACTTACCCACTTCACAGCTGGAAAATCCTTTTAACCCGTATTTTTTATGAAATAGTAGCATTATTCAAGTACTCAGTGCTTGGTTAATCCTAATGTTTGCACCAAATAAAATACAGCATTATGTTATGAATCTTTATTCTCCCCTCTTCATTTAGCTAGAACATTTATAAGTTCGAGATTAAGTTTCAATAAGCTGATAGTTGGCCGGACGCAGTGGCTCACACCTGTAATCCCAGCACTTTGGGAGGCTCAGGCGGGTGGATCGCCTGAAGTGAGGAGTTCGAGACCAGCCTGGCCAACATGGTGAAACCCCATCTCTACTAAAAGTACAAAAATTAGCCGGGTGTAGTGGGTGTGCGCCTGTAGTCCCAGCTACTTGGGAGGCTGAGGCAAAAAAATTGCTTGAACCGGGAGGTGGAGGTTGCAGTGGGCCGAAACCGTACCTCTGTACTCTAGCCTGGCAACAGAGTGAGACTTTATCTCAAAAAAAAAAAAAAAAGCCCATAGAGTCATCTTTCTAAAATGAATGCTTAAAAGATAAGGAATTTCATATGTAAGTTTTATTATAATTATTATTACAGATAAATTGCTTGACTTTTGAATTTCCACATTTGTAGAATATATTCAGGAAAATAAGATATTTCTACATATTAAAAACAAAGTTTTCAACATATGAAAATTATTTTAATCATATGAATATGTACATGAGAAGAGTCTATAAATTTAATAAGGGTAGTCTGTTAAAATTAATTCAGAGAGTCGTCTCTGAAGTTTATAGCCAATTGGAATATAAATGAGAAGCTACCTCTTAAAATAATGTTTTCTAGTTATTTTTAAAGTTTGGTATTTTCTTCTCTCCCTGCCTCATTTTGATAGGAAAATTAAATATGAGACCATCAGAGATATTATTTTAGAACATTATTATACTAGGTATTTTGAAACTCAGGAAAATCAGCAACTGATTTAATTTCTGAATTCAAAACAAGAATTATGGGTTCTCATGATAAGAACTGTGTAAGAATTTGTCACGAAGATATGTAATTTATAAAGGATCACTGCTTCAAAAAGTTTACAATCTAGCATAGATTTTAATCAACATATATACTAATACTTTAAAATGCTAGATAAATTGGATATGTACTTTAACATTATATATGAACCCAATTTTTGCATAGCTATAATTTTTTACTGTATTAAATCATTGTTTTTCAAACTGGATTGTTGATATTTTGGTGGTTCATTAAACAGTTTTGGGAGTAAAGAAAATTGAATGGGAGATATTAGAATACAAAATATCAACATATATGTTTATTTCCTGGGTCACAATTTCTTACTATAGCTCTTAGTTTAAAAAATTTGAAAGTCTGTGGTAGAATGAGTCTTCTTCTTAAGCAAAAAGGTTTGCAAAAATTAGTCAAGTCAGGAATTTTAGACACTTCATGGTTATGGTTATAGTACAGGTTAACAGTTGTTGAATATTTACTATGTTTTAAGCACTTTACAGGAATTTTCTTGTTTGAAGTTAAACAAGCAGGTATCTTCCTCTTATAGATAATGAAGCTGAGATTTAGAATCTACTTCAATTCACCCTGGTACCAAGTGGTAGAGCTAGTACTTTAACTTCATAAGCAGAGCTCTTAAACTAGAGTCTCATCTCTCAATTGCTGCCTTACACAATCTGTGTATGCTAAAGGAATATTCGTTTTGGAGATATTAACTGGGCTGATTTTGTTTTTCTAAAGGAAGTGGGTTTTGAAACACAGAATTTACATAAGGAACTTAAGATGGATATGTATTTTTCCCTTATGGTCTTTTAAGAAATCTTGATTGAAAATGATTAAAATAGCTATGTATGTGAAATACAGCTGTATAAATTTTATGAACAGATTTAGGAAATATAAGTGTCTGTTTTCTCTTGTTACCAAATTAATAAAATATTCTGTTTTCAGCTAGTACTACCTACACTGATATATAGTAAAAATGATAGCAGGCCATAGGCCATATCTAAATGATTTACCTATCAGGGCCAAAATCTTCTGCCTTCAAATGTTTTCTGCCAAAATTGATATATTTGAGCATTGAGCATGTTTAAGTAAGAGATAAAATAATAGTTTTATTTTCCTTTAAGATTAACTACCAAAAACATAAAACTTCTTGAAAAATATGATTTAATTTCTATGACCTGTATTAATATTTTTTAATTTCTAATTTTTGTGAGTAACCTGTATTATTTTTCTACCTCTGTATGCTTTTCATTAACTGGCTAGTACAGTTGAATTAATATGTGGAAAAATAAGCACACACTGTCAGTCCTTTGACCATTCTCAACTTCAGTGATCTCAACCATCAGCCAAGCTCAGCCACCAATTATTACAGTTAAACCCTAGGCTGTTGTTATCTGTAACTGCACTTGCCAGATCTCAATTTTAGCATCCTGCATTCTGGCCACCACTTTCTCTGCTCCCATTTTCTCTTGAGCCCACTACATGAGACATCGAAACCTACCACTCTGTTGGTACTACTACTGTCATAGTCTCTCATGACCTTGCCATTGACAAATCCAGTGGTAATATAGAAATCTTCCATTTTCCTGACCTGCCAGCAAAGTACAACACAGATAAACTACTTTTCTATCTAGAAGCACTTTCTCTTCACTTGGCTTCCTGGGCACAGTTTCTCACTGGCTGCATCTTGTTGGAGTCCTTTGTAAAACCTTCTTCATATTCTTTATCTCAAAATATCAGTGTCTCCATATTCTCCCAGCCCTCCTTTCCTTGGTGATTTCTTTTGTTCTCCTGGCTTTAAATATTTTCCATGTGTTGATATCTTTTAAGTTGATAGGTCCTGCCCTGAAGTCTCCCATAATTCCAGTTTGAACTATCCCATATCTTCATTTGTATATCTGACAGGCTTCTCAAGAAGACTATCAGATATAAAACTAAGCTCCCTTTCCCAAAAAACCTTAGGCTCTGTCATTCTTCCTTATCTCCATAATTCCCACTTCTGCTCTTCCAATTGCTTAGGCCAAAAATCATTTCTGATTCTTTTATTTCTCACCCTTCATGTAATCTAGCAGCATATCTTCTTAGCAATTCCTTCAGAATTTATTCTCAGTCAGACCACTTAACACTGCTTCCATTGCTACCACTTTGGTTAGGATTGTTGCAGTAACCTAGTTTCCCACCTTTGACCTTGAATTAGTCCATTCTCGCACTGCTATAAAGAACTACTGGAGACTAGGTAATTTATGAAGAAAAGAGGTTTAATTGACTTACAGTTCCATAGGCCGTACAGGAAGCATGGCTAGAAGGCCTCAGGAAACTTAACAGTCATGGTGGAAGGCAAAGGGGAAGCAACCACATCTTACCGTGGCATAGCAAGAGAGAGAGAGCAAAGGGGGAAGTGCTACACACTTTCAAACAACCAGATCACATGAGAACTCACTCACTGTCATGGGAACAGCAAGGGGGAAATCTGCCCCCATGATCCAGTCATCTCCCACCAGGTGCCTCCTCAAACACTGGGGATTACAATTTGGCATGAGATTTGGGTGGGGACACAGAGCCAAACCTTATCAGACCTTCTGCAGTGTTCTTCACTACCAGCAAAAGTGAACATTTAAAATGTCAGTCATATCATGCCACTTCTCTTCCCAACTCCTCAATAGCTTTCTCTTTTGCTCAGATTAAAATATAAATACTTTGATAGGTCACAGAAGTGTATATAATCCTACAGAAGTACCTTTATAGTCTCATTTCTACCTCACTTATTCTACTTCAGCCACATTGATGTATCAGGCTATTCTAAAACATGCCAAGCACATTTGCACCTCAAGGCTTTTGCGTTACTACCCCTATGCCTGTAATGTTCCCCCATATGTAAATTAGATCACAAAACTCAATGAAGAGGAAATTTCCACATTTGTTTATAACATGTTATGTACACAGATGCCTGTATTAATAGAAAAAACATCTAGAAGAAATATCAGAATGTCAACAGTGGTTATATCTAGGTAGACATTTTATTTATATTTGTCAGTATTTTTGGTATTTTTGCCAAAAGCAAAAATTATTTCTGCCCTCAGGAAACATTTATTCATTTTTATAGAAAGATTAAAACAGCTCCCTTCCTTGGCTTCTTCCTTTATCCTCTTTCTAGGTAATGTTTTGTTTCTTGATCTTGGTGCAATTTACATGGGTGTGTCCACTTTGGAAATTTATCACAAGATACTGATGATTAGTGCATGTTTCTGTATACATGTTCACTTTAATAAAAAGAACAAAAAGAAAAAAATACAACCCTGCCAAAGTAGAAAGCAGTACTGATAAGGCTTGGCTATGTGTTCCCACCCAAATCTCATGTCAAATTGTAATCCCCCATGTGTTGGAGGAGGTGCCTGCTGGGAGGTGTTTAGATCATAGAGGCAGATTTCCCCCTTGCTGTTCTTGTGATAGTGAATGAGTTCTCATGAGATACGGTTGTTTGTGTGTAGCACTTCCCCCTTCGCACTCTCTCCTGCTCCTCCATGATAAGATGTGCTTGCTTCCCCTTCGCCTTCCACCATGATTGTAAGTTTCCTGAGGCCTCCTAGCCATGCTTCTTGTACAGCCCATGGAACTGTAAGTCAATTAAACCTCTTTTCTTCATAAGTTACCCAGTCTCAGGTAGTTCTCTATAGCAGTGTGAGAACAGACTAATACAAGTACTAACAGTATATTTATTTTATGTAATTATTTAAATATTCTGGGTGATTTGCTTTAAGTTTTGAGATAACGCTGTTGATATTTTGAATTAGTGCCTTTTTTTCCTACTGATTTAATGCCCTTATCAAAACCTTACTGACTACAAGACTATTACAAAACATTAGCTGCTAAGTAGATAGTATTATTGGACTAAATTATGTAGGATAGATGTGGGTTTTCATATTTCTTCGGAGAACGTATATTATTAAGTTTAATATTTTATAAATTTTTTCAAAACTACAACTATTCTAAAATCTAAAAGTATTCTGTATTCATATATCATAAAATATTTTGATTACTATTTTCTTGAGTTGATTAGGCAAGTTATTGACCAGAACTAGATGAAATTTCAGTAAATTGATTTAGAAATCAGAAAAAGACGTGACTTTACTTTGAAAATACTAAATTTTGGTGAATACAGACATCCCTTCAAACAAGGCACTTTCTTTTTTATTGTGTCCATATATTCTAGTGAGCTGTTCAGTTTAATATAAATTATTTTTAAATTGCTTATGTGGTACTTAAAAAATTTTGCACACTAAAAAAAATCTGTAACATCTCTTAATCATACTTTAATTTCTAATTCCTACATCTCCTCAGAAAATATTTGAATTATAGTATGTTAAAATTTAAAGTTTATCCTGTGTAGCATAAATTGTATTTTAGTGTTAGGTGATTGAACTCTTACCTTTTGAGATTTTAAATTCCCCAAGTAATTTGTTGGAGTACAAATACCATTTTTTCCATAAAAACTTGGTCTTAAAAACCCTTTTGTTGGTTTGTGTTTTATAGATTTATTACATATTTAGTCTTGATTTTCTATTAGTATTTTAAAGAATTTTTGTGCTGGTAACATTTAGCTGTATGTGGTATATTTTGAAATACATACTATATTTATATATCTTTCCTCCTTAAATCTAGATACAATTGAAAAGGAAATAAGAAAAATCTTCAGTATTCCAGATGAAAAGGAGACCAGATTGTGGAACAAATACATGAGTAACACATTTGAACCACTGAATAAACCAGACAGCACCATTCAGGATGCTGGTTTATACCAAGGACAGGTATTGTTTATTTTAAGCATACTGTATTATACATGAAGGTTTTTGGATTCACAAACTTTAATAATTATCCTGGCAATATATAATGGGCTGTACTGTTTCTGGCTTCCTCTTTCTAAACTCATCTCTTGTCTTTCCTTGCTGGTTACTGACTCTGACTTTTGATTCCCTCCTTGAGCTTGGGAATAATCTACTTGTTAAAAAGAAATCATTTTTAATTAGAAAAAAATCCCAGCTAATATTATAAGGTGGGTCAGCAAACTTTCTGTGAAAGACCAAATAGTAAACATATATGGAGCATCTCTTATTTACACAGTTCTTTATTACAAATTACAGTTCTCTGCAGGCCATAAAGTAGCATCTAAAACATTGCCATTGTAGTACACAAAAACAAGCATAGATGATACATGAATAAATGAGTATGGCTATGTTCTAATAAAGCTATTTATATAAATGTGCAGCAGGCTAAGTGAACTCTAGTTTGCCAGCCCTTGTTGAAAGGTGTCAGCTCCCAATTTGGCTTTTTTGTTTGTTTGTTTGAGACGGAGTCTCACTCTGTTGCCCAGGCTGGAGTGCAGTGATGCAATCTCGGCTCACTGCAACCTCTGCTTCCCAAGTTGAAGTGATTCTCCTGCCTCAGCCTCTTGAGTAGCTGGGACTGCAGACATGTGCCACCACACCCAGCTAATTTTTGTGTTTATAGTAGAGATGGGGTTTCATCATGTTGGCCAGGATGGGCCAGAATGGTCTCGATCTCTTGACCTCTTGATCTGCCCGCCTCAGCCTCCCAAAGTGCTGGGATTACAGGTGTGCGCCACCGTGCCCGGCCGGTATTTTTTTAATAAAGTATTGAGAAATGAAGAGGTTTAGTCACTGTCAGCAAGTCCTACTGATTCTATCTTCTAACTGTGTCTTGAAGTAATCTCTGTGCTCCATTCTCAGCCCTTATCTTTCATAGTCTCTTTACAAATTCCTGTATCTCCAGGCTCTTGTATGTCTGTTCAATCTTTCTTCCTTTGTTTTTTTGTTATTAGCAGATAACCATAGGACAGTCTTGTTTTTGCAAGAATACTCATTCTAAAATGTAAACTTCACTGTCTTCCTTTCATAAACTTTTCCTGGTTCCTTAATAATTAAGTCCAGGCACTTTAAGCCAGCATGCAAGTTATGGTTTAACCTTGTACCTACTCTTCCACCATCTCTAGATTATCTTTGTTTTGTGGTTTATACTCAAGCAGTACCAAACTGAGCTGCTTATAGTTCCCTGAACACACTATGCTATTCCATATTCTTGTGCTTTCTGATGTGTTATTCCATCTGCCTGATGATGTAAACGTCTTTGGAGTCCCTGTATTCATCCAGCAAAAAGTCCTTTTAACCATCCATATAATAAAATTAACCATCCCATACCATCATGTAGGCCAGCCGTATCAGATTATTCATCCTTCAGGTTCTAGCTCAACTGTCACATCATCTATTCAGCCTTCCCTATTTCTCTCAATGTCCATTGAGGTATAGGATGTTTCTACTTTGGAGAAAAGAATTGCTTCCTTAACTTCCACAAAGATGTATGTATATTTGTTTTGTATCGTTCATTATATGCTTTAGTTATTTGTATTTTAATCTCCCCAGACTATGAGGTCCTTGTTTTGGTTAGACTTTGTACCCTATTTTTATTTTCAGAACCTAACATGCCCGGTGCTCTGATAAATGGAAGATTTTTTTGTTTTGTTTAAAAATTACTGTTAACATCAATAATATGATTCTGAGTTGTGGAAAAATTCAGATAAAGTGAGGGAAATTAATTTTTAGTAAATGCCCACTATATGTCAAGAATTGTACTAGGCTGTCAAAATACAGTGGTTTTCAGATTTATTTTAGTCATTATATTCTTAAGAGAAATCTTACAAAATCCAATATGTATTACAGTTAAAAGGGAAATGAAGCTGATAGAAGCTTGAAGTGTGGACCTTGGAAATCCACTGATTAGCCAACACCGCCCTTTTATGTAGCCAGCTCTCTCTTTCTGTCTTCCAGTAGACATAACCTCTCTCCTTGGTTTTCATCCATTAGGCCTTGAGGTAGCTCCAAAAGTACAATTTGAAATCTATAGAATTCTTTATTTAAACCTTTTCAGCAATCCTCTGAAATGAGTGTTACTCTTTTCATCGTGTACATTAGAAAACTGAGACTCAGAGAAGTTAAATAATTTGATGTTCTTGATAGGTATGTATTTATCAGATGGCAGATGAGAAAATAATTTAATAAGATTAAGTATCCTTAAGGACTTGACCTTTAAAAACAGGAATGTTTCAAAGAATAGTCATTAAATTTTTCAGACTTTATAATAATTCTTCAGCCAGAGAAGATAAGTGACATAAACCCTCTCCTGGACCTTTTTTTTTTTAATACTTAGATTGAAAGTATCCTTACTAGAAAATAAAACAAAGACATATTATTGAAGAGTTTGCCTCCCAAAATGTGAAGCATTTCTTCTCTCCTTTTTGTGTGGGTTTAATTTTAATTTTGAAATCTTTTCAAAAATATTTTTATTTGGAGTTAAAGTTTTAACTATAACAAAATTTTATGCAGAAAATGATGCACTTGAATAAAGGACTGAATTTTAATCTTTCTGATGGTCTTCAGCATTAGTATTTGTGGTTTTTAAAACATGGAATTTTAAGTATAAATACTGTTAGGAATTAAGGCATTATGGTTAAATAATTATATTAAATGCATAACTTTGAAATCTTCTATAGCTAAAATCTCTTGTTTTAAAACTGATTTAAGTCCTCAAATGATTGTAAAGTTTATATGTATATTTATACATATAGTTAATATGTAACTGTTACTCTTGTATAAATTGCAGTAAAGCAAAACATTCTGGAGAAGTGAAAAATCACTCTCTAAATTCTACTTTGTAAATCTTCATAAATTTATAAAACTATATCAGAATGAAAATCAGAAAATTGAGACAGTGATTACTTGTCTCTAGTAGGTAGGGAGAGGAAGGTGATCAGGAAGGGATCAGTATATTAGGTACATGGTACATTTATTTTTTATATGGTACAAATACACTTTTTAATGTGTGAAATAATAGATTTTTTAAAGCTAACTTTAATATTTTAATTAGCATCTCTTTTAACAACAAGATTTCATGAATTTTTTTAAAATCAACATTTTATTGTTACATATACTCTGAAACATGCTTACATTTTACATAGCTAGGCTCTAAATGCCAATTTATAAATGACCTGGAAACATATAGTTCACAAAAATATATTACTAAGTGCATGTAGAGTAGTTTATGAAATTGCAACTTTAAGAAAAAGACTTAATGAAACAGTAAATGAAATGTATTCAAATTTATAATGCCTTGGATTTATTTCACGTCATATTGTCTGTATTACAGTTTTTCAATGGAAATTGTAGATTTTAACTTTTTATTGGTATTATCGTATATTTCCTTTGCTAATTTAATTATTTTTGCTAAGTTTTTCTTCTTTGCACAGACTAATCCATAGCAAAAACTAGAAAGACTTATTAGACTGGACGATATAAGGAAAGATTTTCGGGTGTTTTAAAATAAAGTATAGCTCTCCCTAAGCCTATACTTTTTATTTATTAGAGGTGATTTCTGTCTGCCTCATCCATGCTGTAACAGAGAACTTCAGTCTGATTCTCATAAATGGGACTCTATCATTTGTATATTTAAAGATTCTATAATTTCCATTGTGATAATGTAAATACACACTAATTTCAAAACCCCAAATAAATTCTACATAATCTGTAATTTGGAATTATCTGTGTCGCCCTTCGTCTGCATTTGCATAAAAATAAGTTACCCAAGATCCTATGTAAGTATGTTTAACAACTGCAAACATTTATTGACCATCTGTTATTTACAGAGTTCTCTGTTCAACCTACAAATACAAATAGAAAATATATTCTCTAAATTCAAGGAATTTATATTCTGTTTACTTGGTTTAAGTTTTCTTATACTTAATGGAACCAATAGTTTCTTTACAGTTTATCTTCTAGGATTCCTTCTCACTATCATTACTGATTTCTTGTTATTTGAGGTCTTTTAGTCTCACCTGCCTAGCTTTGGAATCGAAATGCAGATTACCTGTTCACCTTGTCTACTGTTTTCCTTTAAATAATCACAGAGTTACTTTAGTTTCTTAGTTTATCCAGCTATCTTCTAAAGTTATTTTAACTTCAGAGTTATGGAAAAACACCCTTTTATTGTGTCATATTTGCAGGTATTAGTGATAGAACAGAAAAATGAAGATGGAACATGGCCAAGGGGTCCTTCTACTCCTAAGTAAGTGCTCCCACTTCTTATGGCTTATTGTATGATTTTGAAGCCCTTGATGCTAGATAATCAAATCCACAATGATAGAAGAACCTAGATGTGTATTGCAGAAATTCATGCCTTGTTTATATTTGAGTATTTTGTTCTTAGTATACAAGCTATCTAAATTTGCTCTTAATTAATATGTTACTATTTTAAAAGCCTCCAATTCAAATATCTTAAGGCATAGTATAAATGTATGGTATAAATGAGAAAGTTGCGTTGTCTGATACAGTCAAATCATTAAACATTTGTTTAATTTCTTGAAGCTTTTTCGTGGTTTTTAAAAGTATCTTAAAATATTTCTTTATCAAAATGAATCTGATGTGAAAGTAATATATTTATTCAAATGAAAAGTTTTAGAATAAAAAAGAACAAATAGAGGTAGAGGAGTATATGAGGTATTTTTGAGGGTAAATGAAAGAAGAATTAGGAATCTTTTTATCTGTTTTAGAACTAATAGATCTACACTCCATTATCAAAACACAAGGCCAGTTGTGTTTAAATATACAGACTTCTCAAAGCTCTAAGAAGTAATATGGTACATGTCCCTCCATTACTGTAATGTTTCTGTTTCTGCAAAAGGACACTTCTTTATAATCAAACACATTAATATTTTTTCAGCAAATATTCACACTAAGTGGGATAAATAAGGACTATAAATAGCATTATATCAGTTCAGGTTAGGTTGCCACCAAATGAACTGTGAAAAAATTTTTAAGTTTTTGGAGCTTTGGAATTTCACATGTTCTGATAAGGGATTGTGAACATATATTTTGAAATTCTTAAAATAATGATATTTTTAAAAAACTAATAACAATTTAGTACATTTTAACCAAGTGAATAAAAAAATCTGCTACTTTATTTGATTTAAAACTACAATGCCCTCCGGGTGCAGTGGCACATCCCTGTAATCCCAGCACTTTGGGAGGCGAAGACAGGCAGATCAAGAGGTCAGGAGTTTAAGACCAGCCTGGCCAACATGGTGAAACCCCATCTCTACTAAAAATACAAAAATTAGCCAGGAGTGATGATGCATCCCTGTAATCCCAGCTACTCGGGAGGCTGATGCATGAGAATCACTTGAACCCAGGAGGCAGAGGTTGCAGTGAGCTGAGATCGTGCTGCTGTACTTCCAGCCTGGCCAACAGAATGCGACTTTCTCCAAAAAATAAATAAATATAAATAAATAAAATAAAACTACAATGTACCTTTTATAAGTGGTTTTCTATCCTTTTTTATCTTACGTGAAATTTTTTTTTCCCATTTAAAAATATCATGAGAAGGCACCTAAATATGTTAATTACATGGAGGTGATTTTTATTCTTACCCTACTTAGTTGGATGCAGTACAAGGGTAGAACTTAGTATAAAAGTAGAACTTTTAAGAAGATGTTAATATTAAAAGCATGTGGGTTGAATTATGGAGATTTCATAACTGATGAAGGTTTAGATAGGAATATTTTTTGTGAACATTTACTTTTAGTCTTCAAAGCAGAACCACTGTTGTTTCCTAAATGTTTAGATTGCTATGTACTTGCTATATCTTTAAGTTATTTTTGAAATTACAAAATTGTTTGTGGATTAATATTAAAAAAAACCCATGAGTTCTAAAGATTGAGAAATCTTTTCTACTTAAAATGACTGATTTTTGCCCAAAAGATGACTAATTTTATATTTTCTTTTATTCCCTAATAGCACAATATCATTTTTATTTATTCCAACAACTTTAGTACTTGGCTTTGTGTGAAAGAAAACAGAATTCCCTATGTAATACCCAACACACCATACTCATGCAATAAATATTGGTGAATACAGGTGCTGTACTAGAGATGACAAAAGTACAATTAAGAGTCCTATTTTTCACTGGATCTACTAGTTGAATAAGGATGCCATATACTAAAGCATAGAAAAGTTAAATATCCATTCCCTATAAAATCTAAGAAATACTATGCAGTAATATGTCATAAATTGCCAAATAATAATTTACTGTAATACAGAAAAAGATCTGCACCTATGTATGAAAAGATTCTCAGAAAACTAAGAATAAAGGGAAATTCTAACTTGATACATCCTGTGCACCTCAAGTCTATAGCAAAAGTTACATTTCATTGAGAAATTTTGAGCACAATTTAAGTAAGAGGAGAAGATAAGAAAGAAGAAATAAAGTTCACTATTCGTATATGATATAGTCATTTGTATAAAATCCAAAACAGCAAACTACTAGAACTGAGAAAATTCAGCAAGGTTGTCTAATATAAGATTAATTTATAAAAAGCAGTTGTTTTTTCTATACCGAGAGATCAGCAATCTTTTTTAAATGTTTTCAGCTTTGTGGGCCATATGGTCTCTGTCATAACTATAACTGCTGATGTAGTATGAAAGCAGCCTTAGACATCATGTCAAGACATGGCAATGCCTGTGTTCCAATAAAGCTTTCTTTGTAAGTAGATGGCAAGCTTGGATTTGGCCTGTGAGCCATAAATTTCTAACCCCTGCCATTTATCATGAGAAACCCACTTAGAAAATAGTCTAACAAAAATTAACTTAATTAAAAACGCATAAAACCTTCATGGGAAAAAAAAAATCTAAGTTTATTAGAAAATAAAAGATTGTTATGTGATATATGGCTTAACCTAGTAATGCCTGTTTTCTTTAAAGCACATCAGTGTCTCCTGTTCAAAATTTTTTTTTTCCTAGAAACTTGACAAATTCATTTTAAAGTTAGCATAGACCAATACAGGTCCAGAATTAGCTGAGTCAGTTTTGACAGAAAGAGGAAGGAAGGAACACTAGACCTACAAGGTAAATGAGAGTTACTGTAAAATTATACTAATAAAAACAACATAATGCTAGCAAAAGAAAGGCAAATAGATTGGTATAAACTAGTAATCTCAGAAAGATTCATGTATATTTGACAACTTGGTATATGATGTGGCACAACTAGGTAGTGAGGTTGCTTAAAGAAGATGATTATTTAGATTTAGTAGGAGTACTGGCTATTTGGAAAAAAAAGCTAGATCCCTACTTTCAACTTTATATGCAAAGGCTAACTCTTGAAGGATTAAAGACCTAAATAAGAAATATAACACTTATATTTAATGAATTCACTTATATTTAGTGAATATTCACTTATATTTAGTGAATAGTAGGCTGGGCATGGTGGCTTATGCCTGTAATCCCAGCACTTTGAGTGGTCAGGAGTTCAAGACCAGCCTGGCCAACATGGTGAAATCCTACCTCTACTAAAAATACAAAAATTAGCTGGTATGGTGGTGGACACCTGTAGTCCCAGCTACTCGGGAGGCTGAGGCAGGAGAATCACTTGAACCCAGGAGGCGGAGGTTTCCGTGAGCCAAGATCGTGCCACTGCACTCCAGCCTCGGTGACACAGTGAGACTCTATCTGAAAATAAATAAATAAATAAATGTGAATAGTAGAAATTTTGGAGAATAACTACATCATAGGGATCATAGAACATAATGTTCAAATTTAGTAGATCTGATTACATCAGAATTAAAGATTTCTGTTAAAAGAACTATACACAGAGTTAAAAGTCAGATGTCAGCTTTGGAACTTTTAAAACCTAAAGGGAATAATACCTGTAATATATTAAGAACTCCTAAAAGTTAACAGAAACAAAGAACAATAGCTTTTAAAAAAATAGGTAAAAGATACTAACAGACAATTTAAATAAAGGGTAGCTAAGTGCTAACAGGTAGATGAGAAGATAGACAAACTCACTAGTAATCAGAAAAAAATGAAAGTAAATGAGATACAATTTTTCACCCATCAAAATGACAAATATTTAAAAGTTTTCTGATGCCAAGTATTGGGTATGGTGTAGATATCTGTGTACTTACGATGTGAGTGTAAACTAATATTGTCATTCTGTAAACCAGTCAATAATTAAATCAGAAGTGTTTAATCCCTCTGACCCAGCACTCAGAGGAATTTTTAAACAGATCTTTGAGGATATAATCTTTGTAGCTGCATAGTTTGTAGTAGTGGGGATTTGGAGATAGCCTAGCTAAATATCCATCACTGGTAAATAGAGCAAATAAGAAAAATGAAATGGGAGTAACAATGGTGAGATCTTTAAAACTAGATGAAACTTTAAAACATACAGTTGAGAGAAAGAAACAATGAGATTCATAAATATTTAAGAAAATAGAAAAAGCACAGTAGAAGGAAATCGGAGTAGAGATAATAGGAGGAAAGAGGAAACAAGTTTGAGGAAATATCACTTGCTAAATTTATTTATATTATATTTCTATAGATGAAGCAAGGATGATACAGATTCTTTTTTCTGGATGAAGCCTGGCTTGAAAAAAAAACAAATGGGGCTGGGCACAGTGGCTCATGCCTGTAATCCTAGCACTTTGGGAGGCCGAGGCAGGCAGATCATTTGAGGTCAGGATTTCAAAACCAGCCTGATCAACATGGTGAAACCCCATCTCTACTAAAAATACAAAAATTAGGCATGGTAACAGGCGCCTGTAACCCCAGCTATTCAGGAGGCTGAGGCAAGGAGAATTGCTTGAACCCAGGAGGCAGAGGTTGCAGTGAGCCAAGATCACACCACTACACCCCAGCCTGGGTGATAGAGTGAGACTCCATCTCAAAAAAAAAAAAAAAAATAGAATGCCTCTGTGTTCATTGAAAAGCACATTTTAGGCTGAGCAAGGTGGCTCACACCTGTAATCCTAGCATTTTGGGAGGCCAGAATAGGAGTATCACTTGAGCCCAGGAGTTCAAGACGACTCTGTGCAACATAACAAGACCCCGTCTCTACAAAAAAAAAAAAACAAAAATTAGCCAGTTATGGTGGCATGCACCTGTAGTCTCAGCTACTCCAGAAGCTGGGGTGGGAAGATTGCATGAGCCCAGGAGTTCAAGGCTGCAAAGAGCTGTGATCACACAACTGCACTCTAGCCTGTGCAAAAGAGTGAGACTCTGTCTCCAAAAAGGAAAAAAAAAAAAAAAAACAGAAAAGCATGTTATAAGCACATGATGTTAGCTTAGGCAAATTTAACTCCAGCACAGAACACGTAATTTTAAGTCCTTAGGAAGGACTTCAAGATATTAAGATACAGAACAGTTTATACTCCTCAAAATTCTCACATTTGCCAGAAGACAACCCCTGGCCTTCAAGATGGCATGAAAATGCTAGTTCTGATATATATCACTAACCTGGAATTTGTCCATAATGTTGCATAGCACATAACCAGTTCCTAGCTAGGGTGTCAAACACCAAAGAAAGATAATTAAAGCTGTAATATGGTGATAGAAAGAAGAATCACTGGTAGAATTTATTAAAACAGTTTCCTGGGCCCCATCCTCAGAATTTCTTATTATGTCTGGGTGTGGCTCATTTCTAATAAGCTTGCAGGTCACACCAATGCTGTTGGTCTAAGGATGACACTCAGAAATTTTGTAGGTGATGTTTATTGACATTTACTAGGTGAACCACATAGTGGCATCCAGGGTTCCCACCCCAGACCAGCAAAATATAAATATAGTTAGCCAAGGAATTTGCATTTTAAGTACTTCATATGAACAAGAAAATAGAAGAATATTACCACAAGTAGGCACACGTGAAACCACATGTTAGTATTTTGTCTGTTCTATACTGCTGAAAATAGAGGAACCTACTTAGTGCTCTGATGTCCTATTGTATTGGCCCCATTTTGATTAGTTTTGAAACTGTGTCTTCAGCTGAAGCATAAATTTTTGGGCTCCTTGAGAAGAAATGCTAAATATTCAAAAAATGTTAAGGGTAAAATTTAATTTAAAACATGTAGTCATTTAGTTACAAAAAAAATATGTGTATATGCTTTTAATCAGCACCTAAAACAACTCAAAGTCTGTATTAGAGATCTAAGAACCTACCCAAAAAATACTCACTCAAAAGTCTTCTGTTCAAGCACAGTGGCTCACTCCTATGATCCCAGCACTTTGGGAGGCCAAGGTGAACGGATCACTTGAGGCCAGGAGTTTGAGACCAGCCTGGCCAACATGGTGAAACCCCGTCTCCACTAAAAATACAAAAATTAGCCAGGGGTGGTGGCGGCGCCTGTAGTCCCAGCTACTCGGGAGGCTGAGGCCGGAGAATCACTTGAATGCTAAAGGTGAAGGTTGCAGTGAGCTGAGATCGCGCCAGTGCACTCCACTTTGGGTAGCAGAGCAAGACTCTGTCTCAAAAAGAAAAAAAAAAAAAAAGTTTTCTAACTGAATTTTTCTACTAGATATCAACAAAGAATTTGAAATTTTTATTTTTATGTTCATGCTGCATTTTTAACACTACTTGTTTTATCAGGATTTGCATTTCTTATCTAGTTTTTAAGTTTGATTTCTTAAACAGCCTCTTAAAAACATGATCTTTTCTAATGATACCTTAGAAAAAGTTTTCCCCCCTAGTTTTAAAAATTCTGTAAAATTTCATTTCTTTTTTTTTAAGGATGTTAGCATTGGGTGGATAATCTAGTTGTTCTATTGCAGACGTGTAGCTAGTAAAATCTTGGATTTCTAAAAAATGATTTTACAGTGGAGTCATTATAGAAACCTGGGGGTTCCTAAAGAGAAAATTTGATTTAAATTTATTCATTTTCATTGATTAGTCAAAAAGTATTGTCAAAAGATATGTGCTTAAGTATTGGGTGGAAAAAAAATAAGAGTCATTGATGATTTTGAAGAGGTGATTTTTCTTGGACTGGAAAACATCCAGAGAAAAATGTACTATCGTCCAGAATAGGACATGAGTGGCAGAAAGAAAAATCAAATGGAAAACCATGCTAATAGCTCTTACTCATACACTGTCCCTCTGCCATTTGTGGTGTTCTGATTAAGGGAATTCCAAATTGATGACTGAAACACTATAAACTTAATTTCATGACACAATAGTATTTTCACAGCACTGTCTTCTTGAGTGCTCTGCTTGGAGAGAGGAAGAACTTTATAAATAAAACCATTGCATACTACTTTTTTGGTTGAGACAGATAGTAAGCACTTAGGTGATTCTGCAATATTCTGTTTTTATTTTTTTTACACTATCTTAAACGTCTTTAGAAATTTTTAGAGAGTATTCAATCCCTGTTTGCATTTATAACTGCGAAGCAGCTAAATGGATTTGGAAATGATGCATAGACTCATTTGGTTAAAAATTATTAAAATACATGTTGGCTGTAGCCATTCTTTATTCCTTGTCATTCAGCCAGTTCATACATTTCAGTAACACCAATCTTCAATTTGAAATGCAATCTGTGAACCATAAATCTAGAGTGATACTCCAAAATCTATAATTTGTTGTTGTTGTTGTTTTAAGACAGGACCTCACTCTCATTACCCAGGCTGGAATGCAGTGGAGCAGTCACAGCTCACTGTAGCCTCAAATTCCCAGGCTCAGGTGATCCTCCCACCTCAGCCTCCCAAGTAGCTGGGACTACAGGCACACCACCACACCTGGCTAATTTTTGGGTTTTTTTGTTCTTTTGTTTGTTTGTTTTGTTTTGTTTTTATAAAGATGGGGTTTCACCATGTTGCCCAGGCTGGTCTCCTGGGCTCAAGCAGTCTGCCCACTTCAGCCTCCCAAAGTGTTGGGATTACAAGTGTGAGCCACCATGCCCAGCTGTTATCTTTTTAAAAGACATTTTGAATCCTTAAATTTCCTTTTATGCCTTTTTTTATGTTGTTATTCTCATTAAGAAACAGATGTAGAATGGTGTTTTCTGAGACTTTAAAGTTGGAGGTAATGAAATAGCCAAACAAAAATGCTTAGGTTACAATTAAAGGGAACTGCAGTATGGAGTACTGAGAACTGCAGGTATGGAGTCATATTCCTATAAATGGGAATATAAGCATATATAAATTATCTAACCAAAAATGTAGAGACAACATACCAAAACCTTAAAGAGCATCCTGAGGTAATGAAGAAGGACAGTTGGCATCAAATAGAATAATCATGAAGGCTCAGGAAAACTTGTGCTGATTAAAACAAAAAATCCCTTATTTTTTAGGGATACATACATACTGTTGTGTTTTCAGGTGAAATTATGGGTGTCTAGAATTTGCTTCAAACTACTCCAGCAAAAGAGGGGGTCGGAGGGAAGCTGAAGGGATTATAGAAAAAGTAAGAATGGTAGAATGTTAATTTTTGAATACCATCCTTTTGTAGTGGCCATACTAATCTTCTCTGTATCGTTCCAATTTTGGTATATGTGCTGCTGAAGCGAGCACTAGAATGTTATTTTTAAAGCTAAGTTTCTGATATTAGGTACATGAGGGTTAATGTATGTTTCAAAATTTCTGTAATAAAGTTTAAAAATGGGTTGCAAGTTTTGGTGCTTAGATTCATAATTGGCTGAAAAAATTATTGTAATTTCATTTATTTAAAATGGAACATTTTGTGTTATCAAATATTATATGTAAAAGTAAGCAGTCAAAATAAGGAAAAATAGAGCTATGAAAAACAATTTATATATAGTATAAATCTACTTAAACTCTCTTTTGTGTATCTTTAAGTACCTAACACCCTACCTGGCATATAGGAAGCATACAGTAAATGCTGTTGAACTGAACTAATCTGTATCTTACAACAGTAAAAGTGTTTAATTTTTTAGGAGATTTAGAATTTTCTTTTTCTTTCAGAACTTGTCTTAGAATGTTGATTAGAAATGGAGAGTGTAATGTTGGTCTTGTTTTAGTTACTAAGCTAATTTTTGTTTTATGATGTTAGGTTGTATGAAGTTACGTTGTTTTACAATGTTGGGTTTGAAAATATAAAAATCTTTAAATAACTGTTTTGCTGTCTCAACGTTCAGACTTAACTTCTCTGTATTTTGGTTGCTTAATATGGTGGTAGATTTCCATGAGTGTTAAATGTTTAGTTGACTTACTAAAAGCAAGTTATGTTTTTCTATTGAAGTAAGAGGCTCAACTTAGCCTTGAATTGCATGTTTTTAGTTGAAACATATTGGGCATAGGGAAATTCAGATACTACAAACTTCCATTTGTCAGGAGTAAGGCTGAATTTTCTGTCTTCATGAAACCACTTCAGCTAAATGGAAGTCTTACCTTTTTCTGTCTGAGGGCACGATATGTTACACCTAGCCCAAACTGGCCAAAATTAGTTTAATTCTAGGTAAGTGGTTTGATGTCTAGTTAATGTATGATATTCTTAGCACTTTTTTTTCTCCTTTTTCTAGAAAGCCACTAGAGCAGAGTTGCTAGTGAACAGTTTAATTTCCACATACGTCACAGAAAGAGAGCTAAAGGGCTCTGGTTATCATCCACAGACTGACCAGTCAACCCCTAAATAACCTGATATTAACTCCACAAATGTTAGCTAGATTGGACCATGTGTAATCTGAGTCAGAAGTCGGAATCAGAAGAGATAAATGATGCGTTATCACTCAACAGTAATGTCTGCAACAGTATTGTAAAATTGTTGTACTTTACCTGTCGACCACATCCATCCTTAGCTCTCTGATCACCTTACTATTTAAGGACAGTCCCTCTACTCTACCTGTAGTATTTATCTCAATGCTTCCTGGTCCTTGCTTTTTCTTTTATTATCTCCTCTCTCCTACATATATAAATGCCTAGCATAGTGCCACACATATGGTAAACACCAGTTTATTATTTTTATTTCTTTTCTAATGTCATCTTCCCCCTCAGCCTATGAATATAAACACATCTTCATCTTTAAAACCAAAAACCATATACTTCCTCCATTTACCATCCTTAAGCTTTTTTTTCTTTGACAGCCACCTACATTTAAAAGGCTATACTTAATGTTGCTTGCCACCCATTCAGGATTTAACAAAGTTCTTATTTGTCTTTCTTTTAACCTAGTTTATTTGACCTGTCTTTAGTATTTCTTTTTGATAACCATCTTCTAAAGAAATTCTCTGAATTTGAATGCATGATACGACCTTTTATGCCAAGGACTTTGCCTCTCTGACCAGTCCTTTGTCTGTCTAGCTCGGTTCCTCTTTAGGGTTGCCACATTTAGTTTTGCAAATTGTGCACAGCTCTAGGAGGCATCATTCATATCATATGTAGTCTATGTGATAGGCCCTCCTTGGCACGGTGCAGTGCAGCTTCACTAACTGTTTGCAGCAGCTCTACTCAGACCTTAAATGCATTGACATTCACTAAATTTCTGTCAGAAGACCTCTTTTATCATACCATAGTAGGTGTTCAAAATTAGGTGATTCTATGCTAATCCTCTCCCCCAGCTCAAACTGACACAAAATATGCCATTCTGTATTTCTAGACTAGACCACTTTTCTGAATTCCAGATTTTTCATAAATTTCATGTAGGACTCACCACCTCAAATTAAACCAAATCTTTTTACCCCTCCTTCTCCCATCCCCTCAACCTAAACTGTCTTCATTTCCTGTATTGCCTATTTCAAGTACCATCCAAGAGCCATCCTGAGTTCCTCCTCCAGCCTTTCTTCTCTTGTCTAGTTAGTCAGCAAGTCTTGCAGATTCTGCCTCCTCACCTGAAGTTTTCAAACAGTACCCCTTTACATTCTTGAAAATTATTAAAGATCCAAAGAACTTCTGTTATATGGGTTATAGCTGTTAATATTTGTCATATTCGAAATTGAAATAAGATTTTAAGGTATTTTAAAATAACAGTACAAAACCATTGTATTTTGACATGAATAACACTTTTATGAAAATAACTATATTCCAAAACAATAAAATTACCAAAAAGTTGCATTGTTTTTTATTTTTGAAATTTCTTTACTATCTGACTGAATAGAGGACAGCTAAATTCTTGTATATTCTTCTGCATTTAATTTATTGTAATACAATGTTTGGGTTGAAGTACATGAAGCAAAATCAGCCTCACACAGATACATAGTTGAAAAGGAGTATTTTCAGATCATTAATACTACATCAAAACTTGACTAGTGGTGGTTTAAGTCTTAAAGTTAAATGATAGAATCTGAAACCATATCAATGAACCTTTTATAGTATTAAAATCTTTCAAATGTAAATTTCATGCATTTTGGTCATTTGGGAAATATTCACGGAGTTATGCAGATCTTCCAAATGTTGACACATTTTATTCTACAATTTTTTTCAAATCACATTTTTTAAAACATCACCTATCTTATGAGAAACGCCTAAGTATTGGGAAGCTGTCAACTTTGTGGTGTCAGAGTCAAGTTTTCCAAGATTCTAATTCTTCATCGAAAGCCCAAATTTTATCATTGGCTGCAAATACATTGTTTTCCTTAAAGACACAGCCTTCCTTCATTCATTTTTCAGAAAACCTCTGCTTGATAGCTGTATTAGTCCATTTTCATGCTGCTGATAAAGACATATAGGAGACGGGGCAATTTACAAAAGAAAGAGGTTTATTGGATTTACAGTTCCACATGGCTAGCGAGGCCTCACAATCATGGTGGAAGGCAAGGAGGAGCAAGTCACGTCTCAGAGCTTGTGCAGAGAAACTCCCGTTTTGTTTTGTTTTGTTTTTTGTCTTTTTTAAATTTTATTTTATTTTAAGTTCTGGGATACACGTGCAGAATGTGCAGGTTTGTTACATAGCTATGCATGTGCCGTGGTAGTTTGCTGCACCTATCAACCCATCATCTAGGTTTTAAGCCCCACATGCATTAGGTATTTGTCCTAATGCTCTCCCTCCCCTTGCCCCCACCCCCCAACAGGCCCTGGTGTGTGTTGTTCCCCCTCCCTGTGTCCATGTGTTCTCATTGTTCAACTCCCACTTATGAGTGAGAACATGTGGTGTTTGATTTTCTGTTCCTGTGTTAGTTTGCTGAGAATGATGGTTTCCAGCTTCACCCATGTCCCTGCAAAGGACATGAACTCATTCTTTTTTATGGCTGCATAGTATTCCATGGTGTATATGTGCCACATTTTCTTTATCCAGTCTATCAGGATGGAGATTTGGGTTGGTTCCAATTCTTTGCTGTTGTAAATAGTGCTGCAATAAACATACATGTGCATGTGTCTTTATAGTAGAATGGTTTATAATCCTTTGGGTATATACCTAGTAATGGGATTGCTGGGGCAAATGGTATTTCTGGTTCTAGATCCTTGAGGAATCGCCACACTGTCTTCCACAATGGTTGAACTAATTTACGGTCCCACCAGTAGTGTAAAAGCATTCCTGTTTCTCCACATCTTCTCCAGCATCTTTTGTTTCCTGACTTTTTAATAATCACTATTCTGACTGGTGTGAGATGGTATCTCATCGTGGTGTGATTTGCATTTGTCTAATGACCAGTGATGAAGAGCTTTTTTTCATATGTTTTTGGCTGCATAAATGTCTTCTTTTGTGAATTGTCTGTTCATATCCTTTGCCCACTTTTTGATGGGATTTTTCTTTCTCATGTAAATTTGTTTATGTTCCTTGTAGATTCTGGATAATAGCCCTTTGTCAGATGGATAGATTGCAGAAATTTTCTCCCATTCTGTAGGTTGCCTGTTCACTCTGATGATAGTTTCTTTTCCTGTGTAGAAGCTCTTTAGTTTGATTAGATCCCATTTGTCAATTTTGGCTTTTGTTGTGATTGCTTTTGGTGTTTTAGTCATGAAATCATTGCCCATGACTGTGTCCTGAATGGTATTGCCTAGGTTTTCTTCTAGGTTTTTATGGTTTTGGGTTTTACATTTAAGTCTTTAATCTATCTTAATTTTTTATAAGGTATAAGGAAGGGGTCCAGTTTCTGTTTTCTGCATATGGCTAGCCAGTTTTCCCAGCACTGTTTATTAAATAGGGAATCATTTCCCTATTGCTTGTATTTGTCAGGTTTGTGTAAGATCACATGGTTGTAGATGTGTGGAGTTATTTCTGGGGTCTCTGTTCTGTTGCATTGGTCTATATATCTTTTTTGGTACCAGTACCATGCTGTTTTGGTTACTATAGCCTTGTAGTATAGTTTGAAGTCAGGTAGTGTGATGCCTCCAGCTTTGTTATTTTTGCTTAGGACTGTCTTGGCTATACAGGCTCATTTTTTGTTTCACATGAAATTTAAAGTAGTTTTTTCTAATTCTGTGAAGAATGTCAATGTCAATTCAATGGGGATAGCATTGAATCTATAAATTACTTTGGGCAATGTGGCCATTTTCACAGTAGTTCTCCTTGAAGAGGTCCTTCACGTCCATTGTAGGTGGTATTCGTAGGTATTTTATTCCCTTTGTAGCAGTTATGAATGGGAGTTCACTCATGATTTGGCTCTCTGCTTGTCTATTTTCGGTGTATAGGAATGCTTGTGATTTTTGCACGTTGATTTTGTATCCTGAGATTTTGCTGAAGTTGCTTATCAGGTTAAGGAGATTTTGGACTGAGACAATGGGCTTTTCTAAATATACAATCATGTCATCTGCAAACAGAGACCATTTGACTTCCTCTCTTCCTATTTAAATACTCTTTATTTCTTTCTCTTGCCTAGTTGCCCTGGCCAGAACTTCCAGTACTTTGTTGAATAGGAGTGGTGAGAGGGCATCCTTGTCTTGTGCTGGTTTTCAGAGGGAGTGCTTCCAGCTTTTGCCCATTCAATATGATATTGGCTATGGGTCTGTCATAAATAGCTCTTATTATTTTGAGATATGTTTCATCAATAGTTTATTGAGAGTTTTTAACATGAAGGGATGTTGAATTTTATTGAAGGCCTTTTGTGCATCTATTGAGTTACTTATGTGGTTTTTGTCATTGGTTCTGTTTATGTGATGGATTACTTTTATTGATTTGCATATGTTGAACCAGCTTTGCATCCCAGGGATGAAGCTCACTTGATCATGGTGGATAAGCTTTTTGATGTGCTGCTGGATTCGGTTGACCAATATTTTATTAAGGATTTTTGCATCAATGTGCATCAGGGATATTGGCCTGAAATTTTCTTTTTTTGTTGTGTCTCTGCCAGCTTTTGGTATCAGGATGATGCTGGCCCCATAAAATGAGTTAGAGAGGAGTCCCTCTTTTTCAATTGTTTGGAATATTTTCAGAAGGAATGGTACCAGCTCCTCTTTGTACCTCTGGTACAATTTGGCTGTGAATCAGTCTGGTCCTGGGCCTTTTGTGGTTGGTAGGCTATTGATTACTGCCTCAATTTCAGAACTTGTTATTGGTCTATTCAGGGATTCGACTTCTTCCTGGTTTAGTCTGGGGAGGGTGTATGTGTCCAGGAATTTATCCGTTTCTTCTAGATTTTCTAGTTTATTTGCATAGAGGTGTTTATAGTACTCTCTGATGGTAGTTTTTATTTCTGTGGGATCAGTGGTGATATCCCCTTTATCATTTTTATTGTGTCTATTTGATTCTTCTCTCTTTATTCTTCATTAGTCTAGCTAGCAGTCTATCTATTTTATTTTTTTCCAAAAAACCAGCTCCTGGATTCGTTTATTTTTATTTTTTGAAGGGTTCTTCCTGTCTCTATCTCCTTCAGTTCTGCTCTGATCTTAGTTGTTTCTTGTCTTCTGCTAGCTTTTGAATTTGTTTGCTCTTCCTTCTTTAGTTCTTTTAATTGTGATATTAGGGTTTCAATTTCATATCTTTCCAGCTTTCTGATATGGGCATTTAGTGCTATAAATTTCCCTCTACACACTGCTTTAGCAGAATCTCTGGTACATTGTCTCTTTGTTCTCATTGGTTTCAAAGAACTTCTTTATTTCTGCCTTCATTTTGTTACTTACTCAGGAGTCATTCAGGAGCAGGTTCTTCAATTTCCATGTAGTTGTGCCATTTTGGGTGAGTTTCTTATCCTGAGTTCTTACTTGATTGCACTGTGGTCTGAGAGACTGTTAGGATTTCTGTTCTTTTGCATTTGCTGAGGAGTGTTTTACTTCCATTTATGTGATTGATTTTAGAATAAGTGCCATGCGGTGCTGAGAAGAATGTATATTCTGTTGATTAGTGGTGAAGAGTTTGTAGATGTCTGTGAGGTCCACTTGATCCAGAGCTGAGTTCAAGTCCTGAATATCCTTGTTAATTTTCTATCTCATTGATCTGTCTAGTATTGACAGTAGGGTGTTAAAGAGTCCCACTATTATTGCATGGGAGTCTGAGTCTCTTTCTAGGTCTCTAAGAACTTGTTTTATGAATCTGGGTGCTCCTATATTGGGTCCACATATATTTAGGATAGTTAGCTCTTCTTGTGGCATTGATCCCTTTACCGTTATGTAATGCCCTTCTTTGTCTTTTTTGATCTTTGTTGGTTTTATGTCTGTTTTATCAGAGACTAGTATTTCAACCCCTGCTTTTTTTTTTTCCTTTCCATTTGCTTGGTAAGTACTCCTCCAACCCTTTATTTTGAGCCTATGTATGTCTTTGCATGTGAGATGGGTGTCCTGAATAAAGCACACCAATGGGTCTTGACTCTTCATCCAATTTGCCAGTCTATGTCTTTTAATTGGGGCATTTAGCCCATTTATATTTAAGGCTAAATATTGTTATGTGTGAATTTGATCCAGTCATCATGATGCTAGCTGGTTTTTTTGCACATTAGTTGATGCAGTTTCTTCATAGTGTCATTGGTCATTATATTTTGGTGTGTTTTTGCAGTGGCTGGTACCAGTTTTTCCTTTCCATATTTAGTGCTTCCTTCAGGAATTCTTGTAAGGGCTACCTGGTGGTGACAAAATCCCTCTGCATTTGCTTGTCTGGAAAGGATTTTATTTCTCCTTTGCTTCTGAAGCTTTGTTTGCCTGGATATGAAACTCTGGGTTGAAAAATCCTTTCTTTAAGAATGTTGAATATTGGCCCCCACTCTCTTCTGGCTTGTAGGGTTTCTGCAGAGAGATCTGCTGTTAGTCTGATGGGCTTCCCTTTGTAGGTGACCTGACCTTTCTCTCTGGCTGCCCTTAACGTTGTTTCCTTCATTTCAACCTTGGAGAATCTGACGATTATGTGTCTTGGGGTTGATCTTCTCATGGAGTATCTTAGTGGTGGTCTGTGTATTTCCTGAATGGGAATGTTGGCCTGTCTTACAAGGTTGGGGAGGTTCTCCTGAACTAGGTTGAGGAAGTTCTCCTGAGAGTTCACGTCTCTCTGAAGTGTGTTTTCCAACTTGGTTCCATTCTCCCCGTCACTTTCAGTTACACTAATCAATTGTAGGTTTGGTCTTTTCACATAGTCCCATATTTCTTGGAGGCTTTGTTCATTCCTTTTCATTCTTTTTTCTCTAATCTTGTCTTCACACCTTATTTCAGCAAGGTGATCTTCAATCTGTGGTATCCTTTCTTCCGCTTGATCGATTGAGCTATTGATACTTCTGTATGCTTCTCTGATTTCTCGTGCTATGTTTTTCAGTTCCATCAGGCCATTTATGTTCCTCGCTAAACTGGTTATTGTAGTTAGCAGTTCCTGTAACCTTTTATCAAGGTTCTTAGCTTCCTTGCATTGGGTTAGAACATGCTGCTTTAGCTCAGAGGAGTTTGTTATTACCCACCTTCTGAAATCTTTTGTTAATTCATCAGTCTCAGTCTCCATCCAGTTTTGTGCCCTTGCTGGAGAGGAGTTGTGATCATTTGGAGAAGAAGCATTCTGGCTTTTGGAATTTTCAGCGTTTTTGTGCTGGTTTATCCTCATCTTCATGATTTGTCTACCTTTGGTCTTTGAGGCTGATGACCTTTGGATGGGGTTTTTATTGGGGGGTCTTTTTGTTGATGTTGTTGCTTTCTGCTTGTTTGTTTTTCTTCTAACAGTCGGGCCCCTCTTCTGCAGGTCTGCTGCAGTTTGCTGGAGGTCTACTCCAGACCCTGTTCGCCTGGTTATCACCAGTGGAGGCTGCAGAACAGCAAAGATTGCTGCCTACTCCTTCCTCTGGAAGCTTCGTCCCAGAGGGGCACTGGCCTGATGCCAGCCGGAGCTCTCCCGTATGAGGTGTCTGTCAACCCCTGTTGGGAGGTCTCTCCCAGGCAGGAGACACGGGATCAGGGACCCACTTGAGGAGGCAGCCTGTCCCTTAGCAGAGCTGGTACGCTGTGCTGGGAGAATCCCCCTTGTCAGGATCAGCTGCTCTCTTCAGAGCCAGCAGCCAGGAAAGATTAAGTCCACTGAAGCTACACCCACAGCCGTCCCTCCCCCCAGTGTCTCTGTCCCAGGGAGATGAGAGTTTCATCTGTAAGCCCCTGGCTGGGGCTGCTGCATTTTCTTCAGAGATGCCCTGCCCAGTGAGGAGGAATGTAGAGAAGCAGTCTGGCCACAGCCACTTTGCCACACTGTGGTGAATCCTGCCCAGTCAAAACCTCCCAGTCTCCATAGCACTGTCAGGGGAAACCACCTACTAAAGCCTCAGTAATGGCAGATGCCCCTCCCCTAAACAAGCTCGATCGTCCCAGGTCAACTCCAGACCTGTGCTGGCAGTGAGAATTTCCAGCCAGTGGTTCCTAGCTTTCTGGGATCCATGGGAGTGGGACCCGCTGAGCGAGACCACTTGGCTCCCTGGCTTCAGCCCCCTTTCCAGGGGAGCGAATGGTTCTGTCTCGCTGGCATTCCAGGCACCACTGTAGTTACGAGAAAAACTCCTACAGCTAGCTCAGTGCCTGCCCAAACAGCCACCCAGTTTTGTGCTTGAAACCCAGGGCCCTGGTGGTGTAGGCACAGGAGGGAATCTCCTAATCTGCAGATTGCAAAAACCATGGGAAAAGCGTAGTACCCGGGCCAGGTAGCACAGTCCCTCATGGCTTCCCTTGGCTGGAGGAGGGAGGTCCCCCAACTCCTTGCACTTCCCTGGTGAAGCAGTGCCCCACCCTGCTTCTGCTCACTCTCTGTGGGTTGTACCCACTACCTAACCAGTCCCAATGAGATGGATACCTCAGTTGGAAATGCAGAAATCACCTACCTTCTCCATTGATCTCCCTGGGAACCTCAGACCAGAGCTGTTTCTATTTGGCCATCTTGGCCCCTCCCCGAAACTGCCATTTTTAAAACCATCAGATCTCATGAGACCCATTCACTATCACAGAACAGCATGGAAAAGACTCGCCTCCATGATTCAGTCATCTCCCACAAGGCCCATCCCACAACACATGGGAATTACAGGAGCTACAAGATGAGATTTGGGTGGGGACACAGAGCCAAACCATATCATTCTGCCCCTGGCCCCTCCCAAATCTCATCTCTTCACATTTCAAAACCAGTCATGCCCTCCCAACAGTCCCCTAAAGTCTCAACTCATTTCAGCATTAACTCAGAAGTACACAGTCCAGTGTCTCATTCAAGACAAGGCAAGTCCCTTCCACCTATGAGCCTGTAAAATCAAAAACAAGTTAGTTACTTCCTAGATACAAGGAAGATACAGGCATTGGGTCAACACAGCCATTCCAAATGGGAGAAATTGGCCAAAACAAAGGGTCTATAGGCCCAGTGCAAGTCCGAAATCCAGCAGGGCAGTCAAATCTTAAAGCTCCAAAATGATCTCCTTTGACTCCATGTCTTGCATCTGGGTCACGCTGGCACAAGAGGTGGGCTCCCACAGCCTTGAGCAGCTCTTTCCCTGTGGCTTTGCAGGGTGTAGCCCCACTCCTGGCTGTTTTCATGGGCCAGCATTGTCTGCAGCTTTTCCAGGTGCACAGTGCAAGCTGTCAGTAGATCTACCATTCTGGGGTCTGGAGGACAGCGGCCCTCTTCTCACAGCTCCAGTAGGTGGTGCCCCAGTAGGGACTCTCTATGGGGGCTCCAAACCCATATTTCCCTTCCTGGCTGCCCTAGCAGAGGTTCTCCATGAGGACCCCGCCCCTACAGCAACTTCTGCCTGGTTATCCAGGCGTTTCCATACATCCTCTGAAATCAAGGTGGAGGTTCCCAAACCTCAATTCTTGACTTCTGTACACACACAGGCCCAACACCACATGGAAGCTGCCAAGATTTGGGGCTTCCACACTCTGAAGCAACAGCCTGAGCTGTACCTTGGCCCCTTTTAGCCATGGCCAGAGCAGCTGAAACACAGGGTACCAAGTCCCTAGGCTGCACAGAGCAGGGTGGTCCTGGGCCCAGCCCATAAAACCATCTTTCCTTTTAGGCCTCCAGGCCTGTGATGGGAGGGGCTGCTGTGAAGACCTCTGACATGCCCTGGAGACATTTTCCCCATTGTCTTGGGGATTAACATTTGGCTGCTCGGTACTTTTGCCGGCTTGAATTTCTCCTCAGAAAATGGGATTTTCATTTCTATTGCATTGTCAGGCTGCAAATTCTCCAACCTTTTATGCTCTGTTCCCATTATAAAACTGAATGCCTTTAGCAGCACCCAAGTCACATCCTGAATGGTTTGCTGCTTAGATTTCTTCTGCCAAATTCCCTAAATCATCTCTCCCAAGTTCAAAGTTCCACAAATCTCTAGGGTCGGGGCAAAATGCCACCAGTCTCTTTGCTAAAACATAACAAGAGTCACCCTTGCTCCAGTTCACAAGTTCCTCATTTCCATCTGAGACTACCTCAGCCTGGACTTTATTGTCTATAACAGTGTCAGCATTTTGGTCAAAGCCATTCAGCAAGTCTCTAGGAAGTTTTAAACTTTCCCACATCGTCCTGTCTCCTGAGTCCTCCAAGTCTCCAGGAAGTTCCAAACTTTCCCACATTTTCCTGTCTTCTGAGTCCTCCAAACTGTTCCAACCTCTCTGCCTATTACCCAGTTCCAAAGTTGCTTACACATTTTCGGGTATCTTTTCAACAACACCCCATTCTACTGGTACCAATTTACTCTTTTAGTCAGTTTTCATACTGCTGATAAAGACATACTTGAGACTGGGCAATTTACAGAAGAAAGAGGTTCATTGGACTTAACAGTTCCACGTTTCTGGGGTGGGGGGGCCTCACAATCATGGCAGAAGGCAAGGAGGAGCAAGTCATGTCTTACATGGATGGTGGCAGGCAAAGAAAGAGAGCTTGTGCAGAAAAACTCCCATTTTTAAGACCATCAGATCTTGTGAGATTCATTCACTATCACAAGAACTGCATGGGAAAGACCCGCCCCCGTGATTCAATCATTTCCCACCAGGACCCTCCCACAACACCAGAGGATTATGAAAGCTACAAGATGAGATTTGGGTGGGGACACAGAATCAAACCATATCAATAGTCAAGTTCACATAACCACACGTAGTCGTTTCCTAACGTAAAAGAGAAAAAAGAGTGGTGTCATGAAAACAATGACTGGTTCCACTTGTAGTTCATGCAGTTCAAATAACTACACAAGCTTTTCCTCATGACAGCCATGATACTTCAGTTTGTAGCAGATATGCTTTATGCAAACTTCCCAGTTTGTCAGATAATATTAAAAAGAAATATAAGAGTTAAGATTTAATAAAATCAATAATTTTTTATTTTTTTCAATGTGGATATTCTCAAGTGAAACTTTTTTACTGTGATGTGAAGTATAGGTTAGTGCTACTCCTTTGATTCATGCTAAGGTTTCAGCAGTTTTATCCACCATTGCTTTTGCACTATCAGTGCCAATATCCACTCAGTGAAAGAGGTCAAATAACATTTAAATAACACTTTGATATTATTATGAAAATAGTTTTGACCTCACCAATGGACACCTTAAAAAGGGTCTTGATGACCCCCAGGATCCATGGACTATACTTTGAGAACTGCTTCCTAAACATCCAAGATATGTTGCCCTTGCCCACTCTACTTTCTTAACTCCACCCCTTATTAATTCTTACCTTTGTTGTTTTTATAGTTCCCTAACTGGTCTCCCAATCTTCAGTCTTTTTCTCTTCCTTAAAAGTTCCTAGAATAGAAATCTGATTTTGTTGATACACTATTAAAATCTTTCCACATGCTCCAGCACAATTGGATAAAATCCAGATTTCTTCATAGAATATAAAAGACCCTTTATTATCATACCTACCTTAGTAACCTCTGTTCCTGTCAGTACTTCCTAGTCTTTCAGCCAAGCTGAATTTACTGGTAATTCCCTGAACACATCATGGTTTCTACATGATTTCTACATGCTATTCTTCCTAACTGTAATACTCTTTTACTTCCCACCTATCCCTCTAATTGTACGTCATTTTTAAATCACCTTATGTCACCACCTACAAAATTTTATATTAGAATTTGTTATCATACTTGTATTGTATTATAGTCATTTTGCTTATATGTCATTTTTTCCTATTGTGAGCTGTTTGAGGTCAGGAACTGTGTCTTTCTTTGTATTCCCAGTACTTATCAAGGGTGAGGCATACAGTAGTCATTTAATAAATGTTTGAGTGTTTAAATGAACTCCATAAAAACTGAAAATACAAATTAATTCCATGGTATTTCATTTTCTTTTCCAATATAGTTCTCAGAGTTGCTAATTAATAATAAAAAAGGCCACAGATGAGAAGAAAAAGAAAAAAGTGTGTGTGTGTACATATATATATGTACACAGACATACACAGTGTGTGTGTATATACACAAAGTGTATACACTGTGCATATATATTATATATAATATATATGTCTCAGTCACTTTATTGGATGAAGCAATGGATCTTTATTTCCATAATTTTTACTATAAGATTCAGGGGAACATTCGATTTATATATGTTTTTGAAAAGTTGTAATGAATTACATTTTAAAAAATTAACCTCCTTAATTTATTATAACTCAGTCTCTAATCAATTTAGACGTTTTTTCCTAATTTAGAATTCTTAATGTGGAGGCAAAAATGCCAGGATATTTCCATTTTTATTAATATTTTAAAACTACTATCTGGGAATATTAGGATTATTAAAATTACTTTTTAAGTGTGTTCTATACATTGTTTTATGAGAAAACTTGGTTGATTCTATTTTGTTTTTGAGTTTAGTACAGTAAAATAAAATCTTGTTAAAGGGACTTCTATCAGAAGGGTACGTAACTAGAAATCCCACTTAACAGAATCCAGTAATATATATCATTTATCAGCTAAAACAACCTCGTTGAAAAGAAAACATTTTTTTCTAAGATTTTATAATGTATAAAACTTTAAAAGTTAAATTAGGCCTGGTGCAGCCTGTAATCACACCTGTAGTCCCAGTGCTTTGGGAGGCTGAGGCAAGAGGATCACTTGAGGCCAGGAGTTTGAGACTAGGCTGGGCAATATGGTGAGATCTCTGTCTCTGCAAAAAAAATTTGTTTTTAAATTAGCTGGGCACGGTGGCACACGCCTATAGTTTCAGTTTCTCAGTAGGCTGAGATGGAGGAGCTCTTGAGCCTGGGAGGTCAAGGCTGCAGTGAGCTGTGATTGTGTCACTGCCCCCCAGCCTGGGCAACAGAACGAAACCCTGTCTCTAAAAAAGTAAATAAAAATGAAATTTAAAATGTACATTTTTTTATATTTAAAAAATTTTATTGCCCACCATTTGTTCTGCATAATGCATTGTAGATATATATATTTAGATAAATCCAAATCACCTAAAAGCAAATTTTGTAGATTATGCTTTTCTGCCTGTTGACCATTTCATTGTTCGTTAGCATAATATTTAAAAGTGAATCATTCGGGGCCTCACTGATTTAAAATTTACAATGACTGAGTCACTGGACTGAAGCCTAGCTTTTTACAGCCCCTTGCCTAGATGTTGCCTAGTAAATTAAAATAACATGTTTACAAAATTACAAGGGGAAATAAAACTTTTAGTGACCTTTATGTACTTAAATTATTGCTGTATTATAGATTTGTTGATTATAAGTCATGCCTTTAATACATACTTGTTGATTAAAAACCAATAGTAATTGCAGTTTCTTCAAAAAGATTCTGAATTAATAAGGTATGTATACTATAGTCAGATTTATGACTTTTCCCTTTGGCCAAATATAGCATATTGGGATTATGCTTGGAATTATTTTATCTATTTTGTCCCCATTGCCTTAAATTTTTAAAAATTGGAATGTTCTCTGATCTCTGTGTCAGTGTTGTACATAATTAGAATGCCATGGTGTACCAGTGAGAAACAAAGTAGAATAGTTTAATTCCATTGACTGATGGAAATTGATCGTAAAATGTTAAAAATGGTTACCTAAACTCGGAAATGGGTATATGTAGTTAGTAGATTTATAGGAATAATAGCAAGTCGCATATTTAATTTGATAAATTTTATTTGAAAATAGTTCCCTTTTGTACTTTTATGTTTTTATAAGGAATAATACATTCAAAATTGAAAACCAAAGGATAATAGTGATTTTGCTCATAAATCTATTTTTCAGCATTCATTTACTACAAACATTGTCATCTGTTCTTTTATTTCATAATTAATTTAAAAATTCTTCATTTTTTTATCTAATTTAACATTTTCATATTTTTAAAGGTCCCCAGGTGCATCCAATTTTTCAACTTTACCAAAGATCTCTCCTTCATCTCTATCAAATAATTATAACAACATGAACAACAGAAAGTAAGCACTGAATCTTAAAAACTCTTTGTTTAATTGATCACCCTATTATGGTTGCAAAAAATCTCTTGTATCTAAAATTTAGGATAAAAGTCTTAATGCATTAAAATTGGTTTTCTTTTAAATTACCGGTCAGTTCTTCCATGAGTAACAACAAAAAAGAAAGCAATTAAATTGCTTCTTGATTTAATACATATACTGAAAGAAATAAAACACTTAAATTTTATATACTAAACACTAATCATTAAAATATATTTAGAAGTTTGTTAGAACACAACTTTTTAGGAAGAATTTAAATTCAGATGTCATTTTAGAACTAGATGTGTAATCACATATAATAAAGTATTTTTAAAAAGTGTGTATCAGTGATTCTCAAGTGGAAAGCACACAATAAATTTTTGTTTATGAAAAAGGCAATCACTTTTTCTTGAGAAGTTCAGAAAAACAATTTCCTTACCTCTTGCCAAATAAAATTTAGAATCATGGAATTTATAAAAATTTTATTGAAGTGTGTGTTATATTGCTATAAGAAAAACAGTTGAAAGTCAAGGTTACACAGCTTCACTCTGAGTGTATTATCTTGTATTGACTCTTAGTGTATTACCTTGAACATTGACATGTTTTTTTAATTCAAAAAGGAAAAAAGAAAACCTTTATTATTTGTAATTAGCCCAAATTGTGGGAAGAACATTGATCTAGAGATGATTATCCTTTTATTTTTTTTTGACATGTATAGTGCCTTTTATGGATTAGATTGAAAGTATTTAGATATTTGCACTAACATATTAGTATTAGATATTTATCTAATACTTATACTAATTATGTATTACTATTATACTAATCAAAAATTTTAGTATTTAGATTTTTTTCAGTTTCTAAATGGCATCTGATTATCTCAGTGAGTAAATTCTAAAAGACTAAAGCTATTTGTGAAATAATCTTTAAAATTAAAACACCAATAATTAAATTAAAACACCAATAATTAAAACACCAATAGTTAAATTTATTTTCTAACAGCTCAGAAACAGATCTTTGTATAAAAAGAATTTAATATGATCAGGAGGCATTGTAGACTAATACGAATGGGCAGATTATCCAGGAAATATGGTTGAGAAAATTGGCTCATATCTGAGAATTCTTCTCTGGAATTTTAAATCCAAGATAATTGTTAAGCATATTTAAAAAGGAAAAATAAATGGAAAAAAGAACTTGTTACAAATGATAAAGGATTTATATTCTAAATATATCAAGCTCATAAAAATCAGAAATTTTCTAAGACAGTCTTAGAAACACTGGGCAATACAAGTAAAGGAATTAAATAAGGGACAAACTTTTTTTGAGGTAGGATCTCACCCTGTCACCCAGGTTGAAGTACAGTGTCACAATCACAGCTCCCTGCACCCATGACCTCCCAGGCTCAAGTGATCCTCCCACCTTAGCCTCTTGAGTACTTGGATTACAGCACACGCCACTACACCCTGCTAATTTTCTTTTTATTATTTTCATAGAGACAGTCCCACTATGTTGCCCATGCTGGTTTCGAACTCCTGGGCTCAAGCAATCCTCCTGCCTCAGCCTCCCAAGTGCTGAGATTGCAGGCATGAGCCACCTTGCCCAGCTGGGATAAATATTTTACATTTTCACATTCACTACTGATTAGAGATATGTAAATTAAAACCATGAAAAACCCCATTTGCTTTCCCTTACCTCAGTCACATTGGGAAAAATTAAACAATGACATGTATTTTTATAATGATTCTGAGTGTTTGGAGTACTAGAATAATTTTTTCTAGCAAAATTGTTTACCAATATGAATCAAGAACATTTAAAACATTTACATTCTTATTTCAGTAATTCATAAAAAGATATGTGCACTATGTGTAATAATATTACAACATAGTGTAATACTAAAATACTGAAGACACTGAATATTCAGAATTACACTGCAGTATCTTCTCTTCTATTTAAAAATGTATGTGCACAGGCCAAAAAAAAAGAGTGAAAATAACCCCTCGTAATTTGGTTTGTATTACATGAGAGCTTTAAGTAAACTTACCAAAAGTCATTTTTTCATACTAGATAAAATATTACTTATGATTTACTCATTGCAGATGGCTCTCATACTTACTGTAAGAGAATTCATTTACAGGTATTTACAGTCATTCTTTGGAGAGATTTTTAACATTGTATATAGACTATGTTGAATGTAGACTATATTTTGACCAGAATTACCATATTGGTATGAGTGGTCTGGTGTGTTTCTGGTTTTGTTCTGTTTGCATTCTTAGTAAATACGTGACAGTATAATCTAATCTCAAAACCTCTGACTGCAGAAACTATTGAGAGAAATTAGAGTCTTAAGTTTGAATGATTCTATCATATGACTACATTATATTTTTAGCTATTTATATTTTTTTAATTCAAACACTAAAATAGCCCTGTCATATTATGGAATTTTAATAGCGAATAGTCACTGAGGTACCATGAAGCTGTGAACCATTTTGAGCTTAAAAATACATTTTTATGTAAGGATTATCTTTCTTAGTAAGGAACAGAACTTAAGCATTCGTAAAATGGAAAGTTTTTTTTTTTTAACTTTAAAAAACTTGAATTCTATCGTATTTAAACAACTGTTTTACATACAATTTATTTCTTGAATTTCCATTCAGCTTGTGGGAAGACTTCAGATAGAAATAGCATAGTTTCTTTAAAAATATGTAAAATAGGTAATGACCTTTTTGGATTAAGTATGTTTTTGAAACCTTATGTATGTGGAAATAGTCTACAAGTATAAGTAATATATTAAAATCAATAGTTTATGAAATTTATTTATAAATTCAAGATTTAACCCTACACTGATACATTTCTAAGATATAAAATTTTTATTTCCAGAAATAAGAATATTGTTATAAAATAATTCCAAGTAATAAAGTATACTTGGAATTATTTCATTTAAGTTTAATAAGTTTTTATTAAAAACCAGTATTATGAAAAATCCATTACTGTAATATAGTTTGTTTACCTTGTGTCATAATTTTACCTATTAGTCCCTTGTGTATTTGGTTTTGCCTCAGTTATAATTTAAGTACATTTTTAAATATCTGTCAGATTGTCTTTCTGGTAATAGTTCTATAACCTGTATTTTTCTGCCCTGCTATATTTGCTTTGGTATATTACTAATACTGCCTTTTAAAAATATTTTTAACGTGTTTATTGTCTCAATTTGACATTCCAAATGCAGAACACTTTTTTATTTTTCTGTTAATTCATTTATATCTTTTTCTTTGAAATGAAAATGACTCCCTGTATGAGATTGAGCCTCAACAGGAACTGTGAATTTTGGAAACTACCAGAGCTAGCCATCTGGCTCTTGATAAATTTGTTAGCTAAAAGCATCATTTCATTAACTGAAAAATGGGCATAATTATAGTTTTGAGGATTAAATTATATATTTATAAAGTCAGGTGTCAGTGCTAGTTTAAAAGTCAATCTGACATCTTTTATGGAAAGGTAAGGTTCAATTTCACAAAAAAAAAGTGTATTTTTAGTGTATTTTTATTAAAGAAGGATATAATACAGAATTAATCTAATATAATATTACAATTCCCATTACTATTACTGTAAATTTATTTTTGCAAAGTAGCATAGCCTTAAAAGATGATGACTAGCTTAAGATCTTTAGGAAATAATTAGTAGACATAGTCATGAAAGGTACTAGAGGCTATCTTTAGGGCCCAGATTTTCATATATTTTTTGAATTATATAAACTGCTAGTTTTGATATTTTCCATGACAAGCCTTAATATTTCATTTAGAGCACACATAATATGTGGATTATAAGTGACCGATCAAGATATTAAAGTATCTTAAATTGATTGATTTTCATTATCATTTTGAGCATCTAGACTATCTCAATCTTTGAGCAAAGTTGTAGATATTATTTAGGGATTTAGATTTTTTTAAAAACAAAACCAAAAAACTGCTTTGCAAGTAAGTTTTTTGTTCAGTTCTCAGTAAATAGCAATTTCTATCCCATCAAATTCCATCATGTTGCTGCAAAGAAGAGTAGAGCTTCCAGCATCCCTTTGTGTTACACGTGGGGAGAGACAGGATATCTGAATATATACTTATGGAATGAGCATGTAAATGTGCTTTTAGTCTTTTCACGTGTGTGTGTGTGTATAGGCATGACCATGCATTTGGGCATACTTTCCTGTGTGCTCTGGCTGCTTAAATTTTACTATGATTTTACAGCCAGAAGTTTTTTCTTCTCTGTAATGTGTAGAATGTGTAGAAAATGAAAGCCTTGCTTTTTTTAAAATAATATACAGCAGATCTTCATTTTTAGCACTACTTAAACTTATAAAAGAAAAACAGGATTTTTTTTGTACTTCAGCTTTTTGTTGTGTGTACCCAAAGTTAGATTCAATAATCCAATTATGAGCGAAAATACTTAAAATTGCTAATAGGCGCTTTGTACTTTATTAGTTACTAGGAATATGAAATAAAATGTGAATCATGGGCTAATGATTTGCCAAAGAAAGATGCATGAATTATATTTTTTGTGTTTTGTTTTAGTTTAAGTCAAGTAAATAGCTATAAGTCTAGCAATTCCGAATTTGAATTGATTAATGTTACATTTCTTTGGCGCCTGCTGTTTTTATCTCAGGGTGGATTATTTTTTCAGAGTTGAGGAGTTGACCTCTTTTGTTTGTAGAAGAAAGGAGTGTTTTTTAAAAAATGCAAAAACATTAGTAGGCCAACATTGTATGTGTAATTTTAGGTTGGTTTGGTTTTGTGTGTTTTCTCTGGGGGTGGTGTGTGTGTGTGTGCGTGTGTGTGTGTGTATGTGTGTTTACTAAAGACTTTCTTAGAACAGGTAGTATAGTTCACATAAACTTTTATAATAATAAAGTGAGAGCGTCCTATATGGAATAATAAAGTGAAGTATTTAAAATTATAAGAAAAAACTACTTTAAAAAAGTAATACCAGGAATAAATTATAGCCAGTTGTGAATTGCTAGAGATACTGATTTATCATGCTCATTTATAAAGCTGTTCTATTTATAGCATCATTTGCTTTTAGGAAAGATCTCATTCAGGTTTTTTCTAATTAATAAAAACAGATTGAAAGCATGCTTTTGAATTATATCCAAAATATTCATCATACATATTTTATAAGATAACCTATTAAAAAATAAGAAAGAATCCATTCTTTTTCACAAAATTATTTTTTATTATATGCCAAAGGAAGAGGGATCGTTTAACTTATTTTCTTCTTTCTAAAAATTATACTGATTTTGTAACTTTTAGAATATTACAGTTTTTTAATATTAACATTTAAAATATCTTGAGGTTATATTTATCTGATTAAATAAACTACATTGTTCTGAGAAACCAAAAGAAAGAAAAGGCAAATAACACTGGGATATACTTGCGTGGAATCATTTTTGCATTCCTGTTCACCCAGGCTTTTTTCTGCATTTGAATACTAGTTTTTGCTGGTCTCGCATAGAAACTATAAATGGAATCTTCAGTGCATCATAACAGTGAGGTCACAGTGGCCTTGGAAATCTCTGCTCTTACCTGTAACTTTTTAAAGCATAACTCTTACTGTTTCTACCATTTTTACTCTATTACAATAACAGAATGCAAAGGGTCATAAAGGAGATGATTTGTTGCTGCGGGTGGTATTTAAAATCTGAATGTTTTAAATTTGATGGAGCAATGGGGAATGGAGCAAACTGTAAAGCTGCTCTAGTTAATCAAAGGTAGGAAGATATAATAGTGCTTTGTATTGGTTGGTGTGGTATATGAGAGTTATTTTGTTGATTGGATAAGGAGTATCTTAATTCAGGGTGAGTTATTTTTTTGAGGTTCAAGTCTTTAAAAAAGTATCTGAGTTGAGTACTTTATAAAAGAAATGTAATGATCAACCACATATCTCATAAATAGGCCTAAAGTACTCTTTATTATAAATATGTTGTAATATAATTGGCTGCATTATGAAAATTTTTTTTCTTCCAGTGTGAAAAACTCAAATTACTGTCTTCCATCATATACCGCTTATAAGAACTATGATTATTCGGAACCTGGAAGAAACAATGAACAGCCAGGCCTCTGTGGCCTAAGTAACTTGGGAAATACGTGTTTCATGAACTCAGCTATTCAGGTAGGTCTTTGTAAACAAAATGAAACTCATGTTTCATGGAAATCTGTAATACAAGAAGATAAAGTTGGGTTTTTCATGCCAGAACATGAGTATATGTTTTGAAAGTTCATTTTTCATGGAAGATTTAAGCATACATATTTGACTTATTCATTCTACTACTGGTAGTGGAATATATGTTTCTCAATTAGGTGACCTGTGATTGATTAACATAATGTACAAGATTATATATCACTTTGCAAAAATATAATATCAGACAGAAAACTTAAGCTGTCTAAAAAGGGAGGGAAAAAAAAGCAAAACTAATGAGTTCCCTCCATTATTCAGTAGAAGTCTGTTGCACTTTTTTTTTCTTTTTTTTTTTTTTTTGTCTTAATGGGAAATTAAAATTTTAAAAAGGAAAATCTTGGGAACTTCTTTTTGTATACATACTTTAACAAATCACTTTCCCTTAAAGGTCTTTTAATTTGGGGATATAAGAGATAACTACTTTTCCCCTGCCCCCACCCCCTTTTTCTTTTCTTTCTGCTCTAGTCTATATCCTCAACTTGTTAAATATTTATGTCTTTGATTGATTCTGAAGTAATGAGAGAGATATATTTTTTAATATCACTGTTACTGTGTATAAACTTAGGGCTGGTTATTTTATTCCCCTTTTACAGATAAAATTTCTGTGTTTATAAAAGCTCAGAATAATGGCAAACCATTTTTGATATTTGAATTTTAACCTTTTTTTCGTCAGTCTCTTGTGAATTCTGGATTTTTAGTTTTAAATCTAAACTTTTCTGTTCTCTATTCTTATTTTTTTGTTGAATCTCCTATGCCCAGGAGGCAGCCTCAAAAGATATAGATTAAATGCAGGGTATAGATTGATAAGGACATTATTAGACATCTTTCTCACTATCTGAGAAAAGGATGACTCTTCACCATTCAGTATTCTAAGTGAATCTTTTTGTACATCATCATTCATACAGCTGTTTCCTAAATTAACCATTGCCTTTATAGCATTCTTGGAAATTAGAATCTGTCATACACTATAGGCCAGGAGTTAGCATCCTTTTAGAAATTGAATAGGGAAGGCATAATCGATTTCTGGTATTTTGCTTTAGAGTTGAACCACTTGGGAAGTGGCCTATCTGCCTAAGCAGATAGGTTAATATATAGGTTAATAAACTCTTCCTTTAAATCTTCAAATGAGTAATCCTGCTCATAGTATAGTGTGAATTACTTTATTCAAAATAGTTTTTCAAGAATTCTAGCACTAGTTAGACATAGAGACAATTTAAATTTTTATCTTTATTTTTCTAGATGAGGAAGAAAGCCAAAATGTATTATTATCCTAATAGTTAAATAACAAAGTAAAGTACATGGGTGCTTAGCTTTCAGAGATAGGAATGGGACAGACAAATTATAATATCTGTTGGACCATCTCTGGAACATGTTTTATGTAAATTGTGTTTATACCAGTACTAGAAAACCCTGTTCTCAGATCACCAAGTTATATTAATTTTTATGTACCTCTTTATCCTTGAACTGCCAAAATTACTTTGGTTCCAGATGCTTGATATCAGCTAGAGTTTTTTTTCCTAGTTTAGAAAACCAATCTTGGTGCTTTTTCATAAATATTAATAAAATATTTCAACAACATAGGGATTCAAAATTTGAATCTGTCAGGAGAGCACAAGAGTTTGTGTTGATGCTAATCATTCATGGGAGGCTTGGGCCAGCATTCAGACTAAATTCCTTCTAAAGCAATACTGCATCCTAGTTTTCTGTGCCTTTGATACATCTGTTTAGTATTGTCTGCATATGGTTAACTGCAATTTCTCAGAAATAGGTATTCAAATTGAATCTTTTAACCAGCTAGGTTAAGCTAGATTTGGCATCGTTTAGCTTTCTTGCATGTTATGTTTAAGGTGTGAGGATCTTCAGTTTATTCATTTTTGCTTCTATTCAAAACTATTTTATTAGAATAAATTGATAGCTCTATTGCAGACACTCCTAATATATTTTACCATCACGTATTCCATTTCATCTGAGACACAGCCGTGAGCGTGATGGTTTATAATTTTATGGTAATAGCCATAAAATTTTTTGACAAAAATTTTAGCAGTGAGTATTTTAAGCAGTGGATATTATTTCATCATTATAGCTTTATTTAGTTGGAAACTATATTGTCTCTAAAATAAAATTCTTCAAACAATTTGGAGAAGAGAAAAATGAGTTTTTACTTGTGCGGCTTTAGCTTTTAGTTCACATCTGGAATTAGAAAAGCTAGGCCTTTAGTTTTATTTTCTTAAAACTTCCATGATTTTTAATTGATTAAGATGTCAGCTCTCGAGCTGAAAATTGACTGTAAGAGGGAGTACAAAATGGTGGCAGTAGCCTTTACTCCTCTATTTCACAAAAATTCATGTAGTTCATAGATCCAAAAATAAAAAGGGTAATAGATAACTAATAGAATAGATTCTTTAGGTTTTGTCAGATACTATTTCTTCAGTATGCTTTTTTCAAGTTTCCTTGTAACTTCTTTGAAATTGAAGACGTTCATGAATTTTAGAAAATATTATCAAATATTATCTCTACTGACAATTTGAATTTTAATGTAACCTCTTAAATTAATTCAGTGTCCTCCAAATTTAAGTGATCATTTCAGCACATCAGGTGGTATAGTATTAACATATGTTAAAAAAAAAAGAGTGTAAAAAGTATACTTTTTTAATGTAAGCGTGGGTTATACTTAGCCCATCAGTAGCCTTGAGATAGTGAAATCTTTTGACCACACATGATTAAAAACTAAGCAGCACCAATCTGAGTGTGATTTAACATTATTACTGTTATTATTTAATTTAATGATATTGGTACTTAAGATTTTCTGATGTAATGGTATGAGTATTAACCTTGTTTGGTGAATATGGTACTGCCATATAGCACAGTAAAAAATAACAATACAACAGTTTGTCCAGGCATGGTGACTCATGCCTGTAATCCCAGCACTTTGGGAGGCCAAGGCGAGTGGATCACCTGAAGTCAGGAGTTTGAGACCAGCCTGGCCAACATGATGAAAGCTCATCTCTACTAAAAAATACAAAAATTAGCCGGGCATGATGGTGGACACCTGTAATCCAAGCTACTCGGGAGGCTAAGGCAGGAGAATCGCTTGAACCCGGGAGGCAGAGGTTGCAGTGAGCCAAGATTACACCATTACACTCCAGCCTGGGTGACAAGAGCAAAACTCCATCTCAAAAATAAATAAATAAATGACAATTTAAAATAATGTGAATTTTAAAACAATGCAGTATAACAATTAACATAGCATTTACATTTTATTAAGTATTATAACAAATCTAGAGATGATTTAAAGTATATGTGAAGATATATGTAGGTTATATACAAATAACAACACCATTTTATATCAAGAACTTGAGCATCTGTGGATTTTGGTATCCCCAAGGTGGAGAGGGGGCTCCTGTGACCAATCCCCTGTGGATACCAAGAACAACTGTATATCCTGACCTTATGAAGATTATAGCCTAGATATTGTGATTTTCAAACTCTTTGTATTTTAGCATCAAAACTTTTTTTTAAGTTACCGTGGAAAGTTTAATTGTATCCCCAATATTTAAGTAGATATGGTAAAATTGCTTTGGTTGGGTGAAGTTCCCAGAACCCCATCTGCTTTCCTTTACTTTCCACAATGGCCCCAGAAGCTTTCTCATGGATCCCAGGACTCTGAGGAACAGTTTGAAAGCCAAAGTCTGGCTTGAAAAAAAAAAAAAAAAAGAAACACATAAAAAACTAATAATACAGATTAAGATCACAGTTTATGGAGTTACACTACTTGGATTAAAAACATGGCCTTCCTGCTTATTATAATAACTGTATTTCCCTAGACAAGTTAATTCCACAATTCATTTTTCTCATCGTCTGACAAGAAAATAATAGTACCCTATCTTAGGAGTTTTGTAAGGGTTACGTGAGTTGATGGTTTTAACTCGTAGGATGCTGACTGGCACATTATAAATACTGAATACATATTATGTAGAAATTATCTCATCTTTTTTTAAAATTCAACAAGTTAAGCAGAATGACTCTGGAAAGATTCTGTTCTCCATAACCGTTCTATCTGTCCTCTTTTCTTGAGTCTTTTTCCACGTGGACCTTAGTGGACTAAGAAGAAATAATTGAGTGTACTTTTATTTTTCATATAGTGTTATTGTAGGAATGGTATTTATCAACCCTTTAATTTCTGAACTATGCTAATTTAACTCTTCCTAGGCAAGCTGATAAGGAAGGGATATAATAGCATAGAATTGTTTATGAATATTCTATCTGTAGGGCACTAGGAAATTCAAAATTGTTGAGTTTGGTTACCCCTAGCCCCTGCCTCCTGAGTAGTTATGATTATAGGCATATACCACCATGTCCCATTGGTTCAAATAATATAATAAGATAGTTTTCTAGTTCCCTAAATCTGTTACTCCATCTAGAGAATGCCCAGTTTTTAAATTTTGCATTATTGGTGATAATTTTAATTAGCATTAGTTCAGTAGATTCAAGAGCACTTCAACCCTTGTCTTTTTCATTGTCAAGGCCTACCTAGGAGGCTCATGGTTAGTTTCCTGGATGAAGCATCTCCTCAGATGGATTTGAAGCAGGGGAGTAATGTGGTCTTTTCCATTGGAAAGCAGCATGGCATAAGATGGTTATTTTCAAAATATTTACTTGGACATAATAGAGCTCCTTAGATAGATTCTAGGAAGTCATTGAAAAAAATGATACTAATCAAAGACTTATTCATTATTCCTGTCATAATATATAAAATAAATTGGGATTTCAAGCATTTTTAAGGTCAGCTTTTTTTTCTATGATCTGTTTATTAGGAAAAAACTTAATTTCAAAAATTTAGAAGAATGTTAAATAGAAAGTTTAAACTTTTTTAAAGATTTAATTTAAGAGAATAAGTAATACTACACAGAAATAACATTTTTAAGAAACTAGATAGATCTTCATTACATTGTAAAACAGAGAAAAAGTTATTTCTGAAGCTGTTATTTCTATGTTACATTACTTCAACTAGCCTACTCTTACCTTGAGACTTTCTTTTTGCATTTATTGGAACTCAGTTTCTTAGAAGTCCAGTTTAACACTAAACCTTCTAGTTTTATTTAAATTACCAACCTTATATTTAAATGAATATACTTTTCATCGTAAAAGGAAAAACCTCACTTCTGAGACACAAAACACTTTTTAAAAAATAGTTTAGGATCTTATATTTGTTCTGATAAACTGAGAACGTGGCTAATGAAAAATTTAAAACTACTACTTTCTAGGTCAGGTTTTCATCCTAATCCAGGATGTTAAACTCAATTATGTGAGTTCCTTTCATGTTATGTGCCAGAAATTACATAGCAAATTGTCATCAAAAATATATTCAATCCTCTGTCAAATGACAACTCAGTCAGGTCATCTATCCATTTTGATAAAAGCAAAAAAAAAAAATGTAAACAACCTTACTTGCATTAGAACCATTCATTTTTCTCAACATGAATACCAATGTTTTTACTTTTCCCTTTGGACTAGAATAGCCCTTCCTTTTTGAAAGAGAACAGAGGTGGGAAAGAAGAACCTACGTTCTCAGACAGATTATTTTAAGAAAGAGTATATATGGGATAGTTCTGTAAAAATTTAGTGTTCACAACTAGGGGAAAAATGGTATCTCTAAAAGAATGCCTTGCACTTGTGTAACTTGGCTAATAATGATTTGTTATGAAAACATGCCTTTCTTAATCTCAGATGGAGACATGAGATTTGATTTGTCGCTGTTCACATTCTTCTCAGTGAATAAGCAAAATTCCCTAAGATTAGTGCCTCTTTCTGAATTAAGTTTTTATGTGTTTATCTGTCCCTAATTCTGTAGTAGGAAAATGACATAATAGAGATCTTAGAGAAATAGAGAGGTTCTTTTAAAGAGTTGTAAATTATTACATCTAATTCTAAAATACAAAGTGGTTTTACTATCCTGGCTAGGAAAGGCCAACACCAATTTAATAATATACTTATTAGATAGTATTGTAGTGACTACATCTTATAACAGAAGTTATTAATGTAATTAGGCTGAAGTATCTTGTATCAATTATTATAATTATTTCAAGGATTTTTTTTGTAATTAAAAGCAAAACAAAAGAAATGTCAATCTGTAGTCTGTAATGGGAACTACAGATTTGCTCCCTCCCTCCAAGAAAATAAAAGGAAAGAAAAACCTATTTCAGATTTACTTCTCTTACTTAAAATCAAGCAGCTCATTTTTTTGATGTCAAAATGTTTTCTAAAAGTTTACCATTTACTTCTTTACAATGATTTATAAACTATTCTGGGCAGGGGAGAGGGTCAGTGAGTTGGTTACTTAAACCATTGTTCGATTAATAGTAATATCTAAATCAATTACTAGTTCTCATATAAACCCATATTAAAACATTAACAGCCCTGTATTGAACCTGCAGCCTCTGTTAAGAGTGGTACCCTTCTTTGCATAATGCAGGTTATTTTTTTATATTGTTTTTCACTTAATTTTCTCTTCACAGAGGTCTGTGAGTTAGGGCATAAGAATCTCTATTCCACTAATGAGGAAATTGAAGCAAGGAAAGTTTGATTTCCAGTCACTAAGACAAGTTATTATGAGTTGTTATTCAGTACATTTTGAGATAATGTATTTTTTTGAAATTATGCCAATCAACCTATAAGAAATGCTTATGTTTTGTTTTTTGTGGTAAAATATAACAATTTGCCAGTTTAACCATTTTAAGTGTATAGTAACATTAAGTATATTCACATGTTGTACAATTATTAAAAATGTTTTTATGTTTAGTTCAAATGATTGGCCCCCATAATACAAGATGCTCTCATTAAGTAGCATTAATGTTGTGCCATTTAAAACAGTTTCCCTAGGAGGTGATATACACACTTACTCATTCAATGTTCAGAATGTTAAAAACTATTCAAGTACTCCTTTTGGAATTGCTTTTATTCTTCTGAGTATCACTGGTGGATATTTTTCATCCTTCAATGACAAAGTTGATTTTTGAAAGCCAGAAGTTATTCAGAGCACTATTTTCAGAATATTGTAGATTATCAAGCTGGGTAATTTTTTTCAAGTAATTCATAAGTAATGAATGACTGATGAAGTCATTTACTCAGCAAATATTTATTGAAGGTCTATTAGGTGACTCTCACTCTCATAATCACTAATTATGCCATGATGAACAAAACAGTTTTTTCCCATGGAGTTTACAGTCTAATGAGGGAGACAAATATTAAATCAATCATGAATTATGATAAGTATCATGAAAGAGAAAGTAGAGTGCTAACAGGAACTTGGAGAGCACCTGTTTTAAGCTGGGTGTCATATTTACGAAAAGTAACATGAGCTTTGACCAAAGAATATGTATGAGTTTGGCAGGTGAAGTTAGAAGGACCAAAAACATGTGCAAAGCCACTAAGAAGGGCAAGTTTGAGGAATCAGAAGTGTAGTTTGTGGAATAATGTATGAAGGGGAGTGAGACAAAATGAGTTTGAAGGAGTAGGCAAAAGCCAGATCATATAGGGAGAATTTAGATTTTAATGTTACAAAGGCACTAAAGGTTTCAGGCTACTATCTTCTTAACTGGTTCATTCCATTTGTCTGCTAGCTGGTTTCTTTGCTTCTATCCTTACCCTCCACAATCTGTTCTTAAAAGAACAGCCAGCAATTCGTTTCAAACCTAAGGCATTTTCTATTACTTAGGCAATAACACAAAATGCCTTCTCATTTCACTCAACGATCAATGAAAGCCAGAGTCCTTAAAAAAAAGTACAAAGCCCTGTAGGATCTGGCCCCATGCTAGCTTATTTCCTATCACTTACCTCCATGCTTACCTTGTTCCATCCTCACCCTCACATGTGCCAAGAGCGTGCCTGCCTTAGGGTCTGTGAACTTGCAGTTTCCTATACCTGTAATGTTCTTCCTCTAAATATATATATTCTTGCACTCTCACTTCCATTAGGTCGCTATTATCTATCAGTGAGGTGCTTCTTCAGTCACCCTGTAAAAAATAATGACTGCCCCACATTCCACACAGTACTCATAACCATCTGGCATGTTTTATTTCTATTAGGGTTTTTTGCTTGTCTGTGTATCTTCCCCTACTCCCAACACAGACACCCTCTCCCCGCGTCCCCACCCCGTGCTCTCTCTCTCCCTCTCTCCCTCTCTCCCATGACTGCTGGAATTTTGTTTTAGTCACTGTTGTAGCCCCATTGCCTGGAATAGTGTCTGGCATGTAGAAGGCACTCAAATTAATGAAAGGTGAAGGGAATCACAAGTGTCTCTCTAGTTTTTGGCTTATATATCATAATGATAGATGTAACCATTTAATGAAATTCCAGAGTAGTAGGAAGAAGAACATAGTAGGAGAAGTAAATTTGGGGTGGGGAGGAGATTATGAGTTAATTTTAGGCATGTTCAGTTTGTGATGTCTGTGAAACATCCAAGCAGATAGATCATAGACAGTTGGATATTCTAGTATGGAATGTAGATCAGAGGCCTAAGCTGGAAATAAAAATCTGCGTGTCGTAGGTGGTGGTTAAAATCATGGAAATGGTTGTTTCTAAATGAGGGTATCTATGAAAAAGACGTCCGAGAACTAAGCCCTGCAATACATTTGAATGGAGGAATGAGACTTCGTTTGCAATAGGAGGAAAGAAAGGGATTACGGATGCAAGCAATGTCTAGATTCTCTGACGGCTTCCATTATCCCCAAAATACAAGACTAGATCATTAGCTAAGAATGAAAGGGTAAGAAGATTGCTCAGCAGTATTGAGGTCTCATTTGATATTGGAGATCATCAATTCAGAATAGTATAAATGTATTCACTTGAAATTTTTTTCCAACAATGTTCAGTTGCATGGTGCATAAAACAGATGCCTAGATTCATCTAGAGTTGGAAAGAGAAAGGGGCAAAGGAGTTATTAATAAAAAGCAACCAAACTTGTTTTCTTGTTTGTATTTATTTATTTATTTAGTGAATGGAATTATTTTTTTAATTTTTCTTTTTTATCATATTATTATACTTTAAGTTCTGGGGTACATGTGCGCAAAATGCAGTTTTGTTACAAAGGTATACACGTGCCAAGGTGGTTTGCTGTACTCATCAACCTGTCACCTTCATTAGGTATTTATCCTAATGCTATCCCTTCTCTAGCCCCCCAACCCCCAACAAGCCCTGGTGTGTGATGTCCCCCTCCCTGTGTCCATGTGTTCTCATTTTTCAACTCCCACTTATGAGTGAGAACATGCAGTGTTTGATTTTCTGTTGTGATAGTTTGCTGAGAATGATGGTTTCCAGCTTCATCCATGTCCCTGCAAAGGACATGAACTCATCCTTTTTTATGGCTGCATAATATACCATGGTGTATATGTGCCACTTTTTTTTATGCAGTCTGTCATTGATGGACATTTGGGTTGGTTCCAAGACTTTGCTATTGTGAAAAGTGCCGCAGTAAGTGTATGTGTGCATGTGTCTTTTTAATCAAATAATTTATAATCCTTTGGGTATATACCCAGTAATGGGATTGCTGGGTCAAATGGTATTTCTAGTTCTAGATCCTTGAGGAATTGCCACACTGTCTTCCACAGTGGTTGAACTAATTTACACTCCCACCAACAGTGTAAAAGCATTCCTATTTCTCCACATCCTTTCCAGCATCTGTTGTTTCCTGACTAATGATCGCCATTCTAACTGGTATATGAGATGGTATCTCATTGTGATTTTGATTTGCATTTCTCTAATGACCAGTGATGAAGAGCTTTTTTTCATATGTTTGTTGGCTGCATAAGTGTCTTCGAGTAGTGTCTGTTCATATCCTTTGCCCACTTTTTGATGGGGTTGTTTGTTTTTTTCTTGTAAATTTGTTTAAGTTCTTTGTAGATTCTGGATATTAGCCCTTTGTCAGATGGATAGATTGCAAAAATTTTCTCCCATTCTGTAGGTTGCCTGTTCACGCTCATGGTAGTTTCTTTTCCTGTGCAGAAGCTTTTTAGTTTAATTAGATCCCATTTGTCAATTTTGACTTTTGTTGCCATTGCTTTTGGTGTTTTAGACATGAAGTCTTTGCTCATGCCTGTGTCCTGAATGGTATTGCCTAGGTTTTCTTCTAGGATTTTTGTGGTTTTAGGTCTTACATTTAAGTCTTTAATCCATCTTGAATTGATTTTTGTATAAGTTGTAAGGAAGGGGTCCAGTTTCTGTTTTCTGCATGTGGCTAGCCAGTTTTCCCAACAACATTTATTAAATAGAGAATCCTTTCCCCGTTGCTTGTTTGTGTCAGGTTTGTCAAAGATCAGATTGATGTAAATGTGTGGTGTTATTTCTGATGCCTCTGTTCTGTTGCATTGGTCTATATATCTGTTTTGGTACCAGTACCATGCTGTTTTGGCTACTGTAGCCTTGTAGTATAGTTTCAAGTCAGGTAACATGATGCCTTCAGCTTTGTTCTCTTTGCTTAGGATTGTCTTGGCTATGCCGGCTCTTTTCTGGTTCCATATGAAGTTTAAAGTAGTTTTTTCCAATTCTGTGAAGAAAGTCAGTGTAGCTTGATGGGGATAGCATTGAAAGTAAATCACTTTGGGAAGCATGGCCATTTTCACAGTATTGATTCTTCCTATCCATGAGCATGGAATGTTTTTCCATTTGTTTGTGTCCTCTCTTATTTCCTTGAGCAGTGGTTTGTAGTTCTCCTTGAAGAGGTCCTTCACATCCCTTGTAAGTGGTATTCGTAGGTATTTTATTCCCTTAGTAGCAATTGTGAATGGAAGTGCACTCATGATTTGGCTCTCTGTTTATCTGTTATTGGTATATAGGAATGCTTGTGATTTTTGCACATTGATTTTGTATCCTGAGACTTTGCTGAAGTTGCTTATCAGGTTAAGGAGATTTAGGGCTGAGACGATGGGGTTTTCTAAATATACAATCATGCCATCTGCCAACAGAGACAATTTGACTTCCTCTTTTCCTGTTTGAATACCCTTTATTTCTTTCTCTTGCCTAGTTGCCCTGGCCAGAACTTCCAATAATATGTTGAATAGGAGTGGTGAGAGAGGGCATCCCTGTCTTGTGCCAGTTTTCAAAGGAATGCTTCCAGTTTTTGCCCATTCAGTATGATATTGGCTGTGGGTTTGTCATAAATAGCTCTTATTATTTTGAGATGCATTCCATCAATACCTAGTTTATTGAGAGTTTTTAGCATGAAAGGGTGTTGAATTTTGTCGAAGGCCTTTTCTGCATCTATTGAGATATTCATGTGGTTTTTGTCATTGGTTCTGTTTACGTGATGGATTACTTTTATTGATTTGCATATGTTGAACCAGCCTTGCATCCCAGGGATGAAGCCGACTTAATCATGGTGGATAAGCTTTTTGATGTGGTGCTGGATTCGGTTTGCCAGTATTTTCTTGAGGATTTTCACGTCGATGTTCATCAGGGATATTGGCCTGAAATTTTCTTTTTTTGTTGTGTCTCTGCCAGGTTTTGGTATCAGGATGATGCCAGCCTCATAAAATGAGTTAGGGTGGAGTCCCTCTTTTGTATTGTTTGGAATAGTTTCAGCTGCTCTTTGTACCTCTGGTAGAATTCGGCTATGAATACATGTGGTCCTGGAATGTTTTTGGTAGGTAGACTATTAATTACTGCCTTGATTTCGGAGTTGTTTTTTTGTTTGTTTGTTTGTTTTTTGTTTTTTTGAGATGGAGTCTCACTCTGTCGCCCAGGCTGGAGTGCAGTGGCGTGATCTCAGCTCACTGCAAGCTCTGCCTCCCAGGTTCATGCCATTCTCCTGCCTCAGCCTCCCGAGTAGCTGGGACTCCAGGCGCCCGCCACCACACCTGGATAATTGTATTTTTTAGTAGAGATGGGGTTTCACCAGTTAGCCAGGATGGTCTCGATCTCCTGACCTCGTGATCCGCCTGCCTTGGCCTCCCAAAGAAATTTCAGACTTTTTTATGGGCCTATTCAGGGATTTGACTTCTTCCTGGTTTAGTCTTGGGAGAGTGTATGTGTCCAGGAATTTATCCATTTCTTCCAGATTTTCTAGGTGTTTATAGTATTCTCTGATGGTAGTTTTTATTTCTGTGGGGTCAGTGGTGATAACCCCTTTATCATTTTTTATTGCGTCTTTTTGATTCTTCTCTCTTTTCTTCTTTATTAGTCTGGCTAGCAGTCTGTCTATTTTGTTTATCTTTTCTAAAAACTAGCTCCTAGATTTCATTGATTTTTTTGAAAGGTTTTTCGTGTCTCTGTCTCCTTCAGTTCTGCTCTGATCTTAGTTATCTCTTGTCTTCTGCTATCTTTTGAATTTGTTTGCTCTTGCTTCTCTAGTTCTTTTAATTGTGATGTTAGGGTGTCAATTTTAGATCTTTCCTGCTTTCTCTTGTGGGCATTTAGTGCTATAAATTTCCCTCTACACTGCTTTGAATGTGTCCCAGAGATTCTGGTACGTTGTATCTTTGTTCTCATTGGTTTCAAAGAACATCTTTATTTCTGCCTTCATTTCATTATTTACCCAGTAGTCATTCAGGAGCAGGTTGTTCAGTTTCCATGTAGTTGTGCAGTTTTGAGTGAGTTTCTTAATCCTGAGTTCTAATTTGATTTTACTGTGGTCTGAGAGACTGTTTGTTATGATTTCCGTTCTTTTGCATTTGCTGAGGAGTATTTTACTTCTTATTATTTGGTCAATTTTAGAATAAGTACAGTGAGGTGCCAAGAAGAATGTATGTTTTGTTGATTTGGGGTGGAGAGTTCTGTAAATGTCTATTAGGTCTGCTTCGTCCAGAGCTGAGTTCAAGTCCCGAATATCCTTGTTAATTTTCTCTCTCATTGATCTGTCTAATATTAACAGTGGGGTGTTAAAATCTTCCACTATTACTGTGTGAGAGTCTAAGTCTCTTTGTAGGTCTCTAAGAACTTGCTTTATGAATCTGGGTGCTCCTGTGTTGGGTGCATATATATTTAGGATAGTTAGTTCTTCTTGATGCATTGATCCTTTACCAGTATGTAATGCCCTTCTTTGTCTCTTTTGATCCTTGTTGGTTTAAAGTATGTTTTATCAAAGATTACGCAACCCCTGCTTTTTTTTCTTGCTTTCCATTTGGTTGGTAAATATTCTTCCATCCTTTTATTTTGAGCCTATGTGTGTCTTTGCACATGAGATGGGTCTCCTGAATACAGCACATTCATGGGTCTTGACTCTTTATCCAGTTTGCCTGTGTCTTTTAATTGAGGCATTTAGCCCATTTACATTTAAGGTGAATATTTGTTATGTGTGAATTTGTTCCTGTCATTACGATAGTAACTGGTTATTTTGCCCATTGGTTGATGCTGTTTTTTCATAGTGTCAATGGTCTTTACAATTTGGTATGTTTTTGCAGTGGCTGGTACTGGTTGTTCTTTCCGTGTTTTTAGTAGCTAATTTATTTAGCTGACTCAACAAGCATTCATTGAGTCTCTACTATGTGCCATGCATTATTCTAGACATTGGCATACCCAGTTTTAAAAGACAGTACTTGTCCTCTAGAAGTTCATGTTTAGTGAATGAGGTAGACATATAAATAAGATATAATATGTTATATAATAGAAAACATGATCAGCAAAATGTCATGGAAGCAAAGTTCTTTCTTTGAGTCTATGGGACATAAGTGAGGCTGTATCAGGAGGGTGAAATTTGAGTCACATTTTTATTTCATTTATTAGAGCACATTACTGTCCATTATAACTTATATGTTCATTTGGTCATAAAATAGAGAATTACCAGGGATGCAAATTAAAACATTATAGCTTATGCTAGTTTCTACATTTTTTTCACCTCAGAAATTCCCGTATCAGAAATCCGTTTTGCCACAGCAAAAACACATTGTTCACACACTCAATAAAAACATATTGGAATCCTTTATATGCCAACTGGTTTTTTTTTTTCCTGCTACCTGATTTTTTTATTTTTTCATGTGCCAGCTGTCGATGCTTTTTCACACATGTGCCAGCTCTAAAAAGAGGAGTACCTAAAATATCTTGAGCAATATATAATGCTTATTCTTAATGCCTCAATTATATACCGGATTTGGTGTATACCACATAATGCTGCTTCTGTTATTTACTATATTTGATACGTAATTGAGGCATTATGAATAATTTCTAGGGCTTTTCTAAGTGCAGTTTTCTATACTTTGCCAGGAGAAGACTTCTAATAAGTATTTTTAAAATGAAACAAATTTGTGACAAAAATGTTACTTTTTTAAATAAGGAAATCCTTAATATTAATAGTAGAATGAAACATACATTTAGCTTCCTTTTATACTTACAGTAGTATCATTGTATAATAACATACCAAAAATATATGTGTCATCATGATGATACCTGGAACCCCTCTTACCATCCCTGAGACCTGTTCCCTTGTTTACTCTTTGTTTTATTCTTCTTTTTTGTTTGGTTTTTTGAGACGGAGTCTCGCTGTATCACCAGGCTGGAGTGCAGTAGCGCAATCTCAGCTTACTGCAACCTCTGCCTCCCGGGTTCAAGCGATTCTCCTGCTTTAGCCTCCCGAGTAGCTGGGACCACAAGCGTGCACCACCACTCCCGGCTAATATTTGTATTTTTAGTAGAGACAGGGTGATCTGCCCGTCTCGGCCTCCCAAAGTGCTGGGATTACAGGCATGAGCCACCACGCCTGGCCTTGTTTTATACTTTTAACCTCACCTCTTCACTGTCTTTCTTCCTTTCAGCGTATATACATAGTCAAGTCTTTTTTCATCTGGGAAGTAGAGTGAGGGAGACCCATGACCTTGAACAGGATGATCTGTGCTTTCCCCCTACTTTCCCATCTCCCATTCAATAGTCCTTATCTCACCATAGCCTGTCAGCTGCTTAGCATGGTAGGTCAAAGCATGGATTTTGGAACTAGACTGCCTGTATTCAAATCCTAATTCTGCCACTTACAAGTTGTGTGACCTTGGATAAGAAACTTCGTAGTTTCTTCATCTGTGAAATGAAGATAAAGTGCTTAGGAAGTGCTTGGCACATGTAAACATATAAAAATATCAAATACTGTTATCATTACTGTTGTCATGATACCACCCTATAGAAATTGCTTTTGATTAGCTCACTCTTGACCTCCTGTTTGCTAGGTTCCTTGTACCCCCTTTACCTTTGAGAATTTGACATCCATCTATATACTAATATCCAAAATTTCCCTCATCCGTAATTCTCTCTTCTGAATTTCCCTCCAATATGTAACTGTTAAATGGACATTCCTGCCAAGTTAAACTACATGTAACTTAAACTCAAGATGCCTACTTACACTAATCTTGATTATTTTATTTCCTACACTTTCTTATAGGTACAACCCAGTAACCCAAGTCAAAAACCGAAGACTTATCCCAAGTCCTGTTCATTCTACTTCTTATATAGCACATATTTTTCCCTTTCCTCTCCTGTTACATTATTTCAATGCTTAAGCATCTTTTTTGTGAACTATCAAAATATATCTGTGTCATCTCTTTGTTCCATCATTTGTCCTCTTCAAATCCATTGAATACAGTGCTTCCAAATTTATTGTTTTATAAGGCAAATATGATTATTATGTGTTTAAAACCTGTGCCCCATCACCTAAAGGATAAAATTCAAACTGGATTCTGTCTACCTGTTTAGCCAAAACTACTTTCAATTCTTAGAATTTATTATGTTTCAAAACTCTTTGTATATACTGTTACCGCTTCCCTACTTGCGTTTTTCATACTTTCTCTCTTTCTTCTATCCATTTCTCATGGACAAATACGTATTATGTGGTGAGAATTGTGAAAGCAGAGGCTATCTTTGGTTTTCTTTTATATCCCCAGTGTTAGTATAGTACCAGATAATCGTAAGCACAGTAGAACAGTGTTTTTTACAATGTGTCTATGGACAAGATAATTCTGGTCAACAATAAAATAAGCACAGAAATTGTAAGTGATCAAAAGTCTCTATAGCAATTTGATAGGGTAATTTTATATCAAGTTTAATAATAAAAAGCAAGACTTGTTTTTTATATGAGTGTTTTTAATTTTATTTTTCTAGCGGTTCATTTTTATTATATCTTACACAAGTACCAATCTGTGGTGGAATTTTTAAAAAATTAGTCCTTTCCATGTAATTATTGCACTTTCACACCCACAATAAAGCTTCTACCTGAAGTGCCTTCTAGGTCATTGAGAAACATGGAAAATTATCTTCCATATAGATTTAGAGGAAAGTGTATTTTGCTGTGGAGCTAATCATTTGAAAACTGGGAATAGCATCAGGAGGTAAAAATAGCTCGAGCGGAAATATTTGGGTTTGTATATTAGCTCTGCAACTTCTTCTGTGTGTGTGAGTAAGCAGGTTACTTATCTATTCCAAGACTTAGTTTCTTCAGCTCTAAAACAGGAGATAACGCTTACTAAATTTACTTTTCAGAGCTGTTGCAAGAATTAGTGAAATGTACATCAAGATGTATTTTAATAAAAATAATGTGTTCGGTATTTTAAAAAAAATTAGTTCTTTCACACACCTGGTTTGCAAAACACTGCATTAGAAAAAATTATTTACCAGAGATATTTGAAACTTGACCTGAGCTATCTAAATTCCCAAAGATTGCACAGTAATTTTAGTAAGAATTATAGCACATAATATATATATTTATTTCTTGCAACTGGAGGGTCAGAGAGCTACCTATATATGTATAATAACTCTTGGACCATATACGGTCCTGCAAATGCAGTCGATCTGATAGCACTTGAATTGAGCTGGCATGTTAGTCACAGCTGGGCAGATCATATCAGTACCACCATGGAAATAGTTCCTTGAAAGATTTCAGTGAATGATAGGAAAAAAATTCTTTTAGAACATTATTTGTATACTTACAGAGACTCTTGAAGTAATGATCTCTTAATATTTGTTGAACAATTAAAGTTTTTTTATTACAAAAATGGCTTGTTTCTCTTAAAGAATGTAACAAATCAATAAACTTTAAAAAAAAATTCTGCTGTCCTTTCCTGTATGCCTTTGCAGAAGAACTAAGATCAGTAAACTCACACAATTCTTAATATTTATTTATTCAAAATTGTTTCTTTACTGAATATTATGTGCAAGGGACTGAACACATACAAAATTATAAAGAACCATTTTTTCATAAATCCTTTGACTGTCTTGCTTGCCTAAAAAGTTAATTCTTTTAAATTTCATTGTGAGTCAGTTTTGAATTATTAATGGGATAGGAAATAACGTAATTTAACATTAAAATTGAATTCCATTCAATTCTTCTATTTAAGCTTCCATTCTTTAAAATAAATATAACTTACACCAACATTTCTTAATGTTATTAGAACCTTCTGGTTTTAGCATACTTCCCATAAAGTGAATATATGAAAAAGTTTTAAAATTCACGAATAGCCTGTTACTAAAAATAAAATAATGAAGTCAGACAACTGCTGACATAATCTAGTATTAATAGTTTCAAAACCTTATTTAAAAACAACTTGTCCTAGTCTTCTAGCCTTTTTGCTGGTGAAATAATTATCACAGAGACTTCCACTTTTATCTGTGTCATAAGTGAATCCTCTATCCATATTTTTTTTGGCTTTCAATATGAAAATTAATGGTCTTCACATAATCATGGCTTTTTTAACATTGACATCTGTAGTTACAGAATTTACTCACTGCAAGTAATAGGGTAGTCTTTTTGACAAACTTAGAGTTTTCCTTCCTTGGTCCTGTGTAGATGAGGGCAAAAAAGGATTGACATTTCTTTGCTAGCCAACAAAATGTTTCCCATCAGTGTCAGTATTTATACTTCCTAGAACTTTGATAATTCTTCATTGAATTCAAATAGTATGTGAAGAAGAAATACCATAGAATTTCAAAGAAGGGACAACAGTGGGGACTTTAAATGAAGTTTAATTTTATTCATGTCTTAAGCACAGGGACCAGATTAATGATATATATTCAAGTGTTAGGACAACATCCTTGTCCAGTTCAAAAACCTTGCCTTTAAAACTACCTTTATTTAACATTTTAATATTTTAAGTAGAGTATGCTAGTTCTCTCTTCACTGACGGGGGAAAAAAAGCAGTTAAAAGTCTTAAAAATATAAGAGGAAAATTATATCCATTTCTATTTTACTTGCCTAAGTTTGTTCTTTTTTTAAAGTTGAAGAAAAATGGAGATATAAAGTAAAACAGAGCTGTAGCTGTATTGCTGTCACAAAATATGTGATCTTCAGAATTGATCTCTCAAATTTAATGAGATTTCCCTTTCTTAGAAAAAATATAACAAAAATAAGAACATCAAGTGACTTAAAATATATCATTTTAAAAATCTGCTTGATGAAGAAACAGGCCTATATTTGTAGTTTTTAATTGAAAAAGTTTACCTCAAACTTTGCTGTGTTATCCACTTGTGTAGCATTACAGAACTAGAGCCAATATCCCAATATTAGTAGATTGCTTTGGAATCATACAGTACCTTTTCAGAATGCTTATACTATTGTCATGATTAATTAGAAAACAATTGACATGGCGAATATGAAAATTCTTTTCCATCTAACCTTAAAATCCAGAAAAAAACTGTTTAAAGGTATTCCAAGATGACTTTAACCATGGATTACTTCAAGTTTTATTTTTTAAATCATAACAAACTAAGAATGAATCCCTTATTTTATTTAGAATGGGCTTTTATTTTTAGTACTGGTCAGTTAGAAGGTATAGCCATTTTTTTAAGGGTTGTGAGTGGTATTACCTTTTGATTAGTTATAGAATGAGTTACACAACTCAAAAGCTTTAGGTAATCAAAAATTAAGTTTGTTTTCTTTCCTGTTCTAGTTACCGGTTTACTAAAATAGTGAGCATACATGATCACTTGAGAATTGGGCTTCTGGAGCACCTGAACAGAAAGGGAGTGGTTCATATTCAGCATTACAAAAGACAACTTTCTCTTTTTGAAGGGGATTACTTTGGCTATTTTCCAGGTACTGGGGAAATTCCAAATGCATTACAAGTTATTGGGATGGCTATTAATTATTCATTTCCTAAAATATGTTGACTGAAGACTTGAGATTTGGTTATATAATAGAACATTATTTGACTTCATCAATTTATAAAAAACTTATGTAGAAATTTAGCAAAATACAAAATTGAGACTCTTACATGCAGCAGTTATATTTTTTCAGATAACTCTAGAAACATCAGGCTTATTAGTCAGAACATACTTAGTAGAAGTACTTTCTGAAAATAATGGAAGAGCAATAGAATTTGTGCATGTGTATATAAAGAAAAGTTATGTGCAATGCATTGCATCTTTCCAAGTAATTACATAACAAAAGAAAATCATATTTTGCATAATATTTCAGTTTTAGGATATTAGGTTAAGGAAGGGTATTTATAACTAGAGAGTTTTTAATAGAGAATTAGTACTTTAATAAAGAATGCATAAACCATTCAAATATTTTTATAAATAATTCTTCAAGGTGTAATTAATGGCCTGAATATATTGAACCATATCACAGAGTGTCCATTGGATGAGACATTTGATTATTTAGAATAATTCTTCTTTAGAATTTTTATGTCTGCTTCGAGGTTGAAGATTTAGGGGAAATGATCTTCATAAAAATATATTTCCAAACATATTTCCTTTGCATACCTTTTCCTTACGGATTTATCTTGATAGTTGTTGGGGAAATCATAAGGGTTATTTTCCTTCATTAGGAAAACCTCTTTAGGCATCATTTGGACTTTTATTTTTGAACATGGAGAACTTTGGGCTGCATTTGAATTATAACAGAGTGCAATTCAGATCTCATTTTAGTCAAGTTTTTTCTCACTGCTCTAAGTCTCTCTAAGGACTACTTCTAATCTTTCTACTATACAAGTTCCCATTCATTCCACATACCTGTTTGAGTGTGCCCGATATTGTGATAGACCCTGAGGTACAAGGGTGAATAAGACATAGACTCTGCTCTCAAGTGCGGTGTAACGGAGTTCGAGGTATCAAGTTAGCCCAGAGAAAGGAATATTCGTTCTTCCTTGATACACAGAGGAAGATACGACATTTAGAAGAGATGTTGAAATAAGTGTTTAAGAATAAATAGGAATTTCTTATAGGGGATGAATATTCTAAGAAAGGCAAGAGTGCATGCAGTCTCAATACATTAAACTAAGGAATATGTCTTAAGACGCCTAATTCAAATTCGAGTACTCTTATTACTTGCAGTTTCCCATATAAAATATATATGAAGGCACAAGTAGAGAACCACAAAGCCAGTTCAAAACCACAAAACCACTTAGCAGTCATTTCTCACTAAATAATTGTCTTGCACATACAATAGCCATTGTTACCTTTCCTTGTGGATCAGCTTTTCATAATAGCTCATGTCCTAAACTTTCCAACAGTCATTATATCATAGTGAATTCCAAAAGTCTACCATATATTAAATATGAAATTTAGTTTTTTAATCATTACTCATGGATCAACTTTTCATAATAGCTCATGTCCTAAACTTTCCAACCAGTCATTATATCATGGTTAGTGAGCTCCAAAAGTCTACCATATACTAAATATGAAATTTAGTTTTTTAATCCTTAAATTTTCAAATGCTGTTGTCAGTTTTGTGTGCTAATAACTTACATAGGAGCATTTGAAAATATTTAAATATAAAAATAACCTAGTTAATAAGTACATTTACTTGTTAATATAAATTTTTTTCTTTTTCTCTTTTTCATTAAAAATTGGAACTATTAGTACAAAGTCTTTTTCTTTAGTCTGGCTATTGCTTTATTTTTAACATATTTAAATTCTACCCAATTTTAGGACCAACAGTAGGTACCATTATGATATAAACAAAAATGTGGCTTAAGAAATATGTTTTATGATCAGTCACATAGCCTCATATTTGGACCTTGTTATATTAGTGATAAATTTTAAGATCTAGTTCTCCTGAAACACTGAAGTTTTGGCATTTGTTAATGTCAGGCAGTTGAACTCCAATAAATTAACAGGGGCATAGCTCCAAATGGCATGAGACTGGTAGACATGTCACAAAACTTATAAGTAGCCACAAAAATAACATACTAACTAATACTGTTTATATAATCTCTTTCATTTGTCATGATACATTCATATATATTCTCAGTTTTTATTAAGAACAACCATGGCTGTTGCAGAAAGTTTTGTCCTGTTTAACAGTCCAGGAAGCATTGAGAGTAAGAGATATTCACGTAGGCACAACACATATCCGATTTTTAGTCCATATTATAATGCATCACTCAGTAAAGTGTCTTACAGGATAAAAGGGAAGTTTTCTACTGCTACCTACACATGGAAGATTTTTAAAACATATATGTCTTTAAGAAAAGAATTGTTTTGGGATAGTCTCATCTGATAGGAAAATGATTTTTTTATAGTAGAAGAATCTTCGAGATAGATACTTCAGAACTGATTATTATTTTAATTACCTTATAAAAATTATACATTTTTAATTTTATGTATTTTTAATTTTTATGGGTACATAGTAGGTGTATACATTTAGGGGGTACATGAGGTATTTTGATAAAGGAATTCAATGTATAATAATCACATCAGGGTAAATTAGGTATCCATCACTTCAAGCATTTATCCCTCCTTCATGTTTCAAATAATCCAATTATGCTCTTTTAGTTATTTTTAAATGTACAATAAATTATTGTTGACTGAAAATTATCTTTGTTCATTAAAACATGGTATTTAATTGCAGCCAGTCCAAGTAACTAGTGTTCTTATAATTGTCAAAAATGTTCATGTTCTAAGATAGCCTCATGTGAAAATGTTAAATAATGAATTGCATAAAGTAATTACTAATCAAACTACATTATGACCAACTTTAAGAAACTGGCTTCAGCCAGGTGCGGTGGCTCACGCCTGTAATCCTAGCACTTTGAGAGGCCAAGGTGGGCAGATCACTTGAGGTCAGGAGTTCAAGACCAGCCTGGCCAACATGGTGAAACCCCGTCTCCACTAAAAATACAAAAATTAGCCAGGCATGGTGGCACGTGCCTGTAATCCCAGCTACTTGGGAGGCTGAGGCAGGAGAATTTCTTGAACCTGGGAGGCAGAGATTGCAGTGAGCTGAGATCACGCCATTGTGCTCTGCACTCCAGCCTGGACAACAAAGTGAGATTCCATCTCCAAAAAAAAAAAGAAACCGGCTTCTTTTTTCTGCCAGAATGATGACATTGAATACTGATATAACATCACGTGGGGCGTGGCAATATTTTTAATTGCTTGATTTTTTTTTCCATTTATGCCTTGAAATTTAGCAAAAATTATGAGAACTTTTAATATTTTAACCGGTCTTTATGCTATTTTAAGAACATACTAACTCAAGGTCTGGTGCAGTGGCTCATGACTGTAATCCCAGCACTTTGGGAAGCCAAGGCGGGCAGATCACCTGAGGTCAGGAGTTTGAGACCAGCCTGGCCAACATGGCGAAACCCCAACTCTACAAAAAATACAAAAATTAGCCAGGTGCGGTGGTGGGCGCCTATAATCCCAGCTACTGGGGAGGCTCAGGCAGGAGAATCGCTTGAACTCGGGAGGTGGAGGTTGCAGTGAGCCAAGATTGTGCCACTGCACTCCAGCCTGGGTGACAGAGTGAGACTCCATCTCAGAACAAAAAATAAAATGAACATATTGACTCCTAATGGTATTTTCAAGATGAGGGTGGAAAGGATGGTATTTTTATGAGGGAGAAATATCGGACATCATCTTAGTTTTTAAACTAATATGATTTGTGTATTAGTAGAACAATTATATTGACTATTGAATTTATGTATTTATATGTGTTTATACAACTTGTTAGGAAGTGTAGCTTGTTAGAATATATGTTTAACAAATAGAATGTTTATTTGGGCCCATTTAGGACTAAATAGCTTAAATTTAAATATTGGTTATGATATCTTCACAGATAACACAGGCAAATTATCATTAAAATGATTTGTGTTTTGTTGTTATTTGTTAACATTGAATTATAATCAGTTTGAAACCAGCATGTATCACTGTGAAAATAAATGCTGGTCTCTGTTTCAAGGAGTTTTTAAAAATCAAAGCAGAGGATCATTTACAAAGCAGATAGTAGATTGAATGAAAAATCAGACAAAGGGGCAGAAAAATTTGTACTGCCCGTATGGTTTAGTATTAGGTAGAAGTACTTGAAGATATTTTTGAGATTATTCTTTAGAAATATATTTTTCCTCCATTTAGTAAGTAGTATTTCATTCAACAAAAATTTATTGAACCCTCTATGCCAAACATTGAAGGAAAAGAGTAAAAATCAAGAGGATAAATGCATTAGTAAATACAGGCAAAAATATTTTTAGTAAGCATACATTTATTGTGAACATGATCAGTGCTACGTGACATAGTGCTCAGTGCTGGAAATATAAATAAGAATACCCTGGTACCTGCTTTCATGGAGGTCTCAGTTCATTTGGCAAAACAAACTAAAAATTAAAGTTACAGTATATTATCAAATAAGTGCTGTAATAAAAGTAAGCAGTAAGCATTAAGGAAACATACAGGAGAAAACACTGTAAGGAAATCTAAGGGAGGCTTCCCAGATAGGATGCCAGAATCTTGATGGATTTATAGAAGTTAGTAAGGCCAAAAAAAAAAAAAAAGTACATTTCCAAGTAGATGAAGTAATGTTGCAGACTTTCAGATTGAGAGAGTATGTGGAGGAATGACTAATTAAATAAAGCTGGAACAGTTGAAAAGAAAAGGGTATTGACAAAGGATGAGGCTACATAGATGAGCAAAAGACAGACCCTTCTAAGAATTTGGGCTTCCAATCTGTAAGCAGGGAGAGCCGTTAAAGGATTTATAGCAAGGAAGCAACATGATGAGATGTACATTTTAGGGAGAGCACTCTGGATACTACTGGAAAGCTAAAAAATGTTCAGTTATACCTTTAAGCTCTTTCCAAGATAAGAGTATATGTGAATAATTAAGTTATAACAAAGTTTAAGAATTACTCAGGTTTGTGCAACTTGGTTCTTTTGAGATATTTGTAAATTAGGTTCTTTATATAATTGCATTAACAGACAATAATGGAATGTTACATTCTTAGCATAACCCTGAGCTGATCAAATATAAGAAGCGGAAAACTATTGATAATTGTTGGAAATTCCTATCTGACCTGTCCTTTGTCTGACTATTTAATGTTGATCTTATTTTGTACTAAATCAGATGATACTAAGTGATGGCATTTACCCTCTGTGTAGCTATGATGCATTCTAAATTGCCTGGATCTCCCTTTAGTGCTGGGTTTATAATTAAAAGGACATATAATACAAAGGAAGAAGAGAAACTGAAACTCAAAAGGAGTATAAGATTATGAGAGAGGTTGAGATCTAAGAGGTAAAAAGTTAGGGAAGCATCCTTTCTCTTAATTGCCTCCTACACTGTAGCATACCTCTCTTTCTCCTGCTCACATATATTAAAAAGTTCTACTGCTGAAAATATGTATATGACTCTAAAGGCCTATATAGCTCACTCCAAACATTTTAGCTGTTTTTATTATTTTCGTTGCCTAAGAATTATATAATCGTAAATTCCATGATATTATAACCAGTTGTCCCTTTTGCCTTGAGGTAGGGGCCAGGCTAGCAATTTATAATAAATAATATTATTTTTATTATATAGAAAGTTTCTAAATAGATATTATTGACTACTTCAGTAAACATGTTGATTTATAATTGAAACCACAAAATTGAGTACCAGAATTATTCTAAAAAACTAAGTAAATGTTGACTCTGCTTATTTTGGAATTTTAGCTAAACAATGCATAGTATATAGTCGTAGTTTATGGCATGTAAGTTATCTGTGTGAATTCAACAGGCTGAACCTTTCATAGCTACCAAACCTGTCTAACTTAATACAAATGACTATAAGCAAGCTTCGAAAAACTCTGATTTCCATTAATGTGAATCCAGGCTCTCATAAGAGTGAGTTTCTACTATTTTCCATGCAAGCAACTAGCTTCCTTGCAGCACTTTGCCACTTAATTCCAACACAAATATCATCCTACAGCAAAAAAAATTTACTTATGTGACCATATGTCTGTGTTAGTCGTTGCATATTATAGACATCTAATTGATAATGTAATACTGGGTTTGTATTGAGGTCAAATTATATGGATCATCACCTTAAAATTATTCCAACTTGAGATAAAATGTTGAAAAATTGTACGTCTGCCATGTTTTATTTTAAATATGAAATTTTTTAATTCGGAATTGGAAAGAGTTGGAAAATTAACTTATTTATAGTTTTTATTTTGCCATAAAGGAAAATTGTATCGTTTATGAAATTAAAGAGCTGGAAGTGAGAACACACTTACCAGAGTTCACATACTAAAGTTTGTTCTCTCAGGCTCAAGTAATCTGTACTGTCTCTTCTAAAAATGGTTGACCATATGGAAGGTTTAAAGGCTGCTCTTTCATGATAAATAATTGACAATGGAAGCAGTAAATACCTCTATTAAGTTAATTTCTTGCTTGCACTCTATCTCAGTTTTTACCTACTCAGGCTAATTTGCAGGTGCCTGGGATGAGTAGACAATCCATAATTTCTACCAATCAAGTAAAAGAAGGAAAGAAAACTGAGCTTCTCTCCCAGTTACCAGGTAGTTTGCTGTGGTTAAAATTAATGCAGATTTTACAGCAGCGGATATTAGCATTTTTATTTATTATAAGTAATTATTTTGAAATTTGGGAAATGAATAGTTGAGTACATCATTTGAGTGTTTATTTGACCAGTTATTAGTGCAAGAAACCATCATTTAAATGTTCTCTGTGTTATAGCAAATCAATTTGTTTCTCTCTTCATATTAATGTGTTTTAAGAAAAATTCATTATGATTACTTTTACTTGAAAATATATTTTATTTTTTGCAGTGTTTGAGCAACACACCTCCACTTACTGAGTATTTCCTCAATGATAAGTATCAAGAAGAACTGAATTTTGACAATCCCTTAGGAATGAGAGGTGAAATAGCTAAATCTTATGCCGAACTGATCAAGCAAATGTGGTCTGGAAAGTTTAGCTACGTCACCCCAAGAGCCTTTAAGGTTAGTGTGGTAAATGCATTTTAGCAAGGGTACCTGCAAGGGTACAAAAGTTGGTTCTTGGGGATAGGGGGAGTGAAAAATAGTAGCTATTACAATGGTTTGTGGCCCTCCAAAGGAACACAGTACATAAATAGATATACAGTACATCTGTGATATAAAATTTAGGTGGGAGGGATATGGAACAGTTTATCTGTTTTGTTTTTGTTTTTGTTTTTGTTTTACATCTAAATCTGGAATGGAGAGAATAATGAAAAAAAGTTGAAAAACACTGGTGTGGTACAAGAATGAGTATAGAGACAGCAATGAGCGTTTGTATAGTTGTTTTGGAATATAGTACATCTCTGGAAAACCTATGTGAATATTCTATACAAATGTAAAAGACTAAATTTGGGCATGTTACTGAACTCTAAGAACCCATTTTACTTTGAGAGTCATTATGAATTTGAAAAATTATCAAAATGAAAATAGTCTGCAAACCAAGCATTAAAAATTAAATGTACTTTCAATATAGTTCTTAAACTTTTAAGGTTATTCACATGTGTGAATTGTTACTTATCAAATAATTTATTGTTCAAATAAGAATTGAGCTGAAATTTAGCTTTATGGCTGAAATTTAGCTTTATATTGTTAAAAAAATGCCTACTTAATTATATAGGTGAAACTTTGAGAAGTTTTAAACTTGTAGAGAGAATAAGCAGTTTTAAGTCGTTATTTATACAAGTAATTTAAATGGCATTGATAGAGGACATCTACTGGACAACATTTTTTATTAGCTATATACTAGTTCTTAGAAAATAAAAAACCAGCAAATCAAAATGCCTCTGTATTGTCTTCCTTAACATTCTAAACTTTGGACAAACTAGTCCAGACAAACCATCTCTCAGCTCTTACTAGCATTCTAATTGGTTTTATTTTGGTAGATTTTCTCTCTTAAAATTATGTGTAAATAGGTTCTTTATGTGTGACTTTTTTTCTGTCAGATGATGATTCATACTATTACATTTATTTTCAGTCTCATCCAAAAACAAAAATACTTAGTGATGAAAGATTAGGAAAATTGAATATGAACATTAATGTTTCTGTTATCTCTGTGATACTCATCCTCCTTTTGCGCATAGAAACTAAGTGAGAGCCTAGAGTAGTTATCTTAAAAATGCTTTCAGATACGTAATTATCTTTATGTGGTAATATAGCAAGGATGAGAACCTGCCTCTTCCTGTCTACCTACCAGACATTTATAGGAGGAGGCAATAGGAATACCTAAAGCTAAGAATTAAGGACATCTGGAAAATCCTTTGACAAATAGTGAAACAACAATTAATGACAATGAAATCTATGACCAAACAAAGATCAATACATTTTTATATATTAAAGATTACATGTGTTGATCTATTTTGTCCCAGATAAGCTTTGTTGAGTGCTTACTAGGAATGCAAAACAAAATATAATTCATATATATTCCTGTTGTTCGTGTATACAATTTTTATTATTCACAGGAGTTATGTTCAATGAAGCTGCCACAAACACTGAAATAACAACTACTGAACCATTACTCCTAGGGAAACTATAGGGTTTGATTCCTCCAAGCCTTTGTTCACAACATTTTCGTCAACCAGACAATGTATAACTTTGTTTTGCATGTGTTTCTGTTTAAAAACAACTTGTTTAATATATATTGTTGAGTCCTTAACATTGAACTCACAGCAAACAGTGCTATAACTCATGTCTTAATGAAGCATATCTAACACATACTTTTTCTCCATAAAGCACATCACAGCTTTCTTGCATTTAGGAACACTAGCTGGCATGTTTGTACTTCATTTAGTGACCATTTTAAACACTGAAATTAACAACAAAACAAACAAAAATGTGAAAAAACATAACACTAAATAAACTACAAAGGACACTTGTTTATAGATTCAGAGCTGAAACAACAAGCCAAAGCATCACCTTGTTCAACCCCAGCTGGTAACATGCATATCAGGTGACTCAAATTTTTTGCCACTCTGAAAATATCTACAAATGACCATGAATTGATTTTGGGGTTACAAATACATTTTAGAAAGCAGGCAAATTCACAAATGTGGAATCCATGAATAATGAGAATCTATTGTACATATGTTTAAAAATCAACCCTGTTCCTAGAACTGATTTGATGGTTTTGCATTTCTTACAGACACAGGTAGGACGTTTTGCACCTCAGTTCTCTGGATATCAGCAGCAAGACTGTCAAGAACTGTTAGCTTTCCTATTAGATGGATTACATGAGGATTTGAATAGAATTAGGAAAAAACCATATATACAATTAAAAGATGCAGATGGAAGGCCAGATAAGGTAAATTTCATGATCCTATTGTCACCATTGTTATAATTTTGTGATACCTCTTTCTAATTTGTGTCTATTATCCTTGTAGGTGGTTGCCGAAGAAGCCTGGGAAAACCATTTAAAACGAAATGATTCTATCATAGTAGATATATTTCATGGCCTTTTCAAATCAACTTTAGTTTGTCCTGAGTGTGCTAAGATTTCAGTAACATTTGATCCTTTTTGTTACTTGACACTTCCATTGCCCATGAAAAAAGAACGCACCTTGGAAGTTTACTTAGTTAGAATGGATCCACTTACCAAACCTATGCAGGTAAATCATGGGTTGGTTTGTTTTGTTTTTTTTTTTTTTTTTTTGCATTTGTTATTTTTATTAAAAAATTAGTGTTGAGTCCTTATTATAAAAATTAAGTATTGAATTATCAAGCCCAATCAATAATGTTTATTTGTATAAGAGATTTTATAAGCTGAATACTTTGGAAATCAGTGTAACTTTTTACAGTCTTGAAAGAGCAACGTGTGTCTTATAAAAAATTCTCAAAAGGCTTTTTATAGAGGTTTATTTTTATAATATTGGGGTGAATATTAGCTTATGAAGATCAACATAATATTTTTAATTTTTTTAAACTTCAACTTTCTTTAGTGTTAATTGTAATTTTTTTTTACTAGTGGCTATTGGAAGTAAAGCTAATACTTTTAATTCATAGTGTGATAGTAGTGTATTTAAATACCTGTAATTTTTAGGCATTTTAGGAACTTAAAAGAAAGTAGAAATTCAGTTAGACTAAAAATATTTTGTTCAGTGATGTTCTCTAATTTCTAATACTTTGAAGTATCACATATTGTTTATTCTGTGCAAAAGTCCTGTGGTAAGTCTTACTGTCAAATTGTCTGCCTGATTCCGTTACCTAGTGTTATAATTGGATTATTTATATTTTGTGGGTAAAGCACTATCTTTTCTCCCTTATTTATTAATCAGTTAATCCTCTTCTGACACTTGACCCATCCCAGTGAAAGTAACTTCTTCTTTTTCTACCTCTCTTTCCCTAAATTCTAACACTTAACTAATTTTGTTATAACTTTTGGCTTACTTTTATCTTTTATCCCTAGACTACAAGTCTTTGAAGACAGAGACCTTGTAAACCTTTGTATTTCCAGCTTTTGTGGCTGGTAAATATTAATGCACAAGAAGTATTCAAAAATTTTATTCATCAAGATACTTAACTATGCACCTACTAAGTATAAAGCTCTTTGGCTAAACAAAAAAGATATGATTCCTGCTTTAGAAGATTGTTTTCTGTAAATTTTTAGCCAAATAGCTCAGTTTGTTAGTGCATAATAGTCACGATGTCTATATGAAAGCTATATTTGAACAAAATTATGATCTTACCATTCAGGGATGTATTTGGGTTTATTGTCAACAAAGACAGGGTATATGTAGTGTTCATAAACACACAGTCCTTTTATTCAAAGTAATTAAAGTCTAGTAGATACTAGGTATGTACTCAGTTATGCAAATTTAAGCAATTTGTTTTTCTGCTGCTTTATGTTTTCTTTATGAACTCATTGAACACAATGCCCTCATATCAGTATTTCACTGGAGAGTGCTAAGTACTATCCCTTATCTGTGAGCAGAGCCAATAAAGACCTGCTTTTACTTTTGGCCTGGGGAATATGTGTTCACATTTTTAAAGTTATATCCTTTAGATATTCACTTATTCACTCGTTTATAAGTACAAGATTGTCAACATTCTTTTCAATGGTGAGAAACTATAACAGTGCCAAACCACATCCTTACCTCTCTAGTTTATAACTTTGCAGATATACACCAATGAGTGTAATGGAGCAAGAGAGCGTAGAATAATAAGTATAAATTTACTGCAACAAAAAATAAATGTAGATGTTTTATTTCTCTACAGCACATTTGTTAGAGATAATATTCTCCCATGCCAATAATATAAGGTAATCTATATCAATAGTGGCAAATTGCATTAATTTACACATTAGTCCATAAGGTATATGATAAGTGCTCTTCCATAAATTGGGCTCTAAATTATTTTTCCAGCAATGTGAATTTCATTGACTTATCACTTTTCTCATTTGGTGACCAATAATATAAATTTGCGGAGGTTAGAGCCATGGTTAGCACAGAGAAATTCGTTTGTTTTTGTGTTTTGTGTTTTTTTTTTTTCCTTTTTTCCATTTAGAGGCAGTAACAACTCAAATACAAAATGATCACCTCATTTCATTAACACTATGCTTTGACCAGCTTGTAAGAAAAGTGAAATTAGCTGAGTTTCCCTATTTGTTGAGTTTTCCCGTCATTGAAGTTGATTTAGGTCATGGAAGCTTATTAGGAAAAATATTGAATATATATTATATCTTAGGCTCTTATGCTGTGCAAGGTGCTAGAAATATAATGGTGTTTCTAGTCCTTGTTCTTCAAGAAGCTTGTCATACAGTGTGAAAATTGCTCTGACAGGGTGCTGCAAGAGAACACAGAGTAACCTACCCAAACTGGTTATGAGGCCTGTGATAAATTCTGAAGGACAATTAGGTTATAAGCAGGTGAAAACTAGAAATAAAAGCATTATAGGCCAAGATAATGGCATGTACAAAGAACTTATGGGAGAAGAGGACATGGCCCACTTCTGTAATCTACAGTAGTTAATATGGCAAGCAGGAGCTAGATCACGAAGAACTTTGATGCCAGTATAGGAAGTTTGAACTTCATCCTAAAAACTAGGGAAGCCATTAAAGACTATTAAGTATAGATATTATATGGCCACAATTATGTTTCAGAAAGATGATTCTGGGTAGCACAGAGATCAGTTAGAAAAGGCTTAGTACTAAGACCAGGTAAGAAGCTTTTAATGATCAGACGACAGACAAATGACAAACACTTCAACTCTGTCAGGATGGCAGTTTGAAGAACCAGTTGAATGTAGGAAGTGAAAATGTGTAAGTATATTCAAAGATGATGCCAAGTTTACTTGACAGGAAAAGAGGAGACAGCAGTGCTGTTTTAGTGGAATATATAGGAAGAACAAGTTGAAGAAGGAATCCATTTTAGTATTGAACGTGGTGGCCTAACATGACCCAAACCTGTGTTTAGTATTGGATATGCTGACTTACAGATGCATGAGGAACACTTAGGTAGAGATATCCAGTAGGCATTGAATTTGTGTATCTAGACCAAAGGAGAGAGACTGCTTTAGCTATAAATTGGACAATCAGCTCTATGAAAATGATAGTGTTTTAGAAGGATGAGATTACTTAAGGCTAAGGTGACCCCGTGATTTATCATCTAAACAAGAACTCTTGAAAATAGAAGGGACTGTCATTAATAATTATACTAGGATAGCAGGCTAATCCAGGACTGGCCAAAGCAAATCAGGAGACACTGTTGCCTCTTCCAAGGAGAGCATATAAAATTGAGAAGAAGGCTAAAGACAACACTCTAAAGAACAATGTAGGAGAACTTCAAAAGAGGAATATGATCACAGCAATAGAAAAGAATTAAAAGTAGTCGTGTTATAAGGAAAGGGAATTTTTTAAGGAGAAAGTGGTCAGCAGTCATATTACAAAGAGGTCAATAAAATAAAGACTGATAAGTTGTACAACATTATTGGCAACCTTGGAAACAAGTTAAATAAAGAGGCGAAGACAAGCCAGCAAGAGGGTTGAGAAGTAAATGGGAGATAAGGAAGTTATGATAATATAGATATCATTAATAAAGTTATTTATAAAATAGAGGAGAAGGGGAGATAATTAGAGGGAAAGCAATGAGGTACCCTTGTTTTTTGAGAGACTTTATATTCCAATGCTTATGCAAGAGTTGAGATAAAATGGAAGAAAGAATAATTGCTTGGTTTAGGTCCCAGAGAAAGCAGAAGAGCATGGGATTTAGAACATAGACGCTAAGGTTAGCTTTGAATAAGAAGAGAGACATCTTTCTTTCCATGTGTTGCAAGAGACAGAAAAGTACCTATGTGGATTCAAAGAAGTTAGTAGAACAGGAAGTTGGAGATTTTCCCACCCAGTAGTTTCTGTTTTTGAGATGAAATAGGTATTCTGCTGATATTAAGGGAGCAGTAGTGAAATAGGAAGCCTAAAGAATGGTGAAGATTTTTTTTTTTTTTTTTTTTTTTTTGTTAATGAGACAGGGTCTTGCTCTGTCACCCAAGTTGGAGTACATTAGGGTGTGATCTCAGCTCACTGCAACCTCCGCCTCCTGGGCTCAAGGGATTCTCCCGCCTCAGACTCCCAAGTAGCTGGGACTACAGGTGTGCGCCTCCGAGCCCAGCTAATTTTTTGTATTTTTGTAGCAACAGGGTTTTGCCATGTTATCCAGGCTGGTCTCGAACTTTCGGGCTTAAGCGATTCACCTGCCTTGGCCTCCCAAAGTGTTGGGATTACAGGCGTGAGCCACTGGGCCCAGCCCAATGAAGATTTTAAATAGTTATTGAGATAAATGAGAGAATAACCACATGTGTGATATGCAGAATTATTTCTGAGTACTGTCAAAGGATCAATTGATATTGGGCACTGTGGATTTGTAGCACACCAGCCTCTAAAATTGGGAAATTCTCTTCAGCACATGTGAACAGCTCTGAGAAAGTTTAGCAAGAGTGGAATGAATAGAATTGAGTAACAAAGACATTAAAGGTTCGTGATAAAGCATGTAGGGCCTGGATGGAAGGGCTAGAAGACAGTAGGGAGCTGGTAAACTGGGAGAAAACAAGAGTTAAAAGGAATAGAAATCTCTGTGCAAGACAAGAAGAGATAAGAATGAATTTCCAGGAGAAGCAAGAAGTAGTGGTTAGACAGTAACCCGAGTTTAAGATACTAAAAGTGGGGCCGGGTGCAGTGGCTCAGTCCTGTAATCCCAGCATTTTGGGAGACTGAGGCAGAAGGTCACTTGAATCCAGGATTTTGAGACCATTCTGGGCAACATAATGAGACCTTGTCTCTAAAAAATAAAAATTAGCCAGTCATGGTGTCACACGCATGTAGTCCTAGCTACGCAAGAGGCTGAATTCGGAAGATGGCTTGAGCCCGGGAGGTTGAGGCTGCGGTGAGCCAAGATCATGCCACTGCACTCCAGCCTGGGCAACAGAGTGAGTGAGAGCCTGTCTCTAAACAACAAACAAAAAAAGATAGCAAAAGTGGGAGCAGTTTCAAGTAATGACAGGATCTAATAAGTTGACTGAGGTTGAATTAATGCAAGTGTCTTTGAATTGAGGAGCCAAGGAATGATAAAACTAGGACAAATTATCCATGTGGGCATTGTCACACAGGACCCAGGATAGTGGCAAGATTGGAGACAAACACTAATCCAAATGCCAAATGAATGTGAGATAGCAACCATGAGGTCACTCTCATTTACTGAATTTTTTTTCCAAAATAATAAATTCATTACAATTTTTTTTGTTTTTTAGTACAAAGTGGTTGTCCCCAAAATTGGAAACATATTAGATCTTTGTACAGCATTGTCTGCTTTGTCAGGAATACCTGCAGATAAGGTAAGATGTTTCTGGGGTTGAAGTATATAAGTTGGTATTTAGTTTCTCAGTGCTGTAAAACCAGCTTAATAGAAATTCGTTTCCTTTTAGATGATAGTTACTGATATATACAATCATAGATTTCACAGAATATTCGCTATGGATGAAAACCTTAGTAGTATTATGGAACGGGATGATATTTATGTGTAAGTATAAAACTCATTGTGCAAAATATTACTTGAAAAAAAATTAATAGAAGTAACATAAAATTTTGAGAGTTTATGGTCAGTTTTGTCCTTGTAGGTTTGAAATTAACATCAATAGGACAGAAGATACAGAGCACGTGATTATTCCTGTTTGCCTAAGAGAAAAATTCAGACACTCGAGTTATACCCACCATACTGGTTCTTCACTTTTTGGTCAGCCCTTTCTTATGGCTGTACCACGAAACAATACTGAAGACAAACTTTATAATCTCCTGCTCTTGAGAATGTGGTAAGTGCCAGACAATTCTACATTGACAAAATAAATATGGGAATAAAATATAAAATAGCTAATAAAAATAAACACATAAGGTACTATTGGAATATAATTATTCAAGTCTGTATTATCTCAATTTTGTTCATAGTCAGATTATAGTCCTAATCCACTTTCTTATTCATGTAAAACATATTATGGAGGTAATTTCAAACCCAGGAAGCACGAAGTCTGTAGCAGTTTTAAACCAAAAGTTTACAGTTAGAAGGACATAGGAATTTATGTTATAATAATTATGTGTTACATGTTCATTCTGTGAAATCATAACAAATGTCAAATGCCATATGTTTGCACTGTGAAATAACAAATGTCAAATGCTTCATTTCTTTATATACATTACCAGTTCATGATTAATAGTATTGTAAGGCAGCCTATTTTTTGCCTTCCTGAATAAATCCCTTGATTTGAATTATGAAGTTATCAAGAATGTCATTTGATCCCTTTTATCCTTGAAAGCTGGTATATTTAGTATTCTTTCTTGCATATCTAATTATTATAGTTTCATAACCCATATATAAAGATCACATTATACAAATATAAGTGTTTTTAGCAACAATATATACCATCTAAATAGGGTAAGTTGAGAAATTATTTGCAACAAACATTTAACATTTAACCTAAAAGGTAACATATTAATTATTTTTATAAAGATGAGCAAAACAAATTACTAGTCAGTTATACTTATGGTACTAAAAGTTTGAATTTATCTTTGAATCTACTAAGTGACCACTGTTACTGCATTAAAAAGTTTTGTTTTACTGATAGAAGGAAAACTTTTTAAAAGTTTTTATCTTTGTAGTACTGAACTTGTTTGATTTTTGATTTTACTTAAGCCGATATGTCAAAATATCTACTGAAACTGAAGAAACTGAAGGATCCCTACACTGCTGTAAGGACCAAAATATTAATGGGAATGGCCCAAATGGCATACATGAAGAAGGCTCACCAAGTAAGACTTTTCTGTTAAATTGTACAAATGTTTCACTTAGATAATTGCCTCAGAGAAAAAGTTAAGAAAATGGGAATTAAAGAACTAAAAAATACCTGGAAACCTAGGATTAATAATATTAATAATTTAAAAATATAGCATTGGGTTTATTTAAAGCTCTCTAATATCTAAAATTAGGTGAAATGGAAACAGATGAGCCAGATGATGAATCCAGCCAGGATCAAGAACTTCCCTCAGAGAATGAAAACAGTCAGTCTGAAGATTCAGTTGGAGGAGATAATGATTCTGAAAATGGATTATGTACTGAGGATACTTGCAAAGGTCAACTCACGGGACACAAAAAACGATTGTTTACATTCCAGTTCAACAACTTAGGCAATACTGATATCAACTACATCAAAGATGATACCAGGCATATAAGATTTGATGATAGGCAGCTTAGGCTAGATGGTAAGTATTTGTGAAAAATGGCTTGAACATTAAACAAGCCGAGCATGTTATTTTTTTTTTAGGTGAAAACCATGAAATTCAGCTCTGTCAAGAAATATACCATTTACTTTTCTATCTCAAATTTTACATGAAAGGACTTAATATCTAAGTAGACTAAAATGTGTGTTTGTGTTTCATAAATGGAGATTGAACTCATGCTTCAGTTTTCTATCTTTTTTTAAACTCTTAAATTATTTCAATGGCTTGGAAACTGCTGTTTGCCCTAATCACCAGTACAAGTAGAAAAGATTGCTGTTTGTTTATTCTGGTGTATATCCTAACATTAAAATATACTTTAATACTAAGACATATTAAATTTTAAAGAAAAAATATGTTTTCCACCTTAGAAAGATCTTTTCTTGCTTTGGATTGGGATCCTGATTTGAAAAAAAGATATTTTGATGAAAATGCTGCTGAGGTAAGTCATCACTCACTCACTTATTTACCTTTCCTTGATTTACTTTATGTGATTACCAGAGATAATCATACTGTTGTGTTACACTCTTTGCTTCCACCAAATATGTTTATTTTGCCAGTAAAAAATTGGTCATGAACTAGAAAAAAAAGTCTTTGCAAAAATACCTTTTTTTTTTAAAGGTTCAGAGTTCATTTTGAACGTGTTTTGGTCATCCATATAGAAGTGTACAGGAATTATTTAGAAGTATATAAATCTCAACTGAAATAAGCTTTATGATTCTTTTGAGAAAGTTTAGGAGTTTTCATTATTATTCATAGTAAGATGGTATCACTAAAATGAGTTTTGTTTCATTTGTTCTCTTAACTCAAGAAATACTTCTCTTTAGGACTTTGAAAAACATGAAAGTGTGGAGTATAAACCTCCTAAAAAACCCTTTGTGAAATTAAAAGATTGCATTGAACTTTTTACAACAAAAGAAAAGCTAGGTGCTGAAGATCCCTGGTAAGAGACAAAATTAAATAATTGTTTTTGTTTTCTTTAAGGATTTATTCTGAGATATGTGCCACATCAAGTTGAAAAAGTAATTACTAAATTCTCTTTGATGTTTTAAATAGTAAAGGATTCTTTATATAAGTTGTAGCCTATTAAGAGGGATGGGAATGTCTTAAAAAATACGATTACAGTGTTGCCTTAATTTTATTACTGTGTTTTTCATAATAGCCATTATACTATTAATTCATTTTAGTTACCTTTTTTCCAAGAAATTTTAGCTATGTAATCATTTTGAGAGAAGCTTTTTAGGAAAAATGTAGTGATATATTTTGTGGTGTTATTCCATTAGAGCCCAGATTTGAGATTTTCTAATACCTGTCTTCCAGCACAGATTTGTGACCTATGTCTTTTTTGCATACTAAAAGAGAAATAATCTAGCCCTCATTATGTCTTTAAGTATTTATTTGTATATTAATTTGTAATGGTTTAACCTATTTGGAAAATGTCTTGAAAATAAAAATAATAAGAGTTGCTTTCAACCTGGTACATATTAGGCATACTATAATTGCCCACTGAATAAATGTAGAACTTTCCAAACATTTTTGTTTATTATTTTCATTAATGGGGGTTGTTTGTACCTCTATCAAGTGTTAAATACTTCTGTTTATTCTTAGGTATTGTCCGAATTGTAAAGAACATCAGCAAGCCACAAAGAAATTGGATTTATGGTCCCTGCCTCCAGTACTTGTAGTACATCTCAAGCGATTTTCTTACAGTCGATACATGAGAGACAAGTTGGATACCTTAGTTGATTTTCCTATCAAGTAAGCTTTAATTGTACTTTATAAGCATTGGGCAACTCTTCTTTCAAACTTATTTGATGCTTTTTGTTATTATCCTTTAGTAAACATCAGGTGCCATTGGACCCAATTTCAGCTTTCAAGTTTGTTTTTGAGTAGTTCTAACAGTTTATAAGGATCAGTGTTTCAAAATTTTTATTTTTTCTTAGAGATTTTCCAAAGATCAAAGAGAAAATATACTTTAAAAAAATAAAAACAATAAAAATCCTTCTGTGTTATATTACCTATGGGTTAATTGGTCTCATTTATAAATCTAAGATACTTTATGGTACTTAGTGATTTTGTTTATCCTAGGAATTACTTCATCATTACTCATCACTTACTCCTAAATATGTTGGGGTTTTTTGGTGTTTCTTTTGTTTGTTTTTTGAGACAGGGTCTCACTCTGTTGCCCAGGCTGGAGTGCAATGGTGCAATCTCGGCTCACTGCAACCTCCACCTCCTGGATTCAGGTGATTCTCCTGCCTCAGCCTTCCAAGTAACTGGGATTATAGCCACCCGCCATCATGCCCGGCTAATTTTTAGTACAGACGAGGTTTCACCATATTGACCAGGCTGGTCTCGAACTCCTGACCTCAAGTGATCCACCCGCCTTGGCCTCCCAAAGTGCTGGGATTACAGGCATGAGCCACTGTGCCCAGCCCTAAATATGCTGTTTTCAAAAAGACTAAAATAAAACAACAATGGAATTGCTTAGAAGGATAACACAGTAGTGAAATAAATCATCCCTATTGCATTATCCTTCAGTTTTCCTATTGCCATTATATGACATCATATTTGTAAAAAGATATATCTATGGCCATACCACCTTGAACGTACCCTGATCTTGTCTGTAAAAAGATACAAAGAAGTCTGTATACATCTTCACACTTTATCTCTCTTTTTTTCTTCCCCTGCTTTTAACAGTTGAGAATTCAGAATGACAAAAAGGGAACATTGTATTCCCCGTCACTTAGTTATTCAGCAGAAGGACTTCATCACACAATATTTTGTACAAGTACTTGGTACTATCCCATTTTGCAAAAAGAACTTTCAGCGGTATTATTTCATATCCTGTGATATTTGTACACCAAAATGTACTTGATACAGTTAGTAAGTAGACAATTGCTAAAGGCAGGTGTATCTATAAAGGTAACTAGAAGGAAATAGATTACATAAAACAAAATATTCACTGGATTACTCATTCTAATTGGTGGCTATAAATTTAAAATTTAAAATTATTTGTAATTATTGAGTGAAAAAAAGATCATTTTCTCTTTAACAAAATAGTGAGCCATAAGTTTTCAAGAATATAGCATTTGGCAATGTAAGTATAAGAAAAAGAATCAGGGCTGGGCACAGTGGCTCACGCCTGTAATCCCAGCACTTTGGGAGGCCGAGGTGGGTGGATCACAAGGTCAGGAGAGCAAGACTATCCTAGCCAACGTGGTGAAACCCCATCTCTACCAAAATTCAAAAACATTAGCCGGGCATGGTTGTGCGCGCCTGTAGTCCCAGCTACTCGGGAGGCTAAGGCAGGGGAATCGCTTGAACCCAGGAGGCGGAGATTTCAGTGAGCTGAGATCGCGCCACTGCACTCCAGGCTGCCTGGCGACAGAGCGAGACTCCCTCTCAAAAAAAAAAAAAAAGAATCAGAAGTAATGACAAACTAGAATCTATCAGAGATGTATTTAAAATTTAGAATCATTATTGCTTTTTAATGATGCAAATACAAGAAGAACAACCAGAAATAATAATAAGCTATTTACAAGAAGTCGTTTTCCAGGTTCTTGAATGATAGATTTTGATTAGTCAGTTACATTCAAAGGATGTTGCCCATTTCGGGTATATAGGTCATCAAAGACAGCAAATGTAGAATAAAAATTAAGGTTTGATATATTAATATTTTTTAAAACTTCTAAGGAAGTTTTCACTATTCCTGTATTTTTCTTCATATAAATCACTTCCTCTTTTTTAATCTCTGACCCTGCCCATAAATTACTTTCTAAAATTGACTGTAAAATAAAGATCTACTGGACCCAGATGGTCAATAGTGATGACTGTTTTTCCTGGTATACTGAGAGTTAAATGTGTTAGCATGAAAACGTTTATCTGAATGACAACATTCCACATTTTTATTTTATTTTATTTTTTTATTTTTGTGGGTACATAGTAGGTGTATATATTTGTGGGGTACATGAGATGTTTTGATGGAGTGTGAAATAGTCACATTATGGAGAATGGGGTATCCATCCTCTCAAGCGTTTATCGTTTGTGTTATAATCCAGTCACACTCTTAGTTATTTTTAAATGTATAATTAAGTTATTATTGACTATAGTCACCCTGTTGTGTGATCAAATAGTATGTTTTATTCATTCGTTTTTTTTTTTAACCCGTTAACCATCCCCACCTTACATCTCCCCTACCTTCCCACCACACTTGTCATCCTCTAGTAATCATCCTTCTACTCTGTCTGTCTATGAGCTCAATTTTTTTTTATTTTTAGATCCCACAAATGAGAACATGGGATGTTTGTCTTTCTGTGCCTGGCTTATTTGATTTAACATAATCTCCAGTTCCATCCATGTTGTTGGAAATGGCAGGATCTCATTCCTTTTTATAGCTGAATAGTACTTCATTGTGTATATGTACCAGATTTTCTTTAGCCATTTATCTGTTGATAGACACTTAGTTCCATCAACATTGCAACACATAGTTTCGTCAAATCAACAAGATTTGGTTGTTTCCAAATGTTAGCTGTTGTGACCATTGCTGCGACAAACATGGGGAGTGCAGATATCTCTTCAGTATACTCAATGAAGCATTTTAAAATTTTCAACCCATAAACAAATGTTTGCCAAAACATTAATATCTCAGAGGTACATGTATGATTTGTTTTGTAAGTTATTTGACTCATGATAATTTCCTTAGTGAGATATATATATATATAGATAGATATATATAGATGGATAGATATAGATATATATATGTATGTCAAACAACAATGGCAGAAGGGAATAGAATTCATTGCATTTAGGGACAACATAAAAATTAACTTGGTTTCTTTTTTAAACAGTGACTTGGATATGTCGGAATTCTTAATTAATCCAAATGCAGGTCCTTGCCGCTATAATCTGATTGCTGTTTCCAACCACTATGGAGGGATGGGAGGAGGACACTGTAAGTTGACAGTTTGCCTTTTTACCCAAATCATGGTGTTTGAAGAACTCCAGACTTTTTTCTTTAAGATATTTATTACTTCTTAAGGATAAAATATCAGATGTGTCTTGCATATAGTAGTTCAGTATTGATTAATGAATGAGTCAGCTTTTGAACCTTTTTTTTTTCACATAGGGTATAGAGAATTGAGTTCATCATACTCCTCAGTTCAAGGCCTAGTAGGGAATGTTGTCCCATTTAGAGTGCATTTCCCTCCACGTTCTCCTTCCCCTTTGCTTTCTAACATGTTTGATGCATATACTCTTGTAAATCATTAATATTTATTCATTTATATAATTGGTACTGTGCTGTAGATATCACTAGGTCTCGACACTTATGAAGACTTATCTGTGTTGCTTTGTGTCCATTTAGTCAGTTGTTTCTCACTGCTTATGATTTACATCTGCCATATTTTATCTCTCCACTTACCTCATGATAGACATCTAAATTCCCTTTCACTTCCTACCACTGTAAGACTGATAAACCATTGTTTATGGTATCGTATGTAAGAATTTATTTGGGCTGCGTGCCCAAAAGTGAAATTGCTGAGTTTAAGTGAGTAAGTGTTGCCAGATTGCCCCCCACCCCCCAGGATGGCTCTAACACTCGACACTCTGCAAGCAGTTGATTTTTCTGTTGAACAGTATTTACATTCCTTGGATATATCCTACTTATCATTATATATTTTTAGACACACAGTTGGATTCAGTCAGATTTATTTAGGGTTGTTACAATTTCATTCATAAGTGAAATGGTTTTGTAAGTTTTTTATATTTTCATTATCTTAGTTTGGAATAAAGATTAGAGTCATAAAACAAGCTGAGATGCTTTATCCTTTTTCTGGTTTTTGGAACAGCTAGTACAATATAGGAATTAACTGTTCATCAAAGTCTAGTAGAATTAACCTGTAAAGCCATCTAGGCTTTGCAGCCATAATTGTTTTTATTTATGTCATGCATATTGGTCTATTCAGTTTTCTTTTTCCTTTTCTGTATATTTTGATGTTCTGTTTCTAAAAATGTATCCATTTCATTTAGGTTTTTCAATTTATTTAAGAATTGTTGTTTATAATGCTTATATTACACTATTTTTGTCCTTTTTTCATTCTTTTTCTCTTTTTTTTTTAAATCAACCTTCCTGGCCAGGCACAGTGGCTCACGCCTGTGATCCCAACACTTTGGGAAGTGGAGGCGGGTGAATCATGAGGCCATGAGATCAAGACCATCCTGGCCAACATGGTGAAACCCTGTCTGTACTAAAAATACAAAAATTAGTTGGGTGTGGTGGCACGTGCCTGTAATCCCAGCCACTCGGGAGGCTGAGGTAGGAGAATCACTTGAACCAGGGAGCCGGAGGTTGCAGAGAGCCCAGATCACACCACTGCACTCCAGCCTGGCAACAGAGCAAGACTCTGTCTCAAAAAAAAAAAAAAGTATCAGTCTTCCCAGATTTCTATCTTGTTAGTCTTTTCAAAGAATTACTTTTCATCTTATTAAATTTTTATTTTTGTTATTGTATGTATTTATACTTTATATTATTATTATATTTTATTTTATCTATACGTTTTTTTTTTGAGACTGGCTCTCTCTCTGTCACCAGGCTGGAGTGCAGTCGCATGATATTGGCTCACTGCAACCTCCACCTCCTGGGTTCAAGCGATCCTACCACCTTTGCCTCCCGAGTAGCTGGACTACAGGCACATGCCACCACACCCAGCTAATTTTTTTGTATTTTTAGTAGCAGTGGGGTTTCACCATGGTGCCCAGGCTGGTCTTGAACTCCTGGGCTCAAGCGATCCTCCTACCTCAGCCTCCTGAGTATCAGGGACTACAGGTGCATGCCACGACACCTGGCTTGTATGTATTTATTCTGTCTAATTGATTTCTTCCCTTCCCTTCATTGTATGGTTCCTCTTGTTACTTTGGGTTTCTATGTTACTCTTCTTACAACTTCTTGAATTGAATGCTTAGCTTTGCTTTTCATTGTTTCTCCTATATTGAAGGCTGTAATTAAAAGGCTATAAATTTCTGCTAAGTACTGCTTTAGCTGTACTTCAGATTTTCATTATCTTTCAATTGTATGTATGTTTTAATTTCCTTTATGATTTCCTAATTAGCACAATGTCATTTAATCATATGCTTAGTTTTCAAATGTAGAGAGTTTTGTCACTTCATTCTTACCTTTATTACATAGCAGTTGAGAGCATTGTCTATATTAATCTTTAGGAGTCCGAAAGTTGTAACATGTCTTAATACATGGTCAGTTCCTTAAACGTGTGTATGCTTGGAAAAAAATATACATTCCCCATTTAGATACAGAGTTCTTTATATCTCTGATAATTTAAGCTTATCAAGTGTATTCAAACCATTACTATCCCTGGTTATTTTTTGTGTTCATTTTATTCCTGAGAGGAATTTGTCAGGACTCCTACTAAAGTGTTGATTGACCTGCTTCTCCCAGCAGTTTTATTAGTTGTTATTAATATTTTGCATAATTATACTTATGTTCATAATGGGTAGCTCTTCTTTCTCTGTTCCTTTTAACACCAGGATTTGACATTCTTTGCCCCTTTTTTTTTAGGTATTACAAGTGTTACTCTAGCTTTCTTTTTGGTATCATTTAATTTACAAACTCTGTGCCTTTTTGTTGAATGTGTCTCTTATAGATCACACAGATCTAAGTGCAGCATCTGCTCTGCACTGATCTTGGGTTGAGATCAACAAACTCACAGCACGCAAAAGCATTCACCCAGCACCAGGTTTACTTAGATTTAAGAAAGGATACAGGTCAAGAAACAATACAGCATGCACAGCAACAGCTTAGCAGAGGTCCTGTGTAGCTGGAAGGAGAGAAAATAGGGAAAAGTGTGCTCAAAGGAAGCTGTTCATCCCATGGCTATTTCCTTCCACTCCTCACCAAGGCTGATTTTTAACCAGAGTTCATGGGGTACAGTCATATTAGTTGTCAAATATTTTGTTAGCCCAACAGGACTTTTAAACAGCAATAAGACTCTGATTCAGGTAGCCTGAGTATTGCTGATTTCTGTGACAAAAATTGAAGCAAGAAATTTAAACGCTTTCTTCTAGATTGTTTTCTCATTTCTGCCTCCATCCATTCTGTCGCATTCTTCAGCCATGTTGCATGCACACAAATATTCTTGAGTTCATATATTGAGAACAGGGTTCTCAATTTTTTTTTGTTAGTTCCTTTGACTCTAACTTCCATCTCTTTCTACGGTTTCTCTCCATGGTTGATATTTGAGGAGAGGGAACCAACAACAGATAGAATATGAAACATTTCTTCCACATGGTAGTTACTCAGTAAAATTGTTAACCAAACAACTTAGAGTTTAAACCATTATTTTATTGTGATTGGTTGGTTGGTTGGCTGGTCGGTTGATTGGCTTGTCTTTTGAATTATCTTCTGACCGCCAGTGGAGTTTCACCAAAGATAATGCTTACCTTACTTTCAAAGTATTGCCATTCCCTCTGAACATCATCCAAACAGGTAACTTAATAGAAAGAGAATATTGCCCTTTGATTTCAGCCTTATTAAGGATAATACCTCAATTTCTTATTTATATACAAATGGGAAGAATAATTACTTTAGGATGGGAAGAATTATTTAGAAGCCGTACCCTACAAAGTGTCACTTTTTAGAAACAATGACCACATATAATTATTTTGGAAACATTGTGCAACTTTATTTCTTCAGTTATTGAGTAGTTTATACAAGGCATGGGATGGGGAAAGGGGCATTTTTTTAACTTAAAGATAAAGCAGATCTTTAAAAATTATGTGGATTAATGAATCACTTTTTGCCTTTTTCTTGCTGTGTACAGTCATCCCTTTGTATCAGTGGATACCACAGATGTTCAAATTCCTTATGTAAAATATTGTAGTATTTGCATATAACCTAACCACATCCTCTCATATACTTGTATGTGTAGATTATTTATAATACCTAATACAATGCCTGCACGTCACTTCATTCACATAAATTGAACATAGTACTCAGCACGTGGCAAATTCAAGTTTTACTCTTCAGGACTTTGTGGAATTTTTTTTTTTCCTCAAATATGTTTGATCTGTGGTTGGTTGGGTTCAGGGACGCAGAACCCATGTATGCACAGGACCGACTACACTTTTGTTAAAGACTAAAAGAGATTCTGGTGTTAAAAAAAAAAAAAAACACTATAGCATAATGAGTAGAGGTATCAGAAAAGAAATCGTCATAGAAAATTTAATAATAAGTTGAAATTTCAAACTATGAAGTCAGAAACAGATCTAGGTTTAAATCCTAACTGCTAGCTAACAGTATAGTACCTTGAGTAAATTATCCTTCTTTTGATGCCTTAATTTCCCATCTCTCAGGTGGGGAGAATAATAATGATAATACCTTCTTTATGAGACAATACATGTAAAGTGCATAACACTATGCCTGGTACACAGTAAGCACTACATGAATGTTAATTACCATTTATTATCATTAGTGTTATTATGTGAATTTAAAAATAATCTGTTTTTTCCTGAGATGAAAAAAGAATGTTTCAACTTACATGAAAATTATTTTTGGCATCTAATTGTAGAAATTAGAAATCATTTGAATCAATTGAATATGTAATAAATAAGCCTCATAGATGATTATCAGTGTTAATAGATATTCCTTATATAGATGATTATAGAGTTTTGAGGAGTCCCCAGAAAACCAAGATCATTTTCGTCACAGTGATTATATTTTTTTCATTAGATACTGCTTTTGCAAAAAATAAAGATGATGGAAAATGGTACTATTTTGATGACAGTAGTGTCTCCACTGCATCTGAAGACCAAATTGTGGTAAGTTTGTCTTATATTTCCTGAGAACTATGGGATTCACTGTCTTAAGGAGTGAATATAAATTAATAAAAGGGGCTCATGGAACACTGTAGTCTATATTCTAGCAGCTTGAGTAGCTAAAAGACACTAACTCTTATTTAAAGAAATGTCAAATTGTCCCCTAAATGGAAATTTGTCTTCTAAATTTGCCCACTAACAAAAGCATAAATTGCAAGGTGAAAAAATTTTTGGTAGTTTTCAACATGGAGTTTCTAATAAAAATAATTAAGTTTTGCTTTGGAAAGTAGATTCAGCTCTTAACTTTCTAGACATTGAGTACTTAAAGCCAGAATGTTTAAACAAGAGAAAAAAAATCCTTGAAGTACCTTACCGTACCTGTGATCTTTAAAGTCATATCCTGCCTTATGAAAATTAACTAAACTCAAAATGACATAATTAGATAAAACAAATTACAGATTTATAAAAGATTAATACTTGTGTACTTACTACTTTGATATTTTCTGAATAGTAAAAAAAATGAGGAAGTTCCGTCTGTTCACACTTACATCAGTTTATCATCCACCGCTGACTCTCAGTATGGGTTTGTGTGTGTGTGTGTATATGTATATATACACACAGATGCATACATATATATGTATATATACATATATATATATATATACTGTTATTTCTCTCCCTATATCTATGACAAAAAGAGACTTGAATACTATAAATTTTTAAAATTGTGTTAGTTTTAATTAACCACATTTTTTGTTTATATTTAAACTCCTAATTTTTTTTCTGCAAAAGAAAATCAATTCTGTTCTCCTCAAATTGCCCACCTCCTCCATCAGTCTTTTTAACAACACTGCCCTAATCTTGGCTTCAAATAAACAGTTATCTTGTTTATATATAGTATACAAATTTGAGGTTGCCATGCATTTTAACAATGATGATTCTTCATTTAGTCAACAAATTGAATATGATATATATAGAGAGAGAGAGATACACAAAAGACTCCATTCTAAACAGAGTTAAAAAGATAGCTGTCACTCAGTCCAGAGTTTAAAAGATAGCTATCTCTGATTTATAAACCAAAGAAGATAAGTAAATTAACAATTACAGCATGATAAGTACTATTAAATACCTTACTATGGCCACTTAGAAAGGGAACTTCTGTCTCAACTCAGATTTGGGGTTTGAGGGGACAATAACCAGCACAGGGAAGTTCATGTGGTAAAGATGATGTCTGACCTGAGTCTAGTAAAAATAAGAGTAAATTAAACAAAAGGTGTTCTAAGCAAAGAAAACGGTATCTACAAAAACAAGGAGGCATGACAAAGCGTGACATTTTAAGGGAACAGCACATAATTGGATGTGACTCAAAGGAAAAGCTCTTAAAGGGACATGGGGAAGAAATTAGTCTGGAGATAAATTTAGCGCTTAGATCAAGAAAAGTGGCATTCTAGTTGTTTAGACATTTTCTTACAGACTATGAGTAGCCATTAGATTGTTAAACAAGAGAATAACATTGTTCAGTTTGTATCTTAACATTTCTCTGAGAACATCATAGAAGATAGATTGGAGACACTGAGTAAAGAAACAGAAAAGCCATACAGGAGGCTGTCACATAATTTAAGCAATTAAAATAGTAGTTAGAACAATACAAACAAGGGGAGAATGGATTTATGAGATATTTACTGGACAGAATTAATATAACTTGATAAAAGATATAATAAGGATAATAGATGTAGAGATCCAGAGAAGGAGAAGTTTAAGATGACTTTTACTTCACCATTCACCAAGATTGGGAATATAGGAAGAATAGTTGCTGTTGAAGTTTGAGATGCCTGTATGATAGCTGTGTGGAAATTTCCATTAGGTTGTTGGACTCATAAGACAGGAGTTCAGGGGTGAGAACTGATTTAGGTTATACATTTGAGTTGTCAGCCTCAGGCAGCAGTTGAAGCCATAGGTTTAAATGAGTCACCTAGTGAGAGGATTCAGGTTGAGACAATGGTGGGCTGAGGACAGAACATAGTATGTTTAAAGGTCAGGATTTAATAAGTCCACAGAAGAGCCTGAGAAGAAACCAAAGAGATAGTAGGAGATCTGAGTAGTGTTGTCACAGAAGCAAAAAATTGTTTGTTGATAGGAAAAGAAATAGTGAAGCATTAAATGCTACTGAGAGATTGACCAAAAGAACTGGAAAGGTCACCCATTTCAGTTGTTTATTAGGTTATTGACCCTGCTGAAAGCCATTTTGCTAGAATGGTTTGGGGAAAAGCTAGATTACTTTGAGTTGAGAAGTGTGCATGAGAGTGAATGATGAGTATTGACAACTCTGTTTATCACCCTGACTATGAGGAAGAGGAAGAGAGGTATATGGCAGCTAGAAGGGGAAGTAGAATGGAGAGGGACTTATGATAGGAAAAACCTTAGGTATTTTTTAATGCCAAAGAGACAAGTCCAGTGGATAAGGACTCATTGAAGATACACAGTGATGATTGATGGAACAGCATCCTTAAGATGGTAGGAAAAGTTGGACTCTACAGCAAACATGGGATGAAGTGACTAGTATTAGAAGGGAGGAATTTACCTTTTCCTTAAGAGATGGTAGGAAAGAAAGCATAGAATTCTATTTTTACGTTAGAATTGTGATACAGTTTGTGTATCACAGTTAGAACTGTGATACAGTTGCATTTATTTCTTTGTCCAAATAATTTAGAAGCACATAAAAATTTGTAATTCTAATAACGATTCTTTATTAGAAATCATCTTATATTTAATGAATTTTAGTAACTTCCATTTGACCATGCATGGTTTTTCTATTTGATTTATGCCCTCTTACCAAAATTGGTGACCAGCTAAAAATTCATAATGTATTTAACGTGATCTTTGAGAATCATAACTGTTTTAACATCCTTTGTTTTGACAGTCCAAAGCAGCATATGTACTCTTCTACCAGAGACAAGACACTTTCAGTGGAACTGGCTTTTTTCCTCTTGACCGAGAAACTAAAGGTGCTTCAGCTGCCACTGGCATCCCATTAGAAAGTGATGAAGATAGCAATGATAATGACAATGATATAGAAAATGAAAACTGTATGCACACTAACTAATGAAAGTCCTAGAAGCCATAAAAGAGACACTTTCCTGCTGGTGGTATCTATGGAAATGATGAAGTTACCCACCACATTAAAACAAAAGTCTGAGATGGGGAGTTTCAGATAACCGAATGTAAATCCTTTATCAGATTTTAACTTGTGCAGTACTTGAAGTGAAACACAATGAAAACTTTAACAGAAATTGTCTCTTAATACATTTACAGTCTTGTATTTACAAGCTAAATATATATAGGAAATCACAAATAAATCCCTTTTAAGTTTGCTGCTGTTTTGATTAATTATGTTTCCTTTAATTTTTTGGATGTGAGTTGATGACAAATGTTAAATTTGTGGATGTTGGTCATTTATTTTGCTCTAATAATACTGCAAGAAAACTATGGCTGAACTTAGTTTTTGGATAATCTAGTTCATGTGCATTAGGCTGCCGTATATACTACTATGATATTTAGCTGCAGTATCAATGTGGCATAAATACTGCGGCAGCATTCTTCGAAAACCGCATTTTCAAATTTATCCCCGTAATCAATGTGGGCCTATTAAAAAACCAAATCATGATACAAGAAACAACCTTGGAAAAGTTATTTCCCTTTGTAATACCTTTAAAAATCCAGAGTATTATATTCATTTTACTGCCACTGTGGAAACAGGTTCTAGATTTCATACTCCATCTAAAGTCATTTTTCAGTTACATGTAAGTATTATTTACTGCTATTGGGATCTATTCTTCAGATATTCAAAAACATTTTTTGCTTTAAAATGCATATCTTTAATTGGGTGTTGGTCCAAAATTAAAATTTTTGCTGTCTGTTTTTCTCTACCCCATTTTGTGGTAATTTGGCAACTTGAGCTCTCCCAATTATTGTAATATAAGGACAGACATAATAGTATTCTGTACCCATAGTAATAATTGCATCAAGCTTAGATGAGAAATTTTTTTCATATACTGGCCTTTAAATCATTAATGGACAATTGGCTATAAAGGTAGGTCTGTTAACTTTCTTTGTGTGTTCCTGATGGAATTCACCATAGCCTTACAGCTTTTCTCAGAAGGTAACTTGTTATAAGAGAAATGGCATTTGCATGTTCCAGAGTCAGAACCTGTACAGTATATAAAGCATAAACACCTTGAATTTGATTTTAGTTCACCACATTCAAGGATCCAGGATGCCAAAAATATGTGTGAACATTTGAAACATTTTTATTTGCTGCTTTTTCCCTTTGATATAGTTGAAAGAATGTATTGTAAATTGGCATACAATACTGCCTTTAATAGAAAACCTAAATGCTGGGGCACATTTCACATATCGACTACCTGAGAAATTGCTTTGTGTCCCACTGTTATTAAAGCAAAAAGTATAATGTTCTTCACTTGAACTAATCAAATACAATAGATTATAAATTGTGTATTGTAAATAAAAGTTCACTCTGTGAGTGCACATTTTGGTAAATTATTTATTTATGTTAGCATTTAAAAGTTTAAAAAAAATGCATTTGACCAGGATAAATGAGGTATGTTGATCATGGCTTTGCTTTATATCTTGATATTAAAGCTGGTTTATCATCCTGGTATTTTAAAAGCTGCTTTGGGGTTTTTTTTTTCTTTTTTTTTTTTTTAATGTAAACTAACCTCCTGCATGACAGAGGTTAAAATTTTGTCTGCACTTGAGTTCACTTGAGTTTACATTTGAAATGTGCATGTTTATTTATATAGATTTCAATAAAGCTATTCAAGGCCTTATTTAGTCTTTTATTTCTTACTCTTAATCTTTTAATAAAAATCCCCTACTTTATGGTTAGATGACTATATGCTAGACTTTTTAGTTATAAATAGTTAATACTAGAAAGGAAATTATGTCAGAGCAAAATGAATCCTACTATTAAGGACGTTTTAAAGTTGATTTTTGTCCACTTTAATATTTATTCATTAAACATATGTTTGTGTACCAATCACTGTTGTAGAGTCTGGAGATACAGCAGTAAACAAATATCCTTACCTTCACAGAGCTTACATTCTTTCTGCCATCTACCAACTAATGAACTATATTTCCATTTTTCTGAAGATTTAAAGAAAAGTCAAAGCTAAATCTTTTAAACCTATATTGTGGTCTCCATCCTAATTCTTCAGAGACCACTTTCTTTTTAATGCCTGTCATTAACTTCTGTTCCCACTAAAAGAAGTGATGTTAATAATGCCATTGAAACTGCCAAACTCAAATGTCATTTTTCAGCTGCAAGAAGTATACTTTAAAAATAGTGCAAAAGGATAATACATATTCTAATTAAAAGTAGGCATTCAGACTGGGCACGGTGGTTCATGCCTGTAATCCCAGCACTTTGGGAGACTCAGGCGGGAGGATCACTTGAGCCCAGGAGTTTGAGACCAGCCTGAGTAACATAGTGAGAACCTCATCTGTACAAATATATGTATTTTTTTTTAATTAGCTGGGTGTGCACACACCTGTGTTCCCAGCTACTGGGGAGGCTGAGGTGAGAGAATTGCTTGAGCCCAGGCAGTCAAGGCCGCAGTTAGCCGAAATCACACCCCTGCACTCCAGCCTGTGCAACATAGCAAGACTCTGTCTCAAAAAAAAAAAAGATATTCATAGGTAATACAGGGTAATGGGAATATATCTAGACTAGAATTTCTACTTCTAGCTTTGCCACTTAGCAATCATATGACTTTGAACTTAATCTTTGATAGTGTTTCTTTACCTGTAGAATAATGATGATAATAGCCAGCATTTATTGAGCACTTACTATGGACCAGGCACTATATTAAAGTGTTTATATGCATTCTCTCATTTAATCCCACAACAGCTATGAGGTAGGGATAGTTGTCATCCCCATTTTTCATATGAAGAAACCAAGATACAAAGCATTTAAGTAATATTCCCAAGCTCACACAATTGCTATGGGGTAGAGCCAATATTCTATCCTCAGATATATACTACCTCTCACTGTGTTATAGTGTCTGCCTCATAGGATTGTTGAGAGCTCAAATGAGATCATGTATTTTATGGGAAGAGCTTTGTAAACTTTATTACACACTCACTGATTTCTTCAGTCTAAATAGAAAGACATCTTGAAGTCTAATAACTTTGCTTCTAAAAGTATATTTAGCTCAGTATTCGAGCATTGAATAAGAAAGTACCCACTGGAATATTGACTAACCCATTCCCTTTTAAAAATTAATTTCATTTAATTTATATACCTTTATTACAATTTTAATTAAATGGTAAATACAATGTGACATTTTTTTCTTACCTTTTCATCTAACTTGTGTCCCCTTCTTTCCATTTCCCCAAATGCAACCCTGAATTTCAGGACTTTGTAAACTCTACTCTAGTTTTGCTTTCTGTTTGTTTGTTTGTTTGTTTAGAGACAAGGTCTCCCTCTGTCGCCCAGGCTGGAGTGCAGTGACATAATCATAGTTCACTGTAACCTTGAACTCCTGGGTTAAAGTGATCCTCCTGCCTCAGCCTTATAATTTAGTTTTAATTAACCTCCTTGAAAAAGTTGCAGCCTGGTGCTTTATTTAAATATCTTGCTTTCTCATAATCTGTGTTATTTTAGTAGTCCTGTATTTATCCTTGCTTTCCTGACAACTGGATATAAAACTACACAAAACATTGATTTGGGCACAAAGAAAATCAGTAAGTACCAAAATAGATACAACATAAAGGTGGTGGGGTTTTTTATGAACTAATTTGATTGAAGTGAGTTTATCTTATAAAATAAGCCGGGAGACTGAAATGGAGTCTCCTTCAGTGGTACACCAAAGGGAGTGTAGGGTGTAGTAGGAGCTCTCTGCCTCCGAGAGGAGGAATATATTAGACTGATAACGTTTAAGTCTGATGTATGGTGACAAGAAAAAGGCCAATTTTTTGTTTTGTTATTTTTAAGTTACCTACAGATAATGCATTTCATTATTGCCTACTTCCAACTCTCCCTATGTAGTATGTTTCTGATCTTCTGTGCTTGTGCAGTGTAGATGAGCTCACCGCTTTAATTTTTAAGATAGAAATGTGGAAAACTCTTGAATCATAGACTAGGGGAAGGAACCAGAGGTCCTCTAAAATATCAGAGGAGTGAGAAGGAAAGGAAGAGCTCCTTTCTAGGGCCATAGAATAAGAGTAGAAGTTTTTGCTCATTTTTTTTGTTTGTTTTTACTTTACAAAAAAATAAAAAATTTTTTGCTCTTTGAATAACTTAACATGAGGAATTTGGAAACAACCTCTCTTGAAAATATATTGGTATTCATTCCCAAATAATTCTTCTAAGTACCACTTGACCAGAGGATAGGGAAAGGAGGAAAAGGTGAGTGTATTTATATCCTTGCTAGTTTTTGTTATATATTCAGTTGCAGATCTATATTATATATCATTTTATTATCAGATTTTCTAGTGAGAAATATATATGATGGTTTTTTAATAATCATTTTAGGTTTGGAGGCCATTTCAATTCAATATGTATGTGTTTTACGTGTTTAATTCGTATTTACTATATATTAAAAGAATTTCCAAATAGCTCAGATAAGAAAACTTTGGTTTAAAATTGAGTTATTTTATAAGCTACATAGAATACATCAAAATTTTATAAGCTGCATAGAATAGGCTTTAAAATATCAGAATTAGGAAAATAAAATATAGATGGTAAAAATTCAAATATTTATCAAGACTTTTTTCTTCACTAATGATGGGGTAAAGAATTTTTAAATGGATAATATAAAACAGACAGTTCAAAAATTATTTTTGGAAAATATATGCATCGGGAAACATACCCCACACGGTGCCATGGTTTAATTATTCCCCAGCTCTACTTTTGGGAGCCTGGAACTTGTCAGGGTTGTGAAATAGATCTCAGACTATTAAGGACATTCAGAAACTGGCTAAGCCATTCAAGGAAAATCAGGAATTTACGTAATATATTGGACTACAGTCTCAAAGGACAGAGAGAAAATCAGTCAAATGGGTTTTGATATTTTTTTTTCCTAGAAATGTGTAGCAAATGTGATTTTACAAAGCAGCTAAAAATACAACTATCTCTCTGGAATTGAAAATGTGTAAAATAAGACCACACACTTTCAATATGCACAAAATATATTTTAAATGTTTAAGTTGTATTGGTAATTTACTATGTTCTCCTGTAGAAAATCATAATTAAAGTTGGTGCTCGTGTTGCTAAAGTTTTTTTTCTCATGTCAGGAACTTGCAGCTTGTTCTATATAGTTTGGTGAAACAAACAAAACAGTTTTTATCTGCTGTGACATTTAAGTTTGTTGTTAGCTGGAGTTAAATCTACATACATAAAAGTAAAACAATAAATATGGAAACATCCCAACAGTCTTTCCCACAATGTGTATTATTACATTATTCTCAGTAATGACACATACTTAACATTTCCCAAGCTGTTGTTTTAAACCTTAAACATCACCACATTTCTAATTTTTATTTAAAATCTTTCAGAATTCTTAGATTTTGTAACATATCAAGCACAAGTCTCTCATTAAAATTTTTTTTTAATAGTATTTGCTTTTCTTTTAAACTCCATAAAGGAGTATTCGATGTTAACAGACGTAACTCTTTAATGCTCCTCTGTTCATGATTAAGTATGCTAAGTTTTAAGTAATTTAGACTAATGTATTAAAGTGTTCACTTATGTCTAGTCATATGCATACCTACTCTCTTCTAACCTTGAGTCATTTCTATTAAATACAGCATTTAATCTTCTTTCAAGTGAGAACCATCTTTCCATTATATCAAGTGGGCAATATTTAAATTGTCTGATAAGTTCATCCAAATTAATCCCATCATGCCTGTTTAACTCATTTCCCCAAAAAGACCGCGACCTCCAGCCAGTCATTCAGTTCTTGAACTCCCTAATAGAAGCACCAAGGATTATCTATTTGTAATCACATTGTGGTGAATTATCAGTCTCCCAAGAATTATGTAAAGCAAATAGGAATTATTTTAGAGTTGCCCTTATTTTAAAAAACAAAAAAAAAGTAAAGATGGGAAAATTACTTATAGTATTTTTTTTTAATTTGAGAAAGAATTCCTGTAGGTCTCCCTTAAATAGTGACTTTGGTAAAGCTTTTTAATTTCTAGAACTCAGAGCTATATTCACTTTTGAGCTATGTACCTATTGTATAAGTTGAAGTAATACTGCAAATTCAAACAGTAAACATCATTAATCCTAGATATTTGGGTACTACCTACAGTGAGATATGGTAGGAAACATTCTACACTTACAACAACTTCCACCATAGCTAGCTCCAAACAGGTCATTAACCTCTGAATTACTGTTTTCACAACCATAAAATTATGCTGGTCTCTTGAAAGTATTAGTTTATGGGTGTGGAGAGGAAGGCTTAAATTTCATTTTTGAAGCTGTCGTTAAAAGTATATATTTTTAGCAAAGGAATTAATAACTAATAGCATTGATGAGTCAAGTTAATATTTGTTTTTGTTTTTTTTTTTTTTTAATTTTGGGCCTCACTCCTATAAAAGACTTGGAACAGAAGTCTTAGTATGATGGTAAACTTGAAAATTAAAATTTTATCAGGGATATTAGAATCCAATTATATGAGACTGCATCCTCAACAGGCACCTTGGTTGCAACACCATGAAAGACCTTGATCCAGAGGTTCTCAGCAAGCCACACCTGAATTCCTAACCCACAAAAACTGTGAGATAACAGATGTTTGTGTTTTTAGCTGCTAAGCTTTAATTTGTTTATGCAGAAATAAGGGAAAAGGACCCTAGAGATCCTTGAGGAATCCCACTTTACAGATGTAGAAGCTGAGGGCTAGAAGGAGAAAAGTCATGTACACAAAGTCTGGAGACAACTCAGATAGTCACTACATCCTCTTGCTCTTTCTCATTTTTACTCTTTAACTGGCTCCTCACTTTTTAGATGGATGGCACTGGGCTCTGGAGCAAACCATCTGTTCTGTATCTGTTAAGGCCTCTAGAGCTTCATTCATTCCTTCATCAAATATTTTTTGAGTGTCCACTATGTGCCAGGCACTATTCTAGATTCAAGATATAAAGTAATATACAAAAACAAAATCCAGTTACAAATATAATTTTTAAAGCTATTTGTGAGCATAACTTCGTAACACATTTAGAACCTTTGCCTTCAGCTGACATGAATTATGTTGTCTTTTTGTTTTTTGGTCCAGTTTCATTAGTCATTAAAGTCATTTGAATTAAAGACAATAATCCAGACTCCAGAGGTTATGGCTTTTATGTGTTTGGATACTGTCATAGTCTGCTCAGGCTGCCATAACAAACACAGACTGGGTGGCTTAAATAACAGAAATTTATATTTTCACAGTTCTGGAGGCTGGGAATCTGAGATCAGGGTACCAGTATACTGGGTTTCTGGTGAGGGTGCCTTTCCTGGCTTACAGATGGCTGCCTTCTCACTGTGTTCTTGCATGGTAGCAGAGGAGGGTCAGAGAGGAGAGCAAGCTCTGAGGCATCTCTTTTTTATAAGGGCACTAATCCCGTCATGAAGCCCTCACCCTCATGACCTCATCTAAACCTAATTATCTCCTAAAGACTTCCTCTCCAAATACTATTTAAGGCTTCAACCTGAATTTGGAGGTGACACAGTTGAGCCCATAGCAGATATATTTAGTAACAACTGTGGGTACAGGCATGCCTCAGATATTGCAGGTTCGGTTCCCAGCCACCATAAATATTTAAATAAAGTGAGTCACAAATTTTTTGGTTTCCCAGTGCATATAAAAGGCATATTTACCCTATACTGTAGTCTATTAACTGCAATAACATTGTGCCTAAAAAAGATGTACATGCCTTAATTTTCAAACTATTGCCAAAAAATGCTAAATAACCATCAGAGCCTTCAGCAAGTAGTAATGTTTTTGCTGATGGACAGTCTTGCCTCATTTTGATAGATACTCACCAGGATGGTGGTTGCTGAAGGTTAGGGTGGCCGTGGCAATTTTTTACAATAAGACAGTAGTGAAGTTTGCTTCATCAATTGACTCTTCCTTTTACAAGAGATTTCTCTGGCATGCAGTGCTATTTGATAATATTTGATACCCACAGTAGAACTTCTTTCCGAACTTCTTTCACAATTGGAGTTAATCTTCTAAAGCCCCGCCACTGCTTCATCAACTAAGTTTATGGAATATTCTAAATCCTTTGTTGTCTTTTCAACAATGTTCACAGCATCTTCACCAGGAGAAGACTTTCCCCCCTTCTTTTCACAGATGTTGAGATTGTCAAGAAACTACTTTCCTTGCCCACCCATAAGAAGCAACTTATCATCTGTTCAAGTTTTATCATAAGATTGCAGCAATCCAGACACATCTTCAGGCTCCACTTGTAGTTCTCTTGCTATTTTCACCGCATCTGCAGTTACTGCCGCCACTGAGGTTTTGAACTTCTCAAAGTCATGAAAGTTGTAATTAACTTCTTTCAAACTCTTGTTAATGTTGATATTTTGACTCCCATGAATCACAAATATTCTGAATGAATGGCATCCAGAATAGCAAATCCTTTTCAGAAGGTTTTTATTTTGCCCAGATCCATCAGAGGAATCACTATCTATGAAAGCTTTTGCCTTATAAAATGTATTTCTTGGATGATAAGACTTGAAAGCTGAAGTTATTCTTTGATCTATGGCTGCAGAATGGATGTTGTGTTAGCAGGCAGAAAAACACTAATCTCATACATCTCCATAGAGCTCTTGGGTGACCAGGTGCACTTGTCAATGAGCAGTAATATTTTGAAAGGAATCTTTTTCTGAGCAATAGATCTCCGCAGTGGGCTTAAAATATTTAGTAAACCTTCCTATAAACGGATGTGCTACCATCCAGGCTTTATGGTTCCTTTTATAGAGCAAAAACATTATATTTAGTTTAATTTTAAGGACCCTAGGATTTTTGGAATGATAAATGAACATTAGTTAGCATTGCATTGGCCCCTAACAAGAAATCAGTCTCTCGTTTGAAGCCAAGCATCAACTTTTCTCTAGCTATGAAAGTCCTGGATGACATCTTCCAACATAAGACTTTCATCTACATTGAAAGTTTGTTTTTAGTGTAACTACCTTCATCAATGATCTTAGCTAGATCTTCTGGATAACTTGCTGTAGTTTCTACTTTAGCAGTTGCTGCTTCACCTTATGCTTGTCTGTTGTGGAGACAGCTTGTTTCCTTAAACTCCATGAATCAACCACTGCTAGCTTCAGACTTTTCTTCTGCAGCTTCCTTACCTTAGCCTCCATAGAATTGAAGAGAGAGGGCCTTGCTCTGCGTTAGGCTTTGGCTTAAGATAGTGTTGTGGCTGATTTGATCTATTAAAAAAAAAAAAACTCAGGCTTTCTCTATACCACTTTTCTTATGATTCATGTGTTCACTTGAGTAGCACTTTTAATTTCAGGAACTCTTCCTTTGGATATACAACTTGGCTGTTTGGCTCAAGAGGCCTAGCTTTCAGCTTGCCTTGGCTTTCAACATGCTTTCCTCACTAAGCTCCAATCATTTATAGCATTTGATTGAGAGAGAGAGAGAGATGTACAGCTCTTCACCTGAACATTTAGAGGCCATTGGATGGTTATTAACTGGCCTGGTTTTAATAGTGTTATGTCTCAGGGAATAGGGAGGCACATGGAGAGGGAGAGAGATGGGGAATGGCCAGTGGAGCAGTTGGAACACACACGTCTGTGCCCTCAAACAAAACAGTAACATCAAAGATTACTGATCACAGATCACCGTAACAGATACAATAATAATGAAGACATTTGAAATGTGAGAAGTACCAAGATATGACACACACACAGTAAGCACATTCTGTTAGGAAAATAACACCTATAGATGTGCTCAATGTAGGCTTGCCACAAGCCTTGTTTGTAAAAAAACAAAAACAATTATCTTCAAAGCATGATAATAAAGTGAAGCAGAATAAAACAAGGTATGCCTGGTTTTTGTTTTGTTTTGTTTTGAGACAAGGTCTTTCTCTGTCACCCAGGCTGGAGTGCAGTGGCACAATCTCATCTCACTGCAGCCTCCAGCCTCTGGGCTCAAGTGGTCCTCCCACCTCAGCCTCCGAAGTAGCTGGGTCTACAGGCATGTGCCACCACACCACACCTGGCTAATTTTTGTAGAGACCAGGTTTCACCATGTTACCCAGGCTGGTTTTGAAGTCTTGAACTCAGGCGATCCATCCACCTCGGCCTCCCAAAGTGCTGGGATTACAGGCATGAACCACAGCACCTGGCCATGTATTTTCATTTAACCAGTACTAAATAACTACATGTCTTTGGCAGCCTATAATGTAGCATCCCATTTTTAAAAATAGAAGTGTGTATTCAGGGTGCACTCAATAGGATTACATCTGGCTGGCAGTCCCTTCCTACTTCAGTCCATTATCCTGCTACCAGAATGATCTTCATGGTTTCATTTAAAAAAAAAAAAAATGAGATCCTGTTTCTGTCTTAAAGTTCTCTTCTAATTCCTTGTATTAATCAGGATTCTCCAGAGAAACAAGACCAATAGGATGCATATGTGTATACACATATATGTATAGCTCTCTCCCTCATATATACACATATCATGTATATACATATATATCATATATGTACATATATATATATATATATGAGGGAGAGAAAGATTTATAAGGAATTAGTTCATGCACTTAGGCTGAGAAGTCTCATGATCTTCAGTCAGCAGGCTGGAGACCCAGGAATGCCAATGGTGTAGTTCAAGTCCGAGTCCAAAGGGTTGAGAACCAGGAAAACCAATGATAAAAGTTCCAGTCCACAAGCTACCTGGCTAAAGACCCAGGAAGACTGAATGTTTCAGTTTTAGTGCAAAGGCAGGAAAAGACTGATGTCCCAGTTCAATCAGGCAAGAGAAATTATCCTTACTTGAGCCTTTTTTGTTCTATTCAGGCCTTCAATTCATGAGAGCCACCAACATTAGAGAGGGCAATCTGCCTTACTCAGTCTACTGACTTAAATGTTAATCTCATCCAAAAACACCCTCATAGATATGCCCAGAATAATGTTTGACCACATATCTGGGCACCCTGTGGCCCAGTCAACACATTAAATAAACCATCACATCCCTTCATGTAGAAAAGAGTGGTTTGGACCATAGGCTCAGGAGTTAAACCACCTCTGAGCCTACCACTTTTGTGCAACTCACCTCACCTCTCTGCCTTTCACCTCTCTGTAAACTAGAGCAGCTCCCGAATGTCCATCTAGGAAGGCTTGGGGTGAGCAACCTGATTAGAAGGGAACAATGTGACTTAAAACTGCATATTTGCTTAGCAAACCTATGACTTTTCTCAGAATATACAGTTTGCTTGTGATGGAGGGCTATTAATATTTATAAGGAAACCAAATCCCCATTCACTTAAGCCATCCACTCCTACCACTGTAATTGAATATTACCTACCTTTCAGAATAATTGCAAGGTTTTGTGTCTTGATCATTATGAAAAATGTGGCAGGTATTATTACTAATAAAGAAGTACCCAACTATGGGAATGATTGTTCCTTCCTTATGAATGAGAGCAGCTCTCTGTTCAATACGATTCATACTCAAGTTCTAATAAACTTTCTTTAGCAAGAGAGCAAAGAGTATGGTACAGTCAGTCCACCCAGGTTGCCTGTTAACCTGGTGCTTGAAGGAAAAAAAGTAAGAATTTGCCCTCATCTAATTCCTCACTTGCCCTCAAACATGTCATACTACTTGACAATGGGGCTTTCCCACATTTGTCCCACATTTGCATGGTCTGCCTTATCTCTTACCTGGCGAACTCCTACACTCCTTCAAGACTTGCTCCAAAATGCACTTGCTAGATCTTCTGACATCAACTGCCACCTTGGGCTATAAGTTACGTGTGTCTCTTCCCCCACTAGACAATTACCTGATGGAAGAATATTGTTCTTAAGATGTTAAGATGGTGTATGTGTGGCATAGTATTTGTTCCTAAATGTAAAAGTTATTAAACAAGTTTTCTGAAAGTCTGAAGCTTTATTGTGTTTATTGTGATTGTGTTGTATTCCTGACATGTTGCTGGCTACATATTTTAACAGCTTTAAAAGTAATTTACCTTATGAATGTGCACTAAAAACGTACATTTTAGATATACTAACATTTTAAGTTCGGTATTTATGAATTTGGAATATTCAAGATTAAATGTAGAAAATTTATATTTCATTTATATTTTTCTAAAGAAGTTTTAATTGTAAGGAATTCTTTTTTCCAGTAAGGAAGATACAGTTGCTATCTCTTGCTCCAGTTGGAGGGCATCCTGAATTCCCATTTGTTCAGACGCTTTTCACAACTTGGAGCTTCTGGCATCTCCACAAAAATAATACTTTGACTACACAAGGCCAGGAATACTTTTTTGAGTTGGGGATACCCCAAACATTTATCTGTTCAATACAGTTGTCCAAAGACAAGGAATGTACTCTTGATTTGGGTTCTTTGTCACCTCAAAAATCTATATTACACCTTAGACAAGGGGAGAAAATTGTCAGAAGTCTCTTCTTCTCCATGTCAAATTTGGCTACAACAGACATGATTGTTATCCACCCAATAGTCATCCTTCCTTGCTAGTGGGCATAGCAAGTTATCCACCCCCTAACCAGGTAACTAGGGATAGGAATTTATTATTTAAAGTCAATTTTATGGAAAGTAGTCCTATTCTCCTTGTCTTTTTGATTTAGTGTTGGGCCCATAACCCATTAAAGGCCAGTGAGTCCAGAAGGGAAGTCTGCTGGTGTACTTGTGGGAAGTTTTTCTGGAGGAAAGAAAAAATGATCCTTCTTTAACAGATTTCTGTCTACATGTGATTCCTGGAATGGCACAGTGGCATCTTGGGACTGGGCTTGAAGTGTGAAGGTGTGTTAACCTTGAGTATATTCTTTTACTTTAGTCTTTATGCCTGATAACCAAAACTGTATTCATCTGGGGTGGAAAATGGCCTTTTTTCTACTTACTTTTATCCCTAAAGCCCACAAGCTTTGCATTGTAATATTTGAACATTAAAAACAAAAAAAAAACCATTTTACTCTATCACATATCATATCCCAAATCCAAGGTTTTGGGGACTTTTTGTTTAATGATACAATTTACAATAAAGTGAACTTATGCTGCATGAGCAATTACTTATTTAGAATAAATGATGGCCCTTTGTAATATAAATAATATAAGCATATAACTCTACAATTATATATGTGTTTTGCCTGTCAGACATTGTCTAATCCCTACCTCATAACTTACAGCATCTTTTACCTCTTCTCTAAGCCTTATATCATCCCTGAGCCACACTTAATCTCAGTTCTCCTCCTGAGCTACACTACAAGGGAAGTGGTGTACCATGGGATATGGCCTAGTAATGAGTTAAGACAGTTTTGCTTACTACTTGGTAATTTTTAAAAACAGAGTTTATTTTAATTAACTAGCTTTAACATTAAGAGGAGGAGGAAAATTCTAGTATCAAAATCCTTGTGGCAAAATGTCCACATCAGACTTCTGGCTTCTGGTAAGGAAAGAGGGGCTTGTATCAGCCTAGCAGTCTTGCAAGTAACATTAAGAAACTCTAAATATAAAAACAGTTTGAAGGCACTGAGGCATAATCATACAGTCTATGCTGTTGACAGAGCTTATGTGGAAGATGCCAGTTTATGCTGAGGGGTCTCAGAGATCATAGTTTTGCAAAGCAAGAGTGACTAGTAATTGAAAAATGAAATCCTAAAAATGATGGAACCATTGTTGATTGCAACAAAATCTAACTAAAAGTGTATGCCCAACAGGTTCACCTTGCCCACTGCCTAGACAGAGCCAATTTGTCAAGACAGGTGAATTGCAATAGAGAAAGAGTAATTCACAGAGAGCCAGCTTTTCTTAATATCAACTGATTGTTCAAAGCAAAATATATGACAGTATACTGTGGGGCTTGTAACATGTGTAGGAGTAAAGATACATGACAACATAGACAAAAGATGAGAGGGGTGTAAATGGAATTATATTGTTATAAAGTTCTTACATTAATATATGAAATAGTATAATATCAATGCAAAAGAATATATGTTAAGAATGTATATTATAAACCTTAGAACAACCATCAAAAAAGAAGAAAACAAAAAAAAGTTACAGCTAAAATCCAATAAGGGGGATAGAATGAAATAATAAATAACATTGTTCCACTCCCTCTCCCCCAAAAAGTAAAGGTAGAAAACCAAGGTTTACAGGCAACAAATAGCACAATGAATGGAATGGTACTTCACATCTCAATACTAACGTTGAGTGTAAATGGCCTAAATGCTCCACTTAAAAGATACAGAATTGCAGAATGGGTAACAATTCACTAACCAACTATTGCTGCCTTCAAAAGACTCACCTAACACATAAGGACTGACATAAACTTAAGGTAAAGGGGTGGAAAAAGACATTCCATGCAAATGGACACCAAAAGCAAGCAGGAGTAGCTATTCTTATATCAAAAAAAAAACTTTAAAGCAACAGCAGTTTAAAAAGACAAAGAGTTAAAAAAGACAAAATGATAAAAGGTTTTGTCCAACAGGAAAATATCACAATCCTAAATATATATCCACCTAACACTGGAGCTCCCAAATGTATAAAAACAATTACTAATAGACCTAAGAAATGAGATAGACAGCAACATAATAATAGTGGGGGACTTCAATTCTCCACTGACAGCACTTAGACAGGTCATCAAGACAGAAAGTCAACAAAGAAACAATGGATTTAAACTATATCCTGGAAGAAATGGACTTAACAGATATTTACAGAACATTCTACCCAGCAACTGCAGAATATACATTCTATTTATCAGCACATGGAACTTTCTCCAAGATAGACCATATGATAGGCCATAAAGTGAGCCGCAATTAATTCAAGAAAATTGAAATTATATCAAGCACTCTCTCAGATCACAGTGGAATAAAACTGAAAATCAACTCCAAAAGGAACCTTCAGAACCATGCAAGTACATGGAAATTAAATAACCTGCTCCTGAATGACCCTTGGATGAAAAATAAAATCAAGACCTACATCAAAAAGTCTGAAAGAGCATAAAGTGACAATCTAAGGTTACACCTCAAGGAACTAGAGAAACAAGAAGAAACCAAACCCAAACCCAGCAGAAGAAAGGAAATAACCAAGATCAGAGCAGAACTAAATGAAACTGAAACAACAACAACAGAAAAATACAAAAGATAAATGAAACAAAAAGTGGGTTCTTTGAAAAGATAAGTAAAATTGATAGATCATTAGCATGATTAGCTAAGAAAAGAAGAGAGAAAATCCAAATAAGCTCAATTAGAAACAAAATATGAGCTATTACAACTGACACCGCAGAAATACAAAAGATCATTCAAGGCTACTATGAACACCTTTACGTGCATAAACTGGAAAACCTAGAGGAGATGGATAAATTCCTGGAAAGATACAACCCTCCTAGCTTAAATCAGGAAGAAATAGATACTCTGAACAGACCAATAATAAGCAGCGATATTGAAATGGTAATTTAAAAATTACCAACAAAAAGAAGTCCAGGACCAGACAGATTCCCAGAATTCTACCAGACATTCAAAGAATTGGTACCAATCCTATTGACACCATTCCACAAGGTAGAGAAAGAGGGAATCCTCTCTAAATCATTCTATGAAGCCAGTATCACCCTAATACCAAAACTGGGAAAGGACACAACCAAAAAAAAAAAACTACGGGCAAATATCCCTGATGAACATAGATTCAAAAATCCTTAACCAAATATTAGCTAACCAAATCTAATGACATATAAAAAGATAATCTGCCATGATCAAGTGGGTTTCACACCAAAGATGCGGGGATGGTTTAATATAGGCAAGTCAATAAATGTGATACACCACATAAAAAAATTTAAAACAAAAATCACATGACCATCTTAGTAGCCACAGAAAAAGTATTCCACAAAATCCAGCATCCCTTTATTATTAAAACTCTCAGCAAAATCAGCATATAAGAGACATACCTCAATGTAATAAAAGCCATCTATGACAAACCCACAGCCAATGTAATACCAATTAGGGAAAAGTCAAAAGCATTCCTTCTGAGAACTGGAACAAGACAAGGATGCCCACTCTCACCACTCCTCTTCAACATAGTACTGGAAGTCCAAGCCAGAGCAATCAGACAAGAGAAAGAAATAAAGGGCATCCTAATTAGTAAAGAGAAAGTCAAACTGTCGCTGTTTGCTGACAATATAATTGTTTACCTAGAAAGCCCTAAAGACTCCTCCAGAAAGCTCCTAGAACTGATAAAATAATTTGGCAAAATTTCTGGAGGCAAAATTAATGTACACAAATCAGTAACTCTTCTATACACCAACAGTGACCAAGCTGAGAATCAAATCAAGAACTCAACCCCATTTACAATAGCTGCAAAAAATAAAATAAAATATTTAAGAATATACCTAGCTAAGGAAGTGAAAGACCTGTACGAGGAAAACTACAAAACACTGCTGAAAGAAATCATAGACGACATAAACAAATGGAAACACATCCCATGCTCATGAATGGGTAGAATCAATATTGGAAAAATGACCATACTGCCAGAAGCAATCTACAAATTCAATGCAATTCCCATCAAAATACCACCATCATTCTACACAGAACTAGAAAAAACAATCCTAAAATTCATATGTAACCAAAAAAGAGCCCACATAGCCAAAGCAAGTCTAAGCAAAAAGAACAAATCTGGAGGCATCACATTACCTTACTTCAAACTATGCTATAAGGCCATAGTCACCAAAACAACATGGTACTGGCATAAAAATAGGCACATAGACCAATGGAACAGAACAGAGAACCCAGAAATAAACCCAAATACTTATAGTCAACTGATCTGCGACAAAGCAAACAAAAACATAAAGTGGGAAAAGCACACCCACTTCAACAAATGGTGCTGGGATAATTGGCTAGCCACATGTAGGAGAATGAAACTGGATCCTCATCTCTCACCTTATATAAAAATCAACTCAACACGGATCAAGGACTTTAAGACCTGAAACTATAAAAATTCTAGAAGATAACGTTGGAAAAACCCCTCTAGACATTGGCTTAGGCAAGGGTTTCATGACCAAGAACCCAAAAGCAAATGCAATAAAAACAAAGATAAATAGTTGGGACTTAATTAAACTAAAGAGCTTTTTGCACGGCAAAAAGAACAGTCAGCAGAGTAAAGAGACACTCCACAGAGTGGGAGAAAATCTTCACAATCTATAAATGTGACAAAGTACTAATATCCAGAATCTACAAGGAGCTCAAACAAATTAGCAAGAAAAAAGCAAACAATCCCATCAAAAAGTGGTCTAAGAACATGAATAGAAAATTCCCAAAAGAAGATATACTAATGGCCAACAAACATGACAAAATGCTCAACATCACTAATGATCAAGGAAATGCAAATCAAAACCACAATGCAATACCACCTTATTCCTGCAAGAATGGTCATAATCAAAAAATAATAGATGTTGGTGTGGATGCAGTGAACAGGGAACACTTACTTCTACATTGCTACTGAGTATGTAAACTAGTACAACCACTATGGAAAACAGTGCAGAGATTCCTTAAAGAACTAAAAGTAGAACTACCGTTTGATCCAGCAATCCCACTACTTGGTATCAACCTGGAGGAAAATAAGTCATGACACAAAAAAGGTACTTGCACACGCGTGTTTGTAGTAGCACAATTTGCAATTGCAAAAATGTGGAACCAGCCCAAATGCCTATCAGTCAATGAGTGGATAAAGAAGCTGTGGGATATATATGATGGAATACCACTCAGCCATAAAAAGGAATGAATTAATGGCATTTGCACCAACCTGGATGAGGTTGGAGGCTATTATTCTAAGTGAAGTAGCTCAGTAATAGAAAACCAAGCATCAAAAGTTCTCACTCATAAGTGGGAGCTAAGCTATGAGGATGCAAAGGCATAAAAATGACACAATGGACTTTGGGGACTCAGGGAGAAAGGGTGGGAAGAGGTTGAGGAATAAAAGACTACAAATAGAGTACAGTGTATACTGCTTGGATGATGCACGAATCACCACTAAAGAACTTGCTTATGTAAACAAACACCACCTGTTCCCTAATAACCTATGGAAGTAAAATTAAAAAAAAAAAAATGTAGCACAGGCCACGAACGGTGGCTTATGCCTGTAATCCCGGCACTTTGGGAGGCCGAGGCAGGTGGATCAACTGAGGTCAGGAGTTCAAGACCAGCCTGGCCAACATGGTAAAACCCCGTCTCTACTAAAAATACAAAAAAACTAGCTGGGCATGGTGTTGGGCACCTGTAATCCCAGCTACTTGGGAGACTGAGGCAGGATAATCGCTTGAACCTGGGAGATGGAGGTTGCAGTGAGCCGATATCGTACCATTGTACTCCTGCCTAGGCAACAAGAGTGAAACTCCATCTCAAAAAATAAATAAATAAATAAATAAAAGATATAGCTAAAATCCAACAAAGGGGATAGAATGGAATAACAAATAAGATTGTTTCACTCCCTCCCCCCAAAACAGTAAAGGTAGAAAAGGAGAGGAAAAGGAACAAAGAACAGAAAGAACAAATAGAAAACAGAGGAAATAGTAGATTTAGACCCAACCATATCAATAATTAAGTTAAATGTAAATGAACTGAACTCTCCAAGAAATGAAGAAATTGTAAGATAGCCCCTAACCAACAAAATCCAATTATATACTGTTCCCAAGAGACACAATTTAAATATGAATACCAGACAGGTTAAAAATAAAACGGTGGGAAATGATATGCCATGCAAACACCTATGATAAAAAATTTAGGGTGGCTATATTAATATCAGATGACTGATGCTTGTAGAACACTACACATGGCAAATGCACATGGAATAATCACTAAGATGGACAAAATGCTGGGCCATTAATTAAGTTTCAGTAAATTACAAAGAATTGACATCATACAGAATATGCTCTCACCAAGTTACTTCAAGTTAAAAATAACAAGTTATCTAGAAAATCAACATGGGTCAAAGAAGAAATCACAAGGGACATAACAGTATATTTAGAACTGGTTGATCATAAAAAACTATCAAACTTTGTGGGCTGAAGCCAAAACAGATATTCAAGTGAGGGCTGGGTGCCGTGGCTCACGCCTGTAACCCCAGCACTTTGAGAGGCCGAGGTGGGCGGATCACGAGGTCTGGAGTTCGAGACCATCCTGGCTAACACAGTGAAACCCCGTCTCTACTAAAAATACAAAAAATTAGCCGGGCATGGTGGCGGGCACCTGTAGTCCCAGCTACTCGGGAGGCTGAGACAGGAGAATGGCGTGAACCTGGGAGGAAGAGGTTGCAGTGAGCCGAGATGGCGCCACTGCACGCCAGCCTGGGTGACAGAGCAAGACTCCGTCTCAAGTGAGATTATACTTGAAGTACTTATTTTACAAAAGAAGAAAGTTTAAAATTAAGTATCCATTTTAAAAAGCTAGAAAAAGAAAAACAAGTGATGGCTATGTGGGAAAGACCCAAAGGGAAAGAGCAAAGGTGTGAACAGTAATGAGACTGGAGCCACCATGGACAAGACAGAACTTTTGGTTTGATCCTAAATTGAGTTGATTGACTTGTTGAGAAAAAAAAACTTAACACCCTTCATGGAATTATAATAGAACCCACGGTCTACACAGTATAGCCGTCGCATTTCCTAGGACAGAATCAAAAGTTATTTGGCATGTAAAGAATAAGGGAAGTGTGACCAATTTACAGAGGGAAAGACAAACAGCAGATTTCAAGACATAAAGCTACAGTAATCAAGACTGTGATATTGGCAGAGAGATAGACACACAGATCAATGGAACAGAAGAGAGGTCTCCCAAGATGGCACACACCAGTACAGTTTGCTGATATCTGACAATATTGAAAAACCAACTCAATGGAGGAAAGATAATATTTTGAACAAATGATGCCGGAGAATTGGATATGCATAAGTGAAAGAATGAACCTAGACCTAAAACTTCTATCTTATACAAAAATTAACTCAAAATGAATAATTTAAATGCAAAGCATACAACTGTAAAACTTATAGAAGATTACATAGAATAAAGTGTTGGGACAAATTCTAAATACTGAAAAGGAGGCAAAAAAACAGGATTTTATGCATTGCTGGTGGGAATACAGAATAGTATAGCAACTCTGGTAAATAGGCACTTTCTTTAGAAACTAAACAAATACTTAGGTAACACAGCAATCACTCCTAGCATTTATTCTGAAGAAAAGAAGTCATTGTCTCATTAAAAACCTGTAAATGATTGTTCATAGGCCAAAACTAGAAAAAAAATGTCTCTCTATAGGTAAATGGTTAAACAAACCAGTACATCTATACCATAGAATTCTACTTAGCAATTAAAAGGAAAAAACTCATTGAAAACATAACTTTGATAGATATTAACGGCATTGTGCTGAGTGGGGAAAAAGCCAATTTCAAAAGCTCACATACTGTATGGTTATATGTGTATGAAATTCTCAAAATGACAAAATTATAGAAATAGAAAGCAGATTAGTAGTTGCCAGGGGTTACAGATGTTGGGGGATGGAAGTATGACTATAAAAGGATAACACAAAAGATCTTTATAGTGATGGAATAGTTTGGTTTCTTGATTACAGTGGTGATTACACAAATCTACACATGTGATTTAATGATACAGAGTTATAAATACACATTGTACCAACATCATTTTCTGATTCTGATATCGTACTATAATTATACAAGATGAAACCATTGGGGTAAACTGGATGAAGAATACATAAGGCCTTGCTGTACTATCTTTGCAACTTACTGTTATTCAATAATTATTTCAAAATAAAAAAGTTATTTTATTTTATTTTATTTTATTTTATTTTTTGAGGTGGAGTTTTGTTCTTGTTGCCCAGGCTGGAGTGCAATGGCGTGATCTCGCTCACCGCAACCTCCACCTCCCAGGTTCAAGCGATTCTCCTGCCTCAGCCTACCAAATAGCTGGAATTACAAGCATGCGCCAGCACGCCCAGCTATTTTGTATTTTTAGCAGAGATGAGATTTCTCCATGTTGGTCAGGCTGGTCTTGAACTCCCAACCTCAAGTGATCCGCCTGCCTCGGCCTACAAAGTGCTGGGATTACAGGCGTGAGCCACAGCGCCCGGCCTAGTTATTTTAAATTAAAGATAATAATCACTGGATGGGCTCAATAGCAAAACAGAGATGTCAGAGGAAATAATCTGTGACCCTGAAGAGGATAAACAGAAATTAACCAAATTGAAGAACAGAGTAGGGAGAGAAGATTTAAAAAAAAAAAAAAAAAAAAAAAAAAAGAGCAATAAGAACCCATGGGACAATATCAAAAGACCTAACACATTATTTATATGACTTTGAATTTCTCATCAGAAGCGATGGAGTCCAAAAGAGAATGGAACACCTTTAAACTGTCAAGAGAGGAAAAGACTGTCAACTCAGAATTCTTTGTCCAGCAAAAATATCCCTCAGAATAAAAAGGAAATAAAGACATTCTCAGATGAAGGAAAATTGTGAGACTTCATCACCAGCAAATCAGCTCTAAAAAATACTTAAAGGAAATTACTCAGGCTAAAGGAAAATGACACCAGAAACTTAAAACTTGAAAAATGAAAGAAGAGCAATGAAAATTATCACAGTCTGAGTAAATATAATAATCTATTTTTCTCCCCTTAAGTTTTGAAAAATGTGTGTTACTGAGGAAAGCAAAATATGATTGGGAGGCAGTCTGCTACGGACCTCTTGTACTCCTACATGTCTTGCGGAGTGTGTAAAGATTGCAAGGCCCTAACAACTCTTTCAGCCAGGTCATTTCTCAGAGTTGTTTATGCAGCTGGTAATTATCAAAGGTGATGTAATATGTGCTCTCAGACAAAAAGCTGGCCTCTTTGTGGCTTGCCATAAAAGTGAAAGACTCCTTAATTTTTTTTTTTTTTTTTTTTTTTTGAGATGGAGTTTCACTCTTGTTGCCCAGGCTGGAGTGCAATGGCAAAATCTTGGCTCACTGCAACCTCCGCCTCCTGGGTTCAAGCAATTCTCCTGCCTCAGCCTCCCAAGTAGCTGGGATTATAGGCATGTGCCACCATGCCCAGCTAATTTTGTATTTTTAGTACAGATGGGACTCATTAATTTTGATGTTCCTTTCCTCTGGCCCCATAAACCCACTGTGCATGTTGGCTTCTTTAGGCCTTTTACATTACCTCATGGGTGTGGGGCTCAGGGAACCAGCACAAAATGCTGATTCTCTGGTTTCTGCCACTGGTGTGTGTGAATAAAAACATCGTTTGTCTCTGACACAGGATTCTAGTGTCTTCAGCATTCATGAAATTATAGCATGCTAACTTAATAAGCTTAAAATAGGGTAAAATAAATCTCCTCTCAAAATTATACCATTGCCTGGTAGGAATATTAATGTCTGTAAGTGTAATACATATGACAACTGTAAGATAAAGAGAGGAGGGTACAACAACCTGTGTGGTTGTAAGGTTTCTACCTTTTACTTAAGTAGTAAAATATTAACCTGAATAAAATGGGAAAGGTTAAGTAAGGTATGTATAATTTAAACTACAGAGAAGCCATTAAGACAAAAAAATCTAAAAGACATTGCCAAAAAGCTAATAAACTAAAAAGGAATAATAAAGTATTCAAATCATACTAAAGGATGCAAAAAAGGTGAAAGAATCAAAAAGCAGATAAGACAAGTAAACAAATCATGAATTGGGAGACTTAAACCCAATAATATCACTAATTACATTAAATGAAAATGATCTAAACACACTAATTAAAAGATAGAGATTGTTAGACTGGGTGACATCATATTCTGCCAAATATGCTGCCAAATAAAAGTACCACAAACTTAAGAGAGAAAAATAGCTTAAACAACAAAAATTTATTTTTCGTAATTCTGTAGAGAAGTCTGAAACCAGGTGTTGGCAGGTTTGGTTCCACCTGAGGTTTGTGAACGAGAGCCTGTTCTCCATGTCTTGCCTACCTTTTCTTCCTTGATGTTCCTTGGCTTGTTTGCATCATCCCAATTTCTGTCTATGTTCACATGACACTCTCCCTTTCTCTGGGTCTGTCTCCATTTTCCCCACTTTATAAGTACACCACTTTATTTATTCTTTTTCTTTGAAACAGGGTCTCACTCTGTCGCCATCTCAGCTGGAGTGCAATGGTGCCATCTCGGCTGGAGTCCAATGGTGCCATCTTGGCTCACTGCAACCTCTACTTCCCAGGTTCAGGCAATTCTCATGCCTCAGCCTCCCAAGTAGCTGTGACTACAGGTGCACACCACCATGCCAGGCAAATTTTTGTGTTTGTAGTGCAATCAATCTACAAGTTGTTGTTCAATGGATATTGACTTTTAGTAGTGCACGATGAAAAAGTTCTAGGGATGTGTTACATGTCAATGTGACTATAGTTACTTAAAAATGGTTAAGATGGTAAATTTTATTATGTTTTTTTGCCACAAATAAAAAACCTAATTCACTTATACAAACTTAGAGACAAATCATAGTATGTGTTTTTGTATCATTAGGAGTAACAATAAAGTTTACAAATTGATTTTTAAAAACTAATCACCCGTGAAAAAATCGTAAGATCATCTCAGTTGCAGAAAAAAAGCATTCAGCAGATTCAACACCTTTTGTTCAACAACTGTGTTGAGGTACAATTGATATATAAAAATCACATACATTTAATGCATACAATTTGATGAGTTTGGACATATGCACACATATGTGATACCACCACTACAATCAAAGTAATAGATAGATTTATCGCATCCTGAAGTTCCCTTGATTTTCTTTGTGGGTTTTTTTCTGGCGAGGTAGGGGGGCGCAGTAGGCAGTTAGAACACTTACCTAACTTTACCCTATTAACAAATTTTGAAGTGTACAATACTATATTGTTAATTATAGGTATAATGTTGTACAGCAGATATGTAGAACTTATGTATCTAGCATAACTAAAACTTTATATCCATTGAACAACGCCTATTTCCCCTACCCTTCATCCCCTGGCAACCATAATTGTAGTTGTAATTTCCATCAGTTGGAATATTATAAACACCTCATATAAGTGGAATCATGCAGTATTTGTCCTTGTATGTTGACTTATTCTCTTAGCCTAATGTCCTCAAGACTTATCCATGTGGTCGCAAATAGTAGGATTTCCTTATTCTATAAGGATGAACATTTTATTTATACGCAACATTTTATTGCATATATATTTTCTTTATCCACAATTTCTTTATCCATTCATCTGTTGATGTAAACTTGGGTTGTTTACATATCTTGACTGTTGTGGATAATGCTGCAGTGAACATAGGAATGCAGATGTCTCTTCAAAATCCTGATTTTAATTTTTTGGGCATATACTCAAAAGTGAAATTACTTTTGAGTGATTTCACTCAAAAGTAAAATTTCAAAAGTGAAATTTTATGGTACTTCTATTTTCGATTTTTTGAGGTACTTCTATATGATTTTCCATGACGGATGCAACATTTTACATTCCTACCAACAGTGTACAAGGGTTCTAATTTCTCCACATCCTTACCAGTATTTGTTATATATATATATTTTAAATAGACATCTTGGTAGGTGTGAGGTGATATCTCACTGTAGTTTTGATAAAGACTCCACAAAAAACCTGTTAGAATAGATAAATTCAGCCGGGCGCGGTGGCTCACGCCTGTAATCCCAGCACTTTGGGAGGCCGAGGCGGGCAGATCACAAGGTCAAGAGATTGAGACCATCCTGGCCGACATGGTGAAACCCTGTCTCTATTAAAAGTATAAAAATTAGCTGGGTGTGGTGGCAGGTGCCTGTAGTCCCAGCTACTCAGGAGGCTGAGGCAGGAGAATCGCTTGAACCCGGGAGGTGGAGGTTGCAGTGAGCTGAGATCACGCCATTGCACTCCAGCCTGGGCGACAGAGTGAGATGCCATCTCAAGAAAAAAAATTTAAAAAAAAATAGATAAATTCAGTAAAGTTGCTAGATATAAAATCAACATGCAAAAATAAATTGTGTTTCTATACACTAACAGTGAACCATTCAAAAAGAAAAGCAAACAAATCCACTTATAATAGTATCAAAAAGAATAAAATACTTAGGAATAAACTTAACCAAGAAGGTTGAAGGTTGTATTAGTCAGTCAGTGTTTTCTAGGAGGGACAGAATGAATAGGATGTATCAATAGATAGGATAGATAGATAGATAGATAGATAGATAGATAGATAGATAGATGACAGATAGATAGATAGATGATAGATAGATAGAAGGAGATTTATTAGGGGAATTGGCTCACATAATAATGAAGGCTAAGAAGTCTCATGATAGGTTGTCTGTAAGCTGGAGAACCAGGGAAGTGTAAATATGTCTCAGTCCAAGTGTAAAGTCTTCAGAACTAGGGAAGATGATGGTGTAACTCTCAGTTCAAGGCTGAAGGACTGAAAACCTGAAGTGGGAGTGGGGTGGCTGGCATAAGCCCCAGAGTCCCAAGGCCAGATAATCTGAAGATCTGATGTCCAAGGGCAGGAGAAGAAGGGTGCCCCAGCTCTGAGAGAGAGAGAGAGAGAAAGAGAGAGAGAGAGAGACAGACAGACAGAGAGTTAGTTTACCTTTCCTCTGCCTTTTTTGTTCTATCCAGGCCCTCAGCTGATTGAGTGGTGCCCACTGACATTGGGTGAGAGTGGATTTTCCTTAATCAATGCATTCATTCAAATGTCAGTCTTTTCTGTAAACCCCTTAATAGACATACCCATAAATAATGCTTTACCAGGTGTCCGGACATCCCTTAATCCAGTCAAGTTGACACCTAAAATTAAGCATCACAGAGGTGAAAGACTTCTACACTGAAAACTATAAAACATTGATGAAATAAACTAAAGGAGACACAAATAAATGGAAAGATACACTATATTCATGAATTTGAAGACTTCACATTGTTTAAATGCCAATACTATCCAAAGTCATCTACATATTCAAAGCTATGCTCATCAAAATCCGAAAGGCATTTTTTTTTACAGAAATAGCAATAACAGTTCCAAAATTCATATAGAACTATAAAAAACTCAGAATAGCCAAAGCAATCTTGGAAAAGAAGAACAAAGTTGGAAGCATCACACTTCGTGATTTCAAAATAGATTACAAAGCTACAGTAACTAAAACACTATGGTGCTGGCATAAAAATAGACATATAGATTAATGAAATAGGATAGAAAGCCCAGAAATAAATCCATACATATACCACCAACATGTCCTTGACAAGGGTGCCAAGAACATACAATGGGTGAAAAGAGAGTCTCTTCAACAAATAATGCTGAAAAATTGGATATCTACATGCAAAAGAATGAAATTATACCTTTATCATACACTGTACACAACAAAGCAGTTCAAAATGGGTGAAAGACTTAAACATATGACCTGACACTGTAAACTTCCCAGAATAAAAATGGGGGAAATCCTCATGACATTGGTCTTGGCGATGATTGTTTCCATATGACACGAAAAGCACAGGCAGCAAAAGCAAAAATAGACAAGCAGGGCTCATCAAACTAAAAAGCTTCTGCACAGTAAAGGAAATAATCAACAGAATGAAAAAGCAACCTATGGAATGGGAGAAAATACATGTAAGCCACGTATCTGTTAAGGGGTTAATTTCTAAAATATAATGAACTCCTACAACTCAATAGCAAAACAAAACAAAATAACACAATTTAAAAATGGGCAAAGGACTTGAAAAGACATTTCTTTAAAGAAGACATACACATGGCCAAGGGGTATGTGAAAAGATGCTCAACAACAATATCTTTTATGAATAAAACTCAGTGAACTGAGATTAAGAAGGCTCTTCCCCAATCAGATAAAGGGAATCTATGGAAAACCTATAGCTAACATCATACTTCATGGTGAAATACTGAATGCTTTCCCTCTAAATGAGGCAACATGCAAAAATATATGCTTTCACAACTTTTATTCAACATTGTACTACAGGTCTTAAATAGGTAAGAAAAAGAAAAGTCCTAAAGATTGTAAAGGAAACTAAAATTGCATTTATCCCGGCTTTGAGCAATTTGAGCATTATGTACCTTAGTGTCATTTTCTTCATGTTTCATGTGCTTGGAGTTTGTCATTCTTGATCTGTGGGTTTAGTTGTTTCATCAAATTTAGAAAATTTTCAGCCATTATTTCTTTAAATATTTGTTGTATTCCTCTCTTATTCTTTGAAGAATCTGATTATACATTTATTAGTCCCTAGAAGTTGTCCCACAGTTCACTGAAGATGCTTTCATCTTTTGAAATTCATTTTTAATGTTTCAATTTGGTTAATTTTTATTGCAATATACTGCAAAACAAATTCACTTATTTTTGTTCACTAATCTTTTATTCTGTCTAATCTGATTTTCCCATATATTGTATTTTTATCTTATACTTTGCATTTTTCTTACCTCCAAGTTCATTTGAGTGTCTTTTATATTTTCCATGTTCCTGACTTGGGTATATGGGATATAATTTTATTATTTTAATATCCTTGTCTGCTAATTGTAATGTCTGTATCAGTTCTGAATTCATTTTAATGGTTTAATTATTCTCCCAGTTATGGATCATGTTTTCCTGCCACTTTGCATGCCTGGTAATTTTTATTGGAAACCAGACACTGTGAATTTTAGCTTATTGGGTATTGGATATTTGCCTGTATTCCAATAAATACTATTGAGCTTTATTCTGGTATGCAGTTAAATTACCTAGAAGCTGTTTCAGATCTTGTTTTTATGATTTGTTTGACAGGTTCATAGGAATGCTCAGTTAGAGCTAATTTTTCCCCACTACTGAAGCAAGGCTCTGCTGACTATTTTACCCAACGTCACATGCTTTAAGTTTTTCACTATGGCTGGTGCAAACAGGAACCAAGCCATATATCTGATAAGGGGTTAATTTCTAAAATATAATAAACTCCTACAACTCAATAGCAAAAAATGAAACAAAACAAAATAACACAATTTTAAAATGGGCAAAGGGCTTGAAAAGACATTTCTCCAAAAAAGACATTCTACCCAATGTCACATGCTTTGAGTTCCCAGCCCCAAGTGAATGCCAGTCACGGTTTCCTTTACTCTTTCGGGATGATTTTTTCTTCCAGACTCAACTTCTTTTCTCACACTTATGCCCTGACCAGTACCCTGAAGGGTGTATCCTCAGCAGATCTGCTCTTTGTGAAGAAAATCTCCACTCCAAGCACTCTGCCCTGCAAGCTTGAGGTACCTTGGTTTCCTTGGACTATCAACTACATCTCTCAACCCAGGATGTTCACTACACTCCATCCCATTTCTCTTTCTCTGCACTATAGCCTGCAAACTCTCAAGGCAGTAAGCTGAGGAAATCATAGAGCCCTACTACTTACTTCCCATCTCTCAGTGATGACTGTCTTTTGTTGACTGATGCCCAATATTATGAGAAATGCTATTTCATATATTTTATCTGGTTTATTTTTGGTTGTTTTTGGCAAGAGTGTAAATCCAGTCCCTGTTACTCCATCTTGGATTGAAATAGAAATCTAGACTTCTTTATGTAAGAGAAAAAAAAAATCCTGATTTAATTCAGTGTTATTTGAGTATTCTGTAATATACAGACAAACCTAATCCTAACTCCTAACACTGAGTACTTGGATGAGGGGATTAAAGAAAGAAGTCTTCAGGCACCTCATGAGGCCAACTCTGTGGATTTGTGTCCAAATCTCCATCAATGAAAGTAATTTCTATGTCTCTTTTCCACAAGACTCCGGGGCATGTGAAGAGGACATTTTGAGACTGAGGGTATATACTGGGTGATCAGTTCAATTAGTGATGCCATTAACTGAGGAAGAAATACCTCCTAGAGCTGATTCAGGCATCCTAATAGTATATATATTCAAAAAGGTACAAAATTATACACAGAGCATCACTAAATACGTGGGTCTGAAGGTATTTTATATATGAATAAATAACATCACTATATTCAACCAATATTTCCTCTTGTTAAAGATGACATGCCCATAGATTTATTTACATTTTATTTTCTTTTTTAAAAGGAAAGGCTGGGCATGGTGGCTCACACCTGTAATCCCAGCACCTTTGGAAGTGGAGGCAGGTGGATCATCTGAGGTCAGGAGTTCAACACCAGCCTGGCCAACATGGTGAAACCCCGTCTCTACCAAAAAAAATACAAAAATTAGCCAGGCGTGGTGGTGCGCCCCTGTAATCCCAGCTACTCAGGGGGCTAAGGTATGAGAATTGCTTGAACCCGGGAGGTGGAGGTTGCAGTGAGCCAAGATCACGCCACTGCATTCCAGCCTGGGCGGCAGAGTGAGACCCTGTCTAAACAAAACAAAACAAAACAAAACAAAGAAAACTTCTCAAAGCACTTGTAAATAGTATTTGAAGGCATCACACTAGTGCAGAAGCATCTTCTGTTTGGTCAGTTAGTGGTTATTATAATCCTTCATCTCAAGATATGTAACTCTCAAGTTTAAACATAAAGAATATTTGTGCTTTCTATGCCATGTCTCTCTCTCTCTCTCTCTCTCTCTCTCTTTCTCTCTCTCTCCCTTTTTATTTATTTATTTATTTTTTTGACACGGAATCTTGCCCTGTCACCCATGCTGGATTGCAGTGTCACGATCTTGGCTCACTGCAACCTCCGCCTCCTGGGTTCAAGGGATTATCCTGCCTCAGCCTTCCAAGTAGCTGGGATTACAGGTGTGCGCCACCATGCCCAGCTGATTTTTGTGTTTTTTAGTAGACACGGGGTTTCACCATGTTGGCCAGGCTGGTCTCGAACTCCTGACCTCAAGTGATCCGCCCACCTCAGCCTCCCAAAGTGCTCGAATTACAAGCGTAAGCCACCGCTCCCGGCCGCCTGTCTCTTTTTAACAACTTAATTTTCTCCCAGTAATTTGAGGTGTGGGGAACTTTTATATTAAGGCAAAACTAAAGAAAGGAATAGATCTGTGTTTTCAAATTGAGGCGAACGTCACAGTAGAGTCACAGGATGAACACAGTACATCTTCTTGGAGTATCAGTTTTGCTCAGTGGTAACTATTTTAAAACCGTTTTATAGCAAAACAAACAGATCTCATAGAAAATACAATTCAAGACTTAATGAATTATTTTTAAGCTATAATAGAAAACTACTTCCCCAAGACCGTTTTGGGTCCTACAACCCACCCCACGCATGCTTTACCCTCCTCTGCCATTAGTTTCCCTTTAGTGCTCAAGTGTGAGTAGCACTGGATTGATGACGACGTTAGTTCTCCATTCTAGTGAGGTCGTCTCTGATATAATTAATATTTTTATCTAAGGCCGTTTTCCCTCTCTTTTTTTTTCGGGGTTTTACTATTACCCAAAGAGTGTCCACAGCGCCTGCCCAGAATCCCAGAACAAGGAGGTGAGCTGCAGAGTGACAATACAGGAAGGGCAGCTTCGCAGCTGTGTCTGAGTGGGGAAGCAGGTTCGCCGTGTCCTGGAGAACTTGCTCAGCTCCACAGCCTCCTCCATCCTCCCCTGATGTCTCAGGACTGGACTGAGACCAGACGCCCCTCTGGGCAAGTTTACCCAAGAAAATGGGCTTACACATGGTGAAGCTTGGAACCTAGCAGTTCCTACTCTGCTGTTTTCCAGGAATTAGCATTCCCTTATTAAAACTGTCCTCTGGATCGTCCAGTTCAAGATGTCTGACTACAGACGTCAGACACCCCCCGCCTCCTAGAAAGAAGAAGCAAACCTGTGAATAGATCATCACACCTGGAATAGAACATCTAGGAGACAGTCCAACAGAGGAATACCTAAGGTTCAGGAAAAGAAAGTGAGCAGTCAGCTCTGCTGAAATGGGCTAGGAGCCCCGAGGGCCTCGGTATTGCGGCGAGAGGGTAAGTGAGAGGGCTCGACGTCTGCATCCCTAAGCGAACTGCTGCGATCCTAAGCGCGGGGAGCTCCCCCACCCAGAGGTACCCAGGCGGTGCTTGGGCGGTAGTTTGGAGACCCTGAGAGGGCAATGCACCAGACAGGAAACTCGCCCTGGGTCTCTCACCACACCCCACCTGAGCTGCGGCAGGTGCCATTGCAGGAGTGCAGCCACCACGGGACTGCACCCTGCCCTGGGAACCACAGCCCCCGTATCTCCACATCCCAGGATCTCCTGCTGACATTCCCCAGTGTCCACTGGACAGCTGCAATGGTACAGCGCTGGCTGGACCCAAAAGGTGCTGCAGGGGCTCCAGTACTCTAGCCCACAGGGAGTACGACTCCCTAAGGAAAGGACGAAAGGCTGCAGCTGCTGCAAAAGAAACCAGAGCAAGTTTTCCAGAGCCCGAAGCTTCCTTTCCTGGGGCTGTGAGAAGTCACTCTGCCCCCAGCGGCAGCACAAACTCTGCTCCGCTTTGTAAGAGAAGAGAGAAGTCCCCATCCAGAGGCCGAGCAGCATCTGCACCTTGTGCTAACGCTGTAGAGAGTGAGACCTCTTCCCCTCTGCACACCGCTGCAGGCACAGCCACTGCCGCTACCCCCAGAGGTAGGGCAGGCAGGTTGGAGGGCTGCCTGTCTGGGGCTGTGAGGGGTGACTACCCCATTGGAGTTGTGGCCTCCGTGCCCGGGCTTGCACATGAAGGGAGGGGTGGGGTCCCTCCCACACTCTGCACGGTGCTGTGGCACTGCTGTATCAGAGAGCAGGAGGGCCTGAGAGCTGCAGGTTTGGAGCTGTGGATGGCGACTCGGCACCGCAGCCACAGCCAACACCAGTGCACACCGATCAGGACCCAGAGGGTCTTCCTGCTACCGCCATTGCCCACACCACGCCCACTGTCTAGAAACCCAAGAGCGGGCTCGCCCGCCTAGCCTACCGTTGCCACTACCAGACTCTAAGCAAGCTACTGGAGGTCCAAGGGTCCACTGGCCTGGGTCTGGTCCAGCTAACATCAGCCAGCATTCGCCCAGGGCCCAGCTCAGGCATACTCAGCCCACTGCTGCCACCACTGGGGCCCAAAGACCGGCCCACTTGGCTTCCCTATCCTCAGCAAAACTTTGCATAGCCTCCACTAATAACCCAACCCTAAACCACTGAGGAAATCAAAAATACTACTGAAACTGTTAACAGCTGAAGAAATCATAGAGTCTACACTATCACAGGTATCCAGAAGCAAAGCCAAAGTGCCCCACCCAACCAACACCATTGATACTCCTCAGGAAAATGTCTTCCCTATAAAAGCAAATTCAAAAAACTGGAAGAAGTGATTATTACACTAGTTGAGAAGGTATCAACGTAAGAATAAGGGAAGCTTGAAAAAGCAAGGAAATGACACCTCCAAAGGAACACAATAAATAATTCCTCAGCAACAGACCCCAATCAAAAAGAAATTCATGAAATCCTGGAAAAAGAATTCAATACTATTATTATTATTTATTATTTGAGACTGAGTCTTGCTCTGTCACCCAGGCTGGGGTGCAGTGGCATGATCTCAGCTCACTGCAACCTCCACCTCCTGGATTCAAGGGATTCTCCTACCTCAGCCTCCTGAGTAGCTGGGATTACAAGCGTGCACCACCACACCCAGCTAATTTTTGTATCTTTGTAGAAATGAGGTTTCACCATGTTGGCCGGGCTGGTCTCGAACTCCTGACCTCAAGTGATCCGCCTGCCTCCGCCTCCCAAAGTGCTGAGATTACAGGTGTGAGCCACTGTACCCGGCCAAGAATTCAAAATTATGATACTAAAAAAGCTCAGTAAGTTACAAGAGAATTTCAAAAAAACAATACAAAGAAATCAGAAAAACAATTCAGGATATAAATGAGAAATTAACCAAAGAGATAGATATACAAAAAGAACCAAACAGAAATTCTGATACTGAAGAAGTCCTCAAATAAAATACAAAATATAGTTGAAAGCTTCAACAATAGACTAGACCAAGCAGCAGAGAGAATGTCAGACTTGAAGACAGGTCTTTTGAAATAACCCACTCTAACAATGTTCCAGAAGGCAAGTGACTTATGTGGAAAGATTGGTACAATTCTTCCGCAACTATTTTTCTCCCCTCTCTGTGCTCTCCCCTATCTCTGCTCTCCCCTCTTTGCATTTTTTGGAGAGGCAGCATGTGTCTGGTTAAAAGTGTGAATTGTGGAGCCAAACTCCCTAGGATTAAATCTCAGCCCCATCACTTATACTAGCAATTAAACATTGGGGAATTTCACTTAATCTTCCTGCTTTAGTCTCCGAATTTGTAAAATAAATATAATAATGTTCACTTTATAGGTTTATTATGAGGACTAAGAATATTTGTAAAGTGCTTAGGACAATGCCTGTTTATGCCTACTTAACTGAGTTCCTATTTCCTATGCCTGGCACATACTAAGGATGATATTAGTATTTCTTAAATAAATATCTCTCCCAAATAGAGGGGAGAAACAGTCCATGAAAGAATAGGTTCTCTTTCTTATCCTCGTCTCTCAATCTTTCTCTCCAGCTTTCTCTCCAACTTTGCCTCTGCTTCTTATTTGCTCAACATTTACTGAGCACCTTCTGTGTACTGGATACTATTTTAAACTGTTGATTACATTTGAATTATAAACACACTGCCCTTATCTTCTTACCATATAATGAAACAAATCAGCACTTGGGCAGGCTATGACAAGGCAACAAGATGGAGGAAGAGGAGGGAAAAGCAGAATGCAAGCTGTTCCCTCTCTCTCTCTTTTGAAGAAAATAAACTAAGAACTTTACCCGTCAAAGTAAGGGAAGAGCTGGCTATCTTTTATTAGAAAAGTTGAGAGGTTTCAAAGTGTTGTTCCTACAGTTAACTTAAAATCGTCTGGTTTTAGTTAATTCTAGCCAGCAGGGGGCAGGAGTGTCCAGCTGTGTGAACCCAGTTATTCTGATCTTTCCAAGACTTCACTAAAGAAAAAGTGCTTCCAACTTGATGTACGGGAGCTTCAAATTCTTAAGCTATACAATTGGTGCACAGAAAAATGATTATTGGTATTAACGTGTTAAAATTGGTAAATAGGAATACATTTCTACTGATTTTGATGGTCGATTTGACTGTCGTTTTCCCACAAACATTTGGTCTCTCTTCAAATCTCCAGGTAACAAAAATTTCTGCCTTTACATTCCTCAGATAATCTCAACTGAGGACAGGGATGTAGGGAAAACACAGATTCTCAAGACATCAGGCCTCCCCAACTGGGCAACCTTGGCTTGTTATTTAACCTCCCTGAGTTTTTGCTTAAAAAGTCTGTAAAGACTAGGCTGAAGTCCCACTTTGGACCATCCAGGGAACCGCATCCTTTAGGGAATGGGGCTATTATGAGGATGTGTCCAGGTTGACACTGAAGGGCTAAGTCACAGGTATCACCTTGCTCTCTGATCTTTTGGGTTTCTGCACTCACAGCTGCTACAATAGGGGCCCATGCAGTCCTAGAAGTCAAACCCAGCTCAGAATTTTGTTTAAAAGTTTTGCTTCTGGTATGTTTCCAGGAAATTTACATTGTATTTCTTTGTTTAATAATGGTTTTATAAAAGATACAATTTTCACTTTCTACACAACATATACCTTATCATCTAACATTTGCAGTGCTTTTTACAGTTCTTATTTGTGCTTTTTAAACTTTTCTTAAGGCAAACAGGCCTGTTTGCTTTAAGAGTACAGAGAAGAGCATTCTTCAATTTTCTGTTTTTATTTTTTAGTTTCTTCTTAAACCTGAGTATTTTTTTTAATGTTGAAAACAGTACAGGTTCAATATAAAGCATTTGAATGATCACGGTTAAAAGCAAAAATTGTCTAATATCCCACCAACCAGTGATAACCAGCATTAATATTTTGCTGTTTATCTTTCTGATCTGCTGTCTCTGTCTCTTTTTTAAATTTAACTTTTATTTTAAGTTCAGAGGTACATGTGTAGGTTTGTTATATAGGTAAACTTGTGTCATGGGAGTTTGTTGTACAGATTATTTCATCACCCAGGTATTAAGCCTTGTACTCATTATTTTTCCTGATCCTCTCCCTCCTCCCACACTTTGCCCTCAAATAAGTCCCAGTGTGTGTTCTTTCTCTCTATGTATCCATGTGTCTCATAATGAGAACATGTAGTATTTGGTTTCTGTTCTTGTGTTAGTTTGCTAAGGATAATGGCCTCCGGCTCCATCCATGATCCTGCACAGGACATAATCTCATGGGGTTTTTTTATGGCTGCATAATATTCCATGGTGTGTCTGTACCACATTTTCTTTATCCAGTCTACCACTGATGGGCATTTAGGTTGATGCCATGTCTTTGCTATTGTGAATAGTGCTGCAGTGAACATACATGTGCATGTATTTTTATAATAGAATGATTTATATACCTTGGGGTATATACCCAGTAATGGGATTGCTGAGTCAAATGGTAGTCCTGTTTTTAGGTCTTTGAGGAATCACTACAATGTCTTCCACAATGGCTGAACTAATTTACACTCCCCTTTCTCCCACAGTCTCAACAGCATCTGTTATTTTTTTACTTTTTTTTTTTTTTTTTTGAGATGGAGTCTTGCTCTGTCGCCCAGGCTGGAGTGCAGTGGTGCGATCTCGGCTCACTGCAACCTCCGCCTCCTGGGTTCAAGCGATTCTCCTGCCTCAGCCTCCTGAGTAGCTGGGATTACAGGTGCATGCCACCACATCTGGCTAATTTTTGTATTTTTAGTAGAGACGGGGGTTTCACCATGTTGGTCGGGCTGGTCTCGAACTCCTGACCTTGTGATCTGCCTGCCTTGGCCTCCCAAAGTGTTAGGAGTTGGGATTACAGGCGTGAGCCACTGTGCCAGGCCCTTTTTTTTTTTTTTTTTTTTTTTGAGACAGGGTCTCTCTCTGTTGCCCAAGCTGGAGTGCAGTGGCACGAACTCGGTTCACTGCAGCCTCAACCTCCTGGGTTCAAGCAATTCTCCCACATCAGCCTCCCGAGTAGCTGGGATTACAGGGTGTGCCACCACACCCGGCTAATTATTTTTTTGACTTTTTAATAGTAGCCATTCTGACTGGTGCGAGATGGTGTCTCATTGTAGTTTTGATTTGCATTTATCTAATTATCAGTGATGGTGACCTTTCTTTCATATGATTGTTGACTGCATGTATGTCTTCTTGCGAAAAGTGTCTGTTCATGTCCTTTGCCCACTTTTTAATGGGGTTGTTTGGTTTTTTCTTGTAAATTTGTTTAAGTTCCTTATAGATGCTGGCTATTAGGCCTTTGTCACGCACATAATTTGCAAAAAAATTTTTTTCAATTCCGCAGGTTGCCTGTTCACTATGTTGATAGTTTATTTTGCTGTGCAGAAGCTCTTTCATTTAATTAGATCTCATTTGACAATTTTTGCTGTTGTTATAATTGCTTTTGGCATCTTCATCATGAAATCTTTGCCTGTTCCTATGACCAGAATAGTATTGCCTAGGTTGTCTTCCATGGTTTTTATAGTTTGGGGTTTTACATTTCAGTTTTGATTCATCTTGAGTTAATTTTTGTATATGGTATAAAAAAAGGGTCTAGTTTCATTCTTCTGCATGTGGTTAGCCAGCTATTCCAGCACAACTTATTGAAGAGGGTGTCCTTTCTCCATTGCTTATTTTTGTCAACTTTGTTGAAAATCAGATGACTGTAGGTTTGCAGCTTTATTTCTAGTTCTCTATTCTGTTCCACTGGTCTATGTGTCTGTTTTTGTATCAATACCATGCTGTTTTGATTACTGTAGCCTTATAGTATAGTTTGACATTGGGTAATGTGATGCCTCTGGCTTTGTTGTTTTTGCTTAGGATTGCTTTGGCTATCCAGGCTCTTTTTAATTTCCACATGAAATTTAGGATAGTATTTTTAGTTGTGTGAAAAAAATGACATTGATAGTTTGATAGGAATAACTTGAATCCGTAGATTGCTTTGGGCAGTATGGCCGTTTTAATGATGTTCATTCTTCCAATTAATGAGCATGGAATGTTTTTCCATTTGTTTGTGTCATCTATTATTTCTTTTAGCAGTGTTTTGTAAGTCTCCTTATAGAGATCTTTCACCACCTTCGTTAGATGTGTTCCTAGGTATTTTATTGTTTGTTTTTGTGGTTATTGTAAATGGGATTGCATTCTTGGTTTGGCTCTCAGCTGGAATGTTATTGGGGTATAGAAATTCTACCTACTTTTGTACATTGATTTGGTATCCTTAAACTTTATTGAAGTTGCTTATCAGTTTCAAGAGCCTTTTAGCAGGGTCTCCAGGGTTTTCTGGGTATAGAATCATATTATTCATGAAGAGATATAGTTTGACTTGTTCTTTTCTTGTTTGGATGCCTTTTATTTCTTTTTCTTGCCTGATTGTTCTGGCTAGCACTTCCAGTACTATGTTGCATGGGAGTAGTAAGAGCGACCATTCTTGTCTTGTTCCAGTTCTCAAAAGGGAATGCTTTCAGTTTTTGCCTATTCAGTATGATGTTGGCTGTAGGTTTGTCATAGATAGCTCTTTATTATTTCAAAGTATGTTCCTTTGATGCCTAGTTTCTTGAGAGTTTTTATCAGATAGAAGTTATAGCTTTTATAGAAAGCATTTTCCGCATCTATTAAGATGATCATAAGGTTTTTGTTTTTAATTCTGTTATGTGATGAATCATATGTATTAATTTGTGTATGTTGAACCAACCATGCATTCCATGAATGAAACCTACTTGATCTAACTTTTTGATGTACTGATGAATTCAATTTGCTAGTATTTTGTTGAGGATTTTTCTGTCTGTGTTCATCAGCAATATTGGTCTGTAGTTTTCTTCATTTGTTTTATCCTTGTCTAGCTTTAGTATCAGTGTGATGCTGGCTTCATAGAATGAGTTAGGGAGGAGAACCTCCTCCTCAATTTTTTGGATTGGTTTCAGTAGAATTAGTACCAGCTCTCTTTTGTATATCTGGTAAAATTCAGCTGTAAATCTATCTGGTCCAGGGCTTTTGTTAATTGGTTGATTTTTAAATTACTACTTCAATTTCAGAACTCAGTATTGCCCTGTTTAGGTTTTCAATTTCTCCTTGGTTCAATCTTGAGAGATTGTGTGTTTCCAAGGATTTATTCATTTCTTCTGTATTTTCTAGTTTGTATGCATAGAGGTGTTCATAATAGTCTCAGAGGATCATTTGTGTTTCTGTGGAATTGGTTGTAATGTCATCTTTGTTGTTTCTGATTGTGTTTATTTGGATCTTCTCTTTTTTTTTCTTTTGATAATCTAGATAGTGGTCTATCAGTCCTGTTTATCCTTTCAAAGAACCAGCTTTTGGTTTTGTTGATGTTTTGTATGAATTTTGGGGTCTCAATTTCATTCAGTTCAGCTTCGATTGTAGTTATTTCTTTTCTTCTGCTAGCTTATGGTTAGTTTGTTCTTGCTTTTCTAGTTTCTTTAGGTGTGATATTAGATAGTTTGAGATATTTCTAATGTTTTGAGGTAGGCATTTAGACCTATAAACTTTCCTCTTAAGACTGCTTTTGCTGCACTCCAGAGATTTTGATATGTTGTGTTTCTGTTATCTTTTATTTCAAAGAATTTTTAAATTTTTGCCTTAATTTCATTATTAGCCAAAAAGTCACTCAAGAGCAAGTTATTTAATTTCCATGTAATTGTGTGGTTTTGAGAGATCTTATTGCTATTGATTTCTAGTTTTATTCCACTGTGGTCTAAGAGTATGGTTGGTATGATTTCAATTTTTTTGAATTTATTCAGACTTGCTTTATGGCTGAGCATGTGGTTGATCATGGAGTATGCTCTGTGTGCAGATGAGAAGAGTGTATATTCTGTGGTGGATGAGTGGGGTATTCTGCAGATGTCTATTAATTCCAATTCATCAAGTGTCGAATTTAAGTCCAGAATTTCTTTGTTAGCTTTCTACCTCAACGATCTGTCTAACACTGCCAGTGGGATACTGAAGTCCCTCGTTATTATTGTGTGGCTGTCTAAGTCTTTGCATAGGTGTAGAAGTAATTGCTTTATGAATCTGCGTGCTCCAATTTTGGGTGCATATATATTTAGGATAGTTGAGTCTTCTTGTTGAATTGAACCCTTTATCATTATATAATGCCCTTCTTTCTACTTTTTCACTGTTGTTGGTTTAAATTCTGTTTCATCTGATATAAAAACAATAACTTCTGCTCTTTTTTTGTTTTCTGTTTGTGTGGTAGATCTTTCTCTAACTCTTTACTTCGAGCCTGTTGGTGTAGTTACCTGTGAGATGGGTCTCTTGAAGACAGCAGACAGATGAGTCTTGATATTTTTATCCAACTTGCCACTTTGACTTTTAAGTGGGTCATTTAGACCATTTACCTTTAAGGTTAATATTGACATGTGAGGTTTTGATCCTAACACAAATTTGTTAGCTGGTTGCTTTGCAGTTTCTGTTGTGTGGTTGTTTTATAGGGTCTGTGAGTTATGTACTTTAGCGTGCTTTTGTGCTTTTATTTCTGTTTAGAACTCCCTTAAGGATTGCTCATAAGGCTGGTCTAGTGACAATGAATTCCCTTAGCACTTGCTTGTCTGGAAAATATTTTATTTCTTCTTTGCTTATGAAGCTTAGTTTGGCAGGATGTGAAATTCTTGGTTGGAATTTCTTTTGTTTAAGAATGGTAAAAATAGGTCCCCAATCTCTCCTAGCTTTTAAGGTTTCTGCTAAGAAGTCCACTGTTAGCCTGATGGGGTTCCCTTTGTACATGATCTGACCTTTTTCTCTAGCTGCTTTTAAGATTTTTTTCTTGCCGGGTGCAGTGGCTCACACCTATAATCCCAGCACTTTGGTAGGCCAAGGCGAGTGTATCACAGGGTTAGGAGTTCAAGATCAGCCTGACAAACATGGTGAAACCCCATCTCTACTAAAAATACAAAAATTAGCTGGGGGTGGTGGTGCATGCCTGTATCCCAGCTACTTGGGAGGCTGAGGCAGAAGAATCGCTTGAGCCTGGGAGGTAGAGATTGCAGTGAGCTGAGATCACGCCACTGCACTCCAGCCTGGGTGACAGAGTGAAACTCTGTCTCAAAAAAAAAAAAGGATTTTTATCTTTAGCAATGACCTTGGACAGTCGTGACTATATGCCTTGATGATGTTCACTTTGTATAGCATCTTTCAGGTGTTTTTTGGATTTCTTGTACCCAGATGTCAATGTTTCTGGAAAGATTAGGGAAATTATCTTAAATTATTCCCTCAAATATGTTTTCCAGTTTGTTTGCTTTTTCTCCTTCTTTCCAGAATTCCATACTTCATACCTTTGGTCGCTTTATATGCTCCCCATATTTCTTGAAAACTTTATTCATTTTTTTAAATTATTTTCTTTATTTTTGTCTCGCTGGATTAGTTTGAAAGACAAGACTCTGAAATTCTTTCTTCTGCTTGGTTTAGTCTATTAATAAAGCTTTCAATTGTATTTGAAATTCCTTAAGTGAGTTTCTCAATTCCAGAAACTCTGGTTGATTTCTTTTTAGGATGTTTATCTCTTTCTTCATTTCCTGGATTGCTCTAGAAGTTTCTTTGTGTTGATTTTCAATCTTATCTTGGATCTAATTGATTTTCCTTGCAATCCATGCTTTGAATTTTTTTATCTGTCATTTCTGAGTTTCCATTTTCATTAGGAACCATTACTGGAGAGCTGTGTGAACTTTTGGTAGTGTCACTACATTCAGATTTTTCATGGTGCAAGAATTCTTGTGCTGGTTCCTACTAATCTGGAGACACTGGTATTTCTAAGTTTTGTAAATTTTTTTTTTTTTTTTTGACAGAGTCTCACTCTGTCTCCCAGGCTTGGCTCACTGTAACCTCGGCCTCCCAGATTCAAGTGATCCTCCCACCTCAGCTTCCCAAGTAGCTAGGATTACAGGCATGCACCACCATGGCCAGCTAATTTTTTTGTATTTTTAGTAGAAATGGGGCTTTGTCTTGTTGGCCAGGGTGGTCCCATACTGCTGACCTCAAGTGATCCACCCACCTTTGTCTCCCAAAATGCTAGGATTACATGTGAGAGCCACTGCACCCGGCCAGTTTTGTAATTATTTTATTGTGGGTAGGACTTTTTCTTTTTCTTTCTTTTCCTCTGTATTTTCTTTCCTTTCTCTTTCTCTTCCCTCCCGTTCTTAGGGGATGTGACTGTAGAGAAGACTAGGTAAGATCTTCTGGCTTTTCTGCTATACTCCTATGCATTTCTGTCAGCAGTTTTTATATCAGGCTGTGCAGTTCAACCTGCAAGCCAGTAGATGAAACTTGTAGGTAAGAACAGGCTGTGACCAAGGGTGCTGGGTATATACTTGATCCTTTTTTACTGGGAGAAGCCCTCTGTTGCCTCAGGAAATGGGCTGGTTCTTGGAGTGCAGAGTGGTCTGAACTCCCTGCTCAGCCCCAGGGTGGTGGGGACAAGATGGGCAGGTCTGGACTGGGCAGGTCCACCTACAGGTCCCCCAATGGCAGACACAAGCACCAGCACTGAGGGAAAATCTAGTGGGTGGCCACCGAGTACCCAGAGGTGTGCCTAGGTATGGAGCTGGGAATCCTCCTCAGCCCCAGTTCTCTGCATGGGTTGGGAGGTGGCCAAAACACTTAATCCAAGAAAGTGGGTGCTCTTCATGCCTGGAAATCTGCTTGAGTGTGGATTAGAGAAGGCTCCCTTGCACCAGGATCTCTGCATAACATAGGTGCCACATTTTCTTTACCCATTTATCCGTTGATAAACATTTGGGCTGCTTCCACCTCTTGGCTATTGTGACTAGTGCTGCAATTAACATGGGTGTGCAAATATCTCTTCAAGGTATTGCTTTCAATTCTTTTGAATATATACCTGGAAGCAGACTTGCTGTATCTGATGGTAGTTTTTTGTTTGTTTGTTTGGTTTTTGTTTTGTTTTTTTGAGATGGAGTTTTGCTCTTATTGCCCAGGCTAGAGTGCAATGGTGCAATCTTGGCTCACCACAACCTCCATCTCCCAGGTTCAAGCGATTCTCCTGTCTCAGCCTTCTGAGTAGCTGAGATTACAGGCATGCACCATCACATCTGGCTAATTTTGTGATTTTAGTAGAGATGGGGTTTCTCTATGCTGGTCAAGCTGGTCTTGAACTCCCGACCTCAGGTGATCTGCCTGCCTCGGCCTCCCAAAGTGCTGGGATTACAGGCATGAGCCACCACACCCAGCCCCCAGTGGTAGTTTTATTTTTAATTTTTTGAGAACCACCACACTGGGAGGGTAGGAGGATGAGAGATAATTCTCTAATCCACCTCCCTAAGAATTTGGGGACTAGGGTTTCTCAAGGACAGTTTGGTAGGCAGGGAGCTAGGGAATGGAGAATACTGATTGGTCAGGTCAGAGATGAAATCATAGGAAGTTGACACTTTCTTCTTGTACTGAGTTAGTTCCTGGCTATGGGTTACCAGTCTGGGTGGTGCCAGTTTAACCATAACAAATGCAAGGTCTGAAAAATATCTCAAACACCAGTCTTAGGTTTTACAACAGCAATATTATCCATAGGGACAATTAGGGAAGTTGTAAATCTTGTGACCGTTGACTACATGACTCCTGAGCAGTAAGTAGTTTTAAAAAGGCAAGTTATAAAACAATGGTTAGTTAGAGTTTAACTGTGCCTACATCTTAGCAGAATTCAGGCCTTTATCACAATTCTAGCATTGTGAATTCTAACCATAATTCTACCTTTTGTTAGTTTTACAAAGGCAGTTTCAGTCCTGAGCAAAGAAGCATTTAATTTTGGAAAGGGACTGTTATCATCTTTGAATCAAAGTTAAACTATAAACTGAATTCCTCCCATAGTTAGCTTGGACTGAGCACACAGCTCGTGAGGTTAGAAGCAAGAGTCAGTTATGTTAGATTTCCCTCACTGTCATAATTTTTAGATTTCCTTCATTGTCATAATTTTTGCAAAGGCAATTTCAAACCTCCATGTATTAGTCCATGTTCATGCTACTAATAAAGACATACCCTAGACTGGATGATTTATACAGGAAAGAAGCTTAATGGACTCACAGTTCCATATGGCTGGGGAGGCCTCACAATTATGGTGGAAGGCAAGGAGGAGCAAGTCATGTCTTAGATGGATGGCAGCAGGCAAAAAGAGAGCTTGTGTAGGGAAACACCCCCTTATAAAATCATCAGATCTCATGAGACTTATTCACTATCACGAGAACAACACTGGAAAGACCCGCCTCCATGATTCAATTATCTTCCACTGGGTCCCTCCCACAACACATGGGAATTAAAGGAGTACAATTTTTTTTCTTTTTTGAGACAGAGTCTCGCTCTGTTGCCCAGGCTGGAGTATAATGGGGCAGTCTTAGCTCACTGCAACCTCTGCCAAGGGAGTACAATTTGAGATGAGATTTGGGTGGGGACACAGAGCCAACCATATCACTCCACCTATATCTCACTGGCCAGAATTTAAAAGCATGTCCATATCCAACTGTATAGAAGGCTAGAAAATATAGTCCCTTAGTTGGGCAAATTACTTATTGAATTTTATTTTATTTTATTTTATTTTATTTTATTTTATTTTATTTTATTTTATTTTTGAGACGGAGTCTCACTCTGTCACCCAGGCTGGAGTGCAGTGGCATGATCTCAGCTCACTGCAAACTCCACTTCCCGGGTTCAAGCAATTCTCCTGTCTCAGCCTCCTGAGTAGCTGGGACTACAGGCACATGCCACCATGCCTGGCTAATTTTTGTATTTTTAGTAGAGACAGGGTTTCACCATATTGGTCAGGCTGGTTTCGAACTCCTGACCTCAAGTGATCCACCCACGTCAGCCTCCCAAAGTGCTGGGATTACAGGCATGAGCCACCCCGCCCAGCCTTATTTAATATTTTTTAAAGAGAGTTGTCAAACTCAGCTGATCAGTACAAATGGTGTAATCTTGACCGCAAACATGGATAAATACAAAAAAAGGAAAAGGCCACTTAATTTTTGAACTTTAACAGAAATTTTGAATATTTTAACAGAAATATTCTAAATAAACTACATGTATACTCCACTTTAGACATTTCCAACTAACGTTTTCCCAGTAGAACACCTTTTTGTTATTACTATTCAGATTTCATAGGATGTATACAATACAACATTTTTTGGCTGATGCTTATTATAAAGAATGTTTATACTTATGCCCAGAAAAATATTCAATACAATTTTTAAACAAAACAATATGTGGGGAAAGTTTTGAGTTACATCGTAAATGCAATAGTTGAGCTGTCAAATCTCATGTGGAAATTTTGAAAAGCATACTGCGAGTCAACAAAACCAAGAGAAATGTGCACTGGGGATGTTGCTGGCCCAGAGAGGCCAAGCCATACCTACAGAGCAACTATATGCTTACAGTCAGTCTTAATTTTCAGGTGATCAAGAAGTGATGTTTTAAGCATTATATATATATATATATATATATATATATATATATATATATATTTTTTTTTTTTTTTTTTTTTTTTTTTTTTTTTTTAGATGGAGTTTTGCTGTTGTTGCCCAGGCTGGAGTGCAATGGCATGATCTCACCTCAATGCAACCTCTGCCTCCAGGGGTTAAAGCAATTCTCTTGCCTCAGCCTCCCAAGTAGCTGGGATAACAGGCACATGCCACCATGCCTGGCTAATTTTGTATTTTTAGTAGAGTTAGGGTTTCTCCATGTTGGTCAGGCTGGTCTTGAACTCCTGACCTCAGGTGATTCGCCTGCCTCGGCCTCCCAAAATGCTGTGATTACAGGTGTGAGCCACTGTGCCGGGCTGCACTTTATATTCTTACAGTACTGTTTGTTCATTTTTATGGATTTTTAAAATGGGTTTCGTATGGTTTAGGAAATTGATTTGGGGTTTGGCTTGATATGAAATGCATCAAAACTTTTCCTGGTTGGTGACTTCATTCATGACATCTGATTTTCAAAAACTGATTACAGAGATTAAGCAGGAAATGCCTATATTAAGGGACTTAAATCCAAAAGTGTAATAAAAAAATTATTTGGCTGGGCGTGGTGGCTCACACCTGTAATCCCAGCACTTTGGGAGGCCGAGGCGGGTGGATCACTCGAGGTCAGGAGTTCAAGACCAGCCTGGCCAACATGGTAAAACCCTGTCTCTACTAAAAATACAAAACTAACTGGGCATGGTAGCACATGCCTGTAATCCCAGCTACTCAGGAGGCTGAGACAGGAGACTCGCTTGAACCCAGAAGGTGGAGGTTGCAGTGAGCCGAGATCGAGCCACTGCACTGCAGCCTGGGCGACAGAGTGAGACTCCTCAAAAAAAAAAAAATCATTATAATCAAGTTTATCCTAAGACTGCAAACATAGTCCATACCAGAAAAGTCTAGCAATATAACTTCTCCCTAATATTCTAAAAGAAAAAATTACATGATAAACTCACTAGATTCTTAAAATAATTACCACGGGCTTGGCCCCATGGCTCATGCCTGTAACCCCAGCACTTGGGGAGGCCAAGGCAAGCGGATTGCCTGAGCTCAGGAGTTCGAGACCAGCCTGGGCAACATGGCGAAACCCCATCACTACAAAAAATACAAAAATTAGCTGGGCACAGTGGTGTACACCTATAGTCCCAGCTACTCAGGAGACTGAGGCAGGAGAATTGCTTGAGCCTGGGAGGAGGAGGTTGCAGTGAGCCAAGATCACGCCATTGCACTCCAGCTGGGGCAACACAGCAAAACCTTGTCTCAAAATAAAATGAAATAAAATAATTCCCACATATACGCATATGCTAATTTTTTTTTAAAAAAAGCACTTTTAACAAAGAAACAGACTAGAAGGAAACTCCCTCATCTTGACAAAGGTGTAATACCAAAAACAGAGCAAACATAATACTTAATGGAAAAAAATTGAGATGCATTCACTTTAAGCTCAGGAAAACACAGGTTGCTCATATACAGCCATACAGTTTTCAGTGGTTTTGAAGGAGCTGGTAAGTTGTATAAGAAAAGAAGAAGAAAGGAGATGTAAGAATTGAAAAAAAAGATAAAGCTCTCATTATTTCTAGATGATGTAATCTATGTAGGAAACTCAGAATCAGTAAGCAAGCTATTTGATGAATACGAGTATCCAGAAAGATTGCCAGATACCAGATGAATTCATACAAATCATCCATATGAGCAATAATCAATGGAAAATATAATAGAACAAGCAAAAGTATCTAAGAATGTAACTTAAAACAGAAATTATGAAAAAATTATCTATGAAATTATCGATGAAAAAATATTTTAAATCTATTCAAAGTCATAACCAGCCTGGGCAATGTAGTGAGACCTCATCTCGACAACAACATCAACAATAATAACAGCAACAACAACAAATTAGGCGGTTGTCATGGCATGTCTGTGGTCCTAGCTACTTTGGAGGCTGAGATAGGAGAATGGCTTGAGCCCAGGAAGCTGAAGCTATAGTGTGTGGTGATTGCACCACTGCACTCCAGCCTGGGCAAAAGAGCAAGACCCTGTCTCCAAAAGAAAAAGTCAACAGAGCAAGACCCTGTCTCCAAAAAAAAGTCATAGGGAAGTATTTGAATAAATGGAAAGATATTTTATTCTCTTAAATGGGATAATATCTATATGTCTATATATCTAGATAGATAGATATTCTCCCCAAGTTAATCCATAAGTTTCATGCAATCCCAATCAAAATTTCAGCTGTAGCTTTTTTAAATAGAAATTCAACAGTCAAAAGTTATACAGAAGAACAGAGATCCTTATTTATCTTTTTCAGCTGTAAAAGAAGAACCACATGGGGAGGAGTTGCCTTAGCAGATATTAAGACACACAACAAGGTCATGAAGTAGAATGGGAGTAGGAAGGCCTGGGAGGTCTTGCAGGGGTAGAGGCATCTGATGCATATTATCTCAATACATTTCTTCACAACCCCGACTTTACAGTGGACATTTCAACCTCGCCCCATGGCTTTCTTAAGCATTCTTTCACTATGTGGTCCCCTCTGTTACACATCCTAGACTGCTCTGAGACCCTGAAGTTGCGCACCATGCTCAGAAGAATGAACAGGAAAAAAGAGAAATGGGCAGAGCAGGAATGTGAGAAATGACCCAGGCTTGGATGACTTTCCTGTGATCTTCCCCTCTGGGATCTGCTCTCTGATGGAATACTTAATCTAACACCTGACATGCTCAAAGACTGTGCAGGTGGCATGGGCTTTCAGGTATTGGTAAGATTATGGTTCATCATTGGAGCAGAATGTTAGGAGAGCAGGCCTTACCTATCAATGCACCCTTTTCCTACATCTTTTTTTCTGCATTGATGCTGGGAAACTAAACAAGGAGGAGAGCATGGGACACAATTGTCAATCTCCCTTTTCAAGGCATCCTTAAGAACTTCATCCATGAATAATATATTGTTTGTACTTAGTATGGTATTAATTTTTAAAGTGGATAAAGTACTTTTTCATTTTTGTTTAAAGCACATGTTATCATGTTGAATAACATGAAACATGTTTTTCCAGAGGGGAGCCTCAGTTGATTTTTCCTCTGTTGAAAAGGCACTGAATTTCATTCCTACAGGTTATGTATGCTCCATTTGATAGGATGATGTTCCCTGAGGACAAAATTTAGACTACAACATTGCTCTGCATATCAGCCCTTACACAAATAAATGGTTTGGCCTAGAGATACCTGATATGGGAAGGGGACTGGTGAACAAATGTTAAGGAAATCTCTTTTCCTGTGGGGGTCCTGAATCCCTAAATATTATAATCCATAGCCTAACTAAAGTACTAAATTATTGTGTTTGAGATTTTATTCTAAAAGTCCTCTGCCACACCCAGATGGATAGTCTGCAAGTCTGGATTGAAATAGTAACCTCTACTCTAGTATCTTTCCCATCTAATCTGTTATCTTAGATAATAATCTTTCCTTTCCCGAGAGTTCTGTTCTAAGATGTCCCTCTGGGCCAGCACAATTGAGTTAGAAAAGTGGGAAGTGGACAGGAGACAAAAGAGTGAATCTCTACTATGAGCTGGTCCTAAGGATCACTTACCTTAATGATGTCCTGATGTTTCATTAATATGGGTAGAATTTGATTCCTCTGTTGGTAGTATATTCAGTACCATAAGGTGGAACCCCACCACTCACAAGAGAAAACAAAGAAGAAAATGAAGCTTTATGTAGTTGAGCTTGAGCTCAGCCATGGGGCTCTAAAGAGATATTCTCCATCGTCTAAAGCACAGTGCTGCTTCAGGCAACTGAGCACTGAGACAGCCCACTGTAGCCACCCTCAGTGAAGTTCCTGCCAGCCCACTCTAGCCACCCTCAGTGAGGTTCCTGCCATCCCTGCTTACCTTTCCCTATAAAAGAAAAGCCTTTTCCTATTTGATTTTGAGATGCTTCTAGATCTTATGTTCAGAGCATTCTCTGAACATAATTTTCATATTGCTGTAGTCACTATGAAAAAAAACTCTCCTTAGTTGTCAAGATTTGTTTATTTGATAGTTTTATAGTGTCATGACTTGCTCAAGTGCTGTTTGTTCCTCAGAACCTACTGTCTTTACCCGGGTATTCATATTCATGCTGTCTTCTCAGATCTTTTGTGCCCTCCTTCTTGGCTGGGGAAATCAAGATCCATGGTACATTGGTTTGTTATGGCTGCCATAGCAAAATACCACAGACTAGATGGCTTAAACAATGGAAATTTATTTTCTCACAATTCTGGAGGCTGGGAAGTCCAAGATCTAGGTATCACCATGGTTGGTTTCTTCTGAGGGCTCTATCCTGTCAAATGGAGCATACACAACCTGTAGGAATGAAATTCAAGAAGGCAGATAGCTGCCTTCTTGCTGTGTCCTCACATGTCATCTCTGTCAGTTTCCTAATCTGTGTCATTTTCCTAATCTCTTCTTATAAAGACATCGGTCATATCAGATTAGGGCCCACCCAGATGACCTCATTTTCCTTTAATTACTTCTTTAAAGGCTGTATCTCCAACTACTCTCACATTTAGAGGCACTAGGGGTTAGGAAATCAACACATAAATTTTGGAAACACGATTGAGCCCATAAAGCACAGTAACTCCTAATCTGGTGACTTAGAAAGTTGTCTAACATAGTAAGGAATTACTTTGATTCTATTGAATGGGGAATCTTCCTCTTTCTTTTTTTTTTTTTTTTTTTTCTATTTCAGCAAGAATCTTCCTGGATGGCTGGGCATGGTGGCTCACACCTGTAATCCCAGCACTTTGGGAGGCCGAGGGGGGTGGATCACCTGAGGTCTGGGGTTTGAGACCAGCCTGGCCAACATGGTGAAACCCCATCTCTACTAAAAATACAAAAAAATTAGATGGGCATGGTGGCGGGCGCCTGTAATCCCAGCTACTTGGGAGGCTGAGGCAGGAGAATCTCTTGAACTCAAGGGGCAGAGGTTGCAATGAGCCAAGATCACACCATTGTACTCCAGCCTGGGCAACAAGATTGAAACTCTGTCTCCAAAAAAAAAAAAAAATAATAATCTTCCTGGATGAAGGTCATCTTGGCAAGTTTTTTTAAAAAATTATTTTAATTGTTAAACAAAATAAATATTGTTAAATATTTATATTATATATTGTTAATATTTTAAGGAACTGTCATACTATTTTCCATAACAGCATCTTGGCTCTTTTTGAGTGGAAATTTAATCTATGACTCTTTCTATTGAGAGAGACTCTTACTGGTTCTTTTCTGTTTGAATGGGAATTTTCTTGGATGGAAGTCTTGACCCTTTTTGAGTGAGAATTTAATCCCTGAAACTTTCTATTGAGTGGAATTCTTCCTGCCTTTTTTTTTTGAGACACATTCTCACTCTGTCACCCAGGCTGGAGTGCAGTGGCGCAATCTAGGCTCACTGCAGTCTCTGCCTCCTGGGTTCAAGCCATTCTCCCTGCCTCAGCCTCCCCAATAGCTGGGATTACAGGTGCCCGGCACCATGTTCAGCTAATTTTTGTAGTTTTAGTAGAGACAGGATTTCACCATTTTGGCCAGGCTGCTCTCAAACTCCTGACCTCAGGTGATCCACACACCCGCCCGATTTGGAGCGAGAATTATTAATGGGATTAGTTTAGTATTCAGGTAAACAAAACAGACCTCACAAAAGATCCAGGAGGATTCCCATTCAACAGAAAAGAGCCAGGAAGGGCCAGGCATGGTGGCTCATGCCTGTAATCCCAGCACTTTGGGAGGCCAAGGCTGGCGGATTGCTTGAGGTCAGGAGTTGGAGACCAGCCTGGCCAACATGGCAAAATCCCATCTCTACAAAAAAATCCAAAAAATTAGCAGGGTGTGGTGGTGCATGCCTGTAGTTCCAGCTACTCGGAAGACTGAAGGATGAGAATCGCTTGAACCCAGGAGGTGGAGCTTGCGGTGAACCAAGATCATGCCTCTGCACTCCAGCCTGGGTGACAGAGTGAGACTCTGTCTCAAATAATAATAATTCTCACTCCATCAGGTGCTTGTCCACTTTTTCCCTTCCAGACTATATGCTCCAGCAGTACTATGGCACTAATTCGGTCCAATATCTCCAAAAAATGGCAACAATTTTTTTTTTTTTTTGAGATGGAGTCTCGCTCTGTTGCCCAGGCTGGAGTGCAATGGCGTGATCTCGGCTCACTGCAACCTCTGCCTCCCGGGTTCAAGCAATTCTCCTGCCTCAGCTTCCTGAGTAGCTGGGATTACAGGTGCCTGCCACCATACCCAGCTAATTTTTGTATTTTTAGTAGAGATGGGGTTTCACCATGCTGGCCAGGCTGGTCTCAAACTCCCGACCACAGGCGATCCACCCACCTTGGGCTCCCAAAGTGCTGGGATTACAGGCATGAGCCACGACACCCAGCTGGCAAAATTTTATAAAGAATAATTTGAAGCCACAGTGGCCTCTTTCCCCAAAGTTGATTCATCTATGGGAAGCCCTTGTATCCTGGGGATTCAAAGTCTCTAATTTCTCTTGATATGGAGAAGCTGACAAATGTCTTTCTCAGTCTAACATTTTTTATTTTTTTATTTTTTGTTAAGATGGTGTATTAATCAATTTTCAAACTGCTGATAAAGACATACCCAAGACTGGGCAATTTACAAAAGAAAGAGGTTTAATGGACTTACAGTTCCTCTTGGTTGAGGAGGTGTCACAATCATGGTGGAAGGCAAGGAGAAGCAAGTCATGTCTTACATGGATGGCGGCAGGCAAAGAGAGAATGAGGAAGACAAAAGCAGAAACCCCTGACAAAACTATCAGATCTGGTGAGACTTATTCACTAGCACGAGAACAGTATGGGGGAAACCACTCCCATGATTCAATTATCTCCCAGTAGGTCCCTCCCACAACATGTGGGAATTATGGGAGTACAATTCAAGATGAGATTTGGGTGGAGACATGGCCAAACCATATCAGATAGGGTCTCGCCCTGTTATCCAAGCTGGAGTGCAGTGGTGCCATCACAGCTCACTGTAGTCCTGAATTCCTGAATTCAAGCAATCCTCCCAGCTCAGCCTCCCAAGTAGCTGTGACTACAGGTGTGTGCCACCATGCCTGGCTAATCTTTTTGTATTTTTTGTAGAGACAGGGTCTTGCCATATTGCCCAGGTGGGTCTCAAACTCCTGGCTCAAGCATTCCTTCCACCTCAGCCTCCCAAAGTGCTAGGATTACAGGTGTGAGCCACCACACTTAGCCTCAGTCTAACCTTAATCAAGTCATGAACATTCTCAATATTCTTTATCTAAAGCTATTCAATCTCTCAAGGATCATTTGTCCTCCTCAATTATTACTCCTTCATCTACTCTAACCTCAGAAACACTCACTCCTTTCTCCTTTCCCTCTTCTTATCAATCTGCTTCTCCAACCCCTTCCTGTCTCTCTCTCTGCTACGGCCTGGACCTCCTTGTCTACCCACTTCTCCCCAGACCTATAACTACTTTTCTGGCCCCCAGTTTCCTGTAGTTACTTGAGAAGTTGGCCCTACTCTCTTGGTACTCAGACCTCAAGGCCTCAAGGAAGGAAAGTTGAAGGATCTCAATTGCCCCTCCTCAATAAGTCATTTTAAACCATTGGTCTCTATCTGTCCTCTATAACAGAGGACTTCCCTGACCCATAAGAAAACAGAGACGTTTTCTACACAAATTAGGTTTAGGGGCATATTATCTAGGGCTTCCAGAGATTTACCAACCATTCAAACTTGTTGTGGGTCCTGGAGATGCCTCCTTATCTAAGGCTAAATGGGCCCGAGTCAATGAAGACTTATAATTAAATCAAAGTACACCCATCACCTATCATGAAGCTAAGTAAAGTAAAGATTCCTACCCTATGGCCTTGCTATCTAAAATAGACTGGTCAAAGTTTCAAGGGTGCAGATAATAAAGAGACAAATCAGTCTCTGATTATAGTCACTGCTTAAAAAACATTGGGAAGGTTCATTTGGGCCTATTCCTGATTGACTGCATGGTGTCTGATTAGGTACCAGCTTTGTTAATGGGTTTGGTGTGGTACTGAGAGAGGCTATTCAAAAACATCATATAAACTGGTAAAGTGCCTCTCTCTTTGAAATCCATGAACAGGCTGGTAAAATTAAATCTATATAATGCAAACTCATGGCTCATGGCTTTTCAACTTAAACAACTTGAGAAAAGTTGAAAGTTAGAGAAGACTACCAGAAAGCACAAACCTTAAGATGAAGGAATGATGCAAAAAAACAATGAAAATTTCTGTCCCAAGACTTGGAATAAGGTTTGACTTTATAAAATTAAGGATTTCCTTTCAACAAAGGACTTTATGAAAAAAGTTAACAAACACATAGCAAATTAGGAGAAATCATTTATACTGTCTAATGCTAAAGAGGCACTGATACCTAGAACATATGATAAATGCTTCCAAATTAACAACAAGAAAATACAATAGAAATATGGACAAATGATAATGGGCAATTCACAGAAGAAGAAACCCAAATCTTAACACATACATGAAAACATGCACAAAATCATTAGTAATAAAATACAAATTAAAACAGTGAGATTTTATACCATTAGATTGACACACAGTAGAAAATCTAATTTTCCCAAGTGTTGGTGGAAATGTGGAGATACAGGGACCTAGTGCTGCTGGTGAAAGACCAGACATATTTGTCCATTCTGTAAAGCAATCTGGCAGTTCATAGTCTAAATATGTATATTATATACGTTCAAGAGAGGGATTCCTAAGCTTGTTTATGTGCCTTTAAATGTTTTTGAAGAATGCCCTCACTTAGCCATTTTTCTGCCCCGAAAGAGTTCTGAGTAAGGCGAAATAAAGGCAATCCTGTTTTTCAGTCCTTTAGGGAACTCCCAGACATATTGCAGCTAACAAACACAATTCTTTGAAAGAAGGTCCACTCTATTTCATTCAGAACCAGATATCCCCAGCAGGAATGTAGATTGCCATCTAGAAGACCTGCTATTATTCTGGGAATGTGAGTGAGGCAAAGCTAAGTTAAATGCCACAAAGCTCTCCTGCTGGCTTAAGTCATTTTCTTAATTCAGTGTTCACTTGGTTGCTATAAACCTTTGACTATTTTCCAGATTCTGGAGAAGCGGATTCTGACAGTTTTTGTTCATTTTTTGGTGTTTCTGTGAAGGGTAATGAGCCTTGGGAACTACCTACTCCACATTTTGACTGAGGTCTGGCCTTGCCAATAATTTTAAAAAATAAAACCAGATCCTCAAAAATGTCTTACAATAAAAAGATACAATAATCAGTACATAAATGTAGTGAAGGAAAACATTCACTGTCTACTCTTGGCTCTGTATTAAGACAATAAGGAGCTAATAATTTCTGTGCACCAGTCGTGTTCCAAACACTATGCTAGGAATTTTACATTGACTTCACTGATTTTTTTTTTTTTTTTTTTGAGACAGAGTCTTGCTCTGTCGCCCAGGCTGGAGTGTAGTGGTGCTATCTCGGCTCACTGCAACCTCTGCCTTCTGGGTTCAAGTGATTCTCCTGCCTCAGCCTCCTGAGTAGCTAGGATTACAGGGGTGCACCACCACACCCAGCTAATTTTTGTATTTTTTTGGTAGAGACAGGGTTTTGCCATGTTGGCCAGGCTGGTGGTGAACTCCTGACCTCATGATCCACCTGCCTCGGCCTCCCAAAGTGCTGGGATTACAGGCATGAGCCGCCATGCCAGGCGAATTCACTGATCTTAAGAATAATTATTGGTTGTGATTCAAACTTTATTTCAAAGATTTAAGACATTTACTTTTGGCAAACACCATATGCCATGTACAGTTGTTTTCACAATGGCTTAGTATTTTTACAGTTGTGGTCTTAAACTCCAAAGGCAGAAAGCTTATCTTAGTTGCAGCATTCCATTCACTCAACAAATATTTCTTGAGGTAAGGAAGCAGCTATTTGGGATAAGATGTACCGTGGCAGGTACATGATGGCACTCACTTCAAGATTTATTGAGTCTCCTCTGTGGGAACAAGTTGCCTAACATGTATATCCCAGTCCACTAGTGTTTTCCTTTGCTCAAATTCTTGCCTTGATAACTTTCTCTGTACCTTCGCTCCTCTGTGATCAAGAACAAGAATCCGTGTAACTGAAACAACTGTTTTAGTCTGTGTGTGTGTACACACACACAAACACACACCAGTTGCCAGGAATATAGCTATGAGTAACACAAGGGCCTTTCCACTGAAGAACTCGTAGTGTAGCAGGGAGACAGACAATGTTACAATTAAATAGAATATGTGTTATCATATAGGGATATGTACTGAGTAGTGCTATGACAAACCTAAAGTTCTTTCTTTCTAAACAAATAACCAATCTGAAAGGAAGGTTCCAATCAAGATGTTCAGAAAATAGGCCAGGCACGGTGGCTCATGCCTGTAATCCCAGCACTCTGGGAGGCTGAGGTGGGCGGAGCACCTGAGGTTGGGAGTTCAAGACCAGCCTGACCAATATGGAGAAACCCTGTCTCTACTAAAAATACAAAATTAGCCGGGCGTGGTGGCACATGCCCGTAATCCCAGCTACTAGGGAGGCTGAAGCAGGAGAATTGCTTGAACCTGGGAGGCGGAGGTTGCGGTGAGCTGAGATCACGCCATTGCACTCCAGCCTGTGCATCAAGGGTGAAACAACGTCTCAAAAAAAAAAAAGATGTTCAGAAAATAGATTAAGGAAAGAGACAGGCCTCTAACTTTATCAGATCTTCCCCTCCCTCCCTTTTTTTTTTTTTTTTTTTTTGAAACAGGGTTTCATTTTGTTGCCCAGGCTAGAGTGTAGTGATATGATCATGGCTCATTGTTTTACCAGTAAAAGCTGTCCAGGTTCTTGGCATCTTGAACAAAGAATTGGACAAAATGCACAAACGAAACCAGAAAAGCAAAAGCAGGGATTTATTGAGAAGGAAAGTACACTCCACAGTGTGGGAGTGGGCTGGAGCATAGGCTCAAGAGCCCCGCTTACAGAATTTTCTGGGGTTTCAATACTCTAGAGGTTTCCCATTGGTACTTGGCGAATATTCTACGTAAATGAAGAGAATGAAGTGAAGTCACAGAGTCATTTACTCAGAATGTGCCCTATTGTAAATGGAGAGGGTGTTTATTTGGTGTGTGTGATCTATGTAAATGCCTGAACCAAGTTAGTGATAGTGGAGAAAAGTGGGATGGATTTGAAAGTTATGAAGGAGGAAGAAT